>NC_000016.10:76380682-77005682 GCF_000001405.40 Homo sapiens
TTTATATAGCTGAAGGGCTGTGTTCTTACCATTAGACGGTGCTTGGAACAGAACACCACGTACTTAAACCATCCATAAATATTTAAAGGTTGTGATTATGTCAGCAGTTACCGAGGGTGGAACCACTGCGTGCTCAGGAAGTCATATATATAGGATGCCTCTTCCACACCACAAGCATCAATATGTGTACCTTAGAATGCCAAGAAAAAATTATGACCTATCATGAACTCATTTACTTTCTTTTAAGTTAGTTGTCTATCATCTTAGGATTATTGAACTTCCCTGGATCTTAGTCTTTCGTATTCTCCTTTGTCGCCAGGCTCTGCACTTTCCCAAGTTTTTTCTCCATACCTTTGAAACTCTTTCCTCTATTTCCCATTACCAGTTACACACAATTACTTTTGCATAAAACTTTTTTAGGAAGTTGTTAATACTTTCACACTATCTTCCTCTAGATAGATTGAATCAGATGGACTGAATTTTAGAATCTAGTAACTTTAAAGATGAGAATCTTTCTGTGTGTGTGTGTGAGTTGGCATTCTCCAAACCTCAGCAGCTCTTGCAGCTCTTGGAGACATTAACACAGAGATTGTTGACATGTCTTTGGAGTGAGTCCCGAAACCTGACATTGAACCATCACACAGTAGCCTCCCAGTGCCCCCTCCCACCCCAGTGTTTTCCCAGAAGAGACTCTGAGAGACACATGGCTCTATCTAGGAGAAGTCACAATGATAATTCTGATACTGTGCTAGTGGAAAGAGGATGCAGATGACCAGGAATACCTGAGGAGTTAAGTTGGAAAGGCCTCTGAAATTTACTGTAGGATGTCTAGGACTCAGCTTCTACTTCCTTCAGGTGATCGTCAATTTCATCTAGATAACCCTTCAAGGGTAAAATCTATTTAAGAGAATTAACATGTGGTTTACCTCTACCCCTCACATTTGTTTAATCACCTTCACAAAGACAAAGTGAAGAAACTGTGTAGGGTATGTTATTTACTTAAATAAAGGGAACGGAGATATGCACATATATTTACATATTTTCTTATGCTTTTTAAATAAATGGGAGGATAATAATTTTTTAAAAGAAAGTTACCTGCCGGGTGCGGTGGCTCACGCCTGTAATCCCAGGACTTTGGGAGGCCAAGGTGGATGGATCACGAGATCAGGAGATCGAGACCATCCTGGCTAACACGGTGAAACCCTGTCTCTACTAAAAATACAAAAATTAGCTGGGCGTGGTGGTGGGTGCCTGTAGTCCCAGCTACTCGGGAGGCTGAGGCAGGAGAATGGCAGGTGAACCCAGGAGGCGGAGCTTGCAGTGAGCTGAGATCGCGCCACTGCGCTCTAGCCTGGGGGACAGAGCGAGACTCCGTCTCAAAAAAAAAAAAAAAAAAAAAAAAAAAAGAGAAAGTTACCTTTATGATAAACTATAGGGGAGGGATAGAACAGAGACAGAAGCTAGACTTTTTTTTAACATGCCTTGTTTTTCAGATTTTACTGTAGAGTAATATACACAATTTAATAATTGTATACAAAATTAAATATAAAGCCATTTCTAAAAAGCAAAAGTAAAATGGAACAAATAAACTATTTGTTGTTTATTTCAACTATTAAGTTGAAGGCATAAATACATAGAAAGGAATTATTTAAAGTGACTTTAAAACAGTAATCTGTGTATTTTACTGTTTTAGATCCCATTGCCAAAAAAATCTTAAGCTACTTTCAATGATCACATCTTGCTAATGACAGCCATTTTTTTACTTAAAATATTGTGCTGTGACTCAGAAACTTATCCTGATAAAGCAGTTATGTGATTATATTGATATTATTGGAAATAATAATTTTCAATTTAAGAGAAAAAAGAAGCAAATCTAAAATCAGAAAGATTAAGTAGATATCATATAACCCTGTGTTTGAATTAGATACATCAATATGAACTCTGAATATATTTTCTCTTAAGAAAAATAGAACTATTTCCTAGTTTGGTTTATCAAAAAACCATGACTATGTTTATCAAGAAATTATCAAGGAAAAATGATATCTCCTAGCACCTAGACTGAGGGCACTAAATACCACTTTCCTCTAAAAGGATCTAGAATTCCTTGCAGTAAAAGACTGGATCCAAACTGAGCCATCAAATATACAAATAAATTGGGATTACTTTATACCAGAAAACAAGTATGTTGTCAAAGACTACTGGAGTGATGTCAAAAGGACTCAGTGGTTAATTTGAAAAGAATTTCACTGGCCAAATGAAGTAATTGAAACATCAATAATACCAGAAATGGACTGAAACATCAAGTTAAACATTAATGAATGCCTTATAGAACAAAACGTTTCTTATCCATCTTTATGGGAAGATGCCAGAGAATCAACTCATTAGTCTGAACATTGGTTTGTAAAAGGAAAAATCAAGCATTTATCCCACTTTTTTTTTTTTAATTACTAAACTGCATCTCAGGGTAACCAAATATTTAATGAAAGAAACTTTCCCATTTTGGAAGCACTCCAGGTCAGCATACAAAATTTAAGAATGTTAGAATAACTCCATTTTGTAAACTCCAATGAAATAATGTACCTAGAGAACATCAGTGATGGCTCACATTGAAACAGAGACAACAAGGTAGGAGGTACCTGGAAGTAGACAATGTGTGCTTCGAAAGATTCTTGCCAAAGTTCTAACTACCAGTTTATAATAAATACAGGAACAGAAAAAAAAAAAAAAAAACGTATCATGTAACAACAGAGGGGAACAATGAGCAAGGTGGGAAACATTATAGAACAAATGGGGCCATTTTTTTTTCAATAGTTGATTGAAAGAAAAAGGAAGAGTGATCCATAAATAGAGATTTAAGAGAAACAGCAATCGAATGCAACACATGTAAAATTTTGATATCCCGATTTAAACAATATTGCATACACTTATATGCACATATACTTTTAAGAGATAAGCAGTCCACACAGGATGCTGATAATACAGAACTATTGTGAAATTTTAGATGTGACAATTGTGTTTTTGTTTTATAAGGAATTCTCATTCTTTAAAGATACACTTTGAGATATTTACGCATGAAATAATATGATGTCTGGGACTGAATTTAAAATAATCGAGTTGTAAAGATGATAAACTTGGAGGGGACATGGGTGTAGGCGAAATAAAATTGGTCCTGAGTTCGTCTCTGAAGGTAGATGTGTGTGAGTTTTAAATTCTGTTCTCTCTACTTGGTTCTATGTTTGAAAATGTCCATAATAAAAATGTTAATGACAGATAAATGTTTTCTCCTCTTTAAATTTTTAGTAAAGTTCTCAGTTTTTTGTTTTGTTTTTTGTTTTTGTTTGTTTGTTTTGTTTTTTGTTATTTATTTATTTATTTTTTTGAGATGGAGTCTCGCCCTGTTGCCCAGGCTGGAGTGCAGTGGCACTATCTTGGCTCGCTGCAACCTCCGCCTCCCAGGTTCAAGTGATTCTCCTGCCTCAGCCTCCTGAGTAGCTGGGATTACAGGCATGCACCACCATGCCTGGCTAATTTTTGTATTTCTGGTGGAGATGAGGTTTCACTATGTTGGTCAGGTTGGTCTTGAAATCCTGACCTTGTGATCCACCCACCTCGGCCTCCCAAAGTGCTGGGATTACAGGCTTGAGCCACCGCGCCCAGCCAAGTTCCCAGTCTTATACAATACAACTTTACTTGTAATAAGTTAAGGCTGGCAGTAATGAGCACCATGAGGACCAAGCTGAATAAAGGATCAAGAAGAATGCGAAGTTGGTTGCCTCAGTAAGGGATGAAAGGAGGCCACCCACACCCAAGCGAGGATTCAGCCAGCTCTGATAAAGTGCCATGTAGCTTTGGTTGTGACTGACTTGCTTTTCATTCTCCCGCACTTGGAGAGTGTGGGATGGAGAGGCACTGATGAGTTGATTAATCTCCTTGGTACCTACCTTAGGAGATTCCGCGCTCCTCTCTCAGGAACAGTCATGGTAGGCGATTGGAAGTGGCCTTGTTATTAGTCATGCTTCATCATGACCTCGAAATCACCAGTTGTCATATAGCCAGGCTTTAAGAATTAATTTTACAAGCATATATAACACATTTTCAAATAAGCTTTTATTTTACTACAGTTAATTATCCATATTTATAGCTCTGTTGTTTTATTTCCCCAAAATACCTAATATAAGGTAAAATTAGAAAGTAAGAACAACAGGGAAATCATATTTTTCAATACATGAGCCAAATGTGAAGTATTTAAATTTTTTAAAAAATCAATGAGTTAATTTACAGTCAGCATTCAACCGGTTGCAACATTTTTTGAAGGAAAATAGCCTAAGGTATAAATATAGTGAAGATATACATATGAATTATTCTGACACCTGACAGGTGCAACTTATAAAGTATGAAACAGTTTACATGACAGGAGCATAATTATAAATATTTAAAGATCCTTTTTTTAAACAATATAACGCATTTTGTTGATTTGCCTTGATGCTTACTCCAGATTTTTCCCAGATTTATTTAGAGCAGCAAGAGCTATGTGATAAGTACAGCTGATTCTCACTTTCCCTGACAGTTATGTTTTATAAAGTTTCCATGGACAATGAATTATCAAATACTGAACCATTGCTATGCTATGTCATCTCACAGGGACTGCCTTAGGAGGGACTAGAGATTGTTTTTAAGATAGGATAAAAATACCTTGTTTTTTTATTTTAGCAATTTTGATTATAAATTCAAACCTGAAAAATACAGAGAAAATATAAAAATAGAAACAACTGTAATTTTTCTTCATGCAAAAATTATTTATATATAGCAATGTTTCCTTTCAGTCTTTTCTCATATTTATACAAAAATTAACACTTTAATTAGAAGTGTGTGTGTGTGTGTGTGTGTGTGTGTGTAGAGAGAGTGAGTTGATTCTCATTATGCGTGGAAATTATGTTCTATAAAGTTCCTGTGAACACTGAATTAGAGAGTAGTGGGTAAATACACAATTAGAGTCCCGTGAGCCTCTGACTGCAATATTTTTGTCCACCCATCAATACGTAACCTTGTTTTACGTATGTTTCTGTTTAAAGACACCTTATATAGTCTGTAGTGCTGATTTATTAATATTGAGCTCATGGCCAACAGCACTATAACTCATGACTGAATGAAGCTTCCCTAACACATATTTTCTCCGTAAGGTGCATGGCAGCTTTCTTGTACTTAGGAACATAAGGCAGTATTTCAGCTCTACGTTTGGGGCCCATTTTAAACAGGGAAATCACCAAAAAATGCACAAAAATGTGAAAAATGAATAGATAATGAAAAAAAACACTTGTTTACAGTATTGTAGCTGAAACAGGAAGGCAGAGTGCCACCTTGTTTGAACTCAGTTGGAAGCAGGTACGTTGGGCAGCCCAGAGTCTTCACTGCTGTGGGCACATTCACAAATGACCACTGAAGCACATAAAGCTTTGATTTGGGGTTAAAAATAAATCTTAGCTAGTAGGCAAATTCACAATACAGTATCTATGAATAATGAGAAAGAACTGTAATTTACTATTTGCCTAAAAAATACCATATGGGTATAGTATAGCTCTATTATATTCTTGCCACGTCTTTTATAATCTGTTTATAAAAACTAGCCTCGGGCAAAATAGTAAAATGAGCAATTTTTTAAAATTGGAAACTGCCCTTTGCCTTCTCAGTGGTACACATTTTTTAAAAAAATTTGATTTGCTTGCTCTCAGTTTGGGGTTAATAAGACCAAAATTTAAAATGCAAGCTTCCAAAGATAAGAATCATGCATTTTGTTGAATTGCCTTTATGCTTACTCCAGACTTTCCCAGATTTATTTAGAGCAGTGAGAGCTGTGTGATAAGTACAGCTGATTACTGTCTTATTTACGTTAATTTTCCAGAGCCTAACCTGGTGCTAGAAACATAGTAGGTACTCAGGAGATACTTAGGCACAATAAGTGAATTCATGTCATCAGTAATATATATCCCACCATGGTGAGTAGAATGGCCTTCCAAAGATGTTCACTACCTTAACGTTGGGACCTATAGGTATGATATCTCTATAAAAAAGGCATATTGGGATTGTAGATGGATTTTAGGTTGTTAATCAGATGATCATAGTAAGATTACCCTGGATTACACAGGTGGGCCCAGTGTAATCACCAAGGGCCTTAAAAGTCAAAGGAGGCCTAAAAGGAGATTCAGAGGGAGAGGAGGCTGTGGAAGGAGAATAGAGTTATGCAATCTGTGAATGACTCAACTTGCTTTTGTTGGCTTTGAAGATAGAGGAAGGGAGCCATAAGCCAAGGAATTTGTGCAACCTCTGCAAGCTGGAAAGGACAAGGAAATGAATTGTCTCATAAAGCCTCCAAAAAAAGCATGCATCCTGCTGACATCTTGATTTCAGCCCAGTGAAACCTGTGTCAGATTTTTGGACCACAGAACTGTAAGATAATAAGTTTGTGTTGTTTTTACCCACAAATTTTTGGCAATTTGGTACACTCCATGCCTGAGAAAATTGATACACCTACCACATGACATTTATAGTCCGATAAGTGATATCACAAATTTGAAAATCCATTAGGACACACAGCAATGAATATTTATATGTTAATGTCAAACATTATGGTGAGGACTGGAACTGATATTTTGAGAGAAGCTCATTCTCAGTTCTCAAATCTCATTATATAATTTGGCAGCTATTCATAAAACTGATTGACTGATTTTGTAAATCTTTTGCAACCAATAGTCTCTCTTGCTTTAGGGCTAAAATAATTGATTTTCTCTCATTATTTTGTCATTTTTGAGTGCAAGATAAATTAGTGCTTTATATATTTTAAATCATGTACTAAGTAATAGCTTGGTATTTATAAAATGTTTATAATCAGGCTTTGTGATAAAATATGGTAAGATCAATATTACAGTACTCCAAAAAAGCAATTGCCCTCTGAAACTTCAGAATTAATGCTCATGAAATAATCAGCAAAGAAGAAATGAAAATTAATGTTGTTTTAAAAACCATTGAACATGGACAAAATATTAATTGCATATTGTCAGTCAACATGATTTAATAGTGGTTTAAATAAGGGTGGTTATGTTGTCATAAGAAATAAGATGATATAGAATACTTATTTTACTTCCTAGTATATAGGCTGTGCTCAATAAATGTAAAGTGATTGCCGTTATTTTTGAGGATGCCATTGTTATTATAATGCAAACACAGAAGGGATCTATTCCCCTCTTTTGTTTTCTAGACTGGTTGAAAATATTTTATTTTTTAAAAAGTATTAATGTCTGCTGAAACCCAATACTATGTAAATATTTGTCATTAACGGGTGCTTGCCAGTCTATTTTGCCCCATACTCAAGGGTTTTGTATTTTACCATCAGTCACTGACTTGAGAGAATACATGAAAATCACCCTTAAGTGTGGGTGGGTTGTGATTACTTTACAAGTTCCTACTTTGTGGATTTAGCCAGATCAGCATCTTGTGGTGTCAGAGACATTACTGGGACATTTACCCAAAGAGTTCATTACAGCACTGCTGTTCATTTCATCCATCCTCAGAAAGGCAGCAGCATCGTGGAGTGCCAGGAATTCACTCTCAGAGGAAGTCAGTGTTTTTCAAACATTGGTACCATAATCAAAATGAAAAACAAACAAATAAAAAACAACTTTTCTCCACACAGCAAAATACCATTCTTTCTTACTTGAGGCAGTAATGAAGTGGTTTTGAAACCTTTGAAAATGAGCATTGTGTAGAATATTGAGTAAATGGATTTGAAACAAATGAAGGAAACATTGATATGGATTTCTAGTGTTTTCTTTAATGTATCAGTCAATTCACACAAGGTAAAATGCACACAAAGTAAACAAACAAAACTTAAGCTATCTAAAAGTCATCTCCTGTAATACTGTGATTTGTAATAATATTTTATGCATAATGTCTGATATATAATAGTAATTCCTGTTATAAACACATATACATCTATTGATTTATTGCCTGTCTATGCTAGGAAATGTTCTAGACATTTTAGATGCATCTAGATATTTCTTATGTAAATCTAAATGATGGAAATGTTATTTATTGATATTTTACATACAAGGAAATGGGAATCAGAGACTTTTGTAGGTCATATAATTAAGGCAGTACCTGACTCCAAAGTACAAGTCTGTCCCAACATGCTCTGCTTCCATTGTAGAATTGTTCTTTGTGTGCTTTAAATTATAATATTTAACAAGGAGTTCTATGTCCTTATAGTAATTCTAGAGAAAAGGAAAGTAATTCTTTAAAAAAGGAGAAAAACTTACATGTACATTTATAATTAATGTTATATATGACTAAGCCAAAACCTTATGTCATTATAATATAAAGAACACTGTCTAGTATATAATAGAGTATAAGTATGTGTAAATATATTGTCACTGTAGGAAATAAGGAAAATGAATATTGCTATATGTTAGAGAAACTCAAATGTTAGGAAATTAGTCCCCAGCATGATGAGCAGAACAAGCTTTCTGTATGTGTGCTCAGGCAATGCAAATGGTTCCATTTGTCTCATATAGATGTTAAGTACGTGTCCTGACTCATACACAGGCATGTATACACGTATCAACTAAGGCATCTTAGTCTGTTTTGTATCTGCCTCTGAAACTAATGTCAAATCAATGTCATGGAATTCTTTCTGACAGCATTTCTGGCAACGTTGCTTGTGGCTCTTCTTCCACTCAGCGCTTTGACAGTGCTGTTTAGTTTTTTTTGTTTTTGCGTTTTTTGTTTTGTTTTTGTTTGAGACAGTATCTCCCTCTTTTGCCTAGGCTGGAGTGCAGTGACGTGATCTCAGCTCACTGCAACATCCTCATCCCGAGTTCAAGCAATTCTCATGCCTCGGCACCTGGAGTAGCAGGGATTACAGGAATGTGCCACCAAGCCCAACTATTTTTTTTTCTTTTTTCTTTTTAGTAGAAACAGGGTTTCGCCATGTTGTCCAGGCTGGTCTTGAACTCCCGGTGCTGAATTCCTCATCTGCCTGACTCAGCCTCCCAAAGTGCTGGGATTACGGGCGTGAGCCACCACATCCAGCCAACAGTGGTGTTTATGGGAACCCGATCTCAGAATAGTGGCCTATTCTGTCCTCAGATATTCTAATTCTTCTTTCTAATATGCTACCAAAACCCACATGTTTTAGTTTGGGTTCCTCTAGAAGCAGAACCTGAGACAAGAATTTGAGTGCAAGTTATTTATTTGGAAGGCAATTTCAAGAAATAACAGTAGGAGGGGAGGGAAGTGAGACAGAGAAGGGAAAGTAGTTAATAAGGTTTGCAATTTGAGCAACTGGAGCTTAGCCCCACTGGGGAATTCTAGGAGCCAGTATACTTCGCCATGTCTCAATGTATCCATCAGAGGAGCAAGGGAGCTGGGGTATTTATCCATCATCTCCAGGCAGTCACTGGATGAGGACTTAGCCTTCCTCCCTGGGAGATGGACAAAGCCGTCAGGTAAACTTGTGCACTACTGGATGCTGGACTTCAGCAAGATGTTTCTGAAAATGGCAAAACCTTCAGGTATATGGTGAAGAGTGGGCATCTCTTACTACAGTAACTTATCTATTGTAACTAATTGTAACTTATCTATTGTAGCTAATCTGGTGAAGTCTTCAGTTCTTTTCTTTATCCTTGCCTTAGAGGCCTGTGTGAGCTGGGCTATACATAGAAGATTGGGGTCTGGACTATATCCTTTTGCCAGGACACTTGTCTCCTCCTAAAAACCCCACATGTAATTGTTTCCTCTGAGAAAAGCTGGTGTTTCTTGTCTCATCAGGCGTTCACAGCCAGGGAATCTGTTCATGAACTGCAACTTAATGCTATCTCTTCTGGCCCCATAAATAACAGGTAAAAAAAAAAAAAGCCCTGCTTGTTTTAAGCAGGCATTATTCCTTCTCATCATTGCATTACTGATTCAAATTGAAAGCCTGGAATGTGGCTTCACAGGTAGCTTACTCACCAAGGTTGTCCCTGCCCTTATTATTATGAAACAATTCTAGGATTTTTATTTCATCCTTAGTCCTCTTTGGCTCTCTTAGCTAACTTGAATCTTTCAAGCACTTCTGGGTTTGCACTATAGGACTTTACCCTCCTCAAGTCTTGAATTTCTTTTAATTCTCATTAACTGTTTTTTTTCTTTTTTAAAAAATTTTTTGTGGGTACATAATTGGTGTATATATTTATGGGGTACATGAGATGTTTTGATATGGGCATGCAATGGGAAATAAGCACATCATAGAGAATGGGGTATCCATTCACTCAAGCACTTATCCTTTGAGTCACAGACCAGCCAATTACAATCTTTAAGTTACTTTAATATATACAGTTATTATTGACTATAGTCACCCTATTGTGCTATCAAATAGTAGGTCGTATTCTTTCTAACTATGGTTTTGTACACATTAACTATCCCTACCTAGCCCCCCACTACCCTTCCCAATCTTTTATCTATTGATGTTGACAGCAAATCACACTGACTGCTGGCCAAAGTGTAAAGATTTCTCCCGCTCCTTTGCATATGATGAGGAGCCAAATGTGGTAAACACTTCCTCCATATGAACTCAAATGTTCGCATTTGACGTTTCACATCTCTTATTATTTTCTGGGGGAAAAGTCAACCCACCTCCAATGTTCTTTCCCACCAGCCACAGTCTTTCTAATTTGTAACTGACTTGTAGAAATTGCTAACGTTTCTTTTTTTGGAATGTTCCAAAGCATGCTAACATTTATTTATCTAAAATATCCTGTTATGCAAAACTTTGTGCTTGGCCTAGTAAATAAAGATCTGGCTGGCATTTTATGCTCAACCAGGTTGTCTTGTATGCTATTCAACATCTAATCAACTCACGTGCAGTATCAGACTCACTTAAGAGCTTGTGTAAAGTGCAGACTCCAAGATCCCACTTCGGATCTACCCAATCAGAACCTCTGAGTGTGGGGTCCAGGAACAGTGTTGTAAGGAGCCCTCCATGTGATGTTTGATGTTCACATGAAGCTTGAGTAACACAATTCTATAGCTTTGCTACTCAATGTGTGGTTCTAGCATCAGCATCATCAGAGAGACAAAACTTGTTAGAAATACAGGATCTCAGTCACTGCTTCAGACGTCTTGAGTCAGAATCTGCATTTTAATACGATCCCTGGGTAATTCACGTGCACACCCAAGTTTGAATTGCTCTGTTCCACAGGACTTAGCTTGTATTTTCAGTGTCAATAAATAATACGATGTATCAAATTATTCAATATAATTAGCATTAGATAAGTATCCTAATGTGTTTGTTTTTGAGACAGAGTCTCCCTCTGTCGCCCAGGCTGGAGTGAAGTGGCACAATCTCGGCTCACTGCAACGAGTTCTGCCTCCCGGGTTCAAGGGATTCTCCTGCCTCAGCCTCCCAAGAAGCTGGGATTACAGGCTTGTGCCACCACACCCAGCTAATTTTTGTATTTTTAGTAGAGATGGGGTTTCATCTTGTTAGCCAGGCTTGTCGTGAACTCCTGACCTCAAGTGATCTGCCTGCCTTGGCCTCCCAAACTGCTGGGATTACAGGCATGAGCCACTGTGCCTGGGTCTTCCTAATGTGTTTTAAATGGAGAGTTACGTTAGGAAAATGTTCCTAAACATAACACACCCCAAAGAAAAACCAATATGAACTCCCAAATCATTGGAAAGCCACAAACCTGGATATTAAGTATCTAGCATGAGTCCTAAGAAAGAAAAATAGCTACTAGAGAAATAAGGATACAGAATTCCGCAAATCTACTTCTTACTTCATTATATATATTTTTTTCAAGAAGACAATGTAAGACTACTCTGAATGATTGGAACACGTTCTTGAGGAAATGGAGGGAAATATGTCCCCTCACCACATGTAGTGCAGAGATTTATTTTCTAGTGAACACTAGCAGGTCTGCTCAAGTACATACTGTCATTCGGGAAATGTGCCTCAGTCAAACACAAAGAAAACATAATTTTTTCTTGGAGTGTTGAGTCTTTAGGGAGGAGCTCTTTTTTGAAATAACAAAGGGACATGGAATTTGGATTTTTAAAGCTTGAACATGTCCTCATTACCTGGGCACAGATTCATTTCTTGTGCAAAGATGTCCCGAGTCTCACAGCTTGAAGATGCCTGTCAATGAATGAAAGGTCGCTGCAGCTGCAGGAGGGAAGTCAAAGTGCTTACACCAGAGTCCCTGCTTTATACCTTGCCATGCTTTACGCCTTTGCATCTTGCCTCACCTGAGAGGTAGGTTCTTAGCATAATGGGCTTATCATTTTTATCGTAAGTATTTTAATGACTTTAACAAGCACAATTGTCTAAATTGTATTCTGACATTGAGCTAGTCTTTCCTCTGTTTTTCTGAACATGACTCTTACAGATTCTCCACCAAATTCACCAACTACATTACAACTTTTTCCATTAGGAAACCAACAAACCCCTATCTAGCCTTATCTTATGGTTGCTATGGTTATTCTCAGCCATCGATGATGATTTTACTACCCACTGAAAAGCTCCGGCCTATGTCCTATATAGGAAATGTGATGAATTGATTAGTGAAATTCAGATGTGGCATTAATCATATCCCAAGATGGGAATGGTGGGGGTCAACAAATCCTCCCTACTTTATATGCTGTCATTTACTTTACACTTGTATTTACCCCAGTGACAATGATAGCAACCCACATTGCTTAAGACTATCATTTTGGAATTTATATATTCATTCAGTCAGTCTGTACTGAACACTGGGCATTTATGATGTGTTGCTGAGTGTACAGAGATGAATGAGACACAGTCCTGGGCCCCAAAGTGCTCACAGCCTCTTGGGGCTTAGAGGCCTGCAAATGAATGGAGATCCTTGTGACCCAGCACAGAGAGTGCCCTAACTGCCTGTGGGATGAAGCAGGCATCAGCAAGGACTTCATGGGGGGTGGGTGAGAGGAGGAGGATGAAGACATTCCTGGCAGAAAAAAAAAAAATTGAAAGACTCCCATTGTGGGGCAGAGGGTATCCTGGGCTGTGTTCCCCACTTTCCTAAGAAGAGACTTCAGCCTGCGGTGCTATGAGAACATGCACTAAAATCTAGAGGTCCTCGATGTCTCTTCAGAGAACTGTTGGATCTACCAAGAAGCTATAAAATAGCTTAAACATTAGGGGCTTCAATGAATTCAGAGAAAAATATAGTCAACACAATTGCTTTATTTCATTTTCGCCAACAGAAACTCTATTAGACTGTGAACGCTTTTGTGTGTCTAATATTTTCCCTGCTGGTTTTTCCTTTGGATATGTGTCTTCATGGGGATGAACAAGCATGCCAAAGAAAATCAAATAGAACAGGGAGAAAAGTTATGCCTACTTATTATGGCAAGCTCTGGCTTCTACAACATCTGAAAATTCATGAGGAAATGTGTATCTTTAAAAATTCAACTTATCATTTGGCATTCATCGTGAGAGACTCTGATCTGGGTGGTAGAATAGAGTTGGTCAGGAATGTTTATTTATTTTGGAAGTTGGCCTTGAGCAAGTTACTTAGTGTGTTTAAATGGGGTTTATTCTGTAAATCACAGATGCTCTGTCCTTTACTTTGATTGATATTGGAAAGGTTGGATTTGGAAGTACACTCACACGTACACACTTCATAGTGTGAAAAGTCTAAAAAAAGCAAATATGTCCTCTAAATGCTAATTAACTGTGATAAAAATGGAAAATCTTGCATTTACTGGTATTGAATTATAATTACAAAATGATTTAATAGATGGGAATATAACTTTAAATACATGACACAGAAAATAATTTCCTAATTTTCACTAATTCCTAGAGTGATGGGATTATGAGTAGGCTTTTTTCCCCCTTCTCCTTTCCCCCAAAATTCTATAACGTATTTAAGTGAGGTTTATAATGAAAGTTTTCACTTATTTAAACATAAATTACAATTTGAAAGAAAATAGTTTTATTGAAATTCAACTTAAATATTTTGATACCTACTTAAATGTTTAATTCAATTAAAATGTTAATCATTACCAAAGAAGCCCTAGGCAATGTCAGTAAATGAACGTGTAGAACTTAGAAGGACTCTGATTTCTGTGATGAGTGATACATCATTCCCATCTTCCTTTCTTGAAAAGTGCTCAAGTTGAAATCATCCTTTTATGTCTTCTCCCCCAGTCTAAACTAACAGGTCATAGGTCCTGTTTACTTAGGGCTCTGTGACTCCTCTTTTACCACCGTGATACCAGGATGAATACCTTTCTCCTGATGGAGAATTAATAGAACAACTAGGCAATTCGGTGGGACCAGAGCCCTTAAACATTCCTCTTTTTCAGACAAAATTGTATGTTTGAAACGGTTTACTTCTGATGGCAAAACGTGACTCTCCCAATGACCATCATGACAATCAATGGAAGCCAATTGGGAGGCACTGCAGCCAGGCTTCAGAGAGATCACGACCTTTTGAAGCTGCTTAAATCAGACTTGAAGCTGCTTAGAGGGCATCAGCAGATTTGATATTATTAATTTTTTTTAACTTTACCACTTATCAGGCCAAAGATTCTTTTTTTTTTTTTGAGATGCAGTCTCTGTCTGCTGCCCAGGCTGGAATGCAATGGCGCAATCTTGGCTCATTGCAACCTCTGCCTCCAGGGTTCAAGCAATTCTCCTGCCTCAGCCTCCTGAGTAGCTGGGATTACAGGCACGTGCCACCACACTGGGCTAATTTTTTGTATTTTTAGTAGAGATGGGGTTTCACCATGTTGGCAGGCTGGTCTTGAACTCCTGACCTTGTGATCCACCTGCCTCAGCCTCCCAAAGTGCTGGTATTACAGGCGTGAGCCACCGCGCCCGGCCAAAGATTCTTAAAATAGGGTGTAATAAATTATTTTATTGGAAAAAATAATATTTTATAAGTATCTTCAGTAAAAATCAATGTATATAAACACCATTAGGCAGTTCTATTTTGGTCACACAAATCGGTAACAGTCACCAGCATCACTGTGTCCCCTGAAAAGATCTCTGGATGGTTTTTTTTTTTCGACAAGGTCTTGCTCTGTCGCTCAGGCTGGAGTGCGGTGGAGTGATCTCAGCTCACTGTAACTTCCACTTCCCGAGTTCAAGTGATCCTCCTGCCTCAGCCTCCCTAGTAGCTAGGACTACAGGTGTGTCCCACAATGGCCGGTTAATTTTTGTATTTTTAGTAGAGATGGGGTTTCACCATGTTTGGCAGGCTGGTCTCAAACTCCTGACCTCAGGTGATCTGCTGGCCTCAGCCTCCCAAAATGCGAGGATTACAGGCATGAGCCACTGTGTCTAGCCTGGATGGTTTTTATTAACCTGAACAGTGGTGAAAAATAAAATAATCTGGACCATAAATAAGGAAAGACCTCAACATCAACTAAAACACAGATATTTATAAATGACTTTGGGATGTGGCATTCATTTCCAAATTTTGCTTTGTTAGACCTTAGGCGTTTATATAGCTAAAAAAGTCAAGGGGATGACTTCACTTGAATTGTGCATATTCATTTGCCATTTAATTCAATAAAGAACAGCAAATGTATTGATTGCAGTAACAGTTACTGCTGCTGCTCACAAGCCAGACACCACCAGAAACACACCTATAGGCACACTAAGTTGGCCATACTACCCGGTGCAAGGGACAGGATGCACCCTATGTGAGTATCCTAATTTTTATCAAGGAGGTAGGAAGAATGGGGCAAAACTAAAGCTGTAAGTGGTGAAGAGAGAGCTGTTACTCATGCTAACCAAAGAGGTGGATGTCCAGTCACTTTGCTGGTTTAGACATTACTTTAGTTTTGATCTTCACTCAGACATGATTACAGAGTGGTTTTGTTTTTGTTTTGTTCCATTACAGTGGAAGAATGACCTTGTGTGGTGCTGGTGTCCTGTGAAATTGCTTATATTCAATAGTAAAACATCATCCTCACTCACAGCTGACAGTGGTCAGGAGCTGCTCCCATCTTTGTCAGCATCCTTCACCTCATGCCTACTGTGTATCAGCCAGTGCTACCAGGCCTGCACACACATCGCTGACTGTTCAACACTTCCTGCAAAGATAGGAGGCATCCTTCTTCCCAATGTGCACATCAAACATCCACATCTCTCAGAAGTCTGGTAGCTTGCCTATGGCCACACAGAAAAGAACTAAAGCTATTTATCACAAGAATAATTAGGTAAATAAGTAAATACACAAGAAACAACAAGAAGCTTTAAAGGAAGCAGACACATAAATGGTTGAGGGAAACCAGAGAGACTTATGGAACTCGATCACTTGGGACTTAAGCAATGGAGAGGAATTCATAAAGAGGTCTCATGGGTGGGTGGCATCAGGGAAGGATTCCAGCTTCTATTTGGGTAAACATGTGCACAAAGACCCAGGGGCCTACAAGAGAAAGAACAACAAACCTTTCACGGACATAAGGGAAGGCTTTATGTCGTAGGTGATACCTGAACCAAGAGTCCAAAGGGCAGAGAACAGTTTCCAAGCAGAGAATCCATGGATTATGCTGGGGTGGGGGTTGGTTGGTAGAAGACAAAAAATGAACAATGAGAACTGAGAAAAGTTGTGGGGTATGACAGTCAGAAGAATGCTAGTGATCCCCGAGCTACCAATGTCAGGAGAATTATGAGGAAAGGGATTAAATCATAAAGGGTTAAATTTCAGTGAGAATGGGACAAGCAGAAACAGTAACCATTTTCTCCTTTTCAAGGAGTTAGAGGGCTGAAGGCATGCGACAGAGGGAAAAGAAGCTTTGGAGTGTGGAGACAGCACACATCAGATACGCAGTGGGTGGGTTTGTTTTCATTATTATGCATTTCTAGGAACAGAATATATAGCAACTGTTACATACCTAATGGTAGCAGTAAATATTTAACAATTAACATTTAACAAGCCTCTGGATGATTCTGATGCATACTAAATAAAGAGAACCTCTGTATGCTAGAAATAATAAGGCCTGGACCATAAAGTACTAGTGCTACAGTCAATTCATAAATCTGTCATTTCATGAATAAAATTTCATGGTTGTAATTGTAGCATTATAAGCTTTATGTGTGCATGTGTTTGTGTGTGTGTGTGTGTGTGTAGAGCGAAGGAAAGAGATTTCATGCTAAAGGAAACCTTAGAATTCATGGACTGCCTAGGTTCTCTAACTTTGTTTAGCATACATATATTAGGGTTCTCTAGAGGGACAGAACTAATAGATTATATACATATATATATATATATATATATATATATATATATATATATATATATATATATATATGGAGTTTATTAAGGAGTATTGACTCACACAATCATAAGGTGAGGTCTGCAAGCTGAGGAGCAAGGAAGCCAGCCCGAGTCCCAAAGCTGAAGAACCTGGAGTCCAATGTTTGAGAGTAGGAAGCATCCAGCGTGGCAGAAAGAGATAGGCCAGAGACTAAACCAGTCTAGTCTTTCCATGTTCTTCTGCCTGCTTTTATTCTGGCCATGCTGGTAGCTGATTAGATGGTGCCCACCCTGGTTGAGGATGGTTCTGTCTTTCCCAGTCCACTGACTCAAATGTTAATCTCCTTTGGCAACACCCTCTCAGACACACCCAAAGGCAATACTTTGCATCCTTCAGTCAATCAAGTTGACACTCAATATTAACCATCACAATACATGAGAATCATCCAAAGGCTTGTTAAGTGTTGCGTGATACTGCATTCTGTGCACCTACCGTGTCTTCCCTACCCACTTTTCCAGCCATGGACACTGAGGTTGCTTTCAATTCTCAGCCACCGCACTGCAAAGAGCAGCTACATGCACGTCCCTTTTACACATGTGTCAGAACTACTTTGAGATAGGTAACTGGAGACACATTCACTAGGTAGTAGGGTATACAAATACTAAAAATTTTACTACATAACATGAGGGGTGCCGTCAAAGAGTTATAACAGTGTACACTCCCACCATCAATACGTGAGTTCCTATATCCCCACATTTGTGCCAACACATGATACTATCCAACTTTCTGATTTTGACAGCTTTTTAAGTACAAAGCGATATATTTTTTATCTTTTTAAATAATATTGGGTGCATATATATTTGTATATATACATAGACACATATATTTGTACATATATATACTTATATATTTATCTCACCTTGTGATATGGTTTGGCTGTGTCCTCACCCAAATCTCACCTTGAATTGTAATAATCCCCCCTGTGTCAAGGGGGGGTCCAGGTGGAGATAATTGAATTATGGGGCAGTTTTCCCCATACTGTTCTTGTGGTAGTGAATAAGTCTCACCGGATCTGATAGTTTTATAAATTGGAATTCCCCTGCGCAAGCTCTCTTGCCTGCCACCATGTAAGATATGCCTTTGCTTCTCCTTTGCCTGCTGCCATGATTGTGAGGCCTCCCCAGCCATGTGGAACTGTGAGTCCCTTAAACTGCTTTCCTTTATAAATTACCCATTCTCTAGTGTGGCTCTATTAGCAGCATGAAAATAGACTAATACACTTTGCTAACTGTGTAGTCTTGGATAATTCACTTCTTTCTGAGTTTCAGTTCTCTCATCAGTAAAATGAAGAAAAATTAAGTACCTCTGATAGAAAAGCCATGAAATGAGATGATGTGTGAAAAGTAATTCACATGAGCTCTGCAAAGCAATAAGCTACCAAAATAGTTATTTGTTTTTATTCTGGGATTTGATTAAAAATATTGTTTCTCAAAAGGCAAATTTTTCTAAAGTACTTAGGGAACTGAATTATAAGAAAATTGTCAATTATCAGAATTCAGTTTGGGGATATTCTTATGAGATTTTTGGAACCCACAGGGAGAGATCAAGAATACCTACACAGTTGACAATGTCCAGGTTAAGGGAATTTTGGTAAAGGAAAGAGACTAATAGTAGATTAAAAAAGAGTATCTTTTGCATTTCCTTTTTCGTTTATAGTTTCTGGTGTATATGTAACATATCATTAAAAACTGGTAATAGAAGTTAAAAAGAAATCTATAATCTTATCACTTAAAAGCACTGCTGTATTAAAACTTTGATGCATCTTTTGTTATGCTTAACTGAATAATTTATAAGTATGCTGATCACATTAGTCATGTATCACACTTAACTAATGAAGAGAGCATGCTAATTTTTCAATAGTCTCTGCATAAGTCATTTTAATTGCTTCATAATATTCCATCAAGTACATGTTGCTGGGGTAATTATATTTTAGTGCTCTGGACTAGAAAGTAATTCAGTATCTATAAAAATGTAAAAGATTAATTATTAATACAAACTATTTTAATCAAATGGATTTAGACAGGTTAGCATATCTTAGTGTATAGCAATGTGCTTAATAATACCTTATATTTGTACAGCCCCATAGAGAGTAAACACTTTCAAGCAGCCTTGTGATCTGGACCGTCTGGGTATTACTGTTATGTTATAGATGAAGGAGCCAGTCAAGGCTATGTGTTTAAGAATTTGCCTTTAGATCTGACCTTTGCAAGAGCCAATACTGGGGTGCAATGTGATGTTTTGATACTTATATACATTGTGGAATGATGAAACATATCCATCACCTCACATATTTTTTGTGGTGGGAACATTTAAAATCCACTCATTTAGCAAATTTGAAATATATAATATATTGCATTCCATAAATATATACAATTATTTGTCAATTAAAAATAAAAATTCTTGTAAATTTAAATTCCTTACAGATGCTGGATATTAGGCTTCTGTCTGATGCATAGTTTGCACATATTTTCTTCTATTCTGTAAGTTGTCTGTTTATTGATGATTTCTTTTGCTGTGCAAAAGCTCTTAATTTTAACTAGATCCCATTTGTCAATATTTGATTTTGTCGTGATTGCTTTCAATGTCTTTGTCATGAAATCTTTGCCCATTGTATGTCCAGGATGGTGTTACCTAGGTTGTCTTCAAGGGCTTTTTTAGTTTTGGATTTTACATTTAAATATTTAACGCATATTGAGTTAACTTTTGTATATGGTGTAAGGAAGGGGTCCAGTTTCGGTTTTCTACTTATGGCTAGCTGGCTATCTCAGCACTATTTATTGAATAAGGGGTCCTTTCCACGTTGCTTGTTTTTGTAAGCTTTGTCAAAGATCAGGTGGTTGTAGGTATGCAGCCTTATTTCTGGGTACTCTGTTCTGTTCCACTGGTCTATGTGTCTGTTTGATACCATTACCATGGTGTTTTGGTTACTGTAGCACTGTAGTACAGTTTGAAGTCAGATAACATGACGTCTCCAGCATTGTTCCTTTGGATTAGGATTGCCTCGGCTATTTGGGCTCTTTTTTGGTTCCTTATGAATCTTAAAATAGTTTTTTCTACTTCTGTGAAGAATGTCATTGGTAGTTTGATAACAATAGTATTGAATCTGTACATTGCTTTGGGCAGTACGGCCATTTTAATGATAGTGAGTCTTCCTATCTATGAGCATGGAATGTTTTTCCATTTGTGCATGTCATTTCTGATTTCTTTGAGCAGTGTTTTGTTACTCTCATTGTAGAGATCTTTTGCCTCCCTGGTTAGCTGTATTCCTAGGTATTTTATTCTTTTTGAGGTAATTGCAAATGGGATTGCGTTTCTGATTTGGCTCTTGGCTTGGTTCTTGGCTGTTATTGGTGTATAGGAATGCTAGTGATTTTTGGACATTGATTTTGTATCCTAAGAGTTTGCTGAAGTTGTTTACCAGCTGAAGGAGCTTTTGGGCTGAGATGATGGGGGTTTCTAGATATAGAATCATGTCATCTGCAAACAGGGATAGTTTGACTTCCTCTCTTCCTATTTGGATACCTTTTATTTCTTTCTCTTGCCTGATTGCTCTGGCAGACTTCTGATACTATGTTGAACGAGAGTGGTGAGAGGGGGCATCCTTGTCTTGTGGTGGTTTTCAAGGGGAATGTTTCCAGCTATGGCCCATTCACTGTAATGTTGTCTGTGGGTTTGCCATAGATAGCTTTTATTTTGAAGTATGTTCCTTCAATACCTAGTTTATTGAGGATTTTTTAACTTGAAAGGATGTTGAATTTTATTAAAAGCCTTTTCCACATCTATTGAGATAATCATGTGATTTTTGTCTTTAGTTCTGTTTATGCGATGAATCACACTTATTGATTTGCATATGTTGAACCAACCTTGCATCCCAGAGATGAAGCCTACTTGATTGTAATGGATTTGCTTTTTGAAGTGCTTCTGGATTCAGCTTGCAAGTATTTTGTTGAGGATTTTTGTATCAGTGTTCATCAAAAATATTGTCCTGAAGTTTTCTATTTTTGTTGTATCTCTGCCAGGTTTTGGTATCAGGATGATATTTACCTCATAGAATAGGTTGGAGAGAAGTCCTTCCTCCTCAGTTTTTTGGAAATCATATCATTGGGAATGGTACCAGCTCTTCTTTGTACATCTGGTAGAATTGAGCTGTGAATCCGTCTGGCCCTTTTTGGTCGGTAGGCTGTTTATTACTGATTCAATTTTGGAGCTCATTATTGGTCTGTTCAGGGAATCAATTTCTTCCGGGTTTAGTCTTGTGAGGCTGTATATGTCCAGGAATTTAGCCATCTCAGGTTTTCTAGTTTGCGTATGTAGAGGTGTTCAGAGTAGTTTCTGATGTTTCTGATGTTTGGTGTTTTTTTTTTCTGTGAGGTCAGTGGAAGTATCTCCTTTGTCACTTCTAATTGTGTTTATTTGGATCTTCTCTTTTTTCTTCTTTATTAATCTAGCTAGCAACCTATCTTATCAATTTTTATTATCTTACTAATTAAAAAACAACCTCCTGAATTTGTTGAACTTTTGAATGGCTTTTCGTTTCTTGATTTCCTTCAGTTTAGCTCTGATTTTGGTTATTTCTTGTCTTCTGTTAGCTTTGGGGTTGATTTACTCTTGCTTCTCTAATTATTTCAGTTGTGATGTTAGGTTGTTAATTTTAGATCTTTATAACTTCTTGATGGGGCATTGAGTGCCATGAATTTTTGCCTTAGCTGCGTCCCAGAGATTCTGGTAGGTCGTATCTTTGTTCTCATTAGTTTCAAAGAACTTCTTGATTTCAGCCTTAATTTCATTATTTATGCAAAAATCATTCAGGAGAATGGTGTTTAATTTCCATGTAATTGCATGGTTTTGAGCGATTTTTGTCAGTCTTCTGTTTTTATTGTGCGTGGTCTGAGAGTGTGTTTTGTATAAGTTAGGTTCTTTTGCATTTGCTGAAGATTGTTTTATGTGCAATTAAGCAATCAATTTTAGAGTATGTACCATGTAGCAATGATAACAACATATATTCTGTAGTTTTTGGGTGAAGAAAAAAACAACTCCATTAAAACGCGGGAAAAGGACATGAACACTGTTGTTGTTGTTGGGTTTTATTTTTTTTTTTTTTTTGAGACGAAGTCTCGCTCTGTCTCCGGGGCTGGAGTGCAGTGGCGCGATCTCGACTCACTGCAAGCTCCACCTTCCAGGTTCACACCATTCTCCTGCCTCAGCCTCCTGAGTAGCTGGGACTACAGGCACCTGCCACCACACCTGGCAAATTTTTTTGTATTTTTAGTAGAGATGGGGTTTCATTGTGTTAGCCAGGATGGTCTCGATCTCCTGACCTCGTGATCCACCCACCTCGGCCTCCCAAAGGGCTGGGATTACAGGCTTGAGCCACTGCGCCCAGCCGTGAACACTTTTCTAAAGAAGTCGTATATATGGCTAACAAGCATATGAAGAAAATCCCAATATCACTGATCATTAGAGAAATACAAATCAAAGCCACAATGAGATATCATCTCACACAAGTCAGAATGGCTATTATTAAAAAGTTAAAAAGTAACAGATGATGATGAGGTTGCAGAGAAAAGGGAACACTTATACACTGTTGGTAGGAGTCTAAATTAATTCAACCATTGTGGAAAACAGTATGGCAATTCCTCAAAGAGCTAAGAACAGAACCACCATTTGGCCCAACAATCCCATTACTGGGTATGTACCCAGAAGAATATAAATCATTCTACCACAAAGACACATGCACGCAAATGTTTATTGCAGCACTAGTCACAATAGCAAAGACATGGAATCAACATAAATGCCCATAAGTGACAGACTGGATAAAGAAAATATGGTACATATACATCACAGAATACTATGCAGCCATAAGAAAAGAATGAGATCATGTCTTTTATGGGAACATGGATGGAGCTGGAGGCCATTATCATTAGCAAACTAATGTAGGAACAGAAAACCAAATACCATATGTTCTTATAAGTGGAAGCTAAATGATGAGAACTCATAAATACAAGGAAAGGAACAACGGACACTGGGGCTTACTTGAGAGTGGAGGGTGGGAAGATGGAGACGAGCAGAAAAATTAACTATTGGGTACCAGGCGTAATACGTGGGTAACAAAATAATCTGTACAACATGAGTTTATATAACAAACCTACACATGCACCCTTGAACTTAAAAGTTAAAAAAATTCAGTAAAGTAAATGTTGTATAATAATTTGACATGAAATTAAAAAGGTAAATGTAAATGCACAAAGAAAAAAACTAAAGTCAAAAAAATTAAAAAATAAAAGACATAACAATAACAAAAAAGCATATCAGGATCACCGAGAGTAGTTTCAGAATATACACTTCCCTGAAGATAAATATAAATAATAAATCCCAGTCTACTCTAGTTTGGTGACCTCTTACAGAGAACAATAAAGCAATGCTATCACACACACACAGACACACACACACACAAAGAGGTCAATATTGGGACTTCTTTCTCCACTGAACTTTCTTAATACAACATCATTCTACTTCTTAAGTTAAACAACTTAAAGTAGGGCTAACCAAGGGTCTGAATTAGAATCTCTCAGCATAAGTGAGTGTTTTGAAAATTTGATAAATTGCTCTTAAGTTTCTTAATACATATAGAATCTTTATATAAGATTCTGTAAACAACTTTGTGAGCATGCAATGAATAATACATGAAATTGCTTATAAAATTAATAGACATAGTAAAGATTTAATACAAAAATTGTGAATGTAAGCACTCACATTTTGAGATCTTCAAAATTTATGATAATGGCTTTCTGCTAATGAATTTAATAGTGACCACAGTTAATAATAATGTACTGTATATTTCAAAATTGCTAAAATAATATATTTTTAATATTTTCATAACATAAAAATGGTAACTAATGAGGTGATGGGTGTATTCATTAGCTTGATTAACTCTTTCTACAATGTATGCAAAAATCAAAACATCACATTGTACCCCATAAATATGCACAATTATTTGTTGTAACCTTAAAATAGATAAATTCAAAAAACTTATGACAAATGTATGATAAATGCATGTATTTCAAATGAGGAAAATCATTTAATTTCTTGAACTCTGAATAGAAAATGACACAGAATTAAGATTGCTGTAATGTAGTTGTTAAAGAGTTTCTCATTGATAGACTTGTTTTCACTATGACACTTATAAACACTTAACCCTTGCTATGAAACATAACATTAGGTTACATTATTCTAGAGACCATCTTAAAACCATGCGAGTATTGTAATTGTTTTTTCCCAGTAGCTATTTAGATCTGATCACTATAATTGCTAAGTAAAATAAAACAGGGAATTGCAACTTTCCAAATCATCAATTTCTAAATAAATTTTAGTTGACTTTTGGATAACACAGGGAGGAGGGGAAACCCATGCAATGGAAAATTCATGTATAACCTTTGATACCCCAAAAAGGTAACTGCTAATAGCTTACTGTTGACTGGAAGCTATTTTGTATTTTGTATATGAGTTATATACTGTATTCTTACAACAAAGCAAGCTAGAGAAAAGAAAACTGTAAGAAAATCATAAGGAAGAGAAAAAATACTTACTCTTCATTAACTAGAAGTGAGTCATCATAGAATCTTCATCCTCATTGTCTTCGTGTTGAGTAGTCTGAGGAGGAGGAGGGAGAGGAGGGGTTGGTCTTGCTGTTCACGGGTGGCAGAGGCAGAAGAAAACCTGCATATATGTGGACCCTCAGAGTTCAAAACCATGAGGTTCAGGGGTCAACTGTATTTTGGAAACATATGCATAGCATGTAAATTGTCTCCTTTTTTTTTTACATAGCTAAAGAATATGACTTATAGAAACTGATAATTTTATGAAACATAATCAATCTCAATTACTAAATGAAATACGTTTTTGTGCTGCATTAGAAGCCATTAAGTTGGGCCAGGTGCAGTGGCTCACACCTATAATCCACCACTTTGGGAGGCAGAAGCAGGCAGATCGCTTGAGCTCAGGAGTTTGAGACCATCCTGAGCAACATGGTGAAACTATGTCTGTACAAAAAATACAAAGAAAAAAAAATTAGGCGGGTGTGGTGGCTTACGCCTGTAGTCCTAGTTACTGTTAGTGCTATTTTACAACAGCATGTGCTCACTTTGTGTCTCTGTGTCACATTTTGGTAATTCTTGCAATATTTCAAGCTTTTAAATTATTATTATATGTTACGGTGATCTGCAATCAGTGATGTTTGATGTTACTATTGTAATATCACGCCACAAACCATGTTCATATTCAGCAGCAAACTTAATGGATAAATGTGTGTGTTCTGACTCCTCCACCAACTGGCTGTTCCCGCATCTCTCTCTCTCTCCTTGGACCTCCCTATTTCCTGAGAGACAACAATATTGAAATTAGACCAATTAATAACCTTACAATGGCCTCTAAGTATTCAAGTGAAAGGAAGAGTCATGTGTCTTTCATTTTAAGTCAAAAACTAGAAATGACTGCACTTAGGAAGACATTGTCCACCAAGATAAGCAGAAAGCTAGGCTTCTTGCAGCAAACATTTAGCCAAGTTGTGAATGCAAAGAAAAAGTTTGTGAAGAGAATAAAAAGTGCTACTTCAGTGAACACATGAATGATAAGAAAGTGAAATAACCCTATTGCTGATACGAAGACAGTTTTAGTGGTCTGGATAGAAGATCAAATCAGCCACTACATTCCCTTAAGCCAAAGCCTGATCAAGGCCCTAAGTTCTTTTCAATTCTATGAAGGCTGAGAGAGGTGAGGAAGCTGTAGCAGAAAGCTGGAAGCTAGCAGAGGTTGGTTCATGAGGTTCAAGAAAAGAGGCTGTCTCCATAACATAGAAGTACAAGGTGAAGCAGCAAATCCTTAGGATGAAGCTGCAGTAAGTTATCCAGAAGATGTAGCTAAGATCATAGGTAAAGGTGGCTACACTAAACAACAGATTTTCAGCATAGATGAAACAGCCTTCTATTGGAAGATGCCATCTAGAACTTTCATAGCTAGAGAGGAGAAGTCAATGTGTGACTTCAAAGGACAGGCTGACTCTCTTGTCAGAGACTAATGCAGTTGGTGACTTTAAGCTGAAGACAGTGCTCATTTACCATTCTGAAAATCCTAGGACACGTAAGAATTATGCTAAATTCTTCTCTGTAAAGCACAGGCAGATGACAGCACATCTGTTTGCAACATGGTTTACTGAATATTTGAAACCCACTATTGAAGCCTACCGGGCTCAAATAGTCTGCCTGCCTTGGCCTCCCAAAGTGCTGGGATTACAGGCAAGAGCCACTGTGTCTAGCCCTTGTTTTTGAAGAAATACATTTTGTAAGGCTATAGCTCTTATTGATACTGATTCCTCCAATTAATCTGGGCAAAGTAAATTTAAAACCTTCTGGAAAGCAGTCACCATCCTAGATGCTATTAAGAACATTTGTAACTCATGAGAGAAGGTAAAAATATCAGCATTAATGGGCATTTGGAAGAAGCTGATTCCAACCCTTAGGGATGACTTTGAGGGGTTCAAGACTTCAGTGGAGGAAGGAACTGCGGATGTGGTGAAAATAGCAAGAGAACTAGAATTAGAATTGGAGCCTAAAGATGTGACTGAATTGCTGCAATCTTATAATAAAACATTAATGGATGAGGAGTTGCTTCTTATGAATGAGAGAAGAAAGTGGTTTCTTGAGATGGAATCTACTCCTGGTGAAGATGCTATGAACATAGTTGAAATGACAACAAAGGATTTAGAATATTACATGAACTTAGTTGATAAAGCAGTGGCAGGGTTTGAGAGGATTGACTTTAATTTTCAAGTTTGGCTATGGGTGAAATATCAAATGGCATCACATGCTACAGAGAAGTCTTTCATGAAAGGAAGAATTAATGTGGCAAACTTCATTGTTTTTTTAAAAATTCACTCCACAGTCACCCCAACCTTCAGCAACCACCACCCTGATCAGTCAGCAGCGATCAATATCGAGGCAAGAACCTCTACCAGGAAAAAGATTAAAATTTACTGAAGACTGAGATTATGATTAGTATTTTTTTTAGCAATCAAGTATTTTAAAATTAAGGCATATACATTTTTAAGGCATATAGCTATTATACACTTACTAAAATATAAAGATACTATTTATATGCACTAGGAAACAAAAAACTTGATGTGATGAAATTTATTGCAAAATATTCACTTTATTGTGGTAGTCTGGAACCGAATCCACAGTACCTCTGAAGTGTCTGTACCTATGATAAGTAAAGAAATGTTATAAAGGAATATATTAGCTTGTAAATTACTAAGCTTCTTACATAGAACTAATTTAATTAAGCTATTGCTTAACAATTAACAGTTGTTAATCTATTAACAATTAACAGTTGTTAATCTATTAACAATTAACAACCACCACCCACATTCACTAGATACACACAAGTAAACAGAGTAGCAAAACCAACCCTCTTGTACCCATTCCGAGGTCCCAAGCATCAACCCCATGGCCTTTTCTCCCCCGTGCAACTCTTTCATACGTTGCCCATGATCTGTATTATTTTGAAGCAAATTTAAAACTTCCTAGCTTTATATCCTTAAATATTTGTGTGCAAATTCCTGAAATTTAAGATTCTATTTTCTTAAAATAGAATCTAAAGAAGTGAACAATAATTTATTTGCACCATCAAATAATCAGTTGTTTTTCAAATTTTCAATAGTTAACTGGAAAACAGCATTTTATTATTACTATTTTTTTAACAACAACTTTCCAAAGACCTCAATATGATACAAAAGAGAATTTCTTAGTAAGGACTATTGATTTCAGAGTCCATTCTCTGAACATGTTCTCTGTGTAGTTTTACCTCATCCACTATCTGCCACTCAATCAAGATTTGAGTCCCTGAGGAATTGCTGAAGGTACATATATTCAGAGAAGATGCTTATTCCTATTCTTACAGAGCCATGGTTTTCAAACCTGCGGGAACAAAGCCACAATGAGTCATTATGTCTGTTATTCTTTTTTTCATTACTATACATTTGTGGCCTAAGATTTTGTGACTGTCCTGGAAGAATTCAAAGGAAAATTTGAATGTATGGCACAATAGGCTTTACACTACATGTGGCATTAAGATAAATATCATTTAAGTGTAAAATAAGCCCTAATACTGTGTCATCAGAATACTAAAGAATTCCCCCTCAGATACATTTATTTTAATTTTTTTAATCTTTAGGGAGCAGCAAGGCGTTTTATCTGGTTCCTTACAGAAACACTTATGGTTATTCTATATATTATGAATAATGTAGTTTCTTAAAATTAAAATAAGCAGAGTTTAAAGTACGTATACAGCATCATTAAAATAACATGCAATATGTTTTATAAAGTGACTTCAGAGGATGCATACAAATATCTATAAAAGTTATGTATGCACCTTTAAAATAATTTGAAAATGTTGATCAACCAATCTAAACTGCGTTGAAATAGAAACAATATGGATATTTAGGAACTTCTGGTTGCTGCATGGTACTATAATTACACTGGCTGAAGTATAATTTCCAAAAATTATATGCAAAGGCAAACTAGTTAAAAAGAAAATAAAACTCTACAGTAAAGAAATTAAAACTATTTTTGTTGAAGTAACTTTCCTAGGAAGTATTCTATTGGTATCTTTTGTCTTGAGGTTAAAAATATTGTCTACTATGTTTAAATAATTATTTGGCTTTATTTCCCAAATGGAATTGTCACTTTGATCAAAGCATATAGAGAGGCGTTGCTATTTCTCCTTTTACTCTCTAGTGGGGTGACTTGGATGTTAAACTCAAGTAATGAGATTCAGAGATTAATAAACTGTCTGTAACACTGTGCCATCTGTGAAGACTTAATCACTATACAACACAACAATCACAACTGCATGTTATTGAGGCTTGTTATGAAGGAGGCAGATGTTAATCTCTTCATCTTACTTAATTTGGATATCAGACTTTGGAAGTAAGTATTCTTATCTCCAATTTATAGATAAAGAAACTGAGGTTTAGGAATCTGATTCAAGATTTTCCAGCTGTTAAGTGATGGATCCCCATCTTTTAAGAGCCAGGATTGTCTTATTATTTTTTTTCCAGGTCATACTAAGGTCTCCAGTACAAAAGTTTGGATGAGCATACTTAATTTCTCTTTATGGAAAGGGCTTGAAGGGAGTATTAATATTTCACTTGTTGCTGGAATAATGATTGTTGATGTTTGAAAAAAATGTTGTCTACAAAGATTGAGAAGATTTTTTGTGAACATGAAATAAATGAGATTTTGTCATCTGTGTTGAGTAGAAGAAATATTTCCCAAATTTCAGACATCCTAGCATTAAAAATGGAGAACATGTATTAAAGCCTTCAAGCTTTCTCTGTTCTTGTTTCATTTATCTATATCAAGATACCCATGGGTATGTGAGCCATTTACTGGTTGGTTTTGTAGTTTTGTTACATCTGGCAGTGTTTCAAAAGGTAATGCAAGTGGGCAGGTGTTATTATTGATTGAAATAAGCAGTTTACACCAGTCTAAAACAGTGTCCGCTGCATGCATTTATTCACCCTCTGCTCCCAAATGACAGATGAGTTTGTCTTTGTGAAGAATAGGTTAAGCCCTGATTACATTATTACTAAATAAAATACTCTCTCTTTTGACTTTCTCTATAATGAAACTTTAATTATGTGACTAAATTGTACAGAATCTGAAGGTCAGAAAACCCAAAATAACACACCATCATACATTTCTCTGTGTGTCCTAAAAACATTTGGTAAAATTTAAAGTTGGTGGCAACTTAAAAAATAATACTGTAGAGATAATTAATTTTTGTATTCACTAAATCTTAATATTACAATTGGGCATGTCTCAGAGGTTACCGAGTTTCTCCCAGTGTCTAGCTTCTATGAAAGTATAGGTTAAGATCTACATAAAGATACAGTGGTACTCAGGTAAATAAGACATATAGTGTCTAATGTACATCACAATATACATTATAATATGAAGTATACATTAATGTACATCCATACATACACTAGTATCATTATTAATATACATTAAATAATATATGGCTTCAGAGGCCGTGATGAGGGTCATCAGTTCTGAACTCTATGAAACAGTAAGGGCTGATTCAACTCTATCCAAACTTTTTAAACATTCTAATTTTTCAAATTAAATATAATAAACTGGATATTTATTTTAATCTGCTTAGAAATGTTGGTTGATTGCGAGTCTCTTTCTAAAGCACATATTTAAGTTTCCATTTGGGAAAACAATTAGCAATTTAATAAATAAATGACATTTTGAAGTAGACTGAAGGCTAATCAATATATTAGAATGACTGTATAAAAACAATAGAATATACAGGTAAATGAGGAATAATTTACTTTAAATTTTATAATGTCTGTAGTGGGGAATTCAGTAGTTTTCTTTCAGCACTGAACAATAGTGATTTTGATGGTAATGGTCATAAGAATGCCATTATTCTTAGTAATATTAATGGTAAAATGAGAGATGCTAATTGAGCTCTTTATGGTATAATGCATGATAAATTATGTGATATCTAAAATATGAAGTTGAAAGGTATTTCTCATAGTGTTCTTAATGATCTATAAAAAAGCACAAAAGTGAAAAATAGAATTTTAATGAGGTATTCTTAAAAAAATCTTCTATTTTTGCTTTTGGATAAATACATGCAAAATTTAAATCTTGATTGTCTTTGCTGAACTATTTTTTAAAGTGCCAAGGACCTATTTCTTTTTCATAGTTAGCATGCTTATTTTCATGTAACTTTTTATAATGAAAGACAATACACATTCAGAAAAAGACAAAAAGCATAAATGTATATACAACTCATTGGACTATCAAAAAGTGAAAATGCTATGTAAATGTTACGTAGGCCAAACATATTATTGTAACTTTCATGCCCTTACTGTTGACTCTTACCTCCCTCTTCCCACCAAATAATCATGACCATGAATTCTATTGCCATAGATTAGTTTTGCTTATTTTGAATTATATACAGAAGGAATCATACTATATGAACTTTTAAATATCTGGCTCCTTGGGTTAACATCATGCTTATGAAAAACACCCATGTTGTGTCTACATAGGTATAACTGATTTATTTTTATATAATGAAATGTCCTACAGTAATGAAAATAAGTAAAAGTATAAACAATACAATTAAAAATATAATTTAAAAATATAGCAGTATTTAAAAATCCATTCTATAATTGGACATATGAATTATACTTTGGGTCAATTATGAATAATGCTTCAAAAATATTCACGTACATACATGTCTTTTGCTAGCTGGAAAACTGCCTGATTTTGCGCTGGGTACATCATTCTTCAGAGTGGAATTGCCAACTCATAAAAAATGTATATATTTAATTTTAGTAGAAAATGCAAACTAATTTTAATGGAAATTATACCAATTTATATTCTCAACAGCAGTGTATTAAAATTCCATTTGTTCCACATTCTTGAAAACACTTGGTATTAATTTTCTTTTGTTTTAGATGTTTATTGTTACCCTCATTTTTAGCCATTCTAGTTGGTGTGCATAACTCTCACACTTTGGTTCTAATTGGCATTGTCCAATGTCTAATAAGATTAGCAAATATTTCGTAGATTTGTTAGGCATTTAAATACTTTTTTCTCTTTTTTTCTCTCATTGCTTTGTAGTTCACTATGTATTCTGGATACTAATATACTGAAAAATAGGTTCTACCATTCTGTGGTTTCTTTCTATTATAACATTTTTAAATGAACAAAGTTCTTAATGTATTCTGACATCAGTTTCCTTTCATGGTTAAGAAAATCGTTGAACTCCTTAAAATCGTGAAAATATTCAGCTATGTTATCTTCCTATAACATTACTGTTTTGCCTTTCACATTTATGTCTACAGTCTTCCTGGAATTCACTTCTGCATACGGTTTGAGGTAGTGATCAATCCTTCTTTAAAAATTTCTTTCTTTTTAATTTTTTATGGGTATGTGAAATGTTTTGATACATGCATGCAGTGTGAACTAAGCACATCATGGATGGGGTTATCCATTCCCTCAAGTGTTTATCCTTTGAGTTACAAACAATCCGAGTATACTTTTTAAGTTACTTTAAAATGTACAGTTATTATTGACTATAGTCACCCTGTTGTGCTATCAAATAATAGGTCTTAGTCATTCTTTCTGTTTGTTTGTACCCGTTAACCATCCCCACCTCCCTGCAAGCCCCCCACTACACTTCTCAGCCTCTAGTAACCATCTGTCTACTCTCTATGTCCATGAACTCAACTTTTTTGATTTTTAGATTTTTCTTTTTAAATTGTTTTCCAATGTGGATATCCAATTTATACAGCACCATGTATTTAAAAGAATTATTTTTCTCCCCACTGCTCTGCATGGCAAACATTGTTAATAATCCACTCTCCATACATGCTGAATCTGTTTCTGGATTCTCTGATCTGTTCCAGTGATCTGTTTGAAGAACCTGCCAATAAGACATTCTCTTATTTTCTATAACATTATAAGACTTAATATCCAGTAAAAAAAAAACCCTCCAACTTTGTTTTTCTTGAGGAGTATCTTGGTGATTTCCATTTTGTTACATTTCCACATAAAACTTGTAACTATCTTGTAATTTGTGCACACACACAAACATTGGTTTGAATTTGGTAGAATCTATATATTAATTTAGGAGTATTGACATCTTTTCAATATGTATTTTCTACTATAAACCTTTAAAATTTTTCTCAATATTTTATAATTTTCATGTAAAGGCATTAAATATATTTTATTAGTTTTTTACAGTTAAATAATATAGTTTGATACTAATGTAAATGTCATTCAAAAATTTCACTTTCTGTTGCTTTTGTATAAATGTTTAATTCATTTTTATATATAGACTTTTATCTAACAGACTTGCTAAACTAATTCTATAGATTTTTCAAATTTCCTACATTTGCACTCATACACCTATAAATAAAGGCAGTTTTATTTCTTCCTTTCCAATCCTACTACCTGTTAAATATTTTTCTTGCCTTATTACACTAACTAGAAGTTCATTACATATTTAATGAAAGGGTCTATACAGAACATACTTGTCACATTCTCAAACACAAAGCAGCTCTCAGCATTTCCTATAATGTATGATACTTGCTGTATGATTTTTACAGATACTCTTTGCAGAGTTAGACATTGCCTGCTGGGCTAAGAATTTTAATCCTGTGTGAATATTACATTTTATGAAATGCTTTTTCTGTATTTGGTGAGAAAACCATATGTTACTTAATGTGATAAATTACATTGAATGACTTTTAAATATTAAGCAATTCTTGCATTCCTGGAATTAACTCGATTGAGATATGATTTATTATTTTTTCTATATTTTTATATTGTAGAATCATTTTTAAACTATTTTTAAGGAGTTTTGGATTGGCATTCATGGGTAAGATCGACTTTTATTTTCCTTCTTGCAAGTTCCTTGTCAGATTTTAATATCAGGGTTATGCTGGCCTCACAAAACAAGCTGGGAAGCATTCTCTGTTTTTCTGCTCTTTGAAGGTACTTGTTTAATACTGGTGTGATTTTGTCCTTAAATGTTTAGAAGAATTCACTAGGAAAGACATCGAGGCCTGCAATTTTCTGTGTGAATATGTTTACAATTATGCATGTAATCTAACAGATGTGGGCAGTTCAGGTTTTCCTGTTCTCATCTGTTTTGGTAAGTGGCGATTGGTTTGGAATTTATTTCATTTAAATTTGTAAAATTAGTGGCATAATTCGAAATATCATTATCACTCTAATGTGTATAGGATCATCGTAAGATGCTCTTTTGCATTACTGATATTGTTTATTCATGTCTCCTATTTTTTTCTTTCCCAGATCAATCCTAACTAGGGTTTTGTTAACTTAAACGTTCTTTTCAAAAACCAACTTGTGTTTTTTTTCCCTAATTTTGGTAATTTTTCATATGTATTTTAATCATGAGGAATAATACCTCTTGTAGAAAGAAGAATATACAGAAGTCAAAATGAAAAATAATTACAATAGTCTGAATTTCCAAAATTCGGGATAAACACAATTCCTCCAAATTTTGTGTATATTCTTTCAGATTTATAACACAAATGTATTTATGAAGTATGTTTTCTAAACACACACAGATGAAATATAGAATTATACTGAATGCTATTTGATACATATGACCACTGTTTCCTCATTTATACATCTTCTTACTACTTCCCTGCTTAGATTATTTTAAAACATATTTAATATTGCATGACCTTCTTCAAAGATTCTACAAAATATATTTATAATCAATAAGGAGTTTGTTTTTAAATAGAACTTAAAATGAGCATATCTAACATAATTTATAAGTTCTGCAATATCATAAAATAATCATAGGCTATTTGACTTCTGCTTGTAGTGTAAAAATATCTTTTTAGAATTTATTATTTGAATTAGAATTCAAAGTCTAATAATACGTTGAATTAATACATGTTTTATAGTACAATACTATTTATTACCTTTGAAATCATTTTTATTGAGAAAGTATTTAGTTGCCATAAAATGCACCCAAATAAAGTGCAGAAATTGATGAGTTCTGATAAATGTAAACACCTGTTTAACCCCACAAAGAGGAATCAGAATGTATCCATCACCCAACAGTTCCTTCATGCTCCTTTGTAGACAATGCTCATCACACCCTGACCCTGGAAATAATCAGCTTTCTGTCACTGTAGAGTATTTTTACTATTCTAGAATTTTATATAAATGAAATCATCTTGTGTTCACTTTTATATCTGGCATTTTTCATTCTACAAAATATTTTTTTAATTGTTTTATGTTGTTGAGTACATCATCAGTTTATGTCTTTTATTGAGTAATTTCCCATTGTATAGATATACTGTTTGTTTTTTTTTTTTAACTCTGTCTTATTTTTGTCAATTATTCATTCTTTTCTAAAATATTTCTTAATTTTTGGCTTTAATTTGCTTTATTTTTCCCCCTAATGTCTTAACTTCTATCCTTAACTCATTTATCTTCTGCCTTTCTTCTTCTGATATCCATGGGCTCAATATTGGTGACTTTGCTTTCATTTGTGATATTGATAATTTGGGTCTTTTCTTTCCCTTTTTTCCCCCATAGATAGCAAACTAGAGGTTTATCAATCTTAGCAAACTTTTGAAAGAACCACCTTTTAGTTTGTTGATTTTCTCGAATGTTTTCCTGTTTCCAATTTTATTCTTTGTGCTCTAATTTTTAAAATTTCTTTCCTTCTGCATTCTTTAGGCTTCAATTCTAAATTCTCTAATAACCTAGGATGAAAACTTGCATTATTTATTTAGATCTTTGTTTGTTTTCTAATATATGCATTTAATGCTACAAATTTTCCTCGAACACTGCTTTTGCTCTATCCTGCGTATTTTGATGTTATATTTTCATTTTCATACAGATTTAAACATTCTAGATAATTTCACATGAAACTTCTATTTTTAACTTGAATTTTTTTCAGATGTTTAGGAACTTTCTAGTTATTTTTCTGTTATTAATTTATAGTTTAATTCCTTTATGACCTGAGAGCATACATTGTATGATTTCTATTTTTATAAATTTGCAAGAGTGTGTTTTATGACCGATAATACATGGTGAATGTTCCATGTGAGCTTAAGATGAGTGTGTCTGCTGTTGTTGGGTGAAATGTTCTCAAAATGTTAATTAAATCTAGTTGAATAATAGTGATGTTCAGGTCTTCTATATTCTTACTGCTTTCCTGCTTCCTTGATACATCAATTATTCCAACTATAATAATGGACTTCTCTGTTTTTAACTTGCCATTCTATCAGTATTTGCCTCATCTAACGACTCTGTTGTTAGTTGTCTACACAGTTAGGATTATTTTACCATCTTGGAAAATTGATCACTTTGTCTTTAGGAAATGTTTCTTGCTATCCCAAGTAATCTTCCTTGTTCTTCAGGTTTCTTTGTCTGAAATTAATGTAGCTCCTTCGGCTTTTATTTTTTATTAGTGTTAACGTGTGATATATCTTTCTTCATCCATTTACTTTTAATGTACGTTAGTCTATATTTAATGTGGATTTCTTGTAGACAACATAGCTGGGCCTACTCTTTCTATATACTCTGACAATCTCTTTAATTGGTATATTTAGATTGCTCACTTTTCAAGTGATTATTGATATATTTGAATTAATATGTATCATGCTTTTAACTGTTTTCTATTTGTTGCAGTTGTTTTTAATTTTTTGCCCCATTTTAAGTTCCTTATCTGATTTTAATTGAAAATTTTTTTATGATTCTATTTTATCTGCTCTTTTACTGTATCAGTCATACTTTAAAAATTGTCAGTGGCTGCCTTAAACTAAACCAAAGTCTATTTTCAAATATTAATAATACTATTCTACTTATTATATAGTGCAGGTCCCTTAAAACAGAGTATTCCTAACTTCTCCCTTACGTACCTGACAACATTCATTTGTAATTTAGGTGAATGTAATATTAATTTGCAATAAAAATTAAATTCATTTAATTTATCCATGTGCTATAAGCACCCAATGCATGATTATTATTGTAAATGTTTGTCTTTTAACTAATGATTTCATTAACTAAGAATAAGAAAAATAAATGATCTTACTTCTTTTATTTCTTCTTTAATGATCTTCCTTTCTCAATGTAGATCCAGATTTCTGAGCTATATAACTTTCCTTTTGTCTGAATAACTTCTTCAAACATTTCTTATAGGGAAGGAATGCTCTCGATGCATTCCCTCAGTTTTTGTTTGCCTGAGAGTCTTTATTTCTCCTTCACTTTGGAAGGATAATTTCTCTGGATATAGAGTTGTAGTTTTATTTTTACTTCTTTCAATGCTTTACATATTTTACTCCTCTCTTTGCTTGCTTGCTTGTTTTCTGATGAAAAGTCCAATGTAAGTTTTATCTTTCTTTCTCTATCAGTAATATAGCTACCTTTCGATGCCCTCTGCTTCTTCCAAAATTTTGTTTTTGTCTTTGGTTTACTGTAATTTGCATCTGATATGACTCAGAATAGTTTTTATTTTGGTTTTTAATCTTCATGTTTATTCTCTGAGTTTCCTGGATCTACAGTTCAGTGTCTGTCATTAATATTGAAAAGTTATTGGCCATTATTACTTCAAGTATTTCTTTGATCTATTATCTTTTCCTTCTGGTATTCCACTTACGCATATGTTACAACGTTTATAATTGCCCACAATTCTTGATACTATCTTATGCTTTTCTTTTTTCTTTTTCTATTACAGGTTTTTTTCTTTTTCTTTTTCTATTACAGCTTTTTTTTTCTTTGTCTATTACAGCTTGAGAAATTTGTATCTTCTTTTCTTTTATATATATATATTTTTATTATACTTTAAGTTCTAGGGTACATGTGCACAATCTTCTGATCTTTTGTTGGTTGTATTGAATCTGTTGTTGGGCCCATCAAAGGCATTCTTCACTTCTGTTCCAGCATTTTTAATTTGTAGCATTTCTCTTTGATTCTTTTGCAGAGTTTTCATCTCTCGATTACATTACCCATCTGTTTTTGCATGTTTTGAGCTTTTTCCATTAGACCCCTTAGCATATCAATCATAGTTGTTTTAAGCCCTTGTCTGATTTTCAACATCTGTGGCATATTTGAGTCTTGTTCTGATAATTGTTTTGTCTCTGCAGAGTGTGGGGTTTTTTTTTTTCTTACTTTTTGCCATTCCTTGTAATATTTTGTTGAAACCAAAATGCGCTATATCTGATGACAATAGAAACTAAGACAAATAGGTTGTTAGTATGAAGATTTACATTACTCTGGCTAAGAAATGGGTTACAGTTTAGGTTTGCTATAGGTACTATAGGTACCAGATGCTTCCGGTTCATCTAATGCACTTATTTCTATTCCTCCTTTTGACTTAAATTCTCTTCAGAGGCGGTCTTTGTTTTTTAAGTCTTTCAACTGTTATCCAGTATTATTGCACTGGACTCCTGTTGTGTGGTGGTTCGATGTGTAAGAGGAGCAATGTTCTGTAATATTCCAACTCAATTTAAGTGTTTCAGTGGGTTGTTGTCTCAGAACTGTGACCTTCACAAGCATATCTCTGGTGGTATAGCTTTTTTCCCTCCTGCCAGCTACTGTCTTTCCTGGCTACTAGGTTTCCAATCTATTTCTGTGACGCTCTGACTCCTGTTGCTTTTTTTTCCTTAGGTAAGACAGGAAAGGTACGGAGGCTGGAATGGGAGAAGTACTGCCCCCCAGTTGGGAGAGGTTCTGGCAAAGTCTTTTCTTCAGGAGAATAGCCCTTTGTTATGAAGAAAACCCTGAGCATACTTCACAGTCATTCCCTTTCCCACTTCCTGACAGAGCCAGAAGGGAGTCTTTTTCTAATCTTCATAGAATGCATGGATGGGTTCTTGGAGGTAAAGCCCACAGAAATGTGGAGCCCTCTAAGACTGTGGTCAGGAACTTCTCACTCTCATGCTAGTCTACACTCAGTTTCCAGAGATTCACCAAAATTATCATAGAAGTTTTCCTGTCAGTTTCTGGTGCCAGTGGCTTTTGTTCCAGGTGGATGGATCTCAGCTCTGACTCTTTGGATGGTCCCGTCCCTCTAGATTTCAGCATGGTGGTGTGTCATGTGTACTAGCTTGTGCTGCTATAACCAATACCATAGACTGGGTGACTTAAACAACAGACATTTATTACTTATAGTTCTTGAGGTTGAAAAGTCCGAGAACAAGGTGCTACCCAATTCACTTCTTGGTTAGGGTCCTATTTGTGGTTTGCAGATGGCTATCTCTCTGCTGTGTCTGCACCTGGTGAAGAAAAAGAAGTCTGAGCTCTCTTCGTATTCTTATAAGGGCACTAATTTCCTCATGAAGGCCCCACCTCATGACCTTATCAAAATTTGAATACCTCCCAAAGACCTCATTTCCAAATACAGTCACATTGTGGGTTAGGGCTTCAACATAGAATTTTGAGAGGGTGCAATTTATTCTATAGCACCATGAAAGCACAGTTCTCTGATGAGTCTAAGAAAAGTGATTGATTTCTAGTTTGTTTGTCTTTTTTCTTGTGGTGCAGTGTAGAGCAGTGTTTCACTCTGAGATGGGTACTGTGTGTGTGTGTATAAATATTCTAATATATTCTAACAGAATAATATGTATATTCTGTAGAATATATATTAGAATAATGTATATTCTGTAGAATATATATTAGAATAATGTATATTCTATAGGAGATAAATATTAATTTCCCTTTAAGAACAGTTTTTGCTGCTATTTTATTATTTTTTATTGTACGTAGGACACTACATAAGAAAAAAATGAATAGACAATTTTAGGCCTAGAAGGCTATCTTTCTGCAAAGTGTAATTTCATTCACTTTTACAGGCAACCAGAAGCACTGAACCTCTCTGACATCCTCACTATAATTCCCCACAGATTGGAAAGATGGGAAGTTTACCTTTAATCTCCGTGCGGGGCTGTCCCATCTCTGGCTTTCCCTTTATCCTAAAAAGTAGATCCTCTAAATTCTTACAAAAAGCCTATGGAAGCCTGTAAAATATTCTCTTCTTTGAGGGCTCTAGAACTAAAATTTTGTCCCTAACCCCATGAAAGCTGCTCATAAAACCATGACCAAAAACAACAACAACAACAACAACGAAACTACCCAGCTATTGTTTCTCCTCTTCAGAAATCCTTTAGTTATCCCTAAAGAGAAAGCCTCAAATGCTGGGCTCACCTCTTTGGGTTTTCTTCTTCTAGATCTTGGACATTTAATATTTTATTATATTTTTATCTCTTCAACTTTTTTTTTATTCCAAAAGGAGGGTTCAGAATTTCCAGTCTAGCAGTACCATAATGTGAATTTTTATAGTTATTGTCCATCTCAATAAAAATTTAGTCTTCCACAAAATCGTACATATCATATCCTAATATAAATGTAAGCTTTATGACTTGTCCACATATCTCTCATAAAACAATTTATTGCTGTGTTTCAACAATAGTTACAGATTACAGCCAAGTTTGCATCTTTCCTGTGCTTTTTCTCTTCTGGCTATTTGATCTGTCTTGGGAATTCAAACCCTTTTATGCAAAAGGTACTAAACAGTATATTTTATAACTTGTATCTCCATAGATTCTAATATAATGATTTGCACAAGGGGTCTCATCAAGTTATCATTAATAATTGTGTTCCTTCAAATAAATATTTTAATAATATTCAGTATTTTTGGAAGGTGGTAGAGTTTGTTAAATAAAATTCCATTCCCTTTAATTTTGCAAATTGAGATGTATTATACGTGCAGCTCAAAACTTAACATTCTAATTTGATTAGTGGATTCTCATTGCTATTTCTTTATTATAATAAATGAATTTTACATTCATAATCAAGACTGAATCAACTTTGTAAGATACAGTCCTGATGTCTTGTTCAACATATGTTTAAAAGTTACTCTCATCTGGGTTTATGTTAGCAAATTTTCCACTTTTCAGTAGTTCTTATTTCTGTTTGCTTTTATTATATACTTTTCTAGACTAGATAACCTTTTGGGAGGCACATTTAGTAAAGATTTATACCTGACATCATAAAATTAAAAAGTGATTTCTATTTGACAGCATGTTGCTATGATTTATTTAGCATCTGAATGTCAGCTGACTATGTCAAAATGAATTGTACTTGAAAATAGGTCATGTGTAGGACACATGTAGGTCACAAGAATTCTCACAACAAGGGAGGTTATTAATGACAAGGGGATTTTCATGTTTCCCTGTTTCTTTGTTGAACTTCTACTGGTGCTGCTCTTTATTTGGATGGAGCTGGACTGATTTCTATATAATTGCAGAGTCTGCTGTGCAACTATGTGTAACGGGTCCCATGTTTCTGATTTATAACAGTGACGTTTTAGAGCTTCTTACAAATTGCCATATGGGCATCTCCCTTTATACTTCTTGGCTTTTATACGTGAGTTGCTCAATTAATATTTGAAAAAGAAATTAGTGCTATTATGCCTCTTCATAAACTTTAGAATCACTTTGGAAATACTCAAAATCCTGTGAGAAACTTTAATTCATTAACTCCATAAATTTTCTTGGTTAAAATACATTCCTAAATTGTCTATGAACACCTCATTGAGTTTGGAAATCACCAAGTCTAAAAGAAAAGAAAAATACAATGAAGGCTTTTTGGTTTTTATCATGTAAGACATATAAAGTTCATTTTACTTCTAGATATTTTATGTACTTAATGATATAACATATATTCTGTGTCTATTAGGAGGTTACTATTTATATGCAAGAGTCTTATTGATTATTCAATGTTTATCATTTATTTTTGACTCCAATAATTTTGGGAAGATATAAAGTTTAATAGAAAAGTTCTTTGTCTATAAAAGTCAGCTGGTGGAGCTGAGTCCCAGTTCAACAATAACCTAAGTTGCATTATTCTAAAATGTGTAAAAGGTTTTAAACATAAATTATGAGGAAAAATGAAAAAAGCTTCAGATAAAATATTAAATTTCCTCTAGGGTAAGTTGTTTGCTTTCATGTTCTGTTGAAGTGATGCCTTTTGATGGCTTAGCTAAATTATGGGCTTTGGAGTCAGAAAAGCCTGGAATTAAATCCTTGCTCTGCCACTTTCTAGCTGTGTGACTTTAGGCACATAACCTCTATAATTTTCATTTTCCTCAGTTGTAAAGTGGGTACAAAAATAACTACTTCACAGAGTTGATGCAAATATTAAAGCTAGCTAATACATTTCTGCTATGTCTGATGCTGAGCCCCTAACTTTCATGTTGAAAACATTTAAATTGGTAACATAGAACGCAATCACTAGTTGTTATGGTCCAAATATTTGTGTCTCCCCAAACTTCATATATTGAAATCTTAACCCTCAACAAGATGGTATTAGGTGGGGCCTTTTGGGAGTTGATTAGGTCAAGAGTCCTGTTATGGAAATGTAATTAGTTTCCTTATAAAAGAGACCCAAAGGAGCTCATTCACCGTTCCACGATGTGAGACTACAGCTAGAAAGTGGCATTCTATGAAACATGAAGTAGGCCTTCACCAGACACCGAATCTGCTGGTGCCTTCATTTTGGACTTTCCAGCCTCCAGAACTGTGAAAAATAAATTTTTGTTGTTTATAAGATACTCAGTTTATGACTTTTGAAGTGAGACCTTCTAAAATATTTTTTCTCTCTGAAAAGTTGTGAGATAATATAGGGAACATAAAAGAATAGGATTTATACACAAACCAGAGGAGTACTTTAAGAGTGAAACAAAGATCCAAAGCACAAAATTAGCTTGGCATGCATTCAAAATGCAAATTTCAGGACCCTCCCCACAAATTTAGTACACAGGTGCAAGATTCGTTTCTAAAGAAACACCTCAAGTAATGCTGACATATACTAAAGTTCTGAATCTTTAAAGGAAGACATAAATGTCCCTGTAATAAAATTATTATTTTTGAAAAAAGATAAAGAGATACTTAAATCCATGCATTCCTTTGTGAATTGTTATGGCAACAATTCTTCATAGCAAATTGAGGAAAGTTTCCTAGGCAAAGGAATACATTTGAAACTCAATAGCATGCACTGAACTTTTCATTTATAAAGTAATATAGCATCATATGCATCATTCACAAACATTCTGAAAATTTCCATCAAATATTAAAATCCAAAGCAGAATCTTGGTTATGTATGAAAAAATTTCAACAAGTGGAGCAAAAATTGCAAATTTATTGATCAGTTAATAAATATAATAAATAGTAACTGCATATTTTTCCAAGTGACACTGGCATTAGAAAGTTATTTAAAGTATCCAGAGTGCTACTAAGTAATGCTTTTGCCTGCTGTATGGCTATACACTCTTCCTATGTGTGTCTCCATTATTTTATTATTATAAAATTAATACATGCCCATTAAAAAATCTAGATTTGACTGGAATGTGCTGTAAGTCCCATATCCCCAACCTCACAATTTTCCTTACCCTCCATAAGAGATAATTGCTAAAAGTTTTGAATATGACAATGATATTTTTATTATTAATATAAACTGTATCTTATATTTATTCTTAACGTTTTCAAAATTTAAATAGCTCATAAATTGATCAAGTGAAAAGTGAAAGGCTGTCATTTGCAGATGTCTTATTCCATTTACCTGTTGGCTGTCTCTGCCACTGTGCATCTTTTCTCCCAGTCCCTTAAGACCCCAAAATCATTGAACTCACATTAATTTTGAAACAAATGTGAGATCTTTTGGAGGGTAATTTAATTAATCATCCAGCTGTTCACTCTGCAAGAAATTATAATTAGGGATTGTGTTAGTCTGCCAGTGGCACCTAGGAAATAGAATCAAAAGTATAAGAAGATCTAAGATCCTCAACCAAAGCTGCACATTACTCTAATTTGGAAAGCTTGTAAAGACATAAGCATACAGGCTGGGTGCGGTGGTTCACGCCTGTAATCCTAACACCTTGAGAGGCCGAGGCGGGCAGATCATTTGAGGTCAGGAGTTTGAGACCAGCCTGGCCAACATGGTAAAATCCCATCTCTAGTAAAAATGCAGAAAAAAAATTAGCCAGCCATGGTGTCTGGGGCCCGTAATCCCAGCTACTTGGGAGGCTGAGGCAGGAGAATTGCTTGAGCCCGGGAGGTGGAGGTTGCGGTGAGCTGAGATTGTGCCACTGCACTCCAGCCTGGGTGACAGAGTGAGACTCGGTCTAAAAAAACAAAAACAAAAACAAAAAGACGTAAGCTTACACATACACACACCCAAAGAGAAAGAGAGAACAAAATCAATGCTCAGGCTATGAGCGCTGAGAGTTTTAATGTGCAGTCTAAGTTCGGGAAACATTGCCCTATATCAGCCATCCTAAAAGAAATTGAAATAATCGATTTTTTAGGTGAATCATCGGGATTGCCATAGAAATTGAGACTGTAGTGCTCTAGAGGTTGGGTGGGAATAAGATTTGGTTAGTGCAATATAGAAAACAGCTAACCTTTCTTACCAAACCTCAGTAAAAAATTTTGACCAGTGGAACAGAATGGAACCTTCTCAGGGGTCTGGTTATCAGAGTCCAAATATCCATGGAATTAAACAATGTTCTCCTATTTATGTTCTGGGAAACACTAGTCTGGAAATTTGTTCTGCAAAACAACAGCAGCAACAATAGCAAAAACAGAGGGGAGCAGTTTTCTGGCCTTATATGTTTGAGATGCGCTAGGTAAGTGTCCCTGCCATGGGTTGATACATTGCAATTTGCACATTAGCACATGACATGCTCTGAGAGGCCCTGTAATTGAGACATCCGTTGAACTTTTGTTTTGTTTTTAAGCTCAGTCTTTCTCAAACATACACATTCAACATATATTTTATTGAGAACCACTTTGAGCTGAACAATGTTCTAGGTGTTACGGATGGAACACAATAAACCTCCCTGCTTTAGTAGAGTTTGTTTTCTAGGAGGATAAGATAAACAGGCAGATAATGATCAAATAAGAGAAATCCCTCTTAAAATAAAGAGAAATACAGAGAAAATAGCAAGATATTTATGGGGAGTGTCAGGTACACAGGTACTTTAGAGACTGTGATCAAAAAGGGCCTGTCTTGGGGGTAATATTTTAGTCAAAGCTTAAAAGGACAAGAGAGGCAGGGCATGCAAAGATCTGGGGAAAGAACTTTCAGAGCAGAATGGACTGCTGGTGCGAATCCCTGAGAGAACTGAACCTGGCTTGTTCAAGGAGGTCCAGTGTGGATAGAGCATAATGGAAGTGGTTGCTAAAGACTGTGTTTGAATAAGGAGTTTAGATTTTGTTCTAAGTGGCAAAGAAAGTGTTGGGGATGGCATAGTTTAATTTACCTCTACAAGTGTTACTGTGTGCTCAGAGGGGAAGACATTGGGGGTGATGGCAAAGAACAAAATAATAATAAAGACCAGGAAGAGGCTGTCAGGGAAGTTCTGGTGAGGTGATGCTTTGTTGAACTGAGTGGTCATATTGAAATAAAGAGATGCCCCGATTTTGGATATAATTTGGAGATGCCATCACAGCTGTGCCTGTGTTATGTGAGCTTGAACATTTAGTGTATGGGGTACTGGTGGAGTGGGGGCAGAAGGTAGGGGATTGATTGACAAGGAGAATCAAATTAATTTAACTATAAAACACCCAATCTTTTAAAAATGTACTAGAAAATGTTTTGGTAAATGATAGTAAGGGAATATTTGTGAATTAGAAAGAAAAACAGGCAGATGATCAGATACCCTGGGTATTGGTGTTTCTAATGTATTTATCTTTGCCTTGTGCAGTCTACATGAGGTTGATCTTATTTGTTGACCCAGTCATAGGCAAGGGACTTATCATGAACCTGCAAATGTAGTTGCATGTCCCCTTATTATGAAAGAAAGAGGTGGAGGAGAGGAGAAGGAGGACCATGACAAGGAAGGTGAGAAATAAAAATGAAATGTAAATTATTGAGAACAACTTCTGCTTCATGCTGACTTCTCCACCTGTAGTCTTAACAGTGTGCTGTGTGGAAGAAAACAAAAGTTGCATAAATGTTGGGGGCTGCAGTATGTGGGTTTTACAGGTAAGCTACCTATTATGTCGATGCATCCTGATTTTATGGAAGAAACATAGCTCCTGGCCCTACCATGTAATGGTTGCAATGGTTGCAAACACTGGAGGGATTTTTTTTTCTTTCCTTTCTGACCTCTAATTTCCTTGTCTGCAATTTGACTGTGCTAGCTTAGCATCAATTCCCAAGATTTCTCTAGCTTTCAAATTCTAAAGTCCGTAAGTTTAATTACAGGTCTTTCCAAATTATTATTGCTTCCAATTTCCCTTCACAATTTGAATGTGTGTATCTGGCATTGTGCTGCTGAGGTTTAACAACCTGTTAGCTGAGTGTAGCTCCAACTTGAATGTTGCGTGGTACTTTTCTTTATGTTAATGAGTAAGATGAGAAAGTGAAAGAACCAAAAGACATCATAGCTTAATTCATTCATCAATGATGTAAGCAACTTCTTTGTTGACTCGAATGATTGTTTTTCAACCCTTGGAGAATATTTTCTCAATTTTTTTGGTGCTATTCACAATGTTAAGTGCTACAGACATGGCACATTTTTACGTTTAATCTACACTTTACAGAAGCAATTTTTGTTACAGGTATCGTGGTTGAAAACTAGTTTAATGGGGTGGTAGAATTTAAACTCTCTTAAGAAAAAAGAAAAGTTGAAGCGACAGTAATTTCTCTGGATGCAGAGACATCATGACATAACTGTTAATGTGATTTTCTTATAGAAGGTAGCACCATTCATAGTAAAATGCAGATCACACATTGCTAATAGACATTATAGGTGACAAGCTGAAATGGATGTTCTCCAGATACATTGATGTGCTTCTTTCCCTTTTCTTTTAGGGTTTTTCAGGAAATGCAAATGCAGACAGTGTTGTGTACTATAGACTCCAGCCTTCTATCAAAGCCAGATTTCTGCGCTTCATCCCTTTGGAATGGAACCCCAAGGGCAGAATTGGAATGCGAATCGAAGTGTTCGGATGTGCATACAGTAAGTGTTTGTTTATCCAATACACTGACATAGATATCAAAAGAGATGTTTTAAAAGCCAAACTACAAACTGAAATGGACTTTTTAGCTACATAAAGAGGTATAAAAAATAGGAATAATTTTTGTGGAAAGCTTTTTTGTGCATGCCTGTACATGCCAATATTGACTTTCATGTTCAACTTTAACATTTTAATTCAGAGATGGAAGCACTTGATAGATGGATAGATACATATTTACTGATACATGGGAATGTATTTCTTCAAATAGAATATTATTGACTATGTTGTAACTTTCAAATATTAGAAGTTTCCTTCATGAGTTATATTTGATGATATTTCATTTAGGTATCCTGAGTCTAATAAAAGGGACAGTGTTCCATTTAGTTTAACCGTCATGTTATGAAACCAAAAAATATTTTTTCTTTAGCCTAAAAACAATATCATGCAATTCACCTTTAAATGTGCTATGCTGTCAGTATAAATTAATAGAAAAAGAGAAGACTTCTGCCTGAATATAACATGTGTTTAAAATACTTTCACATAAAAAAGATAGAAACCACAGATTTCACTTAGTCTCCTCTTAATGAAGCATTTTATTATATATATTTTTTGTGAGGAAGGGACCTAAGAGTTATTGATAGTGCACCTCAAGCCACATTATCCTGTTAGATACACTTTTATTATAGAACAGTGGGTTAGTTAATATGATTTACAATTAGCAGACTAACAGTGTGAGGTTTGAAGAGATTCACTAATTTGCTCAGAGCCTCACATATGAAATAATCTGGAAGAGAACCCAGGACTGCTCAATTCACGACATCGTTTTTTTTTTTTCTCTAGTAAACATTTATTTTTAGCTACTAAAGCTTTTTTCATACATACGCTGTCACTTTGTGATGTAAGCCAAGTTAAGTTCTGATTCACTTTCTTTACATAAAAGAAAAGCAGGTGATAAAGAGATCAAGTGACTTGTTGAAGTTGTCTAAACTCTATCCGACAGAGAGATCACATTGCATGGTTTGCGTGGGTACTCTCCTGTATTTTGTGATGTTTTCAGTGTCCATCTCTACCATCAAACATATTTGACAGACCTGATTCCTCCAGGGCCTACAGAATAATACTAATAAAAGTATTAATATAATATTAATAGCAATAATAGCAGTAACACTAATAGTAATATTAATAGCATTCCTTTCTATAACTGTAGAAATAGCACCGTTTCCTTAGTGCTTATTATATGCACTATTCCAAGCAGTTTACGATTCCTCAAAATAGCCCCGATAAATATTACTGGGTAACTACTCCATTTACCTCTTTTGAAAATGAGAAAGCTAAAGCTTAGAGAGGTTGACTTGCTCAAGCCACACAGAAAGGAAGTGGCAGAGCTGGGTTTGCAGCCAAGTTTGCCAAACTCCAGAAAGCAAGCTTATATTGACATTTCCTCTAGTTGTTGAATAACAGAGATGAGTCAGTGGCCAACTAACCTCTCACTATCTGTCCGCCTTAATTGCAGGCTTTCGTGGCTTCAACAATCCAGCTTAGCTACACCATGTTAGTTCCTCACGTCACAATTAGTATACCTGAATAAAATCACGCATTAAAAAAATCCTACCCCCAATTATGATCCTGCAAACTAGAAGTTGGACAGTAGTCTTATTTGTCTTTGGATCGTAGAGCTTAGCAAAGCTCATGCCACATGATGGACAACTAGTAAAACCAATTTCAAAGTGCTTCCTGTTTACAGTTATATTCTCCACTTATTCAGAACATCCACCTTGCAAAATACTTGTCTATCACAGTATAAAAATAGCTAACAGTTATTGTGCATGTATTTTTTGTAGACATTCTACTAATAATTTAATCCTCAAAACCACCCATTTATTAGAGAGAAAACTGGGTCTTAGAAACATTAAGCAATTTGTTCAGTACCACACCCTTAGTATGCATTAAACCTAGGATATAAACTCAATATTAACAAATTTAACATTAAGAGCAACAGTTTAGTGGGACTGTTTATGCTGTTTTGCTGGCTCTAAAGCACCAGGTATAATGTCCACATGGTGGTGATAGCTAAGGTACAGGTTCTTTTGAGTTATCTGCTGCTCTGTGGCTAATGATAACTCAAACCTCCCCCTCACCTGTCTTGATCTGCAGCTCTCTGGAATGTTCTTTTTGTTGCAACTTCATTTGCTATATTTGGGGTGAGCATACTGTCCATGTATTTGGTCAATATTCTTTTCACATTGACCCATGGTTGAAGTAGTAGTACTGGAAGCCAGCAGGATTTTAAACTCAAACTTAAACACATATAGTGAAATAGTGTGGCAGGAGTTAATGACAAATGATGGTTGTGTAACTTTAAACCATTATTAAAGGAGAAAAAGTAATAAACTTAATGGATAAACATTCTTGTAGATAATCAGAAAATAACCAAAGAATGGGTTGGGCATGAGTACCTTATGGGAATGTATTTGATCAAATTGGCTTTTATACCTCAATTACACCATAGTCATGCTCACATTTTCCACCTGTTCATAGCATTGGCATTGCAATATATTTATTAAAATGTGATATTATATAGCCATCATTTATTAAAGTTAATATGTGTCAGAGACTGTAAAGAATAAGCATCTTCTGATTTGTTCCTAGTAATGTAGGGAAGCAGGCACATGAATATTGCCATTTCATGCAGGAGTCAGAGGAGAAAAGCAGAATTATCTACTGAATAAGACATACAGCTTGCTCTGGGTGGCATGGCAAAGAAATAGCTAGGACTACTGGCTTTCCCTGCCCTCAGAAGGAAGGGCTGTAGTTGCTATCATCACAAGTATCCTGTTGCAAGAGTTTGTCTGCAACTCCCTTAAGTAGCACAGACCCAAGATCAGATTGGATTTTCCCCAGACACAAAAGACTGTTCTCCCGAAATCCCTATTAAAAGGAAAAGTGGTGTTGGGGAGTGGGTAGGGTTTCTTTACTGAATCACAGCCACAGGACATTCATCCATGCCCAACAAAGTAGGTTTCCCCTGAGCTTGAGGAAGGCCTGAAGGATTGCATGCAACTGGCCATCCTCCCCTGTCTGTGCCTCCTCATCTGCACCAAATTAACGTGACTCAGGTGCGCTTCGCCTGAGCCATTCACTCAAGTGTAGCACACCTCGCAGACTGCTTCATCTCTTCTGACATAGAAGAAGGTGAACTTAAGAGAAATTGGTAACTTCTGCAGAACTACACAACCCGTGTTAGATCTAGGATTTAAAATCAGCTGTCTCATTTTCCTAAGCCAGTGCCCTTGATAACTATGTGAATCATACATGTATTGAGCCTTTAACCATTTATTGGTACTTGCCAAAAAGAACTAGGTATGGGGTATAGGGAGATATTCTAAAGTCATAAATATTTTCTTAATAAAGACAGGCATGTGCAATGTTAGAAAAATTATATGAACTAAGTATAAAATATTGTAGAAGGAGTATAGGGTGTGAGGGATAAAGTGATTGATAAATTGTGGTTAGTATAAGAAAGTTTATAGCAGTAGATTTTGAAACAAAGTTGCAGATATTTTCACATGGGAGACTGAAAGGATGGTCCAAATAGGAAAAGTGCTGTACCCCAGTCAAGCACAGGAAAGAGGATTGCTGGAATGATTATTTGAGTACAGTCATTCAGACTGAAATTAGGGCTATGGGTTAGAGGGTGAAATCTGGAGGCAGCAACTCATTAGAAGGCTTTCACTCTTGTTTGGACAAGTGATGGTAGAACCCCAAGCTAGAGGAACAGCAATCAGTAAAGGGGGAGGAAGGGCAAGGCGCGGTGGCTCATGCCTGTAATTCCAGGACTTTGGAAGGTGGAGGTGGGGGGTTACCTGAGGTCAGGAGTTCGAGACCAGCCTGGCCAACATGGCAAAACCCTGTCTCTACTTAAAATACAAAAATTAGCCGGGCGTGGCAGCGCACGCCTGTAATCCTAGCTACTTGGGAGGCTGAGACAGGAGAATCACTTGAACCCAGGAAGTGGAGGTTGCAGTGAACCGAAATCATCCCACTGCACTTCAGCCTGGGCAGCAGAGTGAGACTCTGTCTCAAAAGTAAAGGGGGAGGTAAGCAGATTCAAAATATTCTTAGGATATTGAATCAAGATATCTTGGTCATTGTATGTGAGGGAACACTGAGTTATCAAATTTGCTTTTTTTCTTTCCTCCGTTGATCCTTTTTTTTTCCTTCAAATTTGAACAACTGTCTGGAAGGGGCTGTCATTTACTAAGATGGGAAATGAGACAATAAATAGATTGTGGAAGGAAACAAGAGATAATTAATCCTGTTTTTGACACATTGAGTTCAAGGGCCTTTGATATATGGAAGATTGGAACTCCAAGCCCTCTGAGTTGAAGACGTAGAATTAAAACCTATATAAATATCATTATTGTTAGTAAATCATAAAGTATTCTACTTATTGTACTACAGTTAATAACAAATGCGTGAAGTGCTATGTTTGATCGACTACTCATGTCTTGAAAAATGGGAATGCATTTCCGTCATAATAAAAGCAGCTCCTTTGTACTATTTTTTAGGTGGAATAAATATTTTTATGCCAGGCTCCCCTTGTGCCTAATACATGTTTGCTGAAGTCATAGATGCAAGCCTATCCTGTGATTATTACAGGAAAATGGCTATTGTGAAAACCACACATAAATTGCCGTTTACCCCAACAAGTTAGGGCAGTAACTTGTTATGAAGGAACATCAAGTGAATGGAAAATCCATATCAAAGAGCATGTTCTACTTTTATGTCAGTAAACTTGAAGTTGTTTCCTGAGTAATGAGAGAAGTAGAGGCTAAATTTTATGGGATCAAAGAGAAACTATAAATTTCCAATATCTTGGCCATAGCAGCAGTGATCCTGTTTGCAGATCTGGAGAAGAAATGTATAGAAGTAAATTACTGGTGGGAGAAAGAAAGAAAAAGAAAAGAAAATGTTTGATGCTACAGAAACAATACTACATGTCTGAAAGAGAAGTAAACAATGGTGAACAAAGGAAAATAAATGGGTGAAAGTGAATATATCTGCAATGTCCTTAGGAAGCAGCAATTAAACCATAGGAGATAATGTTCTTTAATTGTGGATGAATTGCTGAGGCAGTTGTCCTTAGTGTAAATTCTAATTTCCTTTTCTCTAGTTACTGTATAAACATCCTCATTTTGCAGCCTATGATCATCTCTTCCTCATCCCCAACAGAATAAGAACATCCAACTGTCAAGCCATACTCAACTAATTTGTTTCTTTGGCTAGCCATGATTTTATGATTTTTCTAGCCTTAGGGTTTCTGCATGATGCCTAGGGCAATCACCACGTACCCACCAGCCTTCATTTCTCTATTTGGATAACTCTCTTACTCATTCTTCTTTTCTCAGCATAGAAATCTCTGCTTCTGACAACTTCTCTAATACCCCACATTCAAATCTGGGAATGTTTCCACCCACTTGTAGAACAGCTTTTCTTCTCCCAATCATGACATGCCCACGTTATACTGGGTTGCAACCAGACATTCTTTTTTTGTTATTAGTCTTCTGGATAAAGACTAATAACAACAATGAAGAATGAATGAATGGGGGCAAGCTTAGTAAGCCTCAGGAATGCTTTCTCCATCATTCTAGTGTTCAACTTGTTAAAGATCAGGAATAAAGGTTAGCCTACCAGGAGAACTGAGGGAGAAGATTGGACATGATGAGCAAATGTACAGATGTGTTAAACCATTGTGTTTAATTGCTTCAATGCAGACAGTTGAAGAGAAAATTATGGATCATATTTAATAAATTAAACATCAATCATTTTAAAACATATTAACTTGCACATAATAGGAATGTATACTTTATTATTTAAAAAAATTCCAATTTTTTTACATAATAAACTATAAAGTTGGAATTATAACCATCAGCAGATTTAAGTTTAGAAAACATATAAAGAGGACAATTTAAAAAGTACTGTAAAAGCACAGACATTTACCTGGGTGAGGAAAACAAAACATTGAAAGACAGCTAGATAATAGTCTCTGTCTATTCAGGATGCTAATCTCTCATACCACCTGTCTGGTTAGGGGGAAGAATGAAAAGCAATAAATTGGTTAGATTTATTAAAATGATAGTTATAATTGAGTTCAATACCTATTTATTGAGCAACTCCCACATGCTAACTGCTAAAAGCTGGAGTAAGGTGAATTAGATAGTTCTTACACTCAGATTATCTATCAGCTAATATAGTAGCTGAGAAATACTGTTTTATGTCAAAGTTTGAAAAGAAGATAGACTCTGATTGGCCTAAAATCAAAGAGTATAAATTCTCTAATTCTTTGCAAAATTTATAATTTTAAGTTTGATGACAAGTGGAGTGTATTAGGGTTCTCTAGAAAGACAGAACTAATATATATATGTGTGTGTGTGTTCTGTATATATATGCACACACACATATATAGAAATTTATATATACAAAGGGATATATATCTAATAAGATACATTTGTATAATTAAAATATATATATTTATAAATATATATACTAGAAATATTGAAATATCGAATATATATAAAGGGGAGTTTATTAAGTATTATTAAGTAGTTTACTGAGTATTAAGTATTATCGTTAAGTAGTTATTAAGGTCTCTCCAAATAAGATTATGACACAAAGCCACAAAGCTGGAGAGTTTGATATACCCCTGAGGTAGGACAGTAAAGGTATATTGCTGGCATTGCCAGCTGAAAGCAAATTGTTTCTGGTGAGCCTTATGGACAGGAATGGAGAAAAAGGCATTTGCCAAGTCAATGGCTGCACACCAGGTACCAGGAGATGTGTTAATTGGAGCAGGCAATGAAACCACATCTAGTACAACAGCTGCAATTGCAATCACCACTTGATTAAGCTTACAATAATCCGCTGTCATTTTCCAAGATCCATCTGTCTTCTGCAGAGGCCAAATGGGAGAGTTGAATGGGGATGTGGTGGGAATCACCACCCCTGCATCTTTCAAGTCTTTGATGTTGGCACTAATCTCTGCAGCCCCTCCAGGGATGTGATATTGTTTTTCATTTACTATTTTTCTTGGTAGAGGCAGCTCTAAGGGCTTCCATTTGGCCTTTCCCACCATAATAGCCCTCAACCTCCCAGCCAGGAAGCCAATGTGGAGGTTCCGCCAGCTGCTAAGTATGTCTGTGCCAATTATGCATCCTGGCACTGGGGAAATGACCACAGGATGAGTCTGGGGACGCACTGGACCTACTATAAGTCACACTTGAGCTAGAACTCCATTAATCACCTGACCTCCATAAGCCCCTACTTTAACTGGAGCACCACAATGATGTTTTAGGTCCCCTAAAATCAGCGTCAACTCAGAGACAGTGTCCAGTGGTCCCTGAAGTGCCTGATTATTTTCCTTTCCCCAGTGCACAGTTACCCTGGTAAAAGGCTGAATGTCTCCTCGGGGAAGGATAGGAGAAAGATTAACAGCATACATTGTCAGTAGGGTAGTAGGGTCCTTCCTCAAAGGGACCTGGCCTCCCCTTCATTCAAGGGGTTCTGGGTCTGTAAACTGGCTCAAGTCTGGAAGTTGACTGAAGGGCTGTGATTCTCTGTTTTTATAATTCAAATGAGTCTTTTGTCAATTCAACCTAGAAGTTTTCTACTTATATAAATTAAGCAGGAGTGCAGTAGGCTTCCTATCAGTTTTACTTCTAGGAACACTGTGATTAATTAGCCAATGCCAGAGCTCTATACAAGTCAGACTATTGTGATTGCTGTTTTGCCTCTGCTGTCCATTACAGTAGCTACGCCTGCCTTGCCTTTGATGTTTGAGTGCCACCACTTGGTTCCTGCCACCTCAGGATCCAGTTATTCCCATTTTATTTAAATTTTGTCGTTGAGTGACTGTGGTTCCCACTGTTAGATCTGACATACAGGGAAGAGCAATTGTAGGGCTCTTCAAAGATGCAGATGCTGCCCTCACAAATCTGTTTTGCAAGGTGTTGGTCAAGGGTATATCTTCTGGACCCTCCCAGCTGGGATGAGTAGGTCTAAAGTGACTAATCTACTCCACCATCCCCATCTCCCTAAGCCTTTGGATTCCTTTCTCTACATTAACCCAAGGGACATCAGGCTTCCAGCTCGCTCACAGTGGGCCATCTTTTAATCCTTATTTCAGCTAACTAAGCAAATAAGCTGTTAGAACCTTTTTTAAAACTCCCTAAGCTGCAACGTTAAATGCAGAATACCTACTTAGTGGGCTGAAATCAATAAATTCAGCCTGATCTAATTCTATGTTTCTTCCACCATTATCCCACACCCTTAATATCCATTCCCATCCCTGTTCTCCAGATTTCTCTTCATATAAATTAGAAAACTCAAGAAGTTCTTTTCAAGTGTAGTGCACCTCCTCATGGGTCACACTCTGAATGTCACCTCTAGGGGCCCGCCAGGACTTTAGTCTAGTTATAGGTATAGAACAAACAGGGGTGTTGGGGTTGGTTCCTCAGGAGAATCAACATTATCTCTCCTGGCAACTGCCTCAGGGGAGGCCATCACTGTTGTCTCAGGCAGCGCAGGGTTTATCTCCTCAGACAAAGGTGGAAAGAATGATGGCAGTGTGGGTCAGGGAGGGGATGATGCCGCTACTGGGGATGGGAAAGCTGTTTCTTCTGGCAAGAAAGGTTCATCAGAGTTTACAAGGTCAGTGTCCCCAGCTTCATCAGGGTCCTCCCGCACATCCCCATTCCAAGTTGCAAGGTTCCATTCTTTTCCAATCAATGCCTTCATTTTAACAGTAGACATGGCAAGGCTGTGCATCCACCTTTCCTTGCAGTTCAGCCACTCACATGATAAGAGCTCATGTCTGATTTTCCACAATTTCAGCTTTCTCTAAAGGAGATAAGACTCTGACTCGGGTCAGTCTTAGAAGATTTGAGACCCACTATCTGCTTCTGAAGCCAGGAGACAGAATCCCTGAGTTCATCATTTTCTTTCATCACTTTGTCCAGTGAACTGAGGAGCAACCAACCAGCTTCATTATGTTCCTTGGTTCTCCACATATGGTCAAAGGTATTATGTATAGAGTCACTAAACTCCTTACCTCTCACAAGTGGTAAATCAGGAGTGTCCAATGCATTAATTTTGCCTAACTCTCTAAACAGTTCATGCCAAGGACTATCAGTGTTCTCCATACTATTAGAAGTAGAGTCCTTAGCATTTTTGGGTCTAATCATATTAAGCAGCCAACTCCAGAAACCCCAAAACAGCTAAAGAACTCCATCCTTAATATTCTGTTCCTGTAGAACCACTCCTGGTACCAAAATCTGTATTAGTCAGTATTAATCTGACTAATACAGAATATCTATCTATCTATCTATCTATCTGTCTATCTAGGAGTTTATTAAGGAGTATTAATTCACATGATCACAAGGTCCTACAATAGGCCATCTGCAAGCTGAGGAGCAAGGAAGCTAGTCCACGTTTCAAAGCTGAAGAACTTGGAGTCTGATGTTTGAGGGCAGGAAGCATCCAGCATGGGAGGAAGATGTAGGCGGGGAGGCTAAGCCAGTCCAGCGTTTTCGTGTTTTTCTGCCTGCTTTATATTTGCTGGCAGCTGATTAGTTGGTGCCCACCCAGATTAAGGGTGGGTCTGCCTTCCCCAGCCCACTGACTGAAATGTTAATCTCCTTTGGCAACACCCTCACAGACACACCCAGGATCAATACTTTGCATACTTCAGTCCAATCAAGTTGAGACTCAGTATTAATCATTACATGGAGTTATATTAAAATTAAAATAAGATTAGCTATTAAGATACTAGAAAATAAGGAAACTATGAAAACCTATCAGGGTCATGGCAAAAGAATTCAGCATCAGTTGAAGAGGCTCTCACTGACCAAAAGTGAAAATGTTTTAGTATCAAAAAGGATAGTAACTGCTAAGTTTTGCAACAAATTAAGTATGTTTGAATGAATGGGTTCATGATAATAATAATTGAAAAAGCCCCATTGATCACCTATGAGAGACATAAAGACCCAACTCCTTATTTTGAAAACTAATGAACGAATAGAGGAAACACGAACCATATCTTAATTTTCCTATGTAACTTGAACCTCCAGGTAACCAGATAGAAGAGAGGAGTATCTCTTTAATTAAATATTTTAGGTAATAAATAAAAATGAATAATAGAATTAGAAAATGTCTATTTGGCAGCACTAAATAAATGACTGGTTCAAGCTAACTATGACGGTTCACAACAAGGGAGAAGATCAGTTTTTCAGTATCAGTCATGGCGTTGTAGCTTTTATTGGACTAAGCTGCTGTCCATAAAATTATAAGTGTTAAATAAAATATATTTTAAAAGCCTGCTTCAGAGTTCTGAAGTTTAAGGTATTAATAAAATGAAAGAAACTGGAGCAGAATTGATTCTTGGAATAAGGGAAGTAAACTTTGGGAAATCCACATTTATCTTGCTTTTACCAAAGGACCAGCAGAAAATAGCTAGATTTTACTAGGAAGTGGGGACAGAGGTCAGATTTCAAGTTGCCAGAGAGGCTAGAAATTGAGTAGGGAATATTTAGAAGAAGATCAGAGAGCAAGGGTCCGTGCTCCTGCAGACACATTTCCCTCAGATCCTTGGCCAATTCTTGTAACTCACATGCTCAAGGTGAAATGCCAAGCAGCCCTAGAGAAAGCACGAGAAAGAGGTTTAAAAGTCTAAAGATTTCAGTATCTACGTAGGGCTGGAAGGGGACCACCTTTGGAGTTCAAGTCCTGCCAATTTAGAGGAATTTGTTAAACACCTTGGAGTTTTACTGAAATGCCACAAGGTAATCTGTCACAGGAATAGAGATGTTTTTTAAAAAGGGAAGAAAGAAATCCCACAAGAGTATTGCCTTGGGAGTAAAGACTGTACCTGAGGACATATTGTTATATCCTAGAGCTAAGGACAAAACCAAAATAGACTTATCCAACAAAACTTGAAACTAAGGCTTCACAGGGTCTAGGTGATCAGCCAGTAATTCACCTCCCTGTGGACCACTGCCATTTACTTCCCGCCAGTGCCATCCAGCTCGCCACTGTCTCTCCTACACTCCTAACAGGCCTCATCCCTCCCATACCCACACTCTCCCTTTTCCCACTTCCTCCTTCTTTCCTGGCCGCTGCTGACACATAGGGTTACCTACTCAGCTTAAATAGCACTTCCTTAGAGATATTGTTTCTGAACACCAAACAAATTTAAATCTCCGTGTTCAAAACTCTCCTGTAACCCTGTCCTTTCATTCCATGCTTTGGAACTTGTACATTTGTCTGTACATGTGTACATTTGTACAATTACAACTTGTAAATATGTACAATTACATATCTTTACTACTTTACTATATTTTTAAATAGACCAATTGTAATTGTACATATTTACCAACTTGTAAATGTACATATTTACATTATAATGTGTAATATGTCTGTACACACAGGAGGATTTGCCTGCTCTCTTCCTTCGGGATGGAGCATCCTTGAGGCCAGGTGTGTTCACTGTAGCAACAGCAGCTCCCACCGTAGCACTTGACACAGCATTCAATAACTATTGGTTAAATGGCTGAATTAAAAAAAATCTGATTATCCATGATGTAAATTGTATCATAAATACATAAAAATCACAAATGTATTACATTCATACAGCAGTAGTTGATCAAAAGAGAGATAACTTTGAGATAAACGTGATTTCAAGTGTTGTTATTATTAAAATCATAACAGTATACAAAATAATGTTGAGGCATTTTGATATTTCCATTTGATCCCTCTAGCATCTTTGTGTAGTATGAGAGGCTGGAATTTTTCAGTACATAGCCAAATAAGGAAACTGAGAATCAACATTTAGGTGACTTCTGTGACATTGCAAAAGTTGCAAATGAATATTAGAGCCAAAAATGCAACTTACATCCTCCGGTGATGCATTCAAGTGTCCTTGACATAGTGGATATTACTAATTTCAAATCTGTTTAAAAGATTAATTTACATTGACAAAAATTAAGTGAGAATGATCATGTTTTTTCCCATAACCTGCTGGTGTGTTGTTACTGACCTTAACTTGGTCTATTTAAAAAGATAATAAGGGCACCTTTTCCCTGTGGTTATATATAGCACTTGATCTCTGTGCCTTCTTCCTTTTTATTGTATTAATTTTAGTTGTTTTAAACTTAAGAGTCCTTAAATCATTCTGTGTTCTGTTATGCTACCATGCAAAAATAGTATAATCTATTTCCTGTTGATTTCTTGAGTACTTGGTCTCTCTTCTCCATTGCTTTAAAAAACCAGTTCAGTAATGCAGGTCTCAAGTGCCTATCTATCATGCTGCTACTTTAATATTTCACTATATAATAGTTAAACAGCGACTCAGTCTGATTTGTGTTTCTTAGAAGTCAAAATTGGACCTCTGTTTGTTTAGTAATTCATGGGCAATAACTTTCAAATAAATAAACAGTATGATCAGTGTTTAAGGCTGACTTCATTTTTAACTAAGAAGAGTTTGGTCTATACCCCTTTCCAGTTGATGAAATAGCTATATATTTTTTTTCTCTGATCTTTGACAGGAACATTCTAGTTCTATTTACATTTTGGGGAGATTCCTAAAGAATTAATAAAAGACTCTAGTGTCTTTTTCAATCACTCTTTCATGACCTTCAAATACAGTTAATTTTCTATTATTTAAAAATTGATTTTCTAATTTACACATTTTCTATTCCAATTTTTCTCTTTTAAGTTTTTAGTCATCTGACCTCAGCAAAAATTCCATGATTCATAGTTTCACTCACAGAATCAATTTATCCCGAAAACATCTTCAAGGGACAAATCTCTACCACCTCCACAATTATCGGCAAGTACCACCCACAGTATAAATAAATAAAACATTCATTTCCATGGTACAATTCATTTCCAGGTACAATTCAATATGCAATGGGGTTATTTATTTTCAGAGAATAGGTTTATGGAACCTACTTGTTCTTCCTATCAAACAACCCTCATGCTGCCATCTGCCTCAGAATCATTTAGGGACCTGTATTCCTGTTCCAGGTTAGAATTCCAGAGATTCTAATTTGGTGAACATTAGGCCAAGCCCAGGAAGTAGAATGTTGAATGTTTATGGAGATCCCAAGGGATTCTTTTCCATTGGTTCCAATATAACTGGACCATAGAGCTCAGTTCATGGTCTTGAATATTTTTCTTAGTAATTCACTTGGGGGTGAGGAGGACATTGCTTTTTCAAGTGACAACCCCTCAAAATTTGAGAAGCCTCAAACTTCTGGAGAAGGGCTAGGATGCAGGGGTGGGGAGAAGATACCAGGAAAACTGGAATATATTGCCATGAGGGGTGTGTGTGTATGTGAAATATGCAGTGGTAGAAAAAGTTTGCTGCTCAAGAAGGTAAAGCGTTTTTACAATTTAGTTGAGACCCTTCTTAGAGGCTACAGCGGATCAACTCCCTCTCCTGCATGTCTTAGAAATCATTCAATACCCAGCCGTGATACAAAAGCGGAACTCTGAAGACAGGCATGAATAATTGCATCTCAGGGTTGTGTGTCTTCCCCAATTGACTATAAGCTCTTTCAAAAAAACAAAAAGTGTTCTTTGTTTTTATGCATCACTGTGTCTTCCACGGTATTCACAGAAAGCTCTCCATAAATACATGCTGCAGGAAAAAAGGCAGAAGACACATTTCAAGAATACTACATCTGACACAACTCCCTGAAAGATATTTGAATATTTTCTATTGCAAAGCTCTTAATTCCATGGCAGATTGTATTTCTGAATTGTGTAAATAAAGCAAGCTATACCTACGGGCACAGGGAGAATTGATATGAGAGTAGGGCGTACAATCTTTTTGAGTCTCTTCTTTCCTCGATTCTTGCTGTAAATGTGAAGATTTGAGATGGAGGTATTCACTGAGGGGGAATCAGGTCACCAGCAATTGCTGTGGTAAGTCAGCTTGGGTAGGAGCTGACAGACACAGAAAAAGCCACAGAACCCACAGATGGCTTGAAATCATCCTTGCTGCATAACCTGGCAATGACATTGATAATTAAGGGTTTCTTATGTACTTCAGCAATTCATTATTATTTAAAGAGTCACAAATACACCAAATGTACTTATTAAACTATTTTTTGCTATGCACCTTTTCCTGCCCAATATTCTAACAATAAATCCTAGTGCTAGCATTAGTAGTTAATATTCATTTATTGCTAATTGTGTGTCAGCTTCTAAAAACTAGGCAGATAAGCATGCATACAACAATCCTAAGAAGACTATACTATTATTCTCATTTTACAAATGAGACAACAGGGACAAAGAGGTTAAGTAACTCACTGTGATAAAGAGGATAATACCTCCCTAATATCTTAGTCCCTGAAACCTGTAAATATGTTGTGTTACCATGGCAAAAGCGCTTTGCAGATGTCATTAACTTAGGGATCTTACAATGGGGAGATTATTTTGGTTTATCCAGGCGGACCTGATGTAATCACAAGGGTCCTTATAAAAGGGAAGTAGGAGGCAGGGAGGGAGAGAGGGAAAGAAAGGAAGATTTGAAGATGCTGTGACACTGGTCACATGAAGGAAGAGGCCACGAGCCAAGTGGTCTCTAAAAGGTAGAAAAGACAAAGAAATGAATTATTTTTTAGAGACTTTAGAAGGAAAAAGCTCCTGCCAACACCTTGATTTTAGGACTTCTGAATTCCAGAATTGTAAGATAATAAATTTGTGATATATTAAGAGACTATGTTTGTGGTTATTTGTTTTACAACAATAATAGGAAGCTGTCTGAATCCTTTTATGTTGCTATAACAGAATATCTGAGGCTGGGTAATTTATTAAAAATAGAGGTTTATTTAGCTTATGGTTCTGCAGGCTGGGAAGTTCAAGAAGCATGGTGCTAACATCTGCTGGGCTTCTGGTGAGGGCTTTTGCAGGGTCAAAACAGTGGAGAAGGTCAAAAGGGATGTGGAAAAGTGCAAAAAGGCAAAACCTGAGGGGTGTCTTGCTTTATAGCAACACACTCTTGCAAGAACAAATCCATTCTCATGAGAACTAATCAGTCTCATGAGAGAAGGGATTCACTCACTACCCTGAGAACAGCCACAAACCATTCATAAGGGATCTGCCTCATGGTTCAAACCCTTTCCACTGGGCCACAACTCCCAGCACTGCCACACTGGGGAACAAATTTCAATATGAGTTTTGGTGGAGACAAACCACATCCATACCATGGCAGAAAATAATATACTTGCTCAAGTTTGAGTGAGTATTCAAACCAGCACAGACTAGTTGCCTTAACTACTATGCCAACATGAAATATATATTATTAGAAATGGCTGAAAAGGGGGCTAGACTAAAAAGCGGGGAATTTGTCAGAACAATTTGCAACTGTGGTCAGAGAACTAGAGTTCATACCCTGCCCATAGTGAGCCAGTGTATGACAGAGCCACATTATTAATCTCGATAATAACCCAATCATTTAAAATATAGAATGTAAAATATGTATAATATATACTTAAATATATAAAACCTCAGTTAATAAGCATACTAATGAACAAATTCACAGTTAGAAAAATAATTCTTATTCTTCCTTTCAGTTAAGCAAAAAGTCTCCTCTTACATCTTTAGACTGTAGGCCTTTTACTGTTACAAATTTTGTTAACTTCAGATTTCACATTTTTCCTATGGTCAATTTTATAATACTTCTACTTTTCCTATTTATACAATTCAACTATGTACAAAAGATTGTCTTCCCAGCCTGGGCAACATGGAGAAACTCCATTTCTGCCAAAAATACAAAAAATTAGCTGGACATGGTGGCAAATTCCTGTAGTCTCAACTACTTGGAAGGCTGAGGCTGAGGTTGGAGGTTCACTTGAGCCTCGGAGGTCAGGGCTGCAGTGAGCTGAGATTATGCCATTGCACTCCAGCCTAGGTGACAGAGGGAGACCCTGTCCAAAAAAAATATTTTCCCAAAGGTATTTACAAAAGATAGGAGTAAGTATGATATTGACTGTTAATTTAAATATTAATTTTATTTTGGATGCTTAATTTAGTGTTTCTAAAATAAATATTGATTTGTACTAATTTTAGCAATTCTATTTACTCATATCTTTCATAGATTAGTACAATACAAAGACATATTGCTATGAATCACCCTGAAATTTTTTATTTTTGTATCTGTTTGCATTGCTGTTGCTTTTTTAAGAGCTCAAATATCTGAGAATCTTTGTGGAATAGTGAAAATAAATTCTGGTGATGGCTAAGATTTGATATGTTGCTTTCTTGGTCATTGATGTGAAATCCAAACGTATGTTTTCAGTTCGCAATGTTAAAGTAAATTTTCAAAACATAAAAACATAACTTCCATTCAAATACAGAATATACATGTATCAAAGAAGTATTTGATTCATTAATGAAGGAATCAGAAGGATGGTAAAACTAGTTTCAAAGAAAATTCAAGAGATTGAGTGTATATATAGGAATCCAGGAAAGCATGTTAGAATAATATTACTAGGTAGATACGCAAGAAGTTAATATTCAACAGGACAATAAACCCATAACCTTTGGAGATATAGTTTCTACCAGACAGAAGCAATTTGCATCTCTACTGAGCAAAAATCTACAGATTATGTTTAACTTTATAGAATCTGGCCTTAATTATTATTCATTCAGTAATAAATAGTAAAATCAGAATTTATTAATTCACCTAGAATTAAATAATCTTTACCTGTTAGAAGATGTTCTACAATGACATTGAGAAGATGTGAAGTTATTTCTTTGCTTTATTTATTTCCACTTTTTTTTCTAATTTTTCTTAACAGTGGTAAGATCACTTTCAAGAGAATCTATACTCCTGTCTCTGTCACCAGCATTTTTGGACAGCTGAGTACTGTCCAAAATATATAGAATTGAAATGCTCCTTCTCTCTCTCAAAAGATTAATTTTTTCAGGTTTTTATATGATTAACTTTATGCCACATAACTCAGAATTTTGTAATTGTTTAAGATGATTTTTAAAGTATATCAAATGGGTGCAAATAACTTTTTATAAAAATTGCTTATAAAAAGTGACCTACAATGAGTGTTATATCTAAAATAATACTGTTAAAAATCATCCAGAATTTTTTTTCATTTCCTGAGAGTCTGTTTCTATATATTAAATGTGTATCCTTTGAAGTTTTCCTGTACTGATAATGTACTCGCATTGTGAATTATACTGAACTTTTTTTCTCTGAAGGGTATTGTTTACCTGCATGGGAAATCTGTGATGCGACTGTAGCCAGTTTGTTGATTTCCGTCTTTCTGTACTTTGTTCCTTTCAGGTCCCCTTTTTCAAGGTGAGCCAACCTCACTCCTACTCTGAGTACTAAATTATTTCCTGTCACTGTAGTTTCTCAGCAATCCTCAGAGCTCTCTCTTATGACAGTGAATGGGACAGTGCTGGGAAAATGTCTAGGCCTCTTGAAATTAAGTGTTCCAAGAGTAATCCTAGTTTATGGGGACAAGTTATAGGACTTGAAGACTGTAGAGGGTGGCAAGATTACTGATTAAGATCTCCCTTTGCCTCCTGTTTCTAGACCTGAGAACTGAGAGAGCCCTTTATCAACTACCTTAAGTGACTCCAGCCTTCTGTTACTCTTGATCAGAATGCCTGTTACAACCTGTAATGCTTTTATGAACTTAGTTGTTTACTTGCTAAATATTGTCTGTCTTCACTAAATGGAAACACCATGAGGACAGGGGCCATATTTATGTTGAATTTTTTTTAAATCCCAGAATCTGGCACACTGATTCAAACGTGATGGGTCAAATAAAGTTTTATTGAATGAATTCATAGAATTGCATTGTCGTGTACCTGTGAAGCAAGGAGACAGTAAGAATGACAGAAAATGACAAGTGGCCTTGGTTTAAGAGTATGCAATTGCTTTAGGCATTAATGGTTTTATATGTTTTTCTCTATGCCATTTTGCTGATTGAAATATTCCAGGCACAAAAGCTTTAGGTGCCACAGAAGATACATATCATCATTATAATGTAATAATAACAGCAGCGAAAAAGAAAAAAAAAGTACTAGTAGCTAAAGTAACACAAGCTAAACCTTTAATGGGAAAAATTCTCTTGGTAGCTAATTTCAAAAATAGTCTTTACCTAAAATGAAATCATTACTGTCATAGTTGCCTTTAAGTGATACATTAACTCGGAGATAACTGCATTGCTCCAAATGTGTCAGCATTTAAAGTCTGTCTTACTGGAATTTTTCTTAATTTATTGTAATCTAATAATCATAGGATGCATTATTTGTATTTGACACAGTTGTATTTTTCCCATGCGCATTCATTCAGCTATGTAACGAGGAAGGATTGTTAGGCTAACATTATTCTTTCTACAGAATGCAGTATTTATTCATGTGCACTTGGTGAATGAATTCTCTATAAGCACATTAGCAAAATGTGAAAAAAATAAAACCTCTGAGTCTTCAAAAGATGGCTGCATAAAATAGTTGAAAAAAATTTGCAGGGTGGTGTGTATAGACATTTCACATAAAATATGATGGATAATCTGAATCAAATGCATATTTGGGCTTACAAGTAGCTATAATAACTTTGTCACATCAAACAAGATGAGTAAACTGGAATGTCATTTCGTTGACTGGAAGAAGCCAGCTTACCAGTTGAAAAATCGCTTCATATTTTATTGTATTTTTTGAGCCTCTTCATTTATTACATAAGTGCACTCTCAAGGGTAATTGCCTTAAAAAAATCTTTGACTTGTGAAATGTAGACAATACCGTCAGGATTTCCAAGTGTTATGAGTTCTTTTTAATGTCTCTTGTTCAGGTGCAACTGATTTTGACAGATGTATTGTTAGGTTACTGGTATAACATGACATCTTTTTTCAGATGAAATGAGTAAGAGTGATTTTGACAATAAGTAGATAAGACAGTCAGAAAGTTGAAAAAAACATGTCAATGTCACAGTTATGCCACAAATACTACAGAACAGACCTTACAATATCATTAAGTCAGGGTCTTTCCAACAATGTCCTTGAGAAGACAGAAAATAGTATTGCCCTTAAATACTACCACTTAGCCACAGACGGAAAATAAGACAAAACACAAAGATCAGTTTAATGTGTACTCAAGGCGGCATTTGATGAGTCTATGCTATGTGTGTATATTTGTGTATAGACCTCGTTAACATACTGTATGGATGAAAGAATTTTGAGATATCAAAACCACTTTTTCTGGAGCCAAAAAAGCATTTAACTTTAGAATTCCAAGAACTCCATTAAAAAACATTGATTGTGAAATATGCAAAGTGATTTAATGTATATTAATTATAACTTTGTTGAATGGAATAAGAAGAAATAGCCTTTAATAATATGAGAAAAAGGCCAGGCACAGTGGCTCACGCCTTTAATCGCAGCACTTTGGGTGGCTGAGGTAGGCAGATCGCCTAAACCCAGGAATTCGAGACCAGCCTGGGCAACATAATGAGGACTTCATCTCCATAAAAAATAAACAAAATTAGCTGAGCATGGTAGTGCACCCTTGTGGTTCCACTTACTCAGGAGGTTGAGGTGGGAGGGTCGCTTGAGCCTCAGAGGTCAAGGCTGCAGTGAGCCAAGATAGTGTGAGTACCACTGCATTCCAGCCTGGGTGACAAAGAAGACCCTGCCTGAAAAATTATATATATGAAATTATGTATATATATATATGAAATTATATATATATATGAGAAATTTAGGAATACATTTAAAAATGTATTTCTAGATCATGAATTTTGTAAACAGGTTAGTAAAGACTAAAATGAAATCAACCCCATGTGTCAATAGGGAATTAGATGTTTGGTGGTCATATTTTCCCTTACTATTGACTGGTCAGAAGCTGGACTACACAGACAGTCCCTGACTTACAGAGATTCAACTTACAGTTTTTTGACTTTACAGTGGTGTAGAGACAATATGCATTCAGTAGAAACCATGCCTCAAGTACCTATCCAGCCATGCTGTCTTTCACTTTCAGTGCAGTATTCAATAAATTACATGAGATATTCAACACTTTATTATAAAATGGTTTTTGTGTTAGATGATTTTGTTCAACAATAAGCTAATGTAAGTGTTCTGAGCATGTTTAAGGTAGGCTAGGCTAAACTATGAGGTTTGGTGGGTTACATGTATTAGATGCATTTTCAACTAACAATATTTTTAACTTAAGATGGGTTTATCAGGATATAACTCCATCATTAGTTGAGGAGCATCTGTATATGCATGTGTATGAGTACGTATACTGCCTTTTCTCAATATATAATGCATTTAAAATGATTTAATGGAAAAGATATTTATCCTTAGAATGCCTTCTACTATCTTTGTTTCTAGGATCAGAAGTGGTTGATCTTGATGGAAAAAGTTCCCTTCTCTACAGATTTGATCAAAAATCCCTGAGCCCAATAAAAGACATTATTTCTTTGAAATTCAAAACCATGCAGAGTGATGGGATTCTACTCCACAGGGAAGGGCCAAATGGAGATCACATCACACTGCAATTAAGAAGAGCAAGACTCTTTTTACTTATTAATTCAGGTAAAACTATTCGGTGAAGTGCTCAAAAATCTGATTATTTAGATATCACCTAAGTCACTTTATGCTTTTATAGCTTATCTTTTAGCAGTCAGAGTGCCTTATTTTCAGATTCAAGGGCTTGTACATATGTCAATATTGCTCTTTCATGTAAAAATGGTTCATATTTTGCAAATTGCACAAAATCTTCAGTGTTTTTTTACATAGTGCTGATAGAACCATATAGCTATTTTCTAACATCATAAAGGAAGGGATGGGTCATTGAAAAATGTTGAGGTAGTAAAAATAATGAGGTTGTGGCAAAGATAAAATTTACATAGAAAATGAGCGTGCAATCAGTAATAATGACAAAAAGAATTAACAACGGAGGAAATTACAACAAGGTTGAGATATTATTATATTGAAACTTCGGGGAAATGCATCCTAGTATTTGAAACGGAATGCGTAGAAGGAGATTGCAATTATTATGAAAGATGGTGGTCCACAGAAGGGAACCTTTTTTTTTTTTCTTTAGACTGGCAATAATGGTGCTGTTATTTTTCTCCTCTTCTAAGGTGAAGCTAAACTGCCTTCCACTTCCACCCTGGTCAATCTCACCCTGGGCAGCCTGCTAGATGATCAGCATTGGCATTCAGTGCTCATCCAGCGTTTGGGCAAACAAGTCAACTTCACAGTGGACGAACACAGGCATCATTTCCATGCACGGGGAGAATTCAATCTCATGAATCTTGATTATGAGGTGTGATGGTTATGTTTCAATTAATGCTGATTTTATTATGTATATGTGGTTTAATCTCCCAGAGGAAAATACACTATAAAGAGCCCACCTTTTCAGTAAATCATAGAACAGGTGAAGCATTTCCCAAGGCAGTCTAACTCACAGTGGCAGCTTTCGGTGTATAGTACTTGAACCTTCATCTTTCTCACAGTATGTAAATTTATTGTTATAGAGGGAGATGATCTTTTTTACCTAAAATATGTAGTCACAGAACATCATATGCAGGAAATCTTCTGCACCAAAAAAATCTTATTACCACAAGCAAATATAGGATGTTTGCTATGACTTCTTTGTGTTCTAGGGTATTTGTGAGCAGTATAGATTTATAAGGAGAATGTACCAACAAATTGATTAATTAATTCATTAGCAATGGATTCAAATGCTCAAATATCAATATGTGCTAGAAGCGTATCTAAAATAAAATATTATAATTGGTTATAGTATTAAACAGATCAAGTTTTACCATGTTATAAAGATGTATTTTTCATCGACCAGTGAATATCAAAGCCAGATGTGATCAGCAACTTGTAAAAATAAAGTTCTAGTGTAAATAAAAGCTAAATGCACATAAATTTGTTTTAAATCTATATCTTAATTTTTGTGTGTGTAGGGTTATGAAAAATTGATCTGTGTGTGATGATTATAGCTATACTTGCTAATCATAATTAAGCAGATTTTTAGAAAATCACTAAACAATATTATTGATGCCATTTTTCTTTCTAAGATCAGCTTTGGAGGGATTCCAGCACCTGGAAAATCAGTGTCATTCCCACATAGAAATTTTCATGGATGTTTAGAAAATCTCTATTATAATGGAGTGGATATCATTGATTTGGCCAAGCAGCAAAAACCACAGATCATTGCTATGGTGAGAGTCTTTATGCGAAGACATTAGTAAAACTATATTTCTTTTTTCCACACAGTAAAATTCCTCCATTTTAGGTTCCCATTTGACATGGGGTTTTAGAGGTACTCTTATTTAAATATTTTTCTTTGATTGGCAATATGCATATAAAAGATTGGTTCTATCTGAAGGAATTATAATTTTGGGGGCATAATTATTTTATTTTTATATGAAGTAAAGCAGTGTTTTTATGGTTGATATTTTAATTTTATTGTGATGTCATTACTCACAGGAGCCTAATTTCTTTTAATCTGTATTTTTTTTTTCTTTTTTGAGATGAAGTCTCACTCTGTCACCCAGGCTGGGGTGCAGTGGCATAATCTCGGCTCACTGCAGCCTCCGCCTCCCAGATTCAAGCGATTCTCCTACCTCAGCCTCCTGAGTAGCTGGGACTTGTAGTCCTGCCAACACACCTGGCTAATTTTTTGTATATTTTGTAGAGACAAGGTTTTGCCATGTTAGCCAGGCTGATCTTGAACTCCTGACCTTGGGTGATCCGCCTGCCTCAGCCTCCCAAAGTGCTGGGATTACAGGCATGAGCCACTATGCCCAGCCTGCTCTGTGATTTTTTAAATAAGATATTCCCTGACAAACTTACCAGATGAGCATAAAGAGTTTCTGGAATCAGATAACAACCATGTATATTAGGGAGACATTTGAAAAACTTGTATTTTGCCATAGTCATTCATGATAAATAAAAGAGACGAACAGACAACAGCATGTAAGAAACATCACATGTAGGAAATCTGCACCAAGAGATCTTACTACCGCAAGCAAATACAGGTTGTGTTACAATATTGCATCGGCCAATCTGTCCAAATGGCAATGTTGGTCAGACTGCATTACATTCTAATTCTGTGGAAACGGGGACAATTTAAATATAGCTGTCTTGGTTAGGTTTCAGTTAGGGAAGCAGCACCAATGCTAGGTATTGTGAACAGTGGATCTATATTAGGACTTGGACCTCAGCAATTTTCAGAGGAACTAAAAAATGAATGGCCTGGCAGGGGAAGTGCGAGGATCAGAGAAGTCATTAATTCTGCCCAAAGCAGTGATGTGTGGAGGCATGTTGGAACTTACAGACATTTTCAGCCTAGGAGGGTTGAAGAGAACTTTGGCAGTTGTTGCCTGTGGGTAGCCACCACCCCTGTGTGTCCCCAGCCATGCATCCAGCGATGGGCCTGGGCTTGCTGTCGGTCGGTTGGGCCAGCTGTCAGGAAGAAGAGATGGGCCATAGTGCAGGAGAGCAAGGACAGACTGGAACAAACCAGCCGCTGTGTGACCACCCCTCATCGCACATGATTAGAAAAACAACCTTAGGGGCAAAATGTGTTGCTGGTGTTTTAATTCTAACTATCAAGTATCACCCAAGCTCTCTTTTTTGGCTTTTACTCAGAAGCAGACAAGTAAGGGGATCCTGGGAAACATGGTTTCTAGCTTTACCAGTTTGATAATAAAATACAGGCACATATTGATTTGAATAAATTTCTTTCATTGCTTAAAATCCAAAGTGGGTAAATTTAAGCTCATGTGTCAGCAAATCCCAAAGCACATCACAAGTGTATTTATTGTTTAAACAGCATTTTATTTCTAATTATGTGAATTGGTGGTATTTATATGACCACAACAGCCAGCAAGATTTTAAAATAGTATTTTTAATAAAAGCAAAATTATTTAAAATAAAAATAAAAATATTTTAGATAGATGTGTGTGTGTGTGTGTGTGTGTGTGTGTGTGTGTATTTTATCCATAAAATGAGTTTCTAGAAACTGCAAGGACCATTCACTCTTCATTGGCAAGAGGATTTGCTGCTGGTAAGCTATCATGCAGCTATCCAAATGATGCATAAGATCAAGCTGCAGGTTAATGGGTACAAAAATATGATTAGAAAGAAGAGGGGCAATAAATTCTAGTTTTCAATAGCACAGTAGGGCGACTATAGTTAATAAGGATTTATAGTATATTTCAAAATAGCTACAAGATAAGTTTTGTAATGTTCTCAACACAAAGAAAAGATAAATGTTTGAAATGATGGACATCCCAATTATCCCGATTTGCTCATTACGTATTATATATATGTATCAAAATATCACATGTGCCTCATAAATATATACAACTATTATGTATCACTAAGAAAAAAGACCAAGCTGCAGCTGGTAAAAATGTTTTTTTTTTTTTCCCTAGGTTTGATAGTCTTAAAATTGCCTTTACACATATGGGTTAGTGTAGTTTGCTGTTCAGCTTTTGTTATTTCATTCATTGGAACAATGTATTTGTTTATAATAAAAGTGAATTCACTTTTCACAGATTCATAATAGAGCCAAATGTTTTCGTTTGACCAAGACCAAATGTTTTATTCCAATGTGTATTCTTCTAAATAAGCTTGACTTCATTGACTTTTAAATTTATATTAAAGTTGAGAAATGGAGAGAAGAGCAGAGCAAAGGGTTGAAGAACCTTTAAGAAATATGGCAGTGGTTTGGACTGTCATGTTGATAGCAGGCAGTTGTTTTAAATCGCGGATAATGTGAGATTGAAAAGCAGCCTTCAAATTCTGTTACTAATGTGATGTGAATAACATTCTGAAAGCTTTTTCTTTTACTTTATTCTCAGGGAAATGTGTCATTTTCTTGTTCACAACCACAATCTATGCCCGTGACTTTTCTGAGCTCCAGGAGTTATTTAGCACTGCCAGACTTCTCTGGAGAGGAGGAGGTTTCTGCCACTTTTCAATTTCGAACTTGGAATAAGGCAGGGCTTCTGCTGTTCAGTGAACTTCAGCTGATTTCAGGGGGTATCCTCCTCTTTCTGAGTGATGGAAAACTTAAGTCGAATCTCTACCAGCCAGGAAAATTACCCAGTGACATCACAGCAGGTAATAAATGTATTCCCTGGGGCAAAGCATATGGATTTGAAAGATTTCATTATCTCTGTGGCCAAATTTTATGCATAACCAAAAATGTAATATTTGCTTAATAAATGAATACTCAGGTTAATAAGATTATAAGTACTCTTCCTTAGAGGAACTTGATTCCAATTTTCTTTTAAATATGGTTCCAACACTAGCAGTTCTTATTAACCAAAATGATAGTTTTGGGGAACTGAAGTTTCCTTTCACGACCCTGTCTCCCACTCCAGACAAAGAACATATCCTAAGGTGATGTGTTTTGGGGAAAACATGAAGACCTTGAAATAGGCCAACAAGTTAACTAAGTGTTCTTCAATGGAAAACTAGACTCTTCCTAACACACTTGTTAGTCTTATCTGGTCTGTGAGAAAAAGGGAGAGGTCTTTCTGGGATCTATATCTATATCTCTGTATGAGTGTACAGTGTGAATGGTAACTTTATTTGCTGATGTCTTATGTAAAGAGTTGAATACATTTTGAGGGGATGCAAAGATTTATGCAAGATTCCTCAGTTGTCACCAAATGAAATTCTCTCTACTTCTAGGCAATACGGTATTGTTTTAATGATTAGAAGTAATGTACTTGAGGTGACTATATGAGTATCTGGATAATGAATGTCTAATTTAGGCCAGTGCGTTGAGTGAGGGATGTTTTTGTCTCTTCATTAAAATTATAAAGTTCTTGACAAAAGCTCTACATCACATTTTTACGTATGTACAATGGCATCCAAGCCAAGCAACTAGAGGTTGCCTTGGGGTAAATTACTACATTAATTTAATAAATAATCTTTAAAAACAACTTAAAGATTCCATTGTACTACTCCTCTATATTAAGTATGACCAAAAAATAGTGGAATGTAACTTGGAGAGGAGAAAAAAATGAGAAGTTAAAATACAGTTGAAAATTAAATACGAGAAAACAAGTATACAAATGGATATACAAATGCCTATTATTTATATGTCTTTTTGTTGCTGTACTACTATTGTAGTTTAAATACGGAACCGAGAATTCGATATTAGTTATAATTTTTAAAGAGATACTATGCTGTGACTTTTTATTTAGTGTTCAAAATGTGGTAGATTTGCTGGCTAGACAAAAAGAAATAAATTAATGAGTCTCATATTAATAATTAATAGGCCCTGAAAATGAAGGTCTAAAAATGTAAGCTTGCCATTAGTGTGTCATTTATTGTGATGTATCTGACATCTTCTGAAGTGGTTATATTCATACCCTAATTTTCAGCATCTTAAAGAAACCGCTTCAGTGCAACGTTACTTTGGGGAGCTCCATGAAGTCAGCCTATTTCTTTCTTTTTTTTTTTTTTTTTTCTGAGATGGAGTTTTGCTCTTGTTGCCCAGGCTGGAGTGTTATGGTGCAATCTCAGCTCACCGCAACCTCCGCCTCCCGGGTTCAAGTGATTCTCCTGCCTCAGCCTCCCAAGTAACTGGGATTACAGGCATGTGCCACCACACCCAGCTAATTTGGTATTTTTTAGTTGAGACAGGGTTTCTCCATGTTGATCAGGCTGAAGCCAGTCCATTTCTAACCGCTTTACAAGCATGTATAGTTAATATATTACTAGGTATAAGTCTCATAGAATACCCTGAGGGATTTAAAAATTTCTAAATGAATGTTTAAATTCATGTATAATATAATCTGTTATGACATCATCTGACTTGGTATGATTATTTTCATACTAATCATAAGGATACTAGACTAAATATGAATGTCAGTACACTGAGGATAACACAAGTAGGATTTTATTTAAAAACTCTCTCTACTCTTTTTTTTCCGTTTCTTTCACAATATTATTTTTTGCTAGTTCCCGTGAAGCAAGTACATTTTGCATTTGAAAATAGACTATTTAAATGGTAGTTGGGTGGGAGGTCAGCTTGTTCTCCCAAGGGGAAGACTTTCCATTTATGTTTTATGTATGCGACACTTGATAATTAAACCAGTTGTCAGGATGTATTATAATGACTTTCAAGAGAACCATGTCTTTATTGATGGATTGCTATCACATTGTACTAAATCTTTTCATTATATAAGGATGGATTAATTTTTCTCAGCTACTGGAGATATATTTTACAAATCTTATATGTTTGAAAAACTCAACATTTTAATATATTTTATAATGAAATTAAGATTAAATTGTATTGAGAAAGAACTGAATTGTGCAAATGCTTGAATTATCAGACTAAATTTTTAATATGATGTACAGTTTTGCAAATTGTCATTTGGAATTATTCAAAAATATTATGTCAGCTTAAATCATTTTTGAAATATTCAACACATTATATTAGTATAAATCATGAAACATATTAGCATCACTATAAAATCCCTTATGACACAAAATATTTTTAGTCGTTGCCACCTTTATAAATGTCAAAGCAAAAATCAATGAGCAGTACAGTTTTATGTTCCCATTTAAAACAAAGTTTTTGATATCAAATTTGAGATTTCTGCTATGATTTTAGCATTTCTGCTGCTGTTTTTGCGTAACAGTGAAAATCAGGCTTATAACCATGCCTCTTGTCCCCATGGGCAGGGCCTGGCAGAGGCAGGCTTGCAGTATTTGAGATGTTTCTGCATTTTTCTATTACTAAGCATTCTCAATTCTTGTGCCTCTGACAATGGAGCAGCCCCCTTGATTTGCTGCACCCAGGAGAGCCATTTTTGTCAATCCACCTTCCTCCCTTTCACTGTTGAAATATTCCTAACTTTCGGGCTGTAAACCTGTCACCCTTTAAACTTCTGCTCTCCACCAAAGTGATGGGTACCAACCACCTCCATATTTTCATCTTGACAAGAGCTATCTGGTAATCTGAATCCTTAATTCTGGTTAGTGACTACGGTTAGTGGATATAAGAATGTCTGGCACTTCAGTGCGCTGAAATACGCTTGGAAAGAGGCAACACCCTTTGGTTTTTCCCTGAGGAATGGCCTAGGTATAATTGCCTTTTGCACCTTTGCTGAACTCCTACCCTATATGGCAGGCTAATTTTTTTTCTTATACATTGTGCACTACAGATATGTGTTGTAGTCTTATGAGAGGGTGATGACAACTAAGCTCTCATGTTTCTGATGCAATTTAGGACTGGAACTAGAAGACGATCTGTAGAATGGAAGTAGACGTAAATCTTTTTTCTCCTGCTGTATTTTGTATGTTTATGTGGTTTAGGCTGGAAGACAGAACAAAGAGAGCAACAGAAAGGGAAAGAGAGAGAGAACGTTCTAGGCCATAATCTCATGGTCTCCAACGTGTAATTGCAAACACTTCCATCTACTATTCCATCCTTCCATTATTCCAATTGGCATTGTCAATGTTTTCCATCCAAAGACTGCAATTAACATATCTGGAGTTAAACAAGTTGAATTTATTGCTTATTGCAACACAGAGAACACACCCTGGAAACCAACGGTTGTCTGAAGACAAAGTTGTTAGAATGGCATAGGATTTGGGGTTGTGTTAGCTGATTTGAGGGAGGTTTCAAGGAAGTGAAAAATTGCTGTAGACTAAATGCTGTCACGAAGTGAGGGTAATTCTATGATTAAATATCTTTGTAAACCTTATCTAGAAGGATGAAATAACGAAGTAAGGCTAAAGTTGTAATTGGTAAATACAGAACAAAACAGTTGGTCATTCATAAGTATCAGGAGAGAAAGAAGTTTGTGTTTTTGAGGTTTGTACAATAGCCTTGCTTCTGTCTGTGTTTAGACAAGTTTATAAGTAGTCATGATTTTTCCCCACCTTCATTTCATTATAGTCACAGAATGGCCTTGTCTGATGTTGGTGTTCTGTGTTATTGTTGATGTTCAACAGAAGAACACCAAAGCCCAGCCCTCAGTGCCAGCCAGATTCTTACAACACCAAGGTCTCACTGGTGGTACCAGGCTGTGTCCTAGCTGTTGCGGCCTATTTTTCTTAGAGTTAATTGTTTAATATGAGCAAAAAATAAATAAAATAAAATAAAGTAAGGCAGACACCTGTCTTGCAGACAGGGAAGAGTGTAGGTTTTGGAGTCAGTCTTGGTTTTCTGTTTTCCTTCAGCTATCCAGCAGCTGGATGTGACCTCGGTAGTTTCTTTTCCTCTCTGAGCCTCATTTTCTCCGTATTTAAGGTGAGAATGATAAGTTATAGTGAAGATTAAATGATACTATGCATAGAAAGCTCCCAGTATTTGTTATAAGTAATACCTCAATAAAATTACTATTTTATTATTATGACAACATGTTCCTCCCCAGACTTAAAAGTTATGAGTGGTGGGACTGGGTGCATAGAATTTTCATTTACTTACACAATATCAGAAACAAGAAAACAAATTCAAATTCTATGATTTCTCCTTCTCCTTCCTGTTTCACAGTGGTGCGGCCCTTGAAAAGGGCCAACCTATTATCAGACCTAGTAACGGAAAGGAGTTGTATAGCTACAAAACAATTAGAATCTAATTTAAAATTAGGTAGAGTTAGTTGAAATGAGTTAAAGGGACATTTTGTGATTTGAGTAATAAATTCCAATTGACAGGTATTAAGTCTCCTCATCATAGGCAAATAATGTTTGTTACAAAGGAGGCTTGGGAAAAGCTTTCTGAAGGTTCCCCCACAAACATGGCACAACTTCATTCTATTCACAACCTGTAACCTGCTAGCTTGTTAGATGAATGTGTTTAAATGTGTGCCAAATTACAGAGTGGGTTACTCTGGCAGTCTTTTGTTCCTGATCTATTTTTTGCTTCTGTATGGACAGTAGGCCTCCCCAAGCCTTTTAGTTAATCCTGCTGCATGCCTAACCAATGACTGCCCAGAGCCCTGCTACTCAAAGTATGGGTCCTGGACCAGCACTGGCTCAGTGAAATACTTTTAACTGATCTATGATGAGATGAATGTTAAAATTGAGATTAAACTCCTAGAAACTGGTAAAAAGAGATCACTGCAACATCTAAGCACATGGTTAGTGGGCTTGTATTTTATGTCTTATTTATTTGTTATTTTACTTTTTATTTTTTTTTAATTTTAGATTTGGGGGTACAAGTGCAGGTTGTTACATGGGTATATTGCATGGTGCTGAGATTTGGGTTTCAATTGAACCCATTACCCAAATAATGAACATGGTACCTGATAGGTAGTTTTTAAATTCTTGCCCCATGCCCTCTCCCCTTTTGAAGTTCCCAGTGCCTGTTTTTCCCATCTGTATGACCATGTGTACCCAGTGATTAGCTCCCACTTACAAGTGAGAACATGCTGTATTTGGTTTTCTGTTTTTGTGTTAATTCACTTAGGATAATAGTCTCCAGCTGCATCTGTGTTGCTGCAAACAATGTTATTCCATTCTTTTTTATCGCTACATAATATTCTGTGATGTATATGTGCCACATTTTCTTTATCCAACCCATCATTGATGGGCACCTAGGTTGATTCCATGTCTCTGCTATTGTAAATAATACTACAATAAATACGTGAATGCAGGCATCTTTTTTGGTCAGTGGTCCTCAACCTTTTTGGCACCAGGGACTGTTTTCATGAAAGACAATTTTTCTAGGGACTGTAATGTTGGGGGATGGTTTCAGGATCATTCGAGCAAATTAAATTTATTATGTACTTTATTTCTATTATTATTGTAATATATAGTGAAATAATTATACAACTCATCATAATGTGGAATCAGTGGGAGTCTTGAGCTTGTTTTCCTGCAACTAGATTGACCCATCTGGGGGTGATTTGAGACAGTGACCATCAAGCATTAGATTCTCATTAGGAGTGTGCAACCTAGATCCCTCGCATGTGCAGTTCACAATAGGGTTCGAACTCCTAGGAAAATCTAATGCTGCCAGTGATCTGATAGGAGGCAGAGCTCAGGTGGTAATGCAAGTGATAGGAGCAGCTGTAAATACAGCTTCACTTGCCTGCCAGCCACTCACCTTCTGCTGTGTGATCCAGTTCCTAACAGGCCACAGACCTGGTATCGGTCCATGGCCCTGGGGATTGGGGACGCCTATTTTTGGTAGAATGACTTATTTTCCTCTGGGTATAGACCCAGTAATGGGATTGCTGGGTCGAATAGTAATTCTACTTTTAGTTCTTTGAGAAATCTCCAAACTGCTTTCCACAGAAGCTGAACTAATTTACAGTTCCCCCTTTTTTTTTCTGTAGCCTTGCCAAAATCTATTTTTTTAGTAATTTATTTTCATCATATTTTATAAAAGTATCAATTTGCAATAGATCAGATAATAAAATGTTCATCCCCACAGATAGTTTGAGAAGAACTGTTGGACACCAGTGGAAAGTCTAAAATGAAATAAGAGAAGTAGAGTCTTGCACACAGGGCTTTGAGAATGAGATGTCGGAGAAATGCCAGGGGCAGGTGGGTAGAATATACACGTGACACAGAGAGTGTATAAGAAATTTCTCTCTAAATGAGTGAAATCTATCTTAAAGGAAGCACTGGATGACAAATCTAGGACATCTGATTTATTTTAATCCAGTCCTGTACCATCAAGGATTACATAACTCTATTCAGCTGTCTATTTCAGAGTCCACTCTTAGAAAATGTGTCTAAATGTATCTAACCTACATTCTTCCCATTCCAGTTTTCAGGCCTTTCCTATTATCTTACACAAACCAAACCAGAGTTGGGTCTTCAGTAATCTTTTTTTGCTTCATGGATGTGATGTAAAAGTGAGCTTCTGTGCCCTGGCTAAAATTTGTGTTAGACCATATATGTCCAGGGCAAAGACATGTAATCACCTAAGGGAGTTTTGATGCATTTTTGATCCAAATGTATGTGGTAGAAATTCTTCGGGAAAATAAAAGAAATCACATATATCACATATTTATGTAAACTTCTTTTACATAAAATCAGTAAAGAAATCACATGCAATATCAGAAAAAAGGCTGTTTGGTTTTGATAGATTGCTTATTTTTTTGTTTCTTAATTTGATCTGCAGAATCACACAGAGTTGACTATTCAAATGGATGTAAACCTGACTGGTAAATTCACGACAAAGACTCTTAGATTTCACCTCTGCTCAACATTTAGCTACACAGCTCCTTGTAGAATCGATTGTCTGTAAGAGGAAAAGTCTATGCATTCTGATGGATTCATGACACTGGGGCTTCCTTAGGAGGGACTAGAGATTGCTTTTTAGAGGTGATAAGAATACCTCGATTTTTGATTTTAGCAACTTTTGACTTTATACATGTCTACATATATATAAACTTGGAAAATATGTAAGTAAATAGAAACAATCATATTTTTCCTTTATTAAAAAAACTTTTTATTTGTTTCTTTTTATTTTTGTTTTTTTTGTTTGTTTGTTTTGTTCTGAGATGGAGTTTCACTCTTGTTGCCCAGGCTGGAGTGCAATGGTGCAATCTCGGCTCACCGCAACCTTTGCCTCCCAGGTTCGAGCAGTTCTCCTGCCTCAGCCTCCCCAGTAGCTGGGATCACAGGCATGTGCCATCACGCCTGGCTAATTTTTTGTATTTTTGGTAGAGATAGGGTTTCTCCATGTTGGCCAGGCTGGTCTCGAACTCCCGACCTCAGGTGATCCGCCTGCCTCAGCCTCCCAAAGTACTGGGATTACAGGCATGAGCCACCACACCTGGCCAAAAACTACTATTTCTATGTAAGAACATTTCTGTTCAGTCCCTTCCCATACTTACATAAGAATATAGTTAGGGCCAGGCGCGGTGGCTCACGCCTGTAATCCCAGCACTTTGGGAAGCCGAGGCGGGTGGATCACGAGGTCAGGAGATCGAGACCATCCTGGCTAACACGGTGAAACCCCGTCTCTACTAAAAATACAAAAAAAATTAGCCAGGCGTGGTGGCAAGCGCCTGTAGTCCCAGCTACATTGAAGGAGAGTGGCTTGAACCTGGGAGGCAGAGCTTGCAGTGAGCCGAGATCGCGCCATTGCACTCCAGCCTGGGCGACAGAGCCAGACTCATGTCTCAAAAAAAAAAAAAAAAAAAAATATATATATATATATATATATTTAGAATTGTATATAAATATATAGAGAGTTTATTCACATTGTTTACTATAGTTATGTTCTAAAAAGTCTGTGAACACTGAATTAGGGAATACTGAACCTTTGCTCCTGGGGGAAATACAGAGTTAGGTTCCTGGGAGCGTCTGTCACAACATTTTCTCAATCAGTCAATACATAATCTTGTTTTATGTGTGTTTCTGTTTAAGGACGTCTGCTTTAGTATAATGTTGTCAATTCATTAACATTGGACTTATGGCCAACAGCACCCTAACTCATGCGTGAATGAAACTTATCTAACACATGTATTTTCTCCAAAAGACACATCACAGCCTTCTTGCTCTTAGGAATGCTAGACAACAGTTCAGCATTATGTTTGGGGGCCACTTTAAACAGTGAAATCACAAACAAACTTACAAAAATTTAAAGAAAACATTATTTACAGTATGAGAGCTACAGCAATGAGGGAGAGCATTGCCCTGTTTGACCTCAGCAGGAAATGTGGACAGGGCCGCTTAAGGTCTTTACTGCTCTGTACATGTCCTGAAATGACTGAAAACACCCCTTCAAATATTGATTTGAGAGTTACAAGTAAGTTCTAATAAGGAGGCAAATTCTCAAATATCAAATCTACAAACTACGAGGATCAATTGCATATACATGGCTTTTCACGGTGCTTTATATTTAACTTTATACCTGTAAACTTTCACTATTTATTAATAGTTTATTCCAATATTGTTGTAATGATTGATGGTATAGTTTGCTAAATACTCTATTATCCTACCATAAAAAGGTGGTTATAAAACAGTGCAAAGTAGCAGGTAAACCATTTTATTGGGTATATCTTGGAATTTTGGGAATTCCTAAACCCTTCCTCCCTAAGAAGGAAATTACATAGATGGAAGCTGAAATCAATCTATGACAAATTATTGAAATATTGTAACCATCCAGGATTGTCCAGGGTTGGGAATTTGGAATGCCCCATTTTCCACATAGAGGATGCTCATTTCCAATTTGTCTCCCTTTCCTTGTTGATGTCATTGTTTTTAATTAATAATAGAGTTAAGTACTGTAGCCAATTGAGTGATGTGTATATTGCTGTTTCTAACCAACTCCTTATAGTGTTCACTATTGAGAGCGATCTCTAACTGATTTCATCTCCCTAGGTGTCGAATTAAATGATGGGCAGTGGCATTCTGTCTCTTTATCTGCTAAAAAGAATCACTTGAGTGTGGCGGTGGACGGCCAGATGGCTTCTGCTGCTCCTCTGCTGGGGCCTGAGCAGATTTATTCGGGTGGCACCTATTATTTTGGAGGTAAGAATAGGTGCCAGGCTCTATGAGCAACTGAACCATATTTGCATTAGTGCCCCCGTGTCTTGGCGAAGTCATCATGTTTTAACTAATATGAATACTAAGGAATAATTTTTCACTGTCTTTGATCACGGACATTTTGGGTGGATCAAGTCGAAAAATTCTGACCTGAAATGCATTTCTGCAAGGTGGACTTACTTCTGTTTACAGTTTCTTGATGAGATTGATTTTAAGTAGGCTGTCCTCTTCAGTTCTCACCTTCAAACCTTGCTATATTTTCCTAATGTTAAATGATCCTTATATGTCTTCTTCTGATTTTATGGGCTGATTTAATTGCAGTAGTTTCTTGATTATGCCCTTAGCTCCTTCAGAGCATCCTTATTGCTTCCCTACTGTCCAGTACAGAAGGACAATATTATGCCAAAGGACAAATAATTTAACTTAATCAGCCCCAGCAACCTCTTCTCCTTGTTAAGCATAATGCACTGATACATTTGATGAAATCAGGGCATCAGCCTTCGACACCAGCTCATCTCCCTTAGAGAACAAAAGCAAATGAAGCATCCACCCGCCCAGTGGATGTTTGTTTGAACTAAAAGCCTGGAAAAGAAAACCTAAAAAATGGAAATGAATTTTTTATCACTGGCAAATTAAAACAAATGTTCTTTTCCGTTAGAAATCCAATGTTTTAAAACTGCCAGCAGTAAGACTCACTTCTAATCATGTTGAGGTGTTGCTTATATTAGCGTTGTTTTGTCATCGTTATGTTACATTTTACTAATTGCTTGTATCTGGAATCATTTTTGCATTTGATAGAGGTAGCTGAGTCTCTATTATTCACTAATAAAATACAAATTATTTTCTAAGTATTGACGGTGAGCACACAGTCCATGAATCAGTTTATAGGATTCTAAAAGCAAAAGAACAAACAAACAAAAAAACTGCTACATAATCCATTACTGTGAAAGGCTGCTTAGGGCCAACAATCTGAAAATATATACTTGTTTCCTTTACTGAGATGTTTAAACCGGGCTGCTTATAAAACCTTTTGGAATATATGATTGATTTTATGGCAATCCATAGTAACACATTCTTTTAATAAATAGTAAGATATATAGAACAACTTAACCCAGAGCTTTTACTTCAAAGGAAAAGATTTAGAAGCAGTAAAAGAGATAAGGAAATAAATAGGCATATTGTTAAATGATGCAAAATAAAAGACTGGATAAAATTGTTTGTAAATCATGAAAATAGAATCATCATTCTTCACATATTTTATGTCCTTCATGTTCAGGTTTAACAATGCCTAGCTAGTTGATATAAATTTTTACTCTAGTGATTGCTTTTAGTCATACTGTAATGTAATTTTATAGTAAAATATATCACACATGTACTCTGTAATTTTGCTTGTTTTTATTATGATACATATGATATACATCATCTTTTTAAAAAGTATTTTTGGATAGTTTTAGATTTACAGAAAAGTTGCAAAAATATAGAGAGTTCCTGCACACCCGACATCCAGTTTCCTCTATTGTTCACACCTTACATAATATACACATTTTAAAGATAACTAACAATTTTTCTTAAGTATACACCTACCCATGTGTCTCTCTGCTAAAGAAAGATGATCAATGCATGTCTGTCCCTTGTATCATATCTTTTGATCTCCTATGTAAATGCTCTCCTGAATTTGGGTTTTATGCTTGCTTCATGTGTATTATAATTTTACATCTATTAAGGTGTTTCTAAATAATATATTGTAAGAACTTCCACAGTAAAATTCCAACTTCAGGGCTTTCTTAAAAAAAATTACGAATCTCAAGTTTACTTAGGTATCTCTGTTTATTCAATCATTTTTTCAATTGATGTTCTTTCACATCAGAATATGCTTGACCTTGGCATGAGATTCTATTGGTCATTAAATACAAGCCCTGCAAAATCCAGGCCACCCTAACAGTTCCAGGGCTGGAAGCAAGGAGCCGGATGATAGCAGAAGACCTGCTGCCAAACTCTGCCCTGCACTTCCCAGCCTTGTACTTCCAGAACCAGGTTAAGGCGATCCATCTTCCAAGAAGCCCACTTAGGGGTTTTGGGCTGAAAATTCTGGATCCTGGGAGTGAACTAGAGGGGAAAGGGTTCTAAGTGGACACATCATCTTTTCTTGTGAGGCCTTTTGGTACCATGGGCAAGAGCATGACTGGAGGAGGGCTAAAGTAGGGTCCCTAAAATGCAAGACTGCCACAGGGACCTGGCTGGTACAGGCAGTGGGGTGATCAACTCTTGCCAACTTTAGCTGAACGACCTTCATCCTGGGAACAACCTCCTTCCCCCAGTCCTGGGGAACTGTGACAGTCGTTCCCCCTGGAAAGTTCTATGTAGATAAGGCTGCTCTCTATCACTAGGATCTGTGTTGTCTAGGTGGAAAGTGTTTTTTAGATAATTCTTCAGCCAGTTTATGTTCAAGTAAAAAGTTACTCCGTGTTGTGAGACACGTCTCATCAGTTCTCCTTCTCTCTAAATTTAACTGCAAGTTTCCAGTTATTTTATCTGGGCTGTTCCAACAGCCCGGGTTATACCTCCACTCTTTACCAGTCTTGACAGTGGCTGTCATATTGGGAGAGTGGGCTGCTCCTGAACTAGCAGCACTGTGTATATGCCACACCAGACTTCTCTTATCCATCCATCACTTTTTACTCTGTAGCTTTTTTTCCACCCTCAAACAGGTGCTTTTCACAAAGTCGGACTGTATTGTGGTGGTACATTCTGCTCAGCTTTTATCATTTATAAATTATACATTTTAAATTTAGATTCTCTAGATTGAGAATGGCTGGGTGTCTAATTTCTGTACATTCCCCTATGGAATCTTTTGCAATGCCTAACACAACATGCAGCACAATCTGGGGATACTGTGTGCAAAATTCTCACATCCCCCTCCCTTGTGTAAAGCAAACATTCTCCATCCAATGAACTGACTACAGCACTGTGAAGTCTAACCTGACATCTCACTTCTGCTGCAGTGACATATAGCGATAATTTATCTGTTATCCTCGGAGGTGCTTAACATGCTGACTGCCTCCAGTAATGGATCCATCCATTAATTCAGCACTAAGTATTCTTCAGAAATCTTCCTATTTTAGGACTTTCATCTCAAATTGGGCTCAGTGCTGAGCTTCTCTCTGGTATTGCATTATATTAACTTGTTGCTGCCTCTTATCATAGACTAATGAGGCTAACCTGGGTTGAACCCCTCTTTGTTCATAGAATCTCTTGCTTATTGAACATTGTAGCTAGGAATATGAATTGCCTCATGATAGGATAGTATGCTTTCTGTAAAATTCCATGATCTTTCCTGGTGACTCTGGGTTTGCTTAGCTTTGTTCCCTACAGGCATATTGCACAATTTATTTTATTCTGAGTTAGTTTGAGATGTGTCAGGAAACGCCACCTGGAGAAAAGAAGATTAGCAGAGTTATTTATATGCCTGGCATATTATAGTTGCTTCAAAATATTATTGAACTATTATCCTTTCAGTTTTTACCCTAACATTCTTAATTGGCTAATAAGTCATTCAGAATACATACTGAGATTATGGTAACCATATCTTACACTACAGAAGAAATTTAAGCGCTGGAAATGTGTGTAGTACCATGTACAATAAATTAACACTCAAAAAGCTTTGATGAATTTTTCTTGATATATTAAATTTGAAACTTCAAAGTCTCCATTAGGTTAAAATAAAATGTTTCGGTGTGTCTGATAATAGTTTTAAATTTGAATGCTGTCCTTTACTTGCCATGTAAATGTATTTTGTCAGCAAAACAAAGCATTAAGGAAAAATATTATCAGTCAAACAATTTAATTACAGTGGAAATTCACAAGTAGAAAACTAGTGTGGATTATACAGGAATTAAGAAGTTGCTGACTCACTTCTTATTCTTTGAAATTGTGTTAGTGGTTGATGACTATCATGGCAAATAAAGATTAATTAAAAAAATAATAACCACCCATCTAGTCTCCGTTCCGTGGGTTCAATTGTTTTGATTTTTAGGTCCCACAAATAAATGAGAACACATAATGTTTGTCTTTCTGTGCCTGGCTTATTTCACTTAACATAATGATCTCCAGTTCCATCCATGTTGTTGCAAGAGGCTGGGAAGGGTAGTGGAGTTTGGGGAGAAGTAGGAGATTGTTAATGGGTACAAAATACAGTTAGAATGAATAAGACCTACTATAGGATAGCACAAGAGGGTAACTATAGTCATTAATAATTGTACATTTTAAAATAACTAAAATAGTTTAAATGGATTGTTTGTAAAATGAAGGATAAATGCTTTAGAAGATGAATACCCCATTCTTCATGGTGTGATTATTTCACTTTGCATGCCTGTTTCAAAATATCTCATATACCCACATATACACCTACCATGTATCCATACAAATTAAAAATTGAAAAAATGTAATATATGTATTCATACTCGATAAACTTATTTATTCCACTTGGATAGAGAAACATTTAGAATGTCATTAGACCACAGACAATAATGGTTAATATTATATTTATTATTTAAATAATTATAAACCAGCCTTATATAAATGTTAGAAAAAAATCAATATAGATGAAACATCCTTTTATGAGGCAAAGAATAAAATCAAACTGTGAAATATTTTTGATATTAAGCCATCAAGACTTACTAAAATCCTTGTGTATGTGGTTCCTTTATGTATAGGAAAATACAATAATTAATTAGATAAACAGTTGGTAATTTTATTCCAAGCCAAGAGAACCCATTTTCCAAATAGTTAGCTTTATAAATACAAAGATATTTCATCATTATTAATGTATCTTTTCTTATACATAGTACATGTTTTCATCTTTTATGTTCTTAATTTTGCAATTCAAAATACTAAGTTCCCATCTGTAAGTTATATATAGTTTAATATTGCTGGCTGGCATGTTTAGGATTCTGGAGCCAATGTTTATATTTTTCAAATCTAGATCAAGTTAATATCCTTGCACATTATTATAATACTAGTGACTTCCTGGGAATGCTATGTAAATAAAAAATTCTTTGTATGAATTTCAGTTTGTAATTTAGATCAAACTAATAATGACTGCAGTCATTATTCCCTCCTTTAATACAGAAAATAATCATATGCCTCTTTCTTTTATTTTTTAAATGAAGTTATCTATGATCCTGAATTCTGATTCATTGTGATGCGTACTGGATTTATTTCGTTTTTATCAGGTTGTCCTGACAAAAGCTTTGGATCCAAATGTAAAAGTCCACTTGGTGGATTTCAGGGATGTATGAGGCTCATTTCTATCAGCGGCAAAGTGGTAGATCTGATTTCAGTTCAGCAGGGGTCCCTTGGGAACTTCAGTGACCTTCAGATAGACTCATGTGGCATCTCAGACAGGTAAGGGCAATCTCACTTCATTTTGACCTGCTTTCAAACTTTGGCATCAGATTAAAATTTATGTATAAGATGAACAATTATTCTTTCCTCTTCCCCATTCTTATCTGTTCCACAGGAAATGAATTATATTTACATTAGAAATAAGAAAAAATGCACCCTTTGTTTAAATGTCATATTTTAAATGACAACATTTGGAAGACTTGGCCATGTTATGTATGGCCACGTATGTACACATGCTACCAGTTCGCCAAAGATAATGTTGATGCTGCTATAATTTTAGACAAGTATAGATGTATTAAAAATATGTCATTAAACTCAATATATTAAGGCACTTGAACAGTAAAATTGATCATCAGGTACCAATAAATTTGAGACTATGTAGTCAGTTATCAAACTGGCATTTGCTACCCTGACAGCAGAATATTTTCCAAGGCAGGGGAATTCAGCTGGTTGCACTTCTCCTAATGTGCCTTTTTAACAACCCATTACCATCTTCTCTGGAGGGAAAATGAAAATGAACTTCTCTAGAGAAGCTTGGGGTTGTGGTATTGATCAAGGTATAAGGATGATCAAAGAGTTTCAACAAGAGCATCAGTACAGGACATGACAAGGCAGGACTTGAGAGTTAATTGTGGAGGACAAATAACCTTAAAAATAATATATATTTTTGGCTGGCGCAGTGGCTCATGCCTGTAATCCCAGCACTTAGGGAGGCCAAGGCAGGTGCATCACCTGAAATCAGGAGTTCGAGACCAACCTGGCCAACCTAGTGAAACCCCATCTCTACTAAAAATACAAAAATTAGCTGGGCATGGTGGCGGATGCCTGTAATCCCAGCTACTCGGGAGGCTGAGGCAGGAGAATCACTTGAATCAGGGAGGCGGAGGTTGCAGTGAGCCAAGATCACGCCATTGCACTCCAGCCTGGGCGACAGAGCGAGACTCTGGCTCAAAATAAATAAATAAATAAATAATATTTTTTTGAGACAAGGTCTGGCTCTGTCGCCCAAGCTAGAGTGCAGTGGTGCGATCGTAGCTCACTGCACCCTCCACCTCCTTAGCTCAAGCCATCCTATCTCAGCCTCCTGAGTCACTGGGACTGCAGGCACACAACACCAGGCCTAGCTAATTTTTGTATTTTTTTGTAGAGACAGGGTTTTGCCATGTTCAGGTTGTTATGCCCACTTCAGCCTCCCAAAGTGCTGGAATTACAGGCATGAGTCACTGTGCCCAGCCAAAAATAATAATTAATAGTAATAATTGAAACCTGTGGTTAGGCATGAGCAACTATAGCTAAGTCATCTTGCCAGTCATGCTTTAATATCAAGGCTGTTAATTTTAATTATTGAGTTTAATGGAATGCCATAACCATTACAGATTAAACAATTTTTAAAACAGTGTGACCAAATTAGCCTCTACCCTGTAGTAATGTTCAATATGTATTTTGAATAAATACATAAATTATGAGAATCAAAAGTAACTTTTTACTTTTATAAGACATTTTGTCAACAAAAAGACTCTTCTATTTATATCCAATGGACCACTCAGTAATATTTGTCAATCCTATTTTGAACACTAATAAATACTTCATTATGTCTAGAAAACAGTAATAATAACCATATTCAGCAATAAGAGTGGCAGGACATAATTTCCTCCCCACAAATACTCATTTATTTGTTTAAAACAATTTGCAGAGAAAACAATTCTTTATATAATGAAAGATGATATGAAAAGAGAGAATTTAGACGTTAAACCTCAACTGGCTAGATTTGGGGATTGAATGACTTTTGGGTCCGTTTGTTGTGAACTTGTCCATAGTTACAACCTTAACAGCTCTGGAACCTAAAACCTGATTTAGGAGAGGGCACGCAGAGAGGCTTCCTGGGCCTGGCTTCTCAATAGGAGACTTGCTTACAGAGCAGGGACTCCCCAACCCCTGATGGGGAGCAGCCATCAGGGAAACTGGCAGGGAGAGGCTCAGTCACGCACACTCTGAGTGGTAGTGCATGTTGATTATCTCAGATTGCTGAACATTCATTTGGTACAAGTATATCTACCCTTCGTCCTGTGTGGACATGTTCTGGAGCTGCCATGTCACACAAGGACTCCCGGTTGCCTACTTTCTGAAGGTACATACTTTCTGTAAAATAGAGGACCATCAGCACATTTGGAGAACACATCACTTTAGTGCCATACCTTAAAAATGCTTTTCAGAAATAGTTAGCAAATTATGGATAGATCTTGACTATACATGTTTCTTTTTAAAAGATGCTTTAGGCTAACAGTAATCCTAACAATCTTAAAAATATAGCAAAAATCAAAGTAACATTTGCATACTTTTTAAATTTCCAAGCGTATCTGTAAACCTGTTGTCTTATACTCAGAAGAAGATGTATATTTAGTTTGGTCTTATATACTATACCTACTGACATGGCATCCCAAGATGGATGGCATCCCAAGAATTAAATGGAGCCTTAAAAAAAAAATCTGTGTACCAGGCCTTATGCTAAGCACTTAAGATGAATGAGCATTTAAATCAAGCCTCACAAAATCTCTTAGAACCTGTTCTTCATAGTGTTTGTTTCCTATAAGTATGGAAACAGATGCACAGAGAGAATAAGTTGGCTAAAATGACATGGCTAAGAAAAGGCAGAGCCCAGCCTCTAACCCCAGCACTCTGGATCCAGGGAAGTCTCCCTGAAATGTTTGCCTGCCATGCCATGCAGCCCCTCTGGGTGCAAGTTAACATTTGGGGTGGTTAGTATTTAATCCATGCGTAATAAATGTATCATTTGATGGTTCAATAAACTATAATTAAAAACAAGCATTAACAGCCAGCCAGACACGGTGACTCACACCTGTAATCCCAGCACTTTGGGAGGCCAAGACGGGTGGATCACCTGAGGTCAGGAGTTCAAGACCAGCCTGGCTAACATAGCAAAACCACGTCTCTACTAATAATATATATATATATAAAATTAGTCGGGCATGGTGGCACATGCCTATAATCCCAGCTTCTCGGGAGGCTGAGGCAGGAGAATCGCTTGAACCCGGGAGACGAAGGTTGCAGTGAGCCAAGATTGTGCCATTGCACTCCAGCCTGGGCAACAAGAGTGAAACGCCGTCTCGAAAAACAAAAACAAACAAACAAAAAACCAGGAAGTAACATTAAAAACATTAACAATCTGACGGGAACTTAAAATAATGCAGGTTTTTAAAAAAAAACTGTAATACTTTAAGTTGGCTCAAACCTACAGATAAAGGTGTAAATACAAATACACACACATGCTCACATTCATACCACATGGCTATTCACACACACTCTACACACATGCACCAATGTGGCCTTTGCACACTGTTTCTCTCATGTGGACACATTCATATGCTCATTCACATAGTCCAAAGCTCCTTACACTTTCACACACCATCCTCACACACGTTTACACAACTCACATATTAATCCTTACTCATGCACACTCACACACAACCATCCTTTTACACTTCTACACTCATAAGTCCTTCCCAGACTTCTTATATTCACATCTTCCTTACACAGAGTCACTCCCTACGCAAACACACACAAACACACACATACACACACACACACACTCTTAGAAGCCCTCCCCTTGTCCTCTGTGGACATGCAGTGGGGTGGCCCTCAGTCCAGGGACTTCGGAGAGGGGTGGCGAAGGGGTGAGTACAGAACTGAAAAGGCAGCTGCTATCCAAGTCCTCACATCTGGGGCTGAAATGTGAGTGGGGCTGGGGCAGGAGTGATGGCTACTAAGACAACAATTCTTACAAAGTTGCTTGGACGTAAAACACTTATTAAAGGAAATTGTTTAGTATATCATTTGGTATCAAAGCACACTGGGGCTGCAGAGACCCCTGACAGGAACTAAGAGGCTGTTGAGTGACAACGTCAACCTTGTGACCTTAGCAAGCACAGCACCCACCTCCTGGCTTCCTTGCCTCCAGCCTCTGCACCTCCGTCACCTGTCCTTCCAATCCACCCCTACTATCCAGCCCTCAGGTTCTGGCCTCCAGCCTCCATGGCACCGTCCTCCATCCAGGCCCGTTGTTTTCCTCTTCCTTTCTGGTGGAGTTTCTACCTGCCTACCTTCCCTCCCCTCTTCTCCATGGAGCCCCAAGCCTGCCCTTTGTTCCTTATACTCACACACAGGGTTTATTCCAGTTGATTTGAAGATCGTGGTGTTATTCCGCCTCCTGTAATACTGAAGGCATGGCCCTTTTGGAGGCGAGGGCTAGGGATATGAGGAGGTTGATTCTTGTCAATATCAAAGTTTTGCGGAAGAATGTAAGATTTGAATTGTGGTGGTGACCATTATCCTAGCGCTCATTGGCACTTAAGTTTATTTCCCTAAATGTGATAATGTTGTATAGAGTTTACTTCAATATTAATTCCAGCAAACCTTTACATTGTATGAAAGTTTTTGAAATTTACATTGTAATGGACAGGGAATCATGAGAAATCAAAATCTTACTATCACTTTAGGTTTGGGTATGTTGATGTAAGCATTTGTTCAAGTTCACAAGCAATGGAAAGGATGGCAATGTCCAAGGAAAAGCTTTCGTGGCTAGAGAAAATGGGTTAATCAATTGTCTTATCTTGTATTGGAGTGAGTAGGGAGGAGAAAAGTGTAAAATACAATGGTTTAGAACATTTGGTGAGAATGAGTACTATAGAACCTAAATTGCCATAGGTTACTAGTAGTAAACATTATGATAATATAATGACTTTAAATAAAATTCACAATTTAATCTTTCACATTTGAATTAAAAATAGGAAAAATCTAGTCTAACAAGAATCAAGAAAAATTGACTCAGTTGGTCTTTTTGAAGCAGATCAAATAGAAATAACATATGTATCACAACCATTTAAGAGTCATTCTTTTGGATTTTAGGCAAAGCCACTTATGTTGAACTCTTTTTAAAACATGGTTTGAGGTTTGCTATAGAATAGCCTTTGGTTTTACGTTCCTGCATTAGTTTGCTAAGGAAGTGGCCTCCAGCTCCATCTATGTTCCTGCAAAGGACGTGATGTCATTCTTTTTTATGGCTGCATAGTATTCCATGGTGTATAGGTACCACATTTTCTTTATTTGGTTTATCATTGATGGGCATTTTAGGTTGATTCCATCTCTTTGCCATTGTGAATACTAATGCAATGAATACGACATGTTCTTACTTATAAGTGGGAGCTAAATGATGAGAACTCATAGACACAAAAAGGGGAACAACACTTACTGGGACTTACTGGAGGTTGGAGGGTGGGAGGAGGGAGAGGATCAGGAAAAATAACTAATGGGTACTAAGCTTTATACCTGGGTGATGAAACAATCTGTACAACAAACCCTCATGACACAAGTTTACCTGGTAACAAACCTGCTCATAAGTTACCCCTGAACTTAAAATAAGAGTTAAAAAATAAAAAGACATAAGTATACTCCGTGAGGGGGGCAGAGGGGGGAAGCCTTCTCTGAATAATGTCCTTTCTGGTTTGATTACCAACTAGAATTTTTATTGTTTTAATATTTTTAAATCTCCCTGTTTTTACACATTGTCATTGATTTGAAATGCTTAAAATTAAATAAATCCTGACACATTTTTAATGAATTCCTGTGAATCTATAAAAAAGCTAAATATGTATAAACTTAATGGATATGAAGAGATGCCCATTATTAATTTTTGGTTTCTTAAAAAGCAGATTGTAAAGTAGCATTTCTTTATGATTATATTTATGGATATACACACATATCTATATGTTTGTAGTGGTCATTCATACACAGTGAGATTGTCAGTGACATTTCTTTTTTATTTTTTCCTGGATTGTTTAATTTCTCTACAGTGAACATCTCTTTTTTTATAATCAGGAAAAATACATAATATTGTTTTTAGTTAAAATTGGAAAAAATTCTGTAAGCAAAATGTAAAGTTTCCATCCTTTGTTTTAATAAAGGAGATGGCAGACCTGTAATCCCAGCACTTTGGGAGGCCGAGGCGGGCAGATCACGAGGTCAGGAGATCGAGACCATCCTGGCTAACATGGTGAAGCCCCGTCTCTACTAAAAAATACAAAAAATTAGCCAAGCGTGGTGGCAGGCACCTGTAGTTCCAGCTACTCGGGAGGCTGAGGCAGGAGAATGGCATGAACCTGGGAGGCGGAGCTTGCAGTGAGCCAAGATCGCGCCACTGCACTACAGCCTGGGCAACAGAGTGAGACTCCATCCCAAACAAATAAAAATAAAGGAGATTGCGGAAACCCTATTATGTATATATTCTTGGCAGGTTTTGTAGGTTTTTTTTTTGTTTTGTTTTGTTTTGTTTTGTTTTTTAATCTGGGATGAATGAGGGCACTTAAAACCTTTGTCTCTTGGTGTGTTTCATTCTGAATCCTAACAGGTATCAATAATTTGATCACGGCTATTTGATCAAGTTCCCAAGCTGTTGGTGCATGGTGCTCTGCCTGTCTCAGTAACTGTTTGCTGCACCTGTAAGCCAAAAGATAGACCTAACACTTTGATTTTATAAGGGGCTTAGCTACAAATAACTTAATAAGTGTTTATTTCCTTACAACTGGCTAACAGTGAGATGAGGCCATCTGTGTTTGCTTCTTGGTGCTTAAAGAAGTTAGGCTCCTACCTCCCCAGAGACTGGGAGACAGGGGCTGTATCTTTCTTAATGCTTACATTTCAAAGGGGTGACTCCCAGGTCCTTGAAAGACATACCTGGGTTGTAAAAGTGGCAAGTGGCTGGGAGAAGATTTACATCTGAAGGGGACAAAGAAAGAATTGATCACTGAAAGTTTTCTAAAGTAAACGCTCTAAGATAAGGCAGGTCAAGGGCCTGTAGTCCGCAAGAAACCTATCTAAATTGTGGTTAAGGAGAGGGGAATGTTAGTACCATTTTAGTCCTTATAATAAGGAAAAAAAATCCATAATATCTCTTTCAGATAAAATTGGAAAAATTTTATAAGCAAAACGGGAAGTTCTCATCCTTAGTTTTAATAAAGGAGACGGTAGAAACCCCATCACAAATGTGTTCTTGCAGGTTTTGTAGTTTATTTAGTCGTTAATCTGTAATGAATGAGGGCATTTAAAGTCTTGATCTCAGTGTATCTTTCATTCTAAATCCTAAAAGGCATCAAAAATCTGATTAGGGCTATTTGAGTCAATAACAAAACTTTCCAAACTTTTTCATCTATGGTGCCCTATGTGTCTCAGTAATTTTGACTGTGCTGCTAACCCAAAAGACTTTCGTAACACTAGCAATGTATCCCTAACCTTAAAAAGTGGTTTAGGTCCAAAAAACTTAACAATGCCATAACAACTTAGGAGCCTTTTGAAAAAAATAATATACATGATTTGGAAAAAATTATTTTTAATTAAACACAGTTACTTAGTATTTGGACATGTGTACCTGTTGAACACGGCACCGTTTCTCAAGACTTGAAACCAGATCAGACTCCAGAGCCAGGCGTGGTGGCACAAGCCTGTAATCCCAGCTACTCCAGAGGCTAAGGCAGGAGAATACAGGAGGCAGAACCCCTGCTTGAACCCAGGAGGCGGAGGTTGCAGTGAGCTGAGATTGTGCCACTGCACACCAACTGGGGCAACAGAGTGAGCAGCTGTCTCAAAAAAAAAAATGAGACTCCAGTAGCCTCATATTTTTGTTCAATATTGATTTCACATGGTACTTGCTTTTTAAAAAATCAGTTACTAAAACTCTGCTCCCCAAAGATAGGATGTGATTAAAGGGAATATATAATGATCTAATGTTGAAACTAAACTACCTCAAGCTAGTTAGTCACACGGTGTTTGATAGATGTTGAGTATGACAGATATTTCTCTTGAAGACTTAAATTATCCTGGGAGTCCCTATGAGTTCTGTTTTGCACCTTAGAGCACCCCAACACACTGCTTGAAATTTGTGAGCCTATACTGTGTATTCTCCTACATTCCTAGAAGTATACCTCAAGTGAAGAAAGGTATTCCTCTGTCTTCCTTTTTTCTTTTCTTCTTTTATCTGTATTCCTTCTTTCAGTGTTCAAACAATGTAGCAATTCAATGTGATAAAATGTTATTTCATGTATGCTGTTGATATTTCTGCCAACATATTGAATTCGTGTTATGTCACTGAGGGAAAATGAAGGGCTCTGATGTAGTGGGACATGTTGAAAATTAAGCAGTCACAACTATCTGAGAATTGGCTGAAATCTGATGAATTTATTGATCTAAGGTTTAGTTCTGTGATTAAAGTGATTAACAACAGACTGAAGCATCATTAGTCATTATGTTATAGTTGACATCTGTCTTTCTCATGACCAAGTATAAATGGTCAATACTTTAAGATATCTAAAAATGGAAACTGGTGATTGTATCTGCACCTTCTTTTAGGTGTTTGCCCAACTATTGTGAACACGGTGGGGAGTGTTCCCAGTCCTGGAGCACCTTTCATTGTAACTGTACCAACACTGGTTACAGAGGAGCTACTTGCCATAACTGTAAGCGGAACACATCTGCTTTTTCTTGCCCCTGTGATGGTTTCTTTGTCCCATTTCCCTTTTCATTGCTGTGTGTATATATGTCTGTTCTGTGCAAACTCAGCATCCAGTGGTTAATCCACATCTCATTTCATAAAGTCGTCAAGATAGCCTATAAAAGTACATAATATGAAACAAACTTGGCAAAGGGAAAATACATATAGAAGATGAAAGGTAGCTAAGGGTTGAAAACTAAGAAAATGCAGAACGTGAATTTTGTTATCTTGTTCTGTTACTCAAATTGGGCCAGCATTTTGACACTAAACTTTCTAGAAGGCGCAGTACAAGTGGAAACATGCTCAGTTACCAAATTCTTACTATTCATACAATTAAACAAAGAGATTCTCAGAAACAGCCCTGGTTGGAGTGGGTTGGGGTGGTTTGTGGTATGAAGATTCAGATATCCAGTAGAGACTAGATGCCATAGTCTGTTTGGATAGCTGTAACATAATGCCATAGCCTAGGTGACTTACAAACTGCAGAAATGTATTTCTCACCATTCTGGAGGCTGAGAAGTTCAAGATCAAGATGCCAGCAGATTAGGTGAGGGTGTGCTTCCTGGTTCATAGACTTCCATCTTCTCACTGTGTCCTCACATGGTGAAAGGGGTGAGGGATTTCTCTGGGAAATCTTTTACAAGGGCACTAAATCCCACTCATGAGGGCTTCACTCTCATGGCCTAATCACTTCACTAAGGCCCCACCTCCCAATACCACCATATTGGGGACTAGGTTTCAACATACACGTTTTGAGGGGACACAAACCTTCAGTCTATTGCGCTAGATAATTCTTATGTTATCTTGCAACCCTATTTAATGAGGGTGATAAGGAAAAGGGTGGTAGATAATGATTAAATTATGATGGTAGATAAATAGTTAATTTTATTCAATACTTTCTAAATGTCAGCTACTGATCTAGTATTTTCTATGTCCTAACTCGTTTAATTCTGATGCTCACCCTAGTAGGTGAATACTATTATATGCAACTTACTTATAAAGAAATAGATATTAATCTATTTGTTCAAGGCTACTTAAAATAGTTGAGGCAGAGTGAGGATGTGAACATGTGACAACATCTTCTAGAGCCTGGGATAACAACCAATATCCCTTTTTCCTGTATTACAAATCATGAATTTGTTTTTCTGATGAAATGGATTGCATGTGTTGTAAGGCCCATGTTATTTCATTGTCCAGTTGTTCTGGCGCACAAATGGGAAGACCAAAATGCCCATTTCCCCCCCATTTTTTCCGATTATTACTGACATTTCTGAGCAACTGAACTCTTAGTATTACCTCCTATATCCTTGATTTAAGGTAAGAGTATAAGGTACAAAGCCATCAGTCTCACCACCCTTGGTCTATTACACTATACACTGCATTGTGCTCCTGCCAGTGTTTGGAATCCTGGGCTCCCAGCTCTGGGGGCCTGCACAGAGGACCCTCAGAAGCCCTGATTCGGTGCTGGGGAAGACATCATCAAGAGAATCTCTCAGCTCTACCACTGTTGTTGGAGTCATTTCTGGGCATGAATTGTGTATACTGAGGTGCCTCATAAGATTTTTATGAAGAATATTGGCTGGTAATAAAGCCACACCTCACCTGTACTTGCATGCCACGTTATTTGACCCAGGACACCCAGCTAGTGGAAGGACAGTATATTTTAATTTTTTACATCCTCCATTATCCCCATGTAGTAACTAACTCAAAACAGAAAGCTATTCAGTGTTTTCATCGACTATTCATTTTAATTGTTATCAGTGACTGAATCTAAATATAAACCAAACAACTCTGAAGACAAAAATTAGGTAATAAATAAAGTTACTTTCATCTGTGACCCACAATTTGATACAATAATTGAGTTTCATTTATTAGGTTCTTGAAAAGACAGCTGTAATAGAACTGAAGGGTTTTTGCCCATAACTATTCCGAGAAATGAAGCCAGAATGACAGTCTTGGTTATAGTGGAGGGCAGGAGATGGAGTTTGTTAAAAAGCCTTATTAGGAAATAATCATTAAACAGTCATGTTTTAAAAAGTCAAGCCATACACATAAATCAACAGTCATGTTATAAAAAGTCAAGCCATACACATAAATCAGAAGTCCTTCCGAGTAGTCTCATCCAATCCTTTTCCACAACCAGTCCCACCACAAAGTTATGATATTCTGCCAAGCTCTTTCAAGGACTTTATGAACATATGCATATGTACATAGAAATGTATAAACTAGTCATTTTTACGTACTCTCTTCAGTGCACAAAATGCAAATGTGACTGGAAGATGAACCATGCTTATATCTCTATCAGCATGATATATTATAGGAACAAAATAAAACTGTCACACTGTGGAGAAGTGCGGAAGTAAATTTACATGATTACTTGAAATTTTGGTAACATTGAACAAATTAGCCATAGTATTTCACGTTGTTTAAACACTCATTAACATAATTTTCAAAAGTAAAATAGATTCAGGGACAAATATTCAGGGGATTATTTCTCATTTCACAGAATAAAATGCTTAACAGAAGTTATCAGTATATTTGGCCAAGTGTTCAATGAGAGGTGTGCATTATACACAAGTGTATTAATATGAAACCTTGTACATGGCAAATTTAGGATTACATAATTAAAAACATCCAAACATCCGATTATGGATCTAAACACACTGAAACCACTTGAAGGCATAGTTCATACAAGTATGTCTTCTGCTTTGAATTTTAATTATCTTGAGTTCTCATTATGGAGCATTGGTGGGAGTTTCTTTTGTAAATTACTTAAAATTATTGATGAGCTTTGTGAATCCCATTTGTTTTATGAAAAAAATATTTTATAGTTAATTTTCTGTGAGAATATAGTTGTAACATGATTTAAAGTGTTTCTGTTGTATAATTATTGGCTAACAGCAGATTTTTTAAGGAAGTTACACTGTTGTGCTTCAGACCTTAGGTTATTACAAGGTGCTACTAGGATTTCCAAAATGTGTGCCACAAGATAAGTTATGACATTATACTTATAAGGCTCCAACATTTAAACACCTACCTTCTCTTTCCTTGTTCTTCATAATGTCAAAGTAGCTAAATTTTGATTTTGACCAAGTAATTTCATTTTCCTTTAGTGATTAAAAAAAGTCATAAAATCAACTTCTTTTTTTGCTATCAAATCACTTTCATCCATATTAATTTTAAAAAAGAATGAGTTTTGTTTTAAAGTAAGTTTTGCCTTTTCTCCTGGTCAGTAATGTACATTTTAAATTTCAAGATTTGCGGTATTTCATGTCCAAATTAAAAGTTAAGAGATTCATTTCATGCTATTCCATTAATGATGATTTTTTTTCTTAAAGCTATCTATGAGCAGTCATGTGAAGCCTATAAGCACAGAGGAAATACTTCAGGGTTTTACTATATAGATTCAGATGGAAGTGGTCCCCTGGAACCATTTCTTCTATATTGCAATATGACCGGTGAGTTAATCAGCTTTTATTTTACAGTTAAATTTGCATGCATGTTTTAAATAGGCAAAATTAAAATGAAATAAGCAGAATGTTGACGTAATTTGCAACTTGATTAAAATATGTATTGTTCCTTAGAAAAACTGAACATAAATCTTAAAAAAATAATTAAATGGTAATGATTTTAAATGTCTTTTTTAATGCATGTGGCATCTGTGTAAAACATCTAATAATAAATGTTTCCAATTATGTCCCCAAACAAAAAGGATAGACTATTTATGAGAGAAGATTGATACATGTAAAAGCTTTGAAGAATATTTACTTTTTAAATGTATGTAAACATAAAGTTTACGTCTTCTTGTATTCTTACATAAATTTACATAGAAATTAATAAACATGGAAATATGTTTGATTAAATTCAACATTCATCCATAATTTAAAACACTCAACAAATTACCAATAGAAGGAAGTTACCTTGTTTCGATAAAGACCAGAAAACTTTACAGCCTATATTAGTTTATAGTGGAATTTGAAAGCTTTTCCCATTACCGGCTTTAATACCATTCTCGTCACCATTGTATTGGAGGTCCTAGACAGTGCAATAAAACAAGAGAAAGAAATGAAAAATATAAATATTGGGGAAAAAAAAGACCAAGATTCTCACTATTCATAGATAATCAGGTTATGTATTAAAATACTCTAAACAATTTACAGATAAACTATTAGGATTGTCATTGAACAACAAACATAAAATTAATTTTATTTTTGTATATCAGCAATAAAAATTAGAAAATAAACTTTTAGGAGATCATATTTTCAATAGCATAAAAACCTCAAACACATGGTAGTAAATGTAATGAAAGATGTACAAGGTTTCTACACCGATAATTAGAAAACACCCTTTCAATGAACTAATATCCTAAATAAATGGAGAAATATAAAATGTTCATTGATCACGCCTGTAATCCCAGCACTTTGGGAGGTGGGCAGATCATGAAGTTAAGAGATTGAGACCATCCTGGCCAACATGGTGAAATCTCGTCTCTCCTAAAAATACAAAAATTAGCTGGGCATGGTGGCATGCGCTTGCAGTCCCAGCTACTCAGGAGGCTGAGGCAAGAAAACTGCTTGAACCTGGGAGGTGGAGGTTGCATTGAGCCAAGATTGTGCCACTGCACTTCAGCCTGGTGACAGAGTGAGACTCTGTCTCAAAAAAAGAAAAAAATATGTTCGTTGATTAGAAGACTCAATATTGTATAATATCAGTTCTTCCAAACTAGATATTGATTCCGTGCAAACCTAAATTAAAACTCAAGCAGGGTGTTTGTTTGTAGGTTGGTGTGATTATTTTGGTGAAAATCAACAAGCATATTCTAAAATTATGAGTAAATACACAGAGGCAAGAAGAACCAAGTCAGTGAGTCTTGAAGAACAAATTTGAAGGATTCAGCTCTACTGGATATAGGCATTATACTGATTGGCTACGTAAAGCCGTATATAGCTGTCACAAAGATAAACAAATAAACCAATAAAAACAAAATAGAGAATTTATAAACAGACTCACTCATATATGGATAATTGATTTATTGCCAAGGTGGCATTGATATGTAATGAAGGAAAGATGGTCTTTTCAACCAGTAGTGCTGGTGGAATTTGTACTTAAATGTCAGTAAAAGGAGTATTGATCTCCTCCTCATCAAACACACACACACAAAATAGATTCTAGATGAACTGTGCTGTCCAACATGGTAGCCACTAGCAAGTGCCTATTTGAATTCTAATTTAATTAAAATTAATTACAAAACAAAATGACTGCATTTTAAAAATTTAAACTTAAATTTAAAAATTTAACTAAAATAGGATTAAATAACAGCCGGGTGCAGTGGCTCACACCTGTAATCCCAGCACTTTGGGAAGCCAGGGCGGGGGCATAATTTGAGCCCAGGAGTTCGAGACCAGGCTGGGCAACATAGTGAGACCCCATCTCTATTTTTCTTTTTTTAAGTTTACTTTGTCAGTCTCCCTGGCTGCATTTTAACTGCTTAATAGCCTCCCGGGGCTAGTATGGAGTGTATCATTGTAGATGTAGAACCTTGTCATTTGCTGAAAGTTACAATGAACAGTGTTAGAAGTCAATATTTTATGGAGCAAAACCAAAGGAAAAGGGCAAAATTATTATACATTGAGGCAGAGGGTGTTGCAAGGGGAGATTTGGTACTTAAAATTGAAGAACATATCTTTCGGGCAGAGGAAACAGAAAGTACCAAGTTCTGAGACAGATGATCTTACTTACCAGGTGTGTTCAGAAAACAGCAACAAACCTAGGATAGCGGGAGTATGGTGAGTAAGTGGGGCGTAGGAAGAGAGGAGAGAGGCAAGTTGGGTGGGGAGGGGAAGAGTATGGGCTTCATGACAATGTTGTAAGACCTTTGGTTTTTTACTCTGAAATGAGATGAGAAGACACTGAGGAGTTTATTTTTTTATTTTTTTTTTTAATTTTTATTATACTGTAGTTTTAAGAAACGGTGGGATGCAATCTGACTTCCTTTAGTTGGATTGCAACTGCTCCTGGGTTAGGGAATGCTTCTTCAGGAGCATGGGTGGAAAAGAGTGATGAGACTATGCATATTGTACTTTATAAGATACAATTTCAGTATCTTAATTGTATTGGGAGACCATTTCAAGTAATGCAAAAATCCAGGACTGATTGTACAAGATAATAGCACTGTAGATGGAGGAAAGGTGTTAGATTTTTCTCTTTGCATAGCTATGAGGTGTGAGAAAACAAAAAGCCAAAAATAACGACACAGTTTTTGCCCTGAGTAATTGAGTGTTTGAATTGTCATTATTTAAGATGTGATCAGAAAAGGTTTAAGGTGAAAGATCATAAGCTCTGTTTTACACAATTTTTTTTTTTTTTTAGTTTGAGATGTCTGTTTTTCCATGTTCAAACAAGATTCTGAGGAGGCATTTGAATATGGGAGCAACCGCTTCTTTATACTAATGAATGTTTAGTTCTAAAAACTGCAGGTGGTGGCAAACTCTGTGCCAACACATATTTTGGCAGAAATTGCTATAAATTAGTATCTTCAAAGGTTTTTCATTTAACACAACTTGGTAGCTTCTATCTGTCTCACAACCATTGAGGACATTGCCTCATACACCAAAACAGCCCAAACAAATGGTGTTCCTGCATATGTGTCTTCTCAATGAAGCTCTCCCGCCTGTGCAGTACAAATGCCCAGACAGCACTGCAGGTGCTTCTCATCCAGTGCAACCACTGAGTTGGGCCAATGGAAATAATATCATCATGGATCTTCCCAAATGATTCTTATGTGTACTTAGGTTTGGGAATCACTGTTTTAGACTTCATGGTTCTCAAACTTCAGTATGCACTGGCAACTCTGGTATGCGAGAATTAAACATAACAAATGTGAGAGGACTTTACAGAGAAAAAAAGAGAGAAGACTTTACAAGTGTAAGATATGAATTCCAGTGCCAAAATGTTTTATTATTTTTTTTCCAGCTTGGATAGGTTGGATTGTGAGTGAGATTTATGTAACAATCCACCACTGCAAACCTGTAAATTCTATGTTCCCATAAATGCATCCGGATCTATACACATACACATGTTATAGGAAGTTTCATTCTGAAATTAGACAGCGATAGGTTGATAAATATCTCTAGTCTTTGAAGTTTTAAGAAACACACACACACACACACACACACACACACACACACACACACACACATCCATTCTCATTGTTTGCAGTCGTTATGTTCCGTAAAGTAACCAAGAACACTGGATTGGAAAACACTGAACAAATTACTCCTGGGGGAATCACAGTACAATTAGTTTCTTGCAAGCCTCTGGTCACAACGGTCTCATTCACCAATCAATACATAATCTTGTTTTATGTGTGTTTCAGGTTAAAGACACCTTATTTAATACATACTGTTGATTCATTAACATTGAGCTCATGGCCAAGAGCACTGTAGCTCACGCCTGAGCAAAGCTTATCTAACATACGTGTTTTCTTTCTAGGGCTCAGTGCGTGCAACCTTCTGTGCTTAGGAGCACTCGACAACATTTCTGGGAGTAGGGGGCGTTTTAAACAGCAAAATCACCAATGAGTAGCACAAAAATGCAAAAAAATGTGGCACTTAATAGACTACAAATGAGACATTTGTTCATAGTATGAGAGCTGAAACAGGAAAACAATGTTTCCTTGTTCAGCTCTAACGGGGTATGTGAATGTCAGGCAGGCCAAATTTTTGCAGCTCTGTTTGTGTTCACAAATGACTGTGAAAGCATTGGGGTTACAAATAAATTTTAGCAAGTAGGCAAATTCACAAGTAATGAGAATCTGTGTGTGATGAATATCGACTATATATCTTATGTTTATTATGGGCAATAATTTAGTAATTTATAGGCCATATGTATTTTTTATTAACTAAATGATAATGAAATTATCAATTTTATTTTATTGAATATATTATTTAAATTAAATCAACATTTACTTTTTTATATTACATAGCAAATTAATGTACATTATTATAGAAGATATATCTTTGATAAACAAATTATTTGGGGAAAAAATTGTAGTTAAGACTAAACAATTCTAAGAGACCTGAAGAGTGTGTATGTGTGTGTGGGGAAAGAGAGAGAGAGAACAAATTCCATGTTTTAGGAGCTTAGATTTTGAAATGAGGTCAGATGGGTCATAGATCCCAAAGAGGAGAGAAATGAAAAAAAAAAAAAAAAAAAAGACTGGAGTCACTGGAAGTATGCAGAGATTAAAGGTGCTTCATTCAGCAAGATTAAAAGTATTGATGGAAAAGAGGACATTCAGAAAATTTAAAGCCACGTGGATAGCAAGATGTTCAGAAACACAGATACCCAGAGACAGCTAAATGTCTCCAGTAGCTCTGGAATATTGGAACATATTCAAACAAAAGTGACAACCCAGAGTATTGCAACCCAGTGAGAAATACGTGTTACTACTTGAAACTTTCCTTATTGATCTAGTTTTGCAAATGAGGAAGCCAAGAATGGGGGAGGTTAAGTGTAGGAGGTATAGCTTGAAACTCTCCTTATTGATCTGGTTTTGCAAATAAGGAAACCAAGGCTCAGGGAGGTTAAGTGTAGCAGGGTGAAAATATTGGTAGGAATAGATCAAGCACTGGTCTCTTTTCTCACAGCCTGAAAGTTTTTCCACTAGGAAGAGTTACCTTCTATCAATGTTTCATTGCTTGCAGCCAATAGCATATCTTCTAGTTATATAGATCAGGTATAATGACTGCTGAAAATAAGACAAAATGCTGAATCACCAACATGCAAATATGTGTCTTATTAAAAAATCCAGTTTTTAGTCTAGAACTAGTGTCAAGTGATTCCACATGTATTAAAATACCTCTAAGCATTATAAGCTAAAATCTACAAAAAAAATCTCTATTTTGAATGGATAATTTCTTAAACGATGTTAAAAGCTGAAATTTCTTTGTAAACAGTTTTCCAAACATAGTTTCAAAATAATTAGTTAGAGTAAGGTGAATCCCAGGGGCTGTCCGTATTGCTTTTTCTTTTCTTTTCTTTTTTTCTTTTTTTGAGACAAAGTTTCACTCTTGTTGCCCAGGCTGGAGTGCAATGGCACGATCTCGGCTGGTCTAAACCTCCGCCTCCCAGGTTCAAGCATTTCTCCTGCCTCAGCCTCCCGAGTAGCTGGGATTGCAGGCATGCACCACCACGCCCAGCCAATTTTGTATTTTTCGTAGAGATGGGGTTTCTCCATGTTGGTCAGGCTGGTCTCGAACTCCCGACCTTAGGTGATCCGCCTGCCTCAGCCTCCCAAAGTGCTGGGATTGCAGGCATGAGCCACTGTGCCCAGCCTTCATTGCTTTTTCTATAATGAAATTGTTTTATGTTCAAGAAGTTTCTTGTTATCAAATATTGCACTGTAAGGATGATTGTTCCAGAGGGGAGAAATTGATGAGTGCCAGAACAGAGACTTTCAAGTTTTTCTAAAAGTGAAAACTCTATGGGTTAAACTCACCCCTTCTCATGGTCCCATTACTGAGACTCCTGGGTTTAGTTTCCCTGACTCAGTAAGTTTAGAACACAAGGTCTGGGTCTCTGCATTACTAACAAGTACCCCAGGTGATTCTGAGATAGGAGCTCCTGAGACCATTTCAGGAGAAAGCTGGAGAGCATAAGACTTACAATAGCATAATTATTTTTACTTTAGAGATTTCAATAATAAAGGCCTTCTTAACAGCTATGAGGGTTAATACATAACTGTCCATTATTCAAATGCAGTCTTATTTACATCAAGCTTTGCTCCAGAAGGCTGGCTCTCTCCCCTCCTGTCTCCTCTGCTTTCCTTAAGACAGCACTTCCTACCTGCTCTTAGGGTCTTTATCACATCTATCACCTTCAGCTATTCAGCGTGAAGCAACACAAGCTTTGCAAGTGTATTGCTTAAACAGCATGTTTTCACTTTGCACTGTTATCACACTAAAAAATAGCAGCCAGCCTAAGGTAAATCCAGTTGTTAATTACTCAGTTGCTTTATTTACAAATATTGAAATCTCTTCAGGGGGAGACGTGAGTAGACCCAAACTACCATTCAATGGAGATTTTCTGCCTATTTCAGCCATCTCTTATTCATTTCCCTGTCTCCTTACCCTACCACTCTTTTTGCATTTAGTAAAAGATAATTGGTAATAAAGTAAAATCATGATTCTCATACAGATATGAAAATAAAAGTTTAAAAGTTTTAAAGATTTTTAAAATGCATTATTAATGAAGAAATTGGAAAGATATTACAACCAGTTCGAAGGAGAATCCAAAGAAAAGATGTATCTACACATTAGGAACACAGAAACAAATGTGCATACGGAGGCAACACTGGATTCATCCATGGTGGAGGAGGGAAGTCACTAGAACCTCAACCAGGTAGCAGTTGCTTGTCTACAGACAAGACAAGAATTATTTGTTGTAAGGAAACAGTGCCTGTATTTCTAGACAAAGACAAAAAAAAAAGTCTGGCAACCTACGTTAAAGGATGATTAAATGCATCTTGGAAGTTAGAGATAGAGAATTGCTCTGAAGAGATTTAAAGGCTTATCTCCCCCAGATGCATTTGCTTATTTTCTAAGAGTAATAAAAACCTAAGGACTGTACCTTCTCTCCTCTAAAGAAAATTTGTGACATTCCAGAGCCAAAGTCTCTCTATCACTGTATGGAGGGAAGGAGGAGAGAGTGTGCCAGGCACCCTCTGTAAGCCCAAGCCTCATAATTTTGTGAACCTCCTCTTGTGGTGCAAGTCCAGCAGGCACAGCTCTATCTAGCACTCACTGCATGTGCAGGTGGGAAATTGAGGTATGAGAGATTGATGCTGATTAGATTCTCTATGAGCGAATGGTCCCTGATTCAGAGGTCCTCTGTGTCTGTTAGTATAGATTAGACAGGTAGGTAGGTAGTAGATAGATCATAAACAGATAGATATTATCTGTGTATTGGCAAGATAACTCCTTAACTTGCAAGTGGGATAACATCTCAGGGCCCAGCACAGTTTCAGATTTAACATTATTTAGCAATTCTATTAGTTATCTACAATGTATAGAATTATATAACAGCTCAAAGCAACGAACATGTCAGAGCCACCGCAGCATCTGAATCAGATAACCTAGGAGGTTGTGCTCTAATCTAGACAATGTGTTGTTTTTATTCATTCGTTTGTTTATTCCCTCATTTCTTCAACAAATGTCTTCTGCGTTTTCTATCAAGCCTTGTGCTGTGTGCTGGAGATATGATTGTTACCAGATCACAAACTATTGCTATTCTCATAGAGCTTACAGACTGGTAGGAAAGACCAGTAAAGTCAACCACAAAGTATTGAATTACAAATTGTGATGAAGTGCATGTCTTTTACCACTCTTATTCCTAAATAGGTGTTTGTAGAAACTTCGGATCACTCAATCATGTCTGAAAGAACAGTAAAGAGGCTCTAATTTGAGACTTTTCAGAGATTTCCAGATTAATGAAGCACATGAGGTTTGGAACCTGGCTTTTAAGGCACCTATCTCCGTTGCTCAAAATCTATTGTGACAATTTCATTGTGTCTGTTCTGCCCTGGAAATCTAGATGGCCTGATAAGTGTGGCGTCTGTTTAACATCATACCTTGTAGTGCTTTTTATTAGAGAATAAAATCACTTACAGGGACTATCATAATATTGAAATATTTTAGAATTTCAAAAGGAAACGTTGTTATGAGCTACTCTTTAATGGTTGCCATGCACTATGGCCTTGAATCTCTTGCAACACCTTTAAATACCTTTAGAATCAGGTGTTAATTGTGACCCAGTGGATGCTAAACTACAGGGAAGTCTCACTCAGTGTGATCCAGAAGGGAAAGAGACAAAGGCTTCAAGCAGGTATATTGTCCGCCTTGCTTGGTAGCTAGCTTCTTCTTGCATGCCATTGATTTACCGCAAGAAAAGGTGAATAGTTTTTTTGAACAAAAGAAACAGAGTCCAACAGTGGCTAGGCTGTCAGGTTTGTCTAGTTAATAATAACCTTAAACTTCCGATAGCCAAGGTTGAGTTGGCTGAAATTACAGAATTTCAGACCTCGTTCTGCCAATTTAATTTCCAAATTTGGAAATGGAGGCTCAGATTTTACCTGACTTTCCTAAGGGCACAAGATCCATGCCAGATCTGCAACTCAGATCTCTTAATTGACTTCGACATTATACTGCTGGCCACCCGTAATTTCATTGGCTGGTAGATTAAGTTCTGTTTGAGAGCATTCTACTGTTGAAGGGTGAACTGAAATGCAAGGGGGAAATACAAAAATAACAGCTATTGTTTCGCAGAAAAATAATAATCCACACATGGAAGGCAATAATTCTGTGAAGTTGGTCCAGCCTCATTTAGCCTGCCTCTCTAATCCAAACTCTGATGACTGGGAAAGGAATGGGAATGAAATTTTCAAAGTATACCTCCTTATTTGGATTGTTGATCCATGTGAATGTCTTAGCTAAAAAGAGAGGGGAAAGTTTTGCCTACTATTACTATTTTTCTCCAATTTGGGATATTCCTCTGTATTACAGAAGAGTTATGTGACTTAACAGCACATATGTAGTAGAGTTCTGACAACTTTCACTCTGTTTTCTTGTCTACTAAATCAGAGGCTTTTTGATTTATCTGTTCTTGTGTCTGCATATATCACAGAAAATATAGTATAAAGTCTGTTGCTGGTAAAGTTGAAGGGCAGATATCACATGCCTATCATCTGTTACAAACATTGTGAGATTTTTATTTCATCTAAGAAATTTTGATAATCAGTATGATGGAAATGTTTACAGACATTCAGGCACCAATAGTGATAACTCTAGTAGATACTCAAAGATATTTTACTTTTGTGTTAGTTGAGATGCTGTGTCAGATGCATTCAATTCAAAAGAGTAACTTCCTATTGAACTGCCTAACTGTCCAGATCACATGATATCAAAATGAGTATTTCAAATTTAATTTTAAAAAGATGCACACTCATAATTAAATGTTGATTAAGGAGAGGTATATAGAGGGCTACAAAATTTTGACTTTATTTTTGCTGATACCATGAATAGTTGTTAAGAGTAGAAAAGGGGCTGCTTACATTATGTAATATAAATTATTTCTTGAATTCTAATATACATTTTTTTAAATATTGTGATATCATTGGATTTTGGGTGTGTTGATGAATAATGTTTTGTAGTTATAATAGGCAGCATTTTTCCTTTCTTGCAGAGAAATAAAATAATGATGCATCTTTAAAAAGATGGAATATCGATTTCAATGAAATAAAATACATCACAAAAATAATCAGATTTCTTAATATTTTTCATCATAAATATTGTGTGGCTAAATTATATGAAAATGTTAAATAAAATTACTGTAAATGCATGGCAATAGTATATATTTTAGGAAAAATAATCACTTACCATAACTTAAAAATTCCGAGAATCCATTTGTGTTGATTCTACCTCTCAGGGAAGTTTGATGACTAGAAACATTTGACTCAGATAAAAGGTGATTTTGATTTTCTTTATTTATTTTAACTTTTGCAGACTAGTGATGGTCTCCTCTCTTTCTCCCCCCATTTCTGCATACAAGAAACTGCATGGACCATCATACAGCACAACGGCTCTGACTTAACAAGAGTCAGAAATACTAATCCAGAGAACCCATATGCTGGGTTTTTCGAGTATGTGGCCAGCATGGAGCAACTTCAGGCCACTATTAACCGTGCAGAGCACTGTGAACAGGAGTTTACTTATTACTGCAAGAAGTCACGGCTGGTCAATAAGCAAGGTAAGTAAACCATGGTGTCTGTCTTGTTGCACACATCACATCATGCACTTACTCAACTAGCTCCTGAGAATTTTAAGTCTGCAAAGTGGTGGTGTCTAGCCACTGAGGGTATATGATCTCACATACTTAGTAAACATGTCACAGTCTGGAAGTCACAAAGATGCTTCTGCCTGAAGAAAAGAACAAGGTCAATTTACACTGAGCTTTATTCAAAGCCTTGATTGCTTTTAAACTCTCTTCCTGGCATTAATTGGATAACTGTACAGCAAAGGCCTCCTTCTGATACTCAGTGAATGCACAGTGTTTATCCCTGATAAAGGGCAAGTGACACATAAGGTTTATTTTATCATGGAAAACAGCTAATAAAAATACGACTTAGTTTTCTGAAAGCGATTATTCTACGTGCCTCTTTCTCATGGATTGTTGACAGCCTCTGGGTATAATGGAAAATTAGAAAAGGCTGCCAGAGACACAGTTGATTCACTAGTTCAAGGAGGAATCAGAAAACCATCTTGACTCTTTATTTGATTCTGCTGTGAATAACCAGTCTGCTCCTGAGTTCTGGTTTTGGTCTTTCTTTAGGGCATCTCATTATGTCAGAGCCTCTGTTTCCACCACATCTGCCTTACAGTAAGCCTTCATGAGCTAATTCTTGAAGTCACTGCAAGAGCTTTCCAGCTGGCCTCCTAGCTTGTCATCTCTTCACATCTTCTAACCATCCAATGCAAAATCCAAAATATTAGTCTCTATGAAGAAAATTAACCTTTAAGAAATGCTGCCCCCACTTTTAAGAAACACAGTTCTATTTAAGAAGCTCTACCGCCTTTCTGTTGTTTGTCTGTCCAACACAGCCTCTTCTGCTGGATCCTGGAATTGCGTATTCTGTGTCCACCCTGCCTATACAACCCTCGTGCCACCCTCAAACACGTATTTTCTAGCAGTGGCATTGAGGTGTATTTTTCTTTACATATTAGATAAAATTCTAAGACGTCTGTACAATAACGCTACTTCTTTCATGTTCACTCCTGCTTGTCCTAAGAAGGGCTGGAGTTTCAGAGAGAATGACAAAAATTTAAAAAGAAATTTGTTTCGTATAGAAATAGCATATGTCATAAAGATCATGCAAAAACGCTGAACTGTCGTTCTGACATTTGAACCCTGCATTTCCGATTAAGTCTCTCTCTATTTATTCTCCACCCACTAAAAATCAGATTATTTTCTCCCCTGTGACTGACTGCCCCCTTGCCCTTCTTCTCCTCTTTCTCCTCCTCGTTTTCCTTTTTTAGAATGTTTTCATTTGGCCTCTACCCCTCCAATCCCATCTTTCTGGAACCCACACCAAACTTACCTCCTCCTGGAACCTCAATTCTGTGTGCAAATGAGGATCAGACAGTTGTAGTGCAAACAGCATAGGATTTACAGCTGGAGGTGTGGGTGTGTTTCTCATTGGCTAGGTGCATCTAGAACATAGATAGATGAAACCTTGATTCATGAAATGGACGAATGGTTAATGAATCTCAGTCTTTGTTTTCTTTTCTCCAAAATGGGGCCAATGATACCAGCCTCACAGGGTTGCAGTGATGATTGGGTGGCATAGCACGTACAAAGTGCATGGCATGAGCCCCCCTCATTTCCAGCTCTCCAGGGCATTGTGGCCATCGTGAACATACACTGTTTAGTTTGTAATGGGTTGTTCATTGTTGGTGAATATTCATCTTAGAATAAAAAAACAGATAAGCAAATCTGGAAGGGTATTCTAAGAAGAAGAATGGTAATTATGGAAGAGTAAATGAATGCTGTGGAACAAAATGAACTCAGGTCATTTATGTGGAAAAGAGAGATAAAAGAAGGTCATGCAGTATATGTCTTTCAGTGTTCGGCTTATTCTGTTTAGTATAATGCCCTTCATGTTCATCCATGTTGTCACAAATGGCAGGACTTCCTTCTATTTAAGGCTGAATGATATCCCATTGTGTGTGTGTGTGTGTCACATTTTCTTTATCCATTCATCAATGGACACTTAGGTTTTTCCGTATCTTGGCTATTGTGAATAAAGCTGCAATGAACATGGGAGTGAAAACATCTCTTCAAGATACTGAAGGATATTATGCTGAGTGAAATAAGTCAGAAACAGAAAGACAAATACTTCATGATCCCACTTATATATGGAATCTAAAAAAGTTTAACTCATAGAAACAGAGTAAAAGAGTGATTTCTAGGGAAGGGGACTGGTGTGGAGATGTTGGTCAAAGGGTACAAATTTGCAGTTGTAAGATGAATATATTCTGGAGACATGGTATACAGAATGATTACTATAGTTAACAACAATGTATTGTATACTTGAAATCTGCTAAGAGAGTCGATTTTGGTATTCTCACCATAAAAATATAAAGTAGCTATGTTAAGTGGTGGGTATGTTAATTAGTGTGATTGTGGTAATCATTTCACAGTGTATATCAAAACATTGCTTTGCACACCTTAAATGTGTACAATTTTTATTTGTCAATTTTACTGCGAAGCTGAAAAATAAAATGTAAGAAAATACAAAAGAAGGATGGTTATCAAAGTTGACAAAGAAGTCAAGCTGTAACAGAACCAGAAAGCAAAATCCCTGAGAGAGTGTTGAGCAAACACCACACAGAGTAAAAGGGCTTGATATGGTTTGGCTGTGTCCCCACCCAAATCTCACCTTGAATTGTAATAATCCTCACGTGTCAAGGGCGGGGCCAGATGGAGATAATTGAATCATGGGGGCAGTTTCCTCCATACTGTTCTCATGGCAGTGAATAAGTCTCATGAGATCTTATGGTTTTATAAATGAGAGTTCCTCTGTACAAGCTATCTTGCTTGCCACCATGTAAGATGTGGCTTTGCCCTTCCTTGCCTTCTGCCATGATTTTGAGGCCTCCCCAGCCATGTGGAACTATGAGTCCATCAAACCTCTTTTCTTTATAAATTACCCAGTCTCAGGTATGTCTTTGTTAGCAGCATGAAGGCAGACTAATACAGGGATTGACACAGAATGTGAAGGAATCCCCACCTTTAAGGCCAGTTGTGCTTGCACACTTTTTTTTTTTTTTAATGCTTCCCTGGTCTTTCAGGCTCAATAACCAGTTTTAGAAAGTCAACTCCAGAAAGGCATGGAAGAGGGGATCTAGAAAGGCATGGAACATGACTAAATACAGAAGTTTTTCTCAGATTGGTGACCTCATGATTCGTGTGGAATAGATTTGAAGTGGAGAGAGTTAAAAGAGACAGAACAATTGGATTCTGAGGTCACAATAAGAAATATAATGGGGTAGAACAGGAAGTTGTTTTCAGACAAGCTATATTTGGAGTTTCAGATCTTGGTGATTTAGTGTCAAGTGATAATGATGCCATATGTGAATGAATAAAGTGAAATGTGTATGAAAATATGTTTTCTGCTGCTGAGGATCTGTGACTCAGCACACAGGAAGGGTGATCAATGGGAATGCTCAAGTCATTTAGGAAAGTAATTATGGGAGGTGGAATGTTCTACCATATCCACGGGTATTTTTTACCTTTAATTTTTATTTCTCAGGGTTTTAAAAATTCATTCCTTTACTTATTTAAATTCCTTAGTATTTTTTTTAAAGTCTTGGATTGAACCACAGTCTATACCTTAAAAAACATTCAGTGATTTCTATTTTATAGGGAAGACATGAAATTTAGATGTGGGAATATGGCTCAGTATTTAAGAATAACTATTTTTCTTTTTAATCTATGAAAACTTAATGTTTTAAGCAGTATATTGAAATATATTTATTAAGTATTTCAAGCAATTTTCACCTTCTGGTGAAGGGCTAATCATGTAATTAAAAAAAGACGAAGATTCTTCATATTAATGCATTTATGCATAACACAGCTTCTAATAACTCTTTGCTGGTTTTTTGTTTTTGTTTTGACGTGGCCAGACTGGCATGTATAGTAACCCTGGGAGAGAGCTTGTCAGCATTAGCATGGGGCTATCTAATAGTAAGTTAAAATGAGCATTGGCATTTATAAGCAAGGGAGAAATTAGTAAAAATCCCAGATTCTCAGTAGGGCTAATGGTGACAACTTGAAGGTTTGAAAGTCGACAGAAAAATGGTCAAGCACCTTTGAGAAACTGACTGATTCTATGTTGCTTACATTCTTCTCATGCCCTGATTCTCAGATGACTACAATTTTTCCTCCATACTTTTTTTTTTTCCATGATAGATTGGCTACATGCTTCACGTCCTTCTCTGAAAATCCTTTCCTAGATGTTCTGTCTGTTCCTTGCTCTAGTTACTTGGCATCGTGTTTAGTCTTAACTCTGAGAAGGAGCTGGTAGCTGAACATTTATCGTAGGAAGAGATGCATTTGGCTGAGGGAAACTTCCATTGAGTGTAATATTCGCTTCCAGCATGAAGATTTTTCAGTGTTATTTCTGTAGTCTTCAAATAAATAGCCAAGCCATTAAATGGAAGATAAAATATATACTTCCAAATAAATCTTAAATCATGACAAGGGAGTGCCAAATCATGCCTAACGTTTTTTAACAGCTAGGATATTTTTAGAGAATAAATTTATTGAGATAAATCAGGGACTTTACATAACATTCCATAATGCTTTAATGGGCATTTCATGATTTCAAATCAATTTTGCTTTGGTATGTTAATTACTATGATTTATATTTTGATGCTAACTTGTTTCAAAATTATTTTTAAAGAAATTGCATATGTGAGCTGCTCTCAATTCATTTTTTACTATCATGCCTAAATTAAATAGGAACTGCTGGTTTCTTTTCTACCCAAAAACAAATGTATTGGTCATTTAAGCCTAAATAATAACTTTTTTATAAAAAAAGTGTTCTTAAGGAAATGCCAGCAATCATACTGTTTTGCATATCCTTAAATCCAATCAATCTTTCTCCTTTTCTCCTTTTATTCTTTTTAATGATTTTGGAAGAAAAGGAATTATATTGGGAGAGAAGGTGGTGGAACATAAAACAGATGTCACATTTTTCACGTTTTTCTTTCAGATGGAACCCCTCTGAGTTGGTGGGTAGGAAGAACCAATGAAACGCAAACCTACTGGGGAGGTTCTTCGCCTGATCTTCAAAAATGTACTTGTGGATTAGAGGGAAACTGCATTGATTCTCAGTATTACTGCAATTGTGATGCTGACCGGAATGAATGGTGATTTCCATATGATTTCTTTATGCAAGAAAAAGTTCATTTAAAAAAATTAATCACTCAAAGTATGTATAGCTAGCCAGATACTGAACAAGTTAGTGCAATGAAGTAATTAAATAAAGGTTTGTTTTAATGAAACGTGGTGTAGTCAATATAATCGTTAGTATTAAGTCAATGCCTTTTTGAGTTATTTTCTGTAATGGACCATAAGTCATGTATATTTTAATTTTATAATCAAACAGAGACACCTGTTATATGGGGAATTAATTATTATTCCTTTTAAAACTATATATAAGTAGATATTCTATTATCTTAAAAATATGTTTACAGCCAAAGCACATTTCTTCAATAGTCTACCTATAAAAGCTTTAAAATTATCAACTTAGAATTTACTACAATTATTTTAACATGCAATTGTTTTATATTTTTAAAAAGACAAATCATACCACAAAGAACTAATGTTCTGTGGATTATATTTTGAAAAAATAGATCTGTAACATTTTAGGAATTTTAAAATCAAATTTAAAATATTCCTCTAAGCAGAGAAGAATCTTATGCATGTGTTCTTTGTCTGAAAAGTTTAAAAAAGACATTGATAGTATTTGAGACTAGAGTTGGCATGTATACTGCTCTTATTTATTATTTGTAAAGTGAAAATATTTTAAATGTTTATATTTACATTTCAGCATAACGTATATGTTACATTGCTAAGCAACTAGACCTGTACAGAAGGCTTATTTTTAACAAATATTCATAGTCAATCTGGATGTAATATGAGTGATTTTGTTACACAATGCATACTGATTACAGTGATAAATCTGTTAATGTAGGTCATAATTTGAATTAGATAATATTTCATTTAGTTAGGAAACATCAACTAAATCCCATCACATCAACTAAACATCATTTAGTTGGGAAACTAATATTTCATTTAGTTGGGAAACATCAAGATTATGTTATATCATACATCAAGATTATATCATACAACAGATTATGTTATATCATAAACATCAAGATTATGTTGTGTGTGTGTGTGTGTGTGTGCGTGTATTTCTTTTAGAATTGCACTTACTTTTAGTGTTACATGTTTGGTATGAAGAATATTGTCTCTCTTACTTAAACTCTCATTTTTCAAATTTCTACTCCCTTTGGAAGGCACCCTTTTCTTATCACTACTTTCACAAAAAAATACCTACACAGTAATACTGTATTTTAAAATGTTCATAAAATGCTAGTAGTAATGCTTAGCAACAATAAAAATTACCTAATCATCAATAACTCTCCAATGCCTCCATAACATATTGCTAATTAAAAATGACTTTTAAAAATAAGATTATAAAACTTCTTGTATTAAATTCCGCTAATGGTGAAGTAACTTGCATAGAGCTAACCCTTCTCAGATAATTGTTGTAAATCCAGGAAAAAAATGTTAGAAAAACAACTACTTGAAATAAGCAGAAAGTAACCAAATGTTGGCAGAAACTGCCCATGTGTTTACAGCAAAGACAATATCCCAGATATAGAGATAGGATTGAAAATTAAGCAAAATTCACACAGGCTCCACCTAATGAACTATCAAACCAAACAATGGCAATTTATTGTGATAAGGCTGTGATTTAACTGCCTATGAAAACAAAAATGAAATCTTTAAAGAATAACAAAAGATTCTGGAATCTTTACAATGTATCCATGATATCCAGCATGTTATAACATTTACTGAATATTCAAAAAAGAGTACATTTTCATCTAAAGTCAAGAAATTAAGAGCAGTTATTACAAACCAACCTTGGGGTACTGATGTTTGAATTGGCAGAAAGAAACTTTACAGCAACTATTATAAAAATATTTGAAGACTTAAAGGTAAAAATAATCACAATGTGTAAACAAAGGGTATTTTAAGTAGATAAGTGAGAACTGTAATATGGAACCAAAGGTAAATTTTAGAATAGAAAAGAGCATCTGAAATAACAAATTCTAATAGAAATTCTTCAGGCTAAAGAGAAATAATGGATGAAAACTCAGATCTTCAGGAAGAAGTGAAAAGCACTGGAAATTGCAAATATGTTGGTAAATATAAAAGCCAGTGTTTAAATTATTTTCTTAATTAAAAAATTAAATTCACTGTTTACTTTTATTATAAAGTTTATAACATATGGATTTACAATATATTACAGCAATAGATAAAAGAATATGTGTGTGGAGGGGAGCAGCGTTAAATGAATTATGTCTTAGCAAGCTTCTGACATTTCACATTGTTAAAAAACATAATGTCTAAATAGACTGTGATAAATTAAGAATTTACTTTGTAATCTGTAAAGCAAACATTGAAATACAATAAATATAGCTAAAATGTGAATAAAGAAAATAAAATGAAATACAAAAAATATGGAATAAACCAAGAGGAGGCAGCAAAGGAAAATGGAAGTACAAGAAATCATATGGGGGGCAGCCATAAAAAAGGATGAGTTCATGTCCTTTGTGGAGACATGGATGAAGCTGGAAACCATCATTCTCAGCAAAATAACACAGAAACAGAAAACCAAACACTGCATGTTCTCACTCATAAGGGGGAGTTGAACAATGAGAACATAAGGACATGGGGGGGAACATCACACACTGGGTCCTGTTGGGGAGTGGGGGGATAGGGGAGGGATAGCATTAGGAAAAATACCTAATGTAGATGATGGGTTGATGGGTGCAGCAAACTACCATGGCCCGTGTATACCTGAGTAACAAACCTGCATGTTCTGCACATGTATCCTAGAACTTAAAGTATAATAAAATAAAATAAAATGCTACAACATTTCAAAAAATAAAAAAGAAATCATATGGGGGAAACAAAAGAAATAGCAAAATGGTAGACCTCAAACTGCAGTATCAATCATTACACTAAATGTTAATGTATTAACCAATTCCAGTAAAAAGGTAGAAAATTGTCCATTGAATTAAAAAATCTCCAACTGTGTTCTATTTTTAACATATGCTATATTTTATATTCTCTATTACATATTTTCTACAAGAGACATTTAAATGTCATTATGTTTTGGCCAGGCCCAGTGGCTCACACCTGTAATCCCCGCACTTCGGGAGGCTGAGGCAAGTGGATCACTTGAGGCCAGGAGTTCAAGACCAGCCTGGCCAACATGGCAAAACCCTGACTCTACCAAAAAATACAAAAGTTAGCTGGGTGTGGTGGTACACATCTGTAATCTCAGCTACTTGGGAGGCTGAGGCACAAGAATGGATTTAACCCAGAAAGAGGAGGTTGCATTGAGCCAAAACTGTGCTACTGCACTCCAGCCTGGGAGACAGAGTGAGACCCTGTCTCAAAATAATAATAATAGTAAATAAATCAAATGTCATTCTGTTTTTATGTGCTCCGATGAGTGACTGGATCCATACTCTTTTGTAGGTGCAAATTTAGTTCAGAACATCTTGGTTTTGCAATGCAATAAGGACTATTAAAAGTTCTTAAGAATTTTGTTGTTGCTATTGTTTTTTAGGACCAATGACACTGGATTGCTTGCTTATAAAGAACATCTTCCAGTAACTAAGATCGTGATTACAGACACAGGCCGACTGCATTCAGAAGCAGCTTATAAACTGGGGCCTCTGCTCTGCCAGGGAGACAGTAAGTGGTTACAATGTGTTGAAACCGTATTTGAGAAAAGAACCATGACTTAAAGTACCATCACTTAAGCATCACGTTTCTATCATATAATAACTAATCAGACTTCTATTGTGAACATTTTTTTTGTTTGTTTCCACATACATGAGGTGCCTTTAGTAGTCAAATTCATAGACAGAAAGTAGAATGGTGGTTTCCAGGGACTGGGGACAGGAAAGAATGGGAAGTTACAGTTTAATGAGTACAGAGATTTGGGAGATGAAAAGATGAGTTTTAGTGATGGTTACACAACAGTGTGAATGGACATAATGCAGTTGAACTGTAAGTACACTTAAATGGTAAAAATTTCAAATTTTATGTATCTTTTACCACAATTTTTTTTTTTTTTTTTTTTGAGACAGAGTCTCGCTCTGTTGCTCAGGCTGGAGTGCAGTGGCGCGATGTTGGCTCACTGCAAGCTCTGCCTCCTGGATTCACGCCATTCTCCTGCCTCAGCCTCCTGCACAATTTTTTTAATTAAAAAAACTCTTTAACTATCTGAAGGCTACTATCATGACCCTTGGAATAATCTTCAGAGTAGACACATTTATTTCCTTCAACCATTCTTCATGTGACATGATTAAAGTCCATTCATACCTCCAGTCACTCACCTCTGAATGTTCTCCAGCCACTATACCCCTGTTTGAGACTGTAGACCTCAATATGACACTGACCAGTTAAGAATGGAAAAGGCCTATCACTGCCCTCAATATGGCTACTAGATTTGGTAATTCAGCCAGACTTCCTACTAATTTATTACAACGCTGTTTATTTCTATAGAGCTAATTTTCTAGATAAAACTCCAAGTTCTTTTTTATTTATTTATTTATTTATTTATTTTAGTATTTATTGATCATTCTTGGGTGTTTCTCGGAGAGGGGGATTTGGCAGGGTCATAGGACAATAGTGGAGGGAAGGTCAGCAGATAAACATGTGAACAAAGGTCTCTGGTTTTCCTAGGCAGAGGGCCCTGCTGCCTTCCGCAGTGTTTGTGTCCCTGGGTACTTGAGATTAGGGAGTGGTGATGACTCTTAACGAGTATGCTGCCTTCAAGCATCTGTTTAACAAAGCACATCTTGCACCGCCCTTAATCCATTTAACCCTTAGTGGACACAGCACATGTTTCAGAGAGCACGGGGTTGGGGGTAAGGTTATAGATTAATAGCATCCCAAGGCAGAAGAATTTTTCTTAGTACAGAACAAAATGGAGTCTCCTATGTCTACTTCTTTCTACACAGACACAGTAACAATCTGATCTCTCTTTCTTTTCCCCACATTTCCCCCTTTTCTATTCGACAAAACCGCCATCGTCATCATGGCCCGTTCTCAATGAGCTGTTGGGTACACCTCCCTGACGGGGTGGCGGCGGGGCAGAGGGGCTCCGCACTTCCCAGACGGGGCGGCTGGGCAGAGGTGCCCCCCACCTCCCAGACGGGGTGGCAGCTGGGCGGGGGCTGCCCCCCACCTCCCTCCCGGACGGGGCGGCTGGCCTGGCAGGGGCTGCCCCCACCTTCCGGACGGGGCGGCTGGCCGGGCGGGGGCTGTATTGTGAACATTTTTAAGTACGGTCTGAAATACTCTTTCAGTCAGTCAACAAATAAGTACTCCTATGAGGTACAAAGCTATGATGGCAAACTTTGTTAAGGTTCTAAGAGAAAGAAACCACTGGGCATCTCAACTTGATTAGTTCATGAGTACATTCCAGCATTCCTGAATTTCTAATTGCTGTTACCCACATAGGAAAGCCTCAGTGCTAAACACAGTTATTAATAATTCATGTGAATTTCCTACTGTTAGGCCTGGGATGAAATTAGAATGTCAATGGAATCATGTCATTTTAACCCCAAATATATTTCACCTGTAAATCTCTTTTTTTTTTTCCAGTTTGTGTGTGTGTGTGTGTGTGTGTGTGTCTGTGTGCATTTACTTTAAACCAGTGGTGCATGCTGTTTTGCATATGCAATGCATTAACACCTTAAACCAGAATTTTAAAGTTCAAATATAGTTCCACTATATTTATGTTCCATATATACATATATATGTTTTATATATATATATTTTCTTTGATCAGGGAATGAAATGAGCATATGTATTCATTTATAGATTGTTAACCTCTCTGAAAATAGTTAGATTAGCGACTAGTGCATTAAATATGTATGCTTTTAGTACTTCCAGAACTTAAAATGGAAATAGATGAAATATTTGTTTACATTAACACCACGCCTTAAAATAAAATTTTATGCTAGGGGCACAACAGAATAAGAGGGAATCTGATAATTCAGTGGATTTATGGAGACACAGAGCAGAAGTTGCTTAGTTAAAAAGCAAAGATGATACTGGCCTTAAAAATTATATATACATTGTAAATACTGTTTACCATTATACTCACCATCTCTGATATGTATCACCTCTACTTCCTGTTCTACCAGTGAGCCTTACACAATCCCATGAAGATGATATAGGATATTTCATGGGAAGAAAAATTATGTGCAAAGAGATGAGGTTGTAAACTTCGGATGCATCCAGGAGAGTGTAACGATTTTTCATGGCTGTAGAGAAGTTGTTTTATACATCACGTGTACCTTTCACTTCTTGCTCTGATCTTAACCCTGCAGGGACCCAGGCTGGCTTCCTCTGCCTTCCTTATTTCATTAGCCAAAACCCCTGCCTATTTGTATGTTTTAAGTGAGGTCCCTACCAACTCTCTCCCTTAGACTTTCTTTCTCCCAGACTTCCTGTCATCATTTTAAGCACACAACATCATTCCACTTAGAGCAGTGATTCTCCATCCAAGGCAATCTTGCCCTGCAGTGGACATTTGGCAGTGTTCGGAGACATTGTTGGTTATCACATTGTTGGGGAGTGGGATGCTACTGGCATGTAGTGGGAGAGGTCAGGTTTGCTGCTAAACATCCTACAATGCATGAGACGGCTCTCCACAGAGAAGAATTATCTGGCCCCAAATGTCAGTAGTACTGAGGCTGAGAAACTAGAGCTTTGAACTACTGTGACCATGGGAATACAGAGGGGAGCTACTACATTAGCACTAAGAATTTACGGCCGGGCGCGGTGGCTCACGCCTGTAATCCCAGCACTTTGGGAGGCCGAGGCGGGCGGATCACGAGGTCAGGAGATCGAGACCATCCCGGCTAAACGGTGAAACCCCGTCTCTACTAAAAATACAAAAAATTAGCCGGGCGTAGTGGCGGGCGCCTGTAGTCCCAGCTACTTGGGAGGCTGAGGCAGGAGAATGGCGTGAACCTGGGAGGCGGAGCTTGCAGTGAGCCGAGATCCCGCCACTGCACTCCAGCCTGGGCGACAGAGCGAGACTCCGTCTCAAAAAAAAAAAAAGAATTTACAAATAGTTTCAAGTATTTAGAGACCCACTAATTAATCTCTGACTTATTAATTAAACAGTAATCAAGTGATTGGTCTTCTTGCCTCCTGTACCTATTTTTAGCGTTGAGGTTCATCGTCACGTGAGGTTATTTTCTGCATGAAGGACTAAGGACTAAGGACTATTTTCTGCATGAAGCGTTCTTTATTTTCTCAGTTGGATGAGCAGTGGCTTCAGAACAGCGAATACTCCTTTTTTCCATATGGGAAATCTGTACCACTTAAGTTACAACGCCATAGGTACTTTTTTTTTTTTTTTTTCATTTCCAAGTGAGGCTCACTGGACAGATATAGGACTAACAGATAGAGGATCATGCACGGTAGGCCTTATAAGCAGAGAAAAGCTGCATGGACATTACTTTGAAGGCATCAGGACTACACATTGAATAATTTAAGACTGAGAAATAACTTAATTCTCATGATTCAGTTGAAAGCCTGATGATCAGTTATAAATCTAAAGATCAGTCAAGTGACCTCTGATGTAAGACAAGGAAAAGATGAGAGCTTGAACTAGGCAATGATTGGCATGGAGCTTTAAAAGGGGGATCAACTACGAGGTAAATTCGATATGATTTAGATGTAAGATTGAGAGTTAAAGCCTTGGGGATGATCTCCAGCTTTCTGATTTGAATAAAGCCATTAGTGTCATTCATTGAGACAGGAGATTAACACTTTTTTTTTTTAACAGAAAAAAAAGTGAGAATGAAAAAAGTAGTATTTTCATTTTCTCACACAAACGAGAGATATTGAAAAATGTAGATCAGCCATGTTTTTCTAGGAAAGAAGGTGAAGTTGTGGGAAAGCAGGACAAATAAAACATGACTGTTGGACCTACTAGTACCGGTTATGAGGTTACCCCAATTTATTTATGTTGTCTTTTTTCAAAGCTTTCTTTTCGTTTTGTTTTCAATTTCATTTTACTGCTGCTATTATTGTTGATATCAGAAATCAACTAGCAAACTAGGAAATAAGAGAACTTCCTCCATGGCATAAAGGACATCTGTGAAAATCTGATAGCTAATGTCATACTTTGAATAGTCAAGGATATAACTGCTTTCCCTTTAAGTTCAGGATAAAGGCAAGAATGTCTGCTCTCACTACTCCTATTCAATCTATTACTCATGGTCCTAGCACATGTAATAAGTCAAGGAGAGGAATTCAAGGCATTTATTAAGTTGCAGCAAAAGTTAATCAACCTGATTTTAATGGCAAATCAGGTTGCCATTAAAAGAAGTGGCAAAAACTGCAATTACTTTTGCACCAACCTTAAGTGAGAATGAATGAAATAAAATGTCTGTTTACAGGTAACATGACTTTCTAGGTAGAAAATCTCAAATTATATTTTTAAAAAGTGAGTTTAGCAAAGTCACAGGATTCAAGGTCAATATTCAAAAGTGAATTATATATTTTTTATTATTATACTTTAAGTTCTAGGGTACATGTGCACAATGTGCAGGTTTGTTACATACGTATACATGTGCCATGTTGGTGTGCTGCACCCATTAACTCGTCATTTACATTAGGTATATCTCCTAATGCTATCCCTCCCCCTTCCCCCCACCCCACAACAGGCCCCGGTGTGTGATGTTCCCCTTCCTGTGTCCAAGTGTTCTGATTGTTTAATTCCCACCTATGAGTGAGAACATGTGATGTTTGGTTTTTTGTCTTTGCGATAGTTTGCTGAGAATGATGGTTTCCAAAAGTAAATTGTATTTCTATATGCTAATGATAAAAAATTATAAATGATATTTTAAAAGTACCATTTTTATACTAGCACCAACAACATAAAATATTTTGGTGTAAATATAACAAATTATTAAGAAAAAATTAAGAAAATTATATTTAAAAATTTATGAATTAAAAGATTTGATAAGATGTCAATTTTTCCCAAATTTATATATAGACTGAAAACTATCCCAATTAAAATCCAGCAATCTCTTTTTTGGGAGGGGAGTAGAAATTGGAAAGCTTATCTTTAAATGTATATTGAAATGCAAAGAAAGTAGAATAGCAAAAATGTTTTGAAAAATATAAACAAAGTTTGAGATACACTACTAGATTATAAGACTTACTGTAAAACTAACAGATATTCAAGGAAGTGTGATATTGACATTACAATAGACAAATACATGAATGGAATAGAATAGAGAGCCCAAAAATAGACCCATGTATACATGGTTGCTTGACTTTTTACAAAGCTACCAGGGGAACTCAATGATGAAAGGATAGAATTTTTCAAGAAACAGATCTGGAACAATTCGAATCCAATTGAAAAAGAAAAGCAGAATGAAAAAAAAAAGAGTGTCAATTCATACTTCAAAGCAGATACAAAAATTAACTCAAGATTAATCATAAACTTAAATCTAAAACCACAAACTATAACACTGCTCTAAGAAAATACAAGGGAAAATCTTAGTGGCCTTGGGTTGGGCATAGATTTCTTAGATACAACACTAAAAGTACAATTCATAGAATAAAAATAATAATAAATTGGGTTTCACTAAAAAGCTTCTGCCTTTAAAATGACACTGTCGAGAAATTGAAAAGAAAAGCTACAGACTGGGTGAAAATCTTTGCAAAATACATGTTTTATAGAGGCTAATACCCAGAATATAAAAGTAACTCTCTCGTGGTGCAATAATATTTGAAAAATCAATTTACAAATGGGCAAAAGATTTGCACATACACATCACAGAAAAAATATGGATTTAAATAAACACAGTAAAGATCCTTAGCATCATTAGTTATTAGGAGAATGCAAACTCGTACCACAATGTGATACCAATATGTAACTGTTAACATTTAACAAATAATAATAACAAAAAAACCCCAAAATATAACAAGTGCTAGTAAGGATTTAGAGCAACTAGAACTCTGGTACATTGCACTACAGATGCAAAATGGTACATACTGCTTTGGAAAAGAATTTGGTTTCTTATAATGTTAAACCCACATTTACCATATGACCCAGCAATCCCCATCTTAGGATTTTATCCAAGAAAAGAGGAAAATCTATATGCATATAGTCAGTTTTTTGTTATTATTATTGGCTTTATTCCATAGTCCCCTAAAAATGAAAACCACTCAAATGTTTATCAACTAGTGAAAGGATACACGTTCCATTTTACTGTGGTGTACCCACAATACACAGTGGAATACTACTAAACAATTAAAAAATAGACTATTGATAACGTGCAACAACATAGATGAATCTCAACTGCATTACTCTAAGTGAAAGAAGCCAGACTAAAAAGCCTACATGCTTTGAATGATTCAATTTCTAAGATATTCTGGAAAAGTCAAAACCATAGGAACAGAAAAAGGATCTCTGCTGCAAGAACTTTGAGGTGAGAGGAATTTTACACAGGGGTACAAGAAAACTTTGTCAGGTGAACAAAATGTTCCATATCTTGAGGGTGGTGGTGTTTTTATGGTTTCAGGTCCTTTTCAACTTCTAGAGCTACACACAAAAACAGGCTGAGTTGTACTCTATATAAATTACCATAACATTAATATATTTTAATAAGTAATAAATGATGTCTTATTCAACACATCTGACTGAAAAACAAAACAAAAACGTTAATAACAGTTTGCATAGCTATACTTGCTTAATTTTAAGAATTGGAGGCTGAGTGCAGTGGCTCAAACCTATAATCCCAGGGCTATAGGAGGTCAAGGTGGGAGGATTGCTTGAGACTGGGAGCTCGAGGCTGCAGTGAGCTATGATTGCACCACTGCACTACAGCCTGAGCAGCAGAGTGAGACCTTGTCTCTTACAAAACAAAATTGGGTCATCAAAACAAACAGAGAAACAACCGACCACTAGAAGTAAATTCATGGAACAGTAAAGATTTCAGTAATATGGATATTCTCCAATTCTCCAGCACATTTCTGGAATCGTGCTGAATATGTTTCTAACTTATATTGACTTTAGAAACTTTAGAAAAAGAGTCAAAGGAAAGAATCAAGGGGAAACATCTGGGTTTATCAGTTAGTAGAAAAGTCATGAGTAGGAGGAGTCACCTATATATTTCCTACGTAATCAGCCTGCCAAGAGCAGTGGGAACGTATTTATTTTTGAGGAACCATCCAAAGTCTTTTAGACCAACAGTTCCTCCACTTTAGCATGTATAAAAATTACTTGGAGAGCTTGTTGTAGCACAGATTTCCACTCCTTATCCCAGAGACTGTGATTCAGGGGGTGTGGGGGTAGGAGAATCTTTCCTTATCTCCCTCCCTCCCTTCCTCCCTTCCTCATTTCCTTCTTTCCTTCTTTCCTCCCTTCCTCCCTTCCTTCCTCCCTTCCCTTCCCTTCCCTTCTTCCCTCCCCTTCCGCTTCTCTTCCGTTCCTTTTTTTTTTTTTTTTTTTTTTTTGACAGAATTGCCCTCTGTTGCCCCGGCTGGAATGCAGTTGGCTCATTGCAAACTCCGCCTCCTGGGTTCAAGTGATTCTCCTGCCTCAGCCTCCCAAGTAGCTCGGATTACAGGCGTGTGCCACCAGGACCAGTTAATTTTTGTGTTTTTAGTAGAGACAGGGTTTCATCATGTTGGCCAGGCTGGTGTCGAACCCCAGACCTCAAATGATCTGCCCACCTCGGCCTCCCACAGTGCTAGGACTACAGGCATGAGCCACCCCACCTGCCTGGGTATGAGAATTGCTAACAGGCTTCCACATGCTGCTGCCGGTCCATGGACCACTCCATGTAGTGCTGCCCCCAGCCAGTGAGGTTCACAGGCTGGTACTGGTCTGCACATTCTTTGCTACCATTCTGTGAGGAGGCTAGTACAAAAATATAGAGTATTTCAGAATGACTTCTGCCATTTGGACAGAGTAATTTATGTCTGTTGGACATAATAGTAATAAAAAATGGACTGGAGATAGTATTTTGTATACCTTTGCTTTTCCCATTCATTTTTCTAGCAATTTACATTTTTAATTTTTAATTTTAAAAATGTAAAATTTTCGTGGGTACATAATAGATGTATATATTTATGGGATACATGAGACATTTTGTCACAGGCATGCAATGTGTAATAATCACATCATGGAAAATTGGGTATTCACCCCTTTAAGCATTTATCCTTTGTGTTACAAATAATCTAATTATACTATTTTTGTTATTTTAAAATGTACAATTACATTATTATTGACTGTAGTCACCATGTTTTGTCGTCAAATACAAGGTCTTATTCTTTCTAACTATTTTTCTGTACCCATTAACCATCCCCACCTCCTACTGGCCTCCCATTCTCTTTGCCAGCCTCTGGTAATCATCCTTCTACTCTTTGTCTCCATGAGTTAAATTGTTTTCATTTTTAGACCTCACAAATAAATTAAAACTTGCAATGTTTGTCTTTCTGTACCTGGCTTATTTCACTTTACATAATGACCTCCAGTTCCATCCATATTGTTGCAAATGATGGATTCTCATTTTATATGGCTGAAATAAAAAGAGGAAAAAAAAGCACATTTTTCTATATAGGTAGTTTAAGACTCACAGCTCTAGGTCAAAGGTTGGGTATGAAGTGGACCAATGGTGCTGACATAGGGCCTGCCCAAGTGTTCTAACTGTAGTTGCAGTATGTTCAGAACCAGAAACAGAGTTTCAGAGTAGAAGCCTAGGCATTCATACACAGGGTTAAACCTACTTTCTTGACACACAGCAAGAAGAAGTCTACAGAGACTTTGTGCTACTTCAGTGAATCTTGCAACACAAAGGGAGTTCCTGGACCACGATGGCATCTGGCTCTACGTCCTTGTCACTCACTCTCCCTTATCTGCAAAATCTCCCTAATTCTTTTACCAAACCCTTTCACACTCAGATTAAAACTCTTCCACCATGATTTCTAGATGACCTAGTCATTCTGCGTTCTCAAAACATGTTTAGCATATTACAAAGATATCTTTCTCATACTGGCTTTTAATTATTTTTGAGCCCCTCAAGAGCAGGGTACATTCCTCATTTATTCTTGTGTTCCTGATAACTAATGTATTACCTATTGCACAAAAGATAATCAATGAATAACAGTTCATGAAATAAAGAGAATGATTTAATATATGCATGTAAAGAAACCTACAGCTTATGAATTATTAGTAAGAGACATGAATACATTTTTGGTTCTATAAGCAATTAAGTAAATATATACTTTTACTAAAAGGAGTTTAGACTCTATTGAGTTATTGATTCTGATATAAAAATCACATAGTAGAAGAATGTCTAGTTCCATCTAAGCCATTTCTCATCAATATGCCTGAAGTTGTAATAGTGAAAGTACTTTCAAATAAGAATATAATTTTAGTTAATATTAATTTTTTTTAACTTTTCACTCAATACAGTGCCTTTATTAAACTGAAATGATTGCCCCTTCTTGGAAAATAGATTATTTTATGGTCTATTTTGCTTTTTTTTTTTGTTCACTTTTTTATTACCAACCAATAATTTATATGCAAGAAACTTGATCAATGTGAGGGAACAAAAATTGTTTTTAGTACTTTCAAAAGGTTTTCACTTTGGAACCCTGATAGTTGTCAGGACCATGGTATCCTTTTGGGGGAATTTTATACATATGCATACCTTTAGTTAATTGTCTTAAATATTAATGACTGACTTGATACAAAATCATAACTTTTTTTTTTTTTTTTTGAGATGGAGTCTCACTGTGTCGCCCAGGCTGGAGTGCAGTGGCACGATCTCGGCTCACTGCAAGCTCCGCCTCCTGGGTTCACGCCATTCTCCTGCCTCAGCCTCCCGAGTAGCTGGGACTACAGGCAACCACCACCACGCCTGGCTAATTTTTCTAATTTTAGTAGAGACGTGGTTTCACCATGTTAGCCAGGATGGTCTCGATCTCCTGACCTTGTGATCCACCCGCCTTGGCCTCCCAAAGTGCTGGGATTACAGGCGTGAGCCACCGTGCCTGGCCAAAATCATAACTTTTTAAAGCTATATAGAAATACCAAAAAAGCAAGTAAAAAAGACACCAAGAATCACATAACTCAGAAATAATGATTAATATCAATTGAATATCATTCCAAATGTTGGTAGATATCTCTAGTGCAGGGCTTCCCAGTCTCACCACTTTTGACATGTGGGCTGGATAATTCCTCATGGTGGTTGAGGACCGTCCTGTGCATTGTTGGAGCTAAGCAGTATCCCTGGTTCCTACCCAAGAGATGCCAGTAGCATCCTTCCTCCAAATGTGACGACCAAAAATGTCTCCAAACATTGCCAAATGTCCCCTGGGTAAAGAATTGCCCTAGGTGGAGAATCACCACTTTAGACAAAATAATTTTAAAAAGAGGTTGAGAAATGAATTTATAAAACTTTATTCATTAAAATTGAGAAAGAAAACACCAAATTTAAGCCAAGATGGCTCATGAAATTTATATATCTAACGAAGTATATTCAACGTAAGTGATCCCGCTAAACTTACAAAAAAAGATTATGCGCGTTTTAAAAGATTGTAGAGTCACTACATTTTATATTAAATGTATTTTTAAATTATAAGCAGCATTTATCTACTGTGAGAAATGGAAAAGCTAGCACTCATTTCTTCTTTCCCCTTCTTTATCTCCCCCTTCCCAGTTTTTGCTAGTTATGCTATTATTTGTATATTGTTACTTTTAAAGGCTAACCACTAGTTCTATTCTCCAATGCTTTTTATTTTGATTAATTTCTTTTTGTCAGTTAGTTGATATTTTACCTTTTTTTTTGTCTTTAGAAAGATTCTTGAGGGTTGCATTTTTTTGATTTTGTATGTGCTTGAGAATATTTGTTGCCTTAGGATTCTAAAACTCTGATGCTTTAACTTTATATTGTCTATTGGGAACAGCTTAATTGACATATAATTCACAGCCTATAATTCACCCTTTTAAAAGTGTACAGTTCAATCAATTTTAGTATATTTAATCATTTTAATGTACTATACAGATTTGAGCAACCATCACCATAATCATTTTGAGGACATTTTTATCACCCCCAAAGTAGACCTGCTCCCATTTTCCAGACACTGTCCATTTCACGCACTCCCCATCCCAGCCCTAAGCAACCAGTAACCTGCTTTTTTTTTTCTACAGACTTGCATATTCTGAATATTTCATATAGATAAAAATACAAGATATGTGATCTCTTGTGACTGACTACTTTTACTTAGCATCATATTGTCAAGGAGGTTCATCAGTGTTGTAGAATACATCAACGCTTCATTCTTTTTTATGACCAAATAATACTCCATTCTGTGGCTATACCACATTTTGTTTAATCACTCATCAGTTCATGGACATTTGGGCTGGATCCACTTTTTGGATATTATGATAAGGCTTCTGTGGACATCCATGTATGCTTTTTTTTTTGTGGACAAAGGCTTTATTTCTCTTCGGTATGTACCTAGGAGTAGAATTTCCCTACATTTAACCTCTTTAGGAACTGGCGTAATTTTTATGTGGCATGCTGTGTAACCTTCAGTAGTTTGCATATATGATCCCATACTTGTCTGTGCTGAGGAATGCAGTTGTCTCGTCTTCTACTGCTTTTCTAAATGTCTTTTTAGTTGACTGTATTTCATTATGAATATAGGTTTTGTTTTTGAAAAATTTTCTCAACAGGGCTCTTGTATGCTTTATTTTCAGAATTCTTTCAGACTTGAAAGTGTCTGCCTATTGCCTTAACACTTCAGAAGTAAACTAGACTGGATAAATTTTCTTTCTCTCAGGAATCTATGGACAGATTTCCTTTATTTTATGCCATTGAGTACTGTGAAGGACTCTGAGGCCATACTGGTTTTTTTCACCTTGTATGTGACTTGCTTTTTCTGTCTGAATACTCGAAGGAACAATTATCCTTAAAGGTCACTAATTTAACAAGAATGTACCTGAATGTTGTTCATTTGGTATTACTTTTTCTGGAAATAGAAGTGATGTGATAAAAGGTATATACACATTTTATAAGTTGTTAAAATTTTTGCAAATGTGGTCTGAATTTCTGCTCTCAGTCTCTCTATCTGAGCAAGGCAGTATTTTTAACTCTTTGGCGTTTGAATTTTTCAACCCATTTTATCACATGTATTTCTTTTCAGGTAATTCATTACATTGAAATTTTATGTTTAATCAAAGCACCCTGAAGCCTTCATAGTTAGAAAAGATTGCTGTAAGTTTCTCGTTCCAAAAAATTCTTGAGTCACTGGAGTTAGTTTCTTCATTTTGTCTGCATCGACTAGTACAGCTGTCTGAGAAATCACAGCTGCCCAGAGTGCATTAAATAATCAAAGGTGCATGTAGGCAATAAATAACTTTGCAGAAGTGAGACTCTTCAACTGGAAAAAGATATTGACTAGTGATTTGGTTAATTTCTCTTTCATTTGACAGAGTTCTCTTCCATTTGGCAGACTACATATAAACCGTTAAAAAAAGTGAGGATCAATTCCATTTCAACACATAATAAAATAATGTAACTTTGTTAGCTCCACTATGCTTGATAATTCTCTATTATAACATTTTTATTTTAACTTTTATATTTTACTTTATCTTATTGGGTTTATCTTTTTCAATTTCACTTTTGTATGCCCTCTTTCTCTTCCTCTTTTTCTTCTTCCTCCTCTTCTCTTGTCTCTGTTTTTCCACTTTTCTTCCCTCTTTCCACTTGTGGGAAAGAGCAAAAGAGCAATGAACAAAATAGATAAAAATATCGGTATTCTTGGAGCTTATATTTTCTTGGAGAGAGAGAGAGAGAGAGAGAGACAATAATCAATTGAAATATGTGGTACAGTAGAAGCTGGTAAGAGCTATGAGGAAAATAAAGTTGAGGCAGGAGTGGGGTAATTTTAAATAGGATGGTCATTTAAAGCTCAGGAAGAAGGTGGCATTTGAATAAAGATTTGAAGAAAACAGGAATGCAAGGCACATGTCTACCTTTGGAAGAGTACTCTACACAGAGGGAAAGGCCAGATAAACCACACAGAAATGGGGTGTAGATGGTATACTCATGGAACAGCCATATGGTCCAAGTGTTTGGAGCAGAGTGGGCAAGAAAGAGAGTGGTAGAAGTCAGAGAGAAACCTGGTGGTCAGATCAGGAAAGATTTTGAAAATCCATTTTCAATCTGAATGAAATTGGAGAACATTAGAGACTTTTGAGAAGACGAGTGATATGATCTAACTCAGGTTTTAGTGAGATTAAATAGGGAAAGCTCAAAGCAAGGAAACCATTTAGGGGACCATATCACCAACCCAGCTGAGAAATTATGGTAGCTTGAGCCATGGGTGCAATGATGAGAGTTGTGGTGTGGGTAGAGTTGAAAGGAAAACCAGTAAAATTTCCTGATGAATTGTTGTAGTTTGCAAAAGGAAAAGTCAAAAATAACACCAAGGTGTTTGATCTAATCAATTAGAGGGAAAGAACTGGCATTAATTGAAATGGGGGAGATTGCTGCTGGGGTCAGAGTTGTAGAGAAATATAAAGAGCCCAGTTTTAGGACATATTAAGGTTGAGATGTCATTAAACATTCAGGAAGAGATGTGGAGTTGTCAGTTTTCAGCATGTTTAAAGCCACAAGATGGAACAGCAGGAGTTATTTTGGATGAAGAAATAACAACAGGGCTTTGGGGCAATTAAGTATGGATAAATTGACGAGGTGAAGAGGAAGCAAGAAAGAAGACTGAGAATATATCACCTATGAGAAAAGAAGAGTGTGGGTATCCTGGACTCCAAGTGAAGAACGTGTTTCAAGGAGGAGAGAGCAATCAACTGTGTTAAATGTTGTTAGCTTAAGTAAGATAAAACTGAGAACTGATAATGGCTTTAGCAACATGGATGTTATAGCGACCTTGGTGATGGTTTGTTTTGTCAAGTGTTTGGGGATAAAAGCCTCAGATAGATTCAAGGAATAGTGGGAGGAAAAAATGTGGGAAAATGTAATGGTAAATGGGGGAGAAAGTATGATCACGAGAGTGGGGTTTCTGAGATGAGAGAATTAATAGCATGTCTGTGTTAGTAAGAGAGATCCAGTAAATAAATCCCTGCATTGTGGACGGTTAATTCATTCTGACAGGAGAAAATGGAGAACACAGGTGATGTTGCAGGAAGGTGAACAGGTGTGGTGGTGGGTGCTTAGAGGAGGTCACTTCTGTCTTCTGCTCTTTTCTTAGAGATTACTAGAAAAGTTAAAGAATGAGAAATGAGATGTATTATTGGGGAGAGGAAGTGTGAAGTAATCCTCTAAGAGCATGGGACAGTGAAGGCATGAAGGAAATATAGTGTGATCGCAGAGGAGCATTGAGTGTGCACACTTGGCATCATATTACAGCACGTGTACTTACCTGTAGTGTTCTTTAAAACCCGATGTTTATACACAGTCCCACATAAGGATTTGTAACTAAGTTCTGTATGCAGGTATCAGGCAATAAGTATATTATGAATAATTTACTAGTTTTTATTTTCAATTATTTTAGTCTAATACTTTAATTAATATTTAAATGTATTTTCTATACATGGAAAAATATTCAACATGCCAGATTACAAATGGGCTGTAACAGACCAGTGTATAGATGTGCCTACTTAAAAACAGTAATGTGTATGCTGTAAAGACTATAAGTGTGCAAATGCAGGAAGTTATTAAGAACCCTTCTACTTACTGTTAATTGCCGAGTTAAAATAATTTTTTAAAAGACAGTAATCTGAATATCAAGTGACTTTTGACTTTAACCGTGTAAATAAAGGAATCGCACTTTTGTTAGTAAATGGCCAATAAAAAGCTCAAAATTCTGATTGGGCACTTAATTATTTTGTGTTGCTGAAATCAGAATCACTCTATCTCATGTTTTTTGAATAAATGAATTTGGTCCTCTTCTCTGATAAATAACTGGACTCAAATTTTATTGCATGATCATGTGTGTTCATGGAGGACATCAATCTTGGATTGACCAGATTTACCTTGAATTTATAATATGTTCTCCTTTTATATTAAATGATCGTCATTTGCTAATTCAGAATAGGTTACTTCAAATAGAATAAGGATGTTACGCTTGGGAGGCTCTCTCGTCTGATGCCCAACTCCACACCTCTTTGTTGTCACTCTGACCTTCGTAGGAATGACTGAGGGATGATGCAGTGGCAAACTTAGATAAGTGTTACTTATCTCATTTACTATTTTATATATTCTCTTACATCCAGACTAAAAATAATTGGATGTTGCTCCAAAATTCTGTTCTTCCAGTTTCTTCTAAAATAAAATTATATGTGTGTATGTCTTTGAATAATTAAATACACAAGTCTATTTCTTTGCTATTAATATCAAAACAGTTTTGTGCAAAACTAGTATAAGACTAATGAAAAGAAATATCTTCTTCAGTGATAGTTTGTAAGATCTTTTGATTATAAAAACAAGTTCTGCTCTGCCTTCATAAAAGGAATTTTCACTTTCCATTTGCCACATCTATCTTACTGTATGTGCATGTGTGGGGGTGGTTAGGGGGTGTTTATGGAAACATCTATGAACAGCTTTGTTCTCTTTTATATTGCTCTGCAAACCACAAGCTATAATTATCTCCAGCCAGATTTTATTTTCTTCATTTTTATTTTGCTTATATTGATTCCTATTGAGGTTAATAAATAGTTGAAAACAATAATAGATGTGCTAAAAAGAGGAACCAGTGAATTATGAAACCAATACATAGGTTATTGTGTTCTGATAATATAACATATAATTTAATCTTAGAATTTTATTTCTGTTAAAATCTATATTTTTCAGCTTATTTAAAAATAATTCATGTGTTTAGAAGATGCACTGATTACTAAAATATTCTTCACATCAGCATTTCAACATTTAAAGCATTTTTACTTTTAAGAAAAGGCTTGTTGGAATTTTATATGCATATAAAATTTCCTGTAGGGCTAGGAAATCTAAAAATCTAAACATTTTTTAGACTTGACATCGAAAGCACAATCCGTAAAAGGCTAAATTGATAAATGAGACTTTATCAAAATGAAATTTTACTTTGTGAAAGCTTGCATGAAGAGGAAGAAAAGTCAGGCTACAGACTGGTCAAAAAACAGTTGCAAACCACCTATCTGAGAAAGGACTAGTATATAGAATATATGAAGAATCCTCAAAAGTTGACAGTTAAAAACACAATTAAAATATGGGTGTTACGTACTAAATTGTTTTCCCAAAATTTATGTTGAAGCCCTAACCCCAATGTGACTATATTTGAAGATAGGGCCTTTAAGGAGATCATTAAGGTAAATGAGGTGGTAAGGGTGGTGCCCTAATTCAATAGGACCAGTGTCCTTATAAGAAAGAGACACCAGAGACCCCACTCTCTGTGCTGACTCAGAGGAAAGACCATGTAAGGTCACAGGATGAAGGCAGTCATCTGCAAGCCAGGAAGAGAGGTCTCACAAGAAACCAATCCTACCAGCACCTTGATCTTTGACTTTTAGCCTCCAGCACTGTGAGAAATAAATGTGTTTTTTAAGCCACCTGACCTGTGAGATTTTGTTATGGCAGCCTGGGCAGACTAACACAATGGGCAAAAGACGTGGAAGGAGGTTCAACCAAAGAAGGTATACAGATGGCAAGAAAGCACATGAAATGATACCCAGCATCATCAACTGCTAGGCAAATGCATATTACATCCTCAATGAGGCACCACTTTACACCTCTCAAAAGGACTAAGATTTAAAAAAAAAATAGTGCCAACACAAAATACTGGTCAGTATATTGAGAAATTGGATCACTCATACACTGCTGGTAGGAATGTCAAATAACAAAACCACACTAGAAAACCGTTTAGTAGTTTCTTTTTGTTAATTTTCTATTTTACTTTAAGTTCTGGGATACATGTGCAGAATGTGCAGATTTGTCACATAGGTGTGTATGTGCCACAGGCGTTGGCTGCACCTATCAACCCGTCATCTAGGTTTTAAGCCCCGCATCCATTAGGTATTTGTCTTAATGCTGTCCCTCCCCTTGCCCCCCACCCCCCAACAGGCCCCATTGTGTGATGTTCCCCTCTCTGTGTCCATGTATTCTCATTATTTAACTCCCACTTACAAGTGATAACATGTGGTGTTTGGTTTTCTGTTTCTGTGTTAGTGTGCTGAGACTAATGGTTTCCAGATTCATCCACGTCCCTGCAAAGGACATTAACTCATTCTTTTTCAAGGCTGCATAGTATTCTGTGGTGTAGATGCGCCACATTTTCTTCACCCAGTCTATCATTGATGGGCATTTGGGTGGGTTCCAAGTCTTTGCCATTGTAAATAGTGCTGCAATAAACATACATGTGCAAATGATTTATAATTCTTTGGGTGTATGCCCAGTAATGGCATTGCTGGGTCAAATGGTATTTCTGGTTCTAGATCCTTGAGGAATCACCACACTGTCTTCCACAATGGTTTGCAACTCTCATACAATCCAGTGATTGTACTCTTGGGCATTTTCCCCAGGGAACTGGCAACTTACGTTCACAAAATATTTGTACACAGATGTTGACAAAAGCTTTATTGGTAATAGCTGAAAGCTACGTAGGTGTCCTTCTGCAGGTAGATGGTTAAATAAATTTTAATATATCCATACCATGGAATACTACTCAGCAGTAGAAAGAGATGAACTATTGATACAGAAAACAATATGAGTAAATCTTCAAAGAGTAATTCTGGGCCAGAAGTGGTGGCTCACGCCTGTAATCCCAGCACTTTGGGAGGCCAAGGTGGGTGGATCACCTGAGGTCAGGAGTTCGAGACCAGCCTGGCCAACATGGTGAAACCCTGTCTCTACTAAAAACACAAAAATTAGCCAGGCATAGTGGTGTGCACCTGTAATCCCAGCTACTCAGGAGGCTGAGGCAGGAGAATCGCTTCAACCCGGGAGGTGGAGGTTGCAGTGGCCAATATTGCACCATTGCTTTCCATCCTGGGTGAGAGCAAGAATCTGTCAAAAACAAAAATGAGTAATTCTGATTTTTTTTAAAAGTAAGCCAGTCTCAAAAGACTGCATATTTTATGCTTTTATTTGAGAGCATTCTTGAAATGACAAAATTATAGAAATGAGGAACTAATTAGTTGTGCCAGGAGGTTAAAGAAGGGGTAAGGAGGGAGGAAAGCGGTTTTAGCTGTGCGCGGGAAGGATGAAGAATACTGTGGCAATAGAAATGTTCTGCCTCTTAGCGTCAGTGTCACTATCCTGGTTTTGACATCCTGCTATTGTTTTGTAAGGTATGATCATGGGGGAAACTAGATAAAGGGTGCATGGAATCTTTCTGTGTTATTTCTTACACCTGCGTAAGAATCTACAAACATTTGGAAATAAACATTTTAATTAAATCCGTATTTCTGGCTTATTTCTTTATGATTATTAAGCATTCAGAAAGACTCATTTGAATAGTGAATGATTCCTTGCTTCGGCATTTCTAAATTTCATTTTATTTTGCTTTTAAGAAAGGTAGTGTTAGCATGTTATATGCATTTTGATTTTAAAAGTACAATGTATTACCTTGAAAAACAATGTGTTTTTTAAATACTGTTCCTTTATAAACAGCTTTATTGATATCAAATTCATATATTGCACAATTCAGTAATATAAAGTGTGCTATTGAATGGCTTTTAGTATATCTACATTGTGTAACAATGACCACACCAATTTTAGAACATGGTCATTACCCTGAGAAGAAACCTTACCCCTCTGAGCCGCTGCTCTCCCTCGATCGCTCCATCTCCCTAACCCTGGGAAACCACAAATCTACTTTGTCTCCATAAGCCTGTTTTTTTTTAAAAAAGGAATTCTATAAATGTTTAGCAAAATAAATTATTTTTAAAAGTACTTATAGTCCTAGCATAGTACTAAGTTAATTTTCCTAAATTGACTTCATTTTTAACTTTCTATATGAAATTCAATACTTAGTACATCTTCCTCTTTTACGTGAATGACTATATGGATTTATTCTTTTATATAATTTCCTTTATTCTGGTAAGATAAAAGGTAGGGTTTCTAGAAAATTATTATTTTATTTATTTATTATTTTTTGATGCAGAGTCTCATTCTGTCATCCAGGCTGGAATGCAGATGCATAATCTGGGCTGACTGCAACCTCAGCCTCCCAGGCTCAAGTGATTCTCCTGCCTCAGCCTCCTAAGTAGTGGGGGTTACAGGCATCTGCCACAATGCCTGGCTAATTTTTGCATTTTTAGTAGAGACAGGGTTTCACCATGTTGTTCAGACTGGTCTCGAACTCCTGACCTCAAGTGATCTGCCCACCTCAGCCCCCAAAAGTGCTGGGATTACAGGCATGAGCCACCGTGCCTGGCCTAAAAAATTATTCTAAAATCTCTAGTACCCTATATTGAATTGAATTGACAATGATGTAGTTTAGAGAATTTTATTTTTACTTTTTTATGATTGTTATTTAAATTTTTTTCTAGATACATAATACTTATGCATATTTATGGGGTACGTGTGATATTTTGTTACATGCATAGAATGTGCATGCATAGAATTACATGCATAGAATGTGTAATGATCCAGTCAGGGGACTTAGGATATCCATCACCTTGAGCATTTATCATTTCTGGGAGTTGGGAACATTTGAGTCCTTTCTCCTAGCTATTTTGAAATACAAACGACAATGTTCTTAACTGTAGTCACCCCAGTCTGCTATTGAACATGAAGCTTATTCCTTCTATCTAACTGGAATTTTGTATTCATTGCCCAATCTCTCTTCCTCTTTTCCCCCTCCGCCATTTCCTGCCTCTGGTTACTATCATTCTCCTCTCCCCCTCCATGAGATTAGGGAATTTTAAACCACCTAATCCATAGAATGCTGTCTTCAAAAGCCTGCAGCTCCTGCTGCTGCCTGCCTGCTGAGCTCTGTTTCCTCCCTCTCTTTGCCCTTCCTTTCTCTGAGGTGGCCCAGATTCTGGTGGGTGTCTCTTAGCACAGGGGGTAAAGGGCTGGGATACCACATGCCATTAACATTATTTGATCATGGAAATATTGGCCTTTGCTTTCTTTATAATTGTTTTGAATTAGCAGCAATTTCTTAACCCAATAAAACTTCCTTACCTCATTTTCTACCTTTTGTGAACGTATAAAATAAGGTCTCCTAACTAAATGAAATAGACATTATTATGTATATGAGAGTGCTGAATATGCCTAAAGTAATAAATTGGTTTCATTGCTTTAAAGACATTCATGTACAGATAGCAGCAATTCAAAGAATTGTTCATCTGGTTCAAGCACTTCCTTGAAGCCTTCTATATGATGCTTTATTGAGTTAGTTATGATATAATATGAAAAAAATAAATGTTATGTCATAATATTACCTAATTTAAACCTTTAAGTAATTATGAATGTTCCTCTTTCTAATCAGACAAAATAAGATTTAATAACATTCCATAATGTGAAGCTTATTTTTATGTTAATGTATAACATTTAAACAAAAAGGCATCTAATTCCTTCTGAAAACAGATCAGCTAAGAACTTCTAAGAATGCAAATGTGTTGTTATCCCTGACTTGATATTTTACATTTTCTTGCATTTATTTTGTCCTAGAGATCCAAAGGTCTAGTACAGGAATAGCTGTAAAAGGGACAAAAGGAATAGGCTTGATGTGACTCTGATAATATATGGTTTCATTTGACTCTGGGAGGAAAAACTTCAAAGTAGATTATTAGTTGAATAAATTCAGCTCTAAAATTGTCCACACACAAGCTGAGAATTGACTTTTGAATCAGATCCACCAGAAAAACAAACAAAAATAGAAGCATTATTCGGTCTAGAATTTATACAAAGTAAATTAAAATTTAAGAAACACGTATAAGCAAAGTCAAGTTTGTGATTTTTAACTCTGTATCTTGGTATCTGTTCTCTGCTAACATAACAAACTGTTGTTTTGAAATTGCTGTTTTCCAACATCAGAGGATCAACACATCTTTCTTCCAGGAAGGTAATTTAGATAGAATTTTATCCATGTAGGTAATGTGTGTAGAGGCAGTTGCTTAAAACTAAAGATGTATATTCGTATTTGATGTGCAGAGAACTTGCTAGTGGCAGCAGACAATACAGAGTTTGTTTCTCTGATTTTACTCCTCATCAACCTCCTGTATCCAGTCGGATTTCACTCCTGTCAGCTCATGCTGTTGCATTTATATTTGATTTTCCATAGTTTTTGCTATATATGGTTCATAATATTTTTTCGAAAGAAAAGTTGTAGATATGAAAAAAGGAGTGAGAAATTAAAGATAAGTGGTATTTGGGCAGCAATTATAATTAACTTTATAGTCTACATTTTTTTCAGATCTCTTAATTTATATCCCAACCTTTTCAACATTTTCTGCCCATTTTGAACATTTGTAAACATTTTGAGAACACTTTTAATTTGCTGTCATCTACTTCATTCTTATTGGCAAAGTAAGAGATAATTTTGAATAAAAAGAGCATTTTCATGAGAATGTCAGCTTGGACAGAGTAAGCTGCATGTTGGTTTGTAATTAGACAAGACTATTTAGAATGCCGGTCTCAGTTTAGAAAATCACAAGGCCCATTAAAGAAAACAGTTTATGTAACTCTGTGAAGTGTGTGTGTTAGAAGTGTTAGAACAAAAAATACTGTGAGCTTCTCTTGGGTTTTTGTTTAAAGCAGGTAAGTGTTTTAATTTTGAAGTTATAAAAGATTGCCTATTTATCAATGTTTGGCAGATCGTATAATATCACTTTGGTGGAGGATATACTATTGAGGCTGAGGATATTTGTTCCGTATAAAATATAACATTTAGACCATTTCTGTAATGATCATTCTTACTCTCTATTGGAAAAAATCCAGGATTTCAATTCCTGTAAAATCTCTTATGATATACTCATATCTTGTATACTACATAGTTGACAGAAAAAAAGAGCAGATTTGTATAAATAACATTTTAAATAGCAAAAGTGCTAAAAATAGAACATGTAATTGTCATTCATTTTATTTCATGAATTTGTTTTCTTTCTGAATTTTTTTTTCTTTTTTTTTTTCACAAAACAGGATCATTTTGGAATTCAGCTTCCTTTGATACCGAGGCTTCATATCTTCATTTTCCTACCTTCCACGGAGAACTTAGCGCGGATGTATCTTTCTTTTTTAAGACAACAGCTTCATCTGGGGTATTTTTAGAGAACTTGGGGATTGCTGATTTTATACGGATAGAGCTTCGCTGTAAGTCTCCTTTTCCAGAGAAGTGTATGAGATTCTATCATTTAGTAGTAAATCTTTTAACTAATTTTTAAACTACTCATGTGTCTACTTTATCATCTGATTCTTTTCATTGCGCCCCTTTGAAAAACTCAATAATATTAACTTATCCTGTTTGTAAGAAAATAATTTGATACTTAACATGTGATAATTTGGGGAAATAACTGGTAGTTTCTTGTACCAATTTAAATGCAGTTTTAATTTCAGTTAATTAAAACTAAAACACAATTTTTTAGTTAATTACAAATTACTTAATCAACCACTCATTTTGATATACTTCTAAGCTGCTCTTATCTTAATATCAAATGTGTATAGCATGCCTTAAAAATTATGTAAACTTTGAGTTACTGTAACAGTTATTTTTACGTACAATGCCAGTTGCTATTTAGTTTCCTTGCCTTGGATAAATAGCTTTACTTTTTATCGATAGGAAAAATTAGCTCTGAGGAGGACTATCTTAGAATACCATTTTTTTTTCAAAAACATGAATGTATTTAACTGTCTCATTTCACATCAGAAGACCTAGCTCTGTGTCAGTGTCATGAGTTTCAAACAATAGCATTGAAACCATCTATGTTCGTTATCTTTCTGTTCAGCGATTGTTACGCTGTAGTGTGTTCCTAAGTATATTGGAGACTCGGCACTTCGCCATAGGAACTCACTAGAACAATCTTTATGTGTAATATTTCCAGCTCCGACAGTAGTGACTTTTTCATTTGATGTGGGGAATGGGCCTTTTGAAATCTCAGTGCAGTCACCCACCCACTTCAACGACAACCAGTGGCACCATGTGAGGGTTGAAAGGAACATGAAGGAGGCCTCCCTTCAAGTGGATCAGCTGACACCAAAGACACAGCCCGCCCCCGCTGATGGGCATGTCCTGTTACAGCTCAACAGTCAGCTCTTCGTGGGTAAGTTCTCTTTTTAAGCAATCATTTTATTGTATGATATGTGTTCAGAAATGGCCCAAGATAAAATAATACCAACTATAGAAACAAGGATAATAACAACAAGCAATAATAACAAATCACCATGGATTCACAAACTGTGTCCAAATGCTTCATTTCTTCTGCATAACCAGCCTGTGAAATGGGTGTTATCCGTATTTTACAGATGAGATAGCTGAGCTTCCAGGGTTGACTTGCCTACAGAAATTCATCTCATAAATGAGATTCAGATTTGTGTTTAACTAATTCCTATTTGCCTGCCTGCCTGCCTGCCTGCCGCCCTCCTTTCTTTCTCTCTCTCTCTTTCTTTTCTTTATTTCCTTCCTTCCTTCCTTCCTTCCTTCTTTCTTTCTTTTCTCTCTTTCTCTCTTTCCTTCTTTCTCTCTTTCTCTCCTTTCTTTTCTTTTCTTTTCTTTTCTTTTCTTTTCTTTTCTTTTCTTTTCTTTTCTTTTCTTTTCTTTTCTTTTCTTTTCTTTTCTTTTCTTTCTTGACAGAGTCTCGCTCTGTCACCCAGGCTGGAGTGCAATAGTGCGATCTCGGCTCACTGCAACCTCCGCCCCCAGGGTTCTAGCAATTCTCCTACCTCAGCCTCCTGAGTAGCTGGGATTACAGGTACCTACCACTACGCCTGGCTAATTTGTTTGTATTTTTAGTAGAAATGGGGTTTTGCCATGTTGGCCAGGCTGGTCTTGAACTCCTGACCTCAGGTGATCCACCTGCCTCAGCCTCCCAGAGTACTAGGAAGACAGGTGTGAGCCACTGCACCCAGCCTTACCTGCTTTCTTAATATTACAGGTTACATGATTGGTTTCAGCTTATTTATTTATTATCTTATTGTTTTATTATGATACCAGGAATGTTTATCTCTGTTCTCAGAATTGTTGAGGAAGCCTTCTTTGATGAGGAAATCATCCAGCCGATGCCAAACATTGAACACTCCCCCGGCCCCCCCGCCCCACCAACCATCACATCAAAAACAGGCCAATAGCAAAAAGAAAAGAAAACAAAACAGATACCCAGTGTGTATAGAATTCATGTTTGACAGTTTCACCAGTTCCTCTGCTATTTTCCCTCATTTTGCCCATTTTTTTTTCTGATATTTTCTGGTCACCTTCTTAATATTTATATCAGAATGTTGTTCCTTTATTTCCTAAATCCATTCATGTGGCATTTATAGGTTTGATAGTGGAATCCTTCTGGATGTGTTTGTTTTACTTTGAATCTTTGCTAATTCGTTTGTAGAAGTTATGGACCATGAATTATCTCTTACTTGATCACTTCTCATATAGTTTAACATAAATGAAGACATAAAACACTATAAAGCAGAATAAATGATAAGTTATTAGAAATTGTACTTCAAGGCCAGGCATGATGTAGTCCTAGCACTTTTGGAGACCAAGGTAGGAAGATTGCTTGGGGCCAGGAGTTTGAGACCAGCCTGGGAAACACAGCAAGATCCATCTCTACAAAAAGTAAAAAATTAAAAAAATTAGGCAGGCATGGTGGCACTCGCCTGTAATCCCAGCGTTCAAGAAGCTGAGGTGGGAGGATGGTTGAACCCAGTAATTGGAGGCTGTGGTGAACTATGATCACGCTACTGCACTCCATCCTGGGTGACAGAGGGAGCCCCTGTCTCAACAACAACAACAAAGAAATTATTTTTCAAGAATTCTCAAGAGTTACACTTTTGAAGAAATTTGATCAGATCCCCATTACACCTTTTATTTCTTAAGAGTCTGATCTTATTAACCCTCTCTCACTGGAAAGGATGAAGCATATTTTTAACATATTTGAGGAAGACATTTTTGGGATTTCCAATATATTTGTGTAATTACTGTTTTGATAATTTATTATTTCCTTTACTCAAATATTTAATGAATAGCTTCTATGAGTAAGGCACTATAATAGACAATCTAATCATGATCTTGTGACCACTTGATTGACTTACTTAAGGGTATGAAAATAATAAAGAATGTATGAGAAGAAATATATAACTTTTAATAACACGCTAGAAGCTCAGTCAGGAAATTGACAAAGCTATTTCTTGAATTACAAAAAAATGAGAGATGGCCACAACAAAAGGTATGGCAATTTAAAATCTGTCAGTAGCTTGGAAATAGCCTTACTATTCTTGGAAATTGAGAGGCTGAAATAGTCCTCAAATTTTTCAGTGAAATATGCTGCAGTTTGCCTGTGGATGACCTTTCATTCTTGGTATGAATTTCAGCTTCATGAGATGGAGTGACTGTGTGTTGTGCCGTGTAGGAATCTTGGCCTTAACTTGATTTCAGACAGAAATGAAGCACTAGTATGTCATCAGAAAACTGCTTTAAAACAGACTTGAGTCTTTTAACATCGATCATGTGATACAATTTTAATAAGGATCTGAAAGATTTTGTCTTCATGGAGGCAATTGGTTAGGCCTTTGACCTCACTGTATGTGTTGAAATGTAAGGATGGGTGTTATTCCAATGTTGTATAAAAAATAACTGTTGATTATATTTAAGTCAAGTCACTGAAAATAAAAAAGATGAGGCAACATAAAGATTTGTGAAAAAAGGTGACATATACTGTTAATAAAAATCTGTTTATGCATTTTCCTCCTTCCTGCTCACAGATAACTGTGAGCAAGCTGACATGATTTAGTGTGGTGATACTAAGGGAAGGGCTCATAAAAAAGAAAAAAAAAACACTTGTAGTCTTGGGTAGAGAAAATTACTGGCTGTCAAAACACCACATGAGGGGCTTGGGTTTATCTTCACCTCCACCAGAGTGAACTAGTCTGTTAGGAAAGGGCTTCAATCAAGCTGATAAAACAGTGCTTGCAAGACAAAATATTCATTTATCAATTTACAACATTACTATCACACAAATCAGAATTTAAGAAAAATTGTAACTGGAGATATTTTTTTTTTCCCTGTAGGCAGACTCAGTGAAAGACACATTATAATTGAAAAGTTTATACTGAATTAGAGTATGGTGAGTGAAAAACTAATTTAAAAAATCAGTAGTAATTAGAGCTAATTTAATAAAACACCTACTAGGACCAAAGAGTTCTGTGTCTTCCTGAGAGTATATTTCAGTGGAAGAGAAGAGACAAGCAATTAAAAAAATCTGTCTATCCATCTATCTAGAAAAAAATCTATATAGAGAGAGAAAAAATGTATATAATATAGAGAAAAAATATATATATAACTATATATAGTTTTTATAGTTTATAGTTACATAGTTATATATTTCAGTGGAAGAGACAAGAGACAGCCAATAAAAAAGAACTATTTGTATATATAAAAAATTTTATATAACTATATATAGTTTTATAGTTTATATGTAGTTTATAACTACATATAAACTATAAAATTATATATAGTTATATAATTTATATATAAACATATTATAAACTAATATATATAAACTATTATATACAATATATATAAACTATATATTGTATATAATATAGCTTATATATAAACAGTATAAGCTATATAGTTAAACTAGTTAAACTAGTTTATAGTTAAGCTAAACTATATAGTTTATATATAACTATATATAATTACATATATAACTATATATAAACTATGTAACTATAGTTTTTGTATATAGTTTATACATATATAAAATATATAGTTTATTTACATATAGTTCATATATGGTTATATATCATCATATGTATGTATCCGTACATGTATGCATGCATGTGTGTGCTCATATATATATACATTTTCAGGTAGTGATAAATACCATAAAGTAAAAAGGGTAGCATGGAATCAGGCAGTGATTTGTGTTGGGGACTTCTATGTCAAGTAGGGTGGTCAGTGCAGTCTTCTCTGGAGTCCTCTCTAGCGACATTAGCAGAGTCCTCCTAATTTGAGCAGAGGCCAGATGAAACAGAAGAGAAAACCCTGTGAACATCTGAAGGAAGAGAATTCCAGGCCATGGCTCAAAGTGGTGGGAATAAGCTTTAGGGATTCAAGGAACAAGGAAAAAAACAATGTGGCTGGAAAGAATCAGATTTAGGGAAAGTATGATGGGAAACAAGATTGAGGTATATATCGGACCTTGTAGGGCCATGGCGAGGACTATGGATTTTACTCTAAGGAGTCAGAGGAGTGACATAATTTTCATTTTTCAAGCTCTCTCTTACTACCCAGAAGGGTATGGATGGAGGAAATGGAGGGCAGGCAGGCTATCACAGTGGTCCCTCTGAGAGATGATGGTGCTGCAGGCTAAAGTAGACATGTTGAAATTTAGATGCACCCAACTTGCTAATGAATTGGTCATTGATGTTAGTGTTTTACCACTTATCTATGATAATATGCTTGGGGATGAAATGCTTCTTTGTAGTTCTTTGGTTTTCTCACATTATTTGCCAGTTTTTGTTTTTGTTTATTTATTTTTGAGACAGAGTCTCACTATGTCACTCAAACTGGAGTGCAGAGGTGTGCTCACTGCTAACTGCATCCTTGATCTCCTGGGCTCAAGGGATTCTCCCACCTCAGCCTCCCAAGTAGCTGGCACCACAGGTACATGCCACCACGCTTGGCTAATTTTTGTATTTTTTATAGAAACAGGGTTTTGATATGTTGCCTAGGCTGGTCTCAAACTCCTGGGCTCAAGGGCTCCACCCCCCTCAGCCTCCCAAAGTGCTGGGATTACAGGTGTGAGGCACCGCACCAGCCTAGCTTTGAATTTCACTTGGAGTTAGCTTTTCTTGTTTTCTCCCTTCATCTTAATTTATAGCAGTGATTAAAGCTGTTTCCTGGCTCCACAATCCAAATTATATACCACAAGCCATAAGCTTGCCAGGCTGCAAAGAGTCTCTGGTCCTTCTTCACAGGCCAGAGAAAATATTTAATCTTCTTCCTCTCCTTTAATGAGACACACCTGCTCTGTAATCACCTTCTCAGCAGTAAATTGGGCTTCTTTGTTTATAGATTTTGTTCCAGCACATGTCATATGTAGAAGGACCCTTCTCCCATTCCCTCGCATATTAATACCCTGAAATATGTTAGGGTTAAGTCTTGCTCTATTCTCAGAGCTGGTGACTCCGTGGGTGACTGGTAATCTCTACTTCAATCCAATATAATTGATTTTCTGGTTACAGTTTTAAAGGGTAATTTAATTCCCCTTACTTGCAAGTTCAAGAATTTAATTTGTGGTTCATCTGTCCATCTTAAAGATAATTATAGCTAATCAGCATTTTCGGTGTGCATATCGACTATCCTTTGTATCTGGATATGGGGCAAATGAATGAGGTAAACGTGATTCTGAAAAGTAAGTACAGTTTTCAGCATGACTTTATTCTTCTAATAAGAATGTTTTAAATACAGAGACTGATGGTAATAATAATAATGTTTAAACAAGTTTAGAGATTAAACATACAACAGGAGGACTATAGTTAATAAAATTGTATGGTATTTGAGATTTTTGTTAAATATAGTAGATTTGTCACAAAAAAGTAACTATGTCAGATTATAGATTTGTTCATTTGCTTTATTACAGTAACCTTTTTACTACCTCTGTGTTTCCTGTAACATCATGTTGTAAACCTCAAATATACACAATAAAATTTATCTTAAAAATGAATAAATTACATGGAAACACTGTTTTTATAATATAGGACAAGACTGAAAGACTGTTAGTGTTACTCATTCTAAGATAGATGATGTTATTTTTCCAGCATTAAGTAGTTTTGTTAAAAATGTACCTTCTTCTTGGTAAACAAATTTGGTAGAACCCTATTGTGGAATATTTCAAATAACAAAGTTATTTTAAAATATAAATATGAAATGTTAGAAATTTCAATAACATGGAAATATATTAATTTGAGATACTGTGCTTAACACTTTACCTGCAAATAAAATGTGTGGATATTTGGATATATAATTTGGATTTAAATTATATTCTCCATCTTACTAACTGGGTCTATGTTGGTAATATTTATTAGCATTAAGTTTTTTGAGATTAACATTTTTTAAAAATTTGAGATGGATCTCTCTCTCTGTCACCCAGACTGGAGTACAGTGGTGTGGTGCAATCTTGGCTCACTGCAACCTACGCCTCCCAGGCTCAGGTGATCCTCCTGCCTCAGCCTCCAGAGTAGCTGAGACTACAGGCACATGCCACCACACCAGGCTATTTTTTGTATTTTTTGTAGAGACGCAGTCTCCCTATGTGCCCAGGCTGGTCTTGAACTCCTGGGTTCAAAAGATCCACCCGCCTTGGCCTCCCAAAATGCTGGGATTACAGGTGTGAGCCACCACGCCTCACCTGCAGATTAGCATTGTTGGTAATCTCTCAGAAGTGGCTGTTGCAATGAGACCACGTGAAAGAATCCAGTGTATTTACTCCATTGCTTCTTCACCCTCTCTGCTAAAAGCCGGTCATAAAGTGTGTTCACATCTCAGAGTGAAACTGTGAGGAAAGATTAATGCTTTACTTTCTGAGAAAAATCAGTAAAAATAAATAGAAAGCACTTTTAAAAAATGTGATCCAGTTGGGCAGCAGTTATATATGACAATTGAAATAGGAATAAGGAAATGATAAATGGAGTTTCAGAGATGCAGCTAGCATTAGCCTACATCACCCGAGCAATACAGATCAGAAGGCTTTTGAGCAATCCCTGACGTTTCAAATATTAGAACAATTAACTTCAACTAATCTAAACTGTAGGATGTCATGCAAAGTAAAGGAAGAATAAAATAATGCACAAAACCCTTGTATGACTAAGTGATAAGAATTAACATCAGCGTAATGTGATAGATTAGACACAATGAGCAGCAACGCAATGAACATCTCCTCCTCTCCTCCAGATAATTCCAGCCATCACATCACATTGCTTTTTATAATAAAATGGATTCGCCTTCTCTTTGTAGCCTGTCTTTCTCCATTTTTGTTCTTAGTTGTGACATTGGGTCTTTACTATCCTTTTCATGTTCTTTCACTTTGTCCTTTGTGTGTGTGTGTGTGATTTATGCCTATCTTAAAGAGTCCTATTCAGAACTGCCTCTTATTGTCTTCTAAAAAATGTTTTAGGACCTAATGCTAATCAGTGTATTGAACACGTGCCCTTGACTTGCTAACACTGAGGACTTAGCATCCAGTCACTGCTGTTATCGTAGACTCACAAACATTGTCCAGCCACAGAAATGATGGAGAGAAAAGAATCAATCATTTTTAAAGCTGAAATGTGACAGTGGTCATTTTCTATTTTGGTTTGTAAACTCAGCATTTTCGTAGAAGCTTCTTAAATTAGCCTTGAATTGATTTTTATTCAACCAGCTCCGCAATTTTTGTTTCCAGTCTCAATTCTTTTACTGACAGGTTTTCAAACGGGGCTAAATTTATTTCAGTACTTTGTGACTCTCACCTGGAGGAGAAGTAAGGACCCCTGACATAGTCAGAAGTAACTTGCTTTGCATTTGAATTGCATGGAATCTATAAATATTTATCGACTTTTTAGAGTGAACAATTTCTAAAAACCACATGCAAAGGTTGATGTTGAACTCTAAACATATTGAAGCTCTGAGACTGTAGTGATGAATCTCAGCTGTGTGTGTGTGTGTGTGTGTGTGTGTGTAAACATGTGTGTATTTCTGTGATTTCACCTGGGAGTGAAATTTCTAGGTCACGGCATATGCATAGGCTAAGCACAGGAAATAGTGCCATATCTCTATTCACCATTGGATAGCTTCCTTTATAAAGTGGCTGTTCAGATCTGTTGCCCGTTTTCTATGAGATTGTCTTATTTTTTTTAAAAAAAACTTCATAAGAATTCTTTATATATTTTAGGTGAGTCCTTTTCATATAAATTTATTATAAGATCTTCGACCTCTCTGTGAGTTGATTGTGCTTTCATATTGTTAATAGTGTCTTTGAATGGACACAAGTTATTAATTATAATATATTCCAGATTTTTATTTTTTTAATTTCGGTTTTTTATATGCTAAAATGTAGTTATGGGAAGAGAATATCAAGCAGCCTTAGGTTTGAATTCAGTACAATAGAGGTCGCATTTCTCTTTAATATAATCAAATTGTTTATCTTAATTACGCACTTCTCCCATCCTTGAGGCATCTTTTTCATGATTAGCCTAAGACGCCCCGAGTGTACTTTTCTATATCCAGTAGGTAAATCTTAGCGATCATTGACTGAGGTCAGAATTCAGATGGGATGTCTGGGGACAAGAGAATGTGATTATTCATCAGTGAACAACAGCTGATTTCTCTAAAATAGGCCTTAGCATGGTCAAACTAGAGACTCGCTCTGGCTTCAGTGTGTGCGAAGTCTAAATAGACTCGTTCTTTCTGCTGCTACTACGACTGGGGCACGTTTTCACCCCTGACTTTGGTTCAGGGAAAAGTGACTGAATTTTCTTCCCATGACACTGTCACTTGCAACAGCTGCCTCTTTGAACCACGATAGTTCTTTGAACACAAGGAAGAATAGTCCTGTTCCTCCCCTCCTTTCCAGGACTTTGCTTAATGAAGAACATTGCGTGACAAACTTAGAGCTGGGCCTCCAGATTCCCTACCTTCTATGTTAACCAACAGCACTATTTCTGCAAGGCAGAGTTTTCCACCAGGAAGCGAACAGGGTTGACGGTCCAATGCTTGACATATAGAAGACAACTTTTTCCCTTCAATCTCCTGACTTGGTCCTGGGCCCAGCCTGCATGCCCTGTCACTATTCTGCCCCAAGTTAATTTGTGGTTGAGGCTTTGCCTGTTTTTCTTTGCCATAGTGTCAAAGTCAGGCAGTGTCCTTGTACTGTGCCAGGCAAATCTCTATAGCTTTGAATTTTAAAGAGAAGGTTGAGGATCTTGATTTCTTTATTTCTGTAAGGCCCCTGGGTGAGTGGGTGAGTTATGCAGTTGTTCCCAATTAATTCTCAATAATATTCAAGCACAGCACATGAATAATTTGCCATTAAAAATTTAAAGTGTAATCTCAAAGGTCTTTCTGCCACAAAAATAGTGGAAAATTGGCATAGGAAAGAACCAGCTTCTACTCCATGACAATAACGTCTGTCGCTTATAGTAATTTCCTGAGAATAATAAACATGAGGAAAGGGTTTGGTGCTGGGTCTCTACTCAGCACCCAGAGAAATTATTCAGATGCAGGCCCTCAATACCATTGCATAAGTGGACAGGTTCAGTTAAACTCAATAAACACGGAAAGGTTGGGCATTTGTTTCACAGGATACTCAGTGTTTGTGAAGTCCCGAAATTCATTATATCTGATATAACATGGCAGGTAAATTGATAGAAAATTAATTGGAAGACAGTTCCAAACGTAATAGCTCAGTGGAAACATCCAGAATCAATTAACCAAACTGCAACTCATTTTAATTGGACACACTCTAACCCTGAAAAGGCACTGGAATCTTTAATTAAGCTTTCAAGCCCAGTCCTATTTACATTAGCCACGTTTTTCAAATAGTTACATCTGAAAATAAAGTTACTGACTTGAAACCTAACAGTAAAGGAAAAATTCTAAATACATGTATGACACAACGGTTTGTGTCTAATTAGACATTATGTTTTCTGGTCATTTAGAGTGTGGCTTAAAACTATTTGGTTAGGTAAATAACGAAAGTACAGAATTAAGATGTCATGTTTTTAAAGTTGTGTACTGATTTTCTTCTCACTCTTACAAATATTATCTAAGCATATATTTCACATGTATATACATTTATTTTCTTCTGCTACTCACCCCACACTCTGACCTTCTTCTTTACTGTGTATTTATTTTTATTATCTTGTAGTAATCTTGTGTTTCCCCATCTAAATTTATTACTAGAGCTTTTTGTCAGCAAGATTGATTTCATATAGTTTCATACCTTCAGTGCCCAGAAAGAGCTGCTAAATAAAGCTTGGAGAGCTGAAGTGTTGTTCAATCCAAAGATGAGCTGATGCATACAAGAAAACGGATAAGTCTTCTTTTACCAGATAGTGGTGTGAAGTGCAAAGAAACTTCCTTGGAATGGAAGGCTATCTGTGGGTCTGAATCCTGCCTCTGCCTCTAACGAAATGTGTTTATTCTAGTATTTCCTCAGATGGACCTGTGGACCAATCTTTGAAATTCTCTATGCCCCTAGTTTCCCATCATCCAAAACAAACTAAACAAACACAAAAAAATCAGAACAGCTGGAAATGGACTTTAGTCAGTTGTTGGACCCCAAGTTATTTAGTTACGTTGTTACTGGCAGAATGAGATAAGCCTGTGAGTTAGGGAGACTGTGCATGTTTCAGAGCAGCAAATGTATAACAATGTGATTTAATGTTACTGTATACTGTAGACTGTATACCATGATTTAATGTGGGATAATACAAAGTAAATTAAATACACCAAGAGCACACCTTTAATTCAGAGTTCACAGAATGTGGCCCCCCTGCAAAAAGTTCCTGTGCCAAAGTGAAAACCAAGATGTGAGCTGGACCTTACCCAGGGAAGAAATATCCAACAAGGACGCCAAAAGAATCCTGGCCAAAGACTTTGAGCCCTGGGAGCTCACTGAGTTGAGTCAACAGAGTGGAAGAATAGGGAGGTGTGAAGATAAAGAAGTAGCAGCTCTGGTAAGGAAGAAAAAGAAAAATCCTGAGGATAAGGGCAGAAGAGAGACTTCAAGAACGGCAGGTCCTCAAAAAACTACAAATAGAACTACAATGTGATCCAGCAATCTCAATAATGGGCATTTATCCAAAGAAAAGAAAATCAGTGTATTGAAAAGACAGCTGCACCCCTAAGTTTATTGCAACACTATTGACAATAGCCAAGATGTGGAATCAACCCAGTTGTCCAATAACAAATGAATCGATAAAAAAAAAGTGGTGTATATATGTAATGGAATACAATTCAGGCATAAAAAAGAATAAAATCCTGTCACTCACAGCAACATGGATGGAACTGAAGGGCATTATGTTTAGTGAAATAAACCAGGAACAGAAAGTTAAACACAGCATGGTATCACTCATATAAGGAAGCTAAGGAAAGGGTGATCTCATAAGTAAAAAGTAGAACAGAGGATACTAGAAGATGGGGAGGGTACAGGGAAGGGGCACAGAGATTTGTTAAAGGATATACTATTACAGCTAGACAGGAGGAAAAAGTTCTAGTGTTGTATGCCACTGTAGAATGACTATAGTTTACAATAATATGTAGTTTCAAATAACTAGGAAGATATTGAATGTTCCCAACACTAAAAAATGATAAATGTTTGAGGTGATGGTGATGCTAACTACTCTGATCTGATCACTAATATCATGTATATCACAACATTATGTACCCCATAAATATGAACAATTATTATGTGTCTATTAATTTTTACAACAGAACAACAAAAAGGAATAAACAACTCAATTGGGCACCCATATTAAAAATCTTAAAAAAAAAATGGCAGAAGTAAATGTAAATGTAGGAGGAATTAAACAAGAAGATTTCCAGGCATTCCAAAACTCTGTGATGAAATTAACTCCATGCCTACCATGCCCACTTGTGACAATGGCAATATGTTGACACTCTCTAGATTTATAAATAGATTTATAAATAGAACAGCCAACACCCTTAAGACCTTGGCATCCTTCACTGAGGAGAAACCAAGTATGTAAATGGAAACATTTTGAATAGACATTTAAATACAGCAATTTGGATATAGTTATAGCTATGAATCTGAATTCTGAATAGTGTTAGTGTCCGTAAGTCCAGAATTCTCAGGAATTCTTAGAGGTTCCTTTTCATAGTCTTTCATTATTTGCAAAGAGATAATTAGTTTATTAGAAATGTTCATTAAATTCGGGCCTCATTCTCAGTCTCAGAGACCCAAGCATCTCTGTGGGGCAAAAGGGGTCCCCCTTTACCCTTGAAGCACTATGCCCATTTCTCCCATTTCTATGTATATTGTGGTTTAACAAATGAATGGATGGATTTCATAGTTATAACACAGAAATTATTTGTCTACCACTGTTCTTTGTGCTGGATATACAGTAGCAATTGAAGTAGCCCTTGTTGAATGAAGGCTAGGTTAAGGAGCTACCTAAATGATTTGGAAGAAACGAAGTGAACATGTTTTAGGAAAAGAGAATTTATATGTAAAGAGTACATACAAGGTCCTGGTGATGAGACACCATCATTTATCCAAAGATGGAGCTTCTTTTTAGAGGCCTCATAACCATCTAATTGCCTCTCAATAGAATTGCCAGGTTATTTAGGTTAGGGTACTCTTTTCCCGCTTCAAGTTCTGAGCATTAACTTAAGAGTATTCCTGGACACAAATTTATGTATGAATCTACCCAGGGCTTACACTTCTATCAGGGTAGTGCTTATACAATGATGGTCTAGTGATCATCTGAATTAGAATCTCCTGCAAGCTTTGTTAACTGTTGAGATTCACAACCCTATTTTTGGACCACAGAACCAGTATTTCTTGGAGCAAGCTACCGAGTCTATTTATTAGAAGCTCTCCGTGTGATTATGTGTTACCCATATTTCTTAAAGTTTGAGAAACTCTACCTTAGAATAATAGGGTCTGATTCCAACCCAACATTGTAGACCTCTTCAAGGATGACTTGATAGGTACATATGGTTATGTATTCAATAAACGTTACCGTTACATCACTTATTTCTGTATCGATCCCCTTTTGCAATTTTGTTAAGAATCTTTCCAAGCATAAAACACTGAACACTAGACTAATCTTTAGAAAAACAATCACTGGGAAATATGTCAGCCAAAAACAAATAATCTGACATTCAATTACCATCTTTTCAATGAATGGATAACAACCAAAGGACCATATCAATGCACCATCAGAAGATCTCAAGGACTCCTTCATAATTCTCACAAAGTTAAAACTGTACCAGAATCAAGATCAGGTTTAAATATGAAGGACAAACCACACTTACCCAGCAATATATACTTATTCAAATTCCCAGAAAGTAGTTTCTACATTAAAATAACGATACATGTCACTGTTATTTTCAATGAGAGTAGTGTATGACCTCTATTTTATTCCTCAATTTAAAGATCAATAAATATTTTTTAGAAAAAAAATGTAACATATTCAACTTTTAAAAAAATTGAATTAAAGTTGTATCTTTCTTGGAGTCTATATTTGACCATGAATTGTGTTTCCAAAATTATATTTGCTCATCCATTTTTTTTGCCGTTCTCTGTAAGGCCTCAGTTTTGTTTGGTCTTTAAACCCTGAATAAAACACCTAGGAACATGTTTCCATTTGCAGTATTTCCCTTTTAGGTGGAACGGCCACCAGACAGAGAGGCTTTCTGGGCTGCATTCGGTCTCTGCAGTTGAATGGGATGACCCTGGATTTGGAAGAAAGAGCCCAGGTGACTCCAGAAGTGCAGCCAGGTTGTAGGGGACATTGCAGCAGCTATGGGAAGTTATGCCGCAATGGAGGGAAATGCAGAGAAAGACCCATTGGGTTCTTTTGTGACTGCACTTTCTCTGCATACACAGGGCCATTCTGCTCAAATGGTAAGTGTGGCATGGAAGACTGTAAGAGGAAAATTTATTCAATGTGGATTAAATGTCTGGCAGTTCTTTTCTATGCAGCTATTTGAAACAAAAAAAATTCAATTTCTGAATTGCTTTGGCAAAGTATCTGTTGAATGTAAAGAATGAGTACAAGATCCTGGTGATGAGACAGCATCATATATTCAAAGATGGAGCGCATCATATTTCATTACTTAAATATTTGACTCATTTATGAAAAACTAGTGTTTGTTGATGGTAAATCCATTAATAGTCACCTTTATGTATTATAAAGTGTTAGTTGCTCAATCTGCTTTTTTCTACCTAGTGTTGATGCTCTTAAATAATATGGCTGTCAGCAACCTGCCCCATGGGGCAATTCTTTATTTTAAAATCATTTAAAGCATTACTTTTTTTTTTATTTGAGACTGAGTCTTACTCTGTCACTCTGTCACCCAGGCTGGAGTGCAGTGGCGCAATCTCGGCTCACTGCAACCTCCACCTCCCAGGTTCAAGCGATTCTCCTGCCTCCGCCTCCCGAGTAGCTGGGCTTACAGGAGCCCACCACTATGCCCAGCTAATTGTTGTATTTTTAGTAGAGATAGTGTTTCACCATGTTGCCCAGGCTGGTCTCAAGTTCCCGACCTCAAGTAATCCACCCACCTGAGCCTCCCAAAGTGCTGGGATTACAGACGTGAGTCCCCATGCCCGGCCCTGTTACTATTGTATTTGTTGAAGATATTCAACAATGCAAGGATATTTAAGATGCATTGTTTTTTATTTGAGTTTTTCAGACATAGTTTTTCCAGAAATATAAACAATATACCATTAAATATCGATGCATTACAAAAATAGACACATTTATACATTAATCATACATTTTATTGTATGATATGTTGAATATCTGCTGGTGAAATAAAATAGTAGAATACTTTTCAGCTTCTCTCATTATCTGATATGCCTCATGGAAGAAGAAAAGAACAGTTGTAGGATTAAGTGTTCTGGACAGACTTCCATGAATATACAAACATTTATTACTCTTTCATAGTTCCTCATAGAAGACTGACATCCAATTTAAATTCATTTACTTTATTTAAAGTGTCTCTTGGCTATTGAACCTTTTCCTGAAGGAGGCTAACAAAACTTGGCTCCAGATTAAAACAACTCCTGACTTACAAAGAAAGCATGGGATGAGTTAATAAAAAGATGGCCAAATGCTCTTTTCAAGTCATCTGCTTTTCTCAGGAATAATCTATAATTTACAAATCAACTTGTGATCATAATCATATACTGCTGGTACCATTCTAGGACACTTTTCATGTTTAAAGTGATCATTAAGACCACTTCATTAAAATAACATGTCTTTGTTTTCTGGATATAAATAATTTCCAGTTCATCTTGCTAAGTGCAACCGTAAATGTTACTCTGTATGCACATATTATATTGAATATAAAATGCGTGTTATAGATAATAAAATAATGAAACAATTAAAAACTCTAAGATGTCAAGGGAGCCTAAACATTACTGTATGATCCAGTAAGTATCATCTACAACTTGTATTCAATAACCAGTCCTTTTTCAGTAATGGAGAGAAGCAGATTCAGGGATTTAAAACTAGTTATTTCTTCTGCCATCTTCTTCATTTTCATACATATGTATTTGGTGTGTGTGTGTGAGAGAGAGAGAGAGGAAGACAGAGAGAATTTGGGATATTAATCTCATACCAGGAAAATACTACACTTTTGTAAAATGATTTAAAAGAGGTTGGTTAGTTCTGTTTGTTGATCCTGTTTCCCTGTATCATGTTAATACTAGACTTAGCTTTCTTTTTATAGTACACAATAACTATGAGAAAATGTTTAGACATAAAGGAAAATTTCTGCCTCTTGATCCTGGGAAAGAAGAGAGTCTCTCAAACATCCTTCCTTCCTAACTATTTTGTAGATAGGAGGCCCTAGACTTCCTTTAAGATACACTTCATTTAAGATTGTACTATCTGCAATATAACAGATGGGAGTTAAAATTTAAATAAAAAAGTAGATGATCAAGGAGATAGAAGACAAGCCTGGTTTGTGTTTGAACTCAGATAAGAAAGCATTTAACTTTCAACTGTAAAATTATACTAGTGCATTAATTATATGTCATTTTAACAGAAAGCCATTTCAAAGATCATTTTGAAAGCTCTATTAACTTACTTTATTATTTGATTCTATTTTGGGGTTGGTTCTTCTATCTATGCAATTCATTAAAGAAACTAAAATATAATTATTGTAACTAAAACAAAATCCTTGTACTTAAAATTTTTAACAAAAATATATATATATATTATTTCAGAGATTTCTGCATATTTTGGATCTGGCTCATCCGTGATATACAATTTTCAAGAAAATTATCTTTTAAGTAAAAACTCCAGCTCCCACGCTGCTTCATTTCATGGTGATATGAAGCTGAGCAGAGAAATGATCAAATTTAGTTTCCGAACAACACGAACACCAAGCTTGCTGCTTTTTGTGAGCTCCTTTTACAAAGAATACCTTTCTGTGATCATTGCCAAAAATGGTGAGTTCTTTTTAGATGAGAGAGAGAAAATTAAATTAGAACACTAGCTCTGTAATAATATGGATCATTCTCGTGTTCTGGCTTCTCAAGCTACAAACAGAAAAATGGAGTGTGCCTGTTTTTTGTAGTCATATTTTTAGTACTATCCTATAAGTATAATCTAAAAGGATTATTTAAAATGATTAAGATGCCCTTATCTCTTTATGATTTTGATAATTTTACATATTCAATGTATAATTTTATTTATATAAAACATTTATTATATTATTGTTAGAAGCTCCTTGACTATTCCATATGGCTATCAATATTTGTTTCATAGTTCATTTTGAAATAAGGTGTCTTGTTGTATGTAACTATTTCCTGCAAATCAAAGTAAAGAAACATTAAGGGAGTGTTAATAAACCAGCATTTTGAGTAAGAATATGTCCACAAGATGACCTTTTAGTTGTACTTTTAGTTAAAAAAATCATCATGGGAAAAAAATGTTATATCCATGCAGTGTTAAGGGAATGTAGATTAGGAAATGTGTTTCCTACAGAAAACCATTTACTGCTATTTTTCTCTTTCCCACATCTAGATTAAAGGTAAAAATTTTGGAAATAACTTCTCTGGATAAGAAAAGCAAACATACAAACATGTGACTATATCATTTCAACTGATTCAAATATATCCCAAGGGTACTGTACTGAACACCAAAATAAAAATAAGATTGTTCGATAAGTGTATTTATTCTTACTGTGCATTTTGAGCTTGAAGCTTATTTATATATTAGGGCATTTTCTTTGTCAAATTGAAAGATATCCTGTGAAATAAATTAACTGACATCTCTGCAGGCAATTAAATGAGTAGTACTAATTGTGATGGTAAATTTGGCTTAAAATCATTCATCTTACCATTATTTCATTTCAAAGTCTATGACCATGACTACTTGGACATATTTCTTCTCTTTAGTAAAACTACATTTGTGTTTAATAATTTCATTAATTGTTGTATTTCCAGAGTGTGAGATATATTTTTTAAATATAGGAACAGAATATTATTGCAATATTAAGCAATAGGTTGGCATTTCAGAAATACTTAATATTATTTTTTAAGTGAGAGGCAAGTGCAGAGATTTGCATATGCTTAATCTGAGTTGATGTTAAATTAAAAGATTTGCAGGAAAGAGAGTGCTTGTGTGCAACATACTTGGTCATGATTTTGCAAATACATTATTGCAATTTCACTTGGAAACTGACTCTTGGGGATTATAAAAAGGTATCTTCCAATTTTTCCCTCGAAATGAATAAATAGCAACAAAAAATCACTCTGATTTTTAAGTAAGCCGCTCTCAAAGTACGATTTTTACTAAAAGAATCACAATTTTTCCCCACTCTAGGAAGTTTGCAGATCAGGTACAAGTTAAATAAATATCAAGAGCCTGATGTTGTTAACTTTGATTTTAAAAACATGGCTGATGGACAACTTCACCACATAATGATTAACAGAGAAGAAGGAGTGGTCTTTATAGAGGTAATGTAGTAAATTCAGCAGAAGCAATCATTTTAATGACTCTCCAGCATGAAGGATCTCAAGCAGAAATTTGATAATGAACACAATAAGCAGAGACACTTTCATTGGTCTTCTTCTGCAGATAATAGACCTCAAATGTAGTCAGGATTCTTTTAAGCAATAAGATTTTGTTCATTATATTATTAACATCGGATACTTTAAATGCCAATCTTTTCTAACTTGTTTCTGCTCAGAAGGAAAATGATGTCATAGTGTGCTACTGGTAGGACCATTGCTATGCTAATGAAACCGGTTTACTTTAGATAAATGCAGTAATAAATCTATCAGAAAATAATGATTGTAATATCAGAATTTTTGTTAATGATATGAGTCACAGCAAAGAAAATGGAATTATTCATGGAGCCAGTTTTTGAAGAAAAGCACTAATAATTTTTTGGTTCTCTGCCTAGAAGAAAATTTCTTAGCTGCCTACCTCAAATAAAAATACCAAGTAAAAGTGTTAAGGTGAAAAATAACCTTTTGTATCTTTTTGTTGGCTTCATCAATTTTGGATTCCTTATCCAGTGGAGAAAAATAAAATGATACAAGGGGATAGAAGGTAGGGTGCACTGGCATCTGAGGGTAGTATAGAAATAATACTAATATTGTATTATATATTAATAATTATATAATAACACTTAGAAAAACCTTTCTAAGTGGCTAAGCTTTTAAATTTTGTTTTTTTCTAAATGTTTGGGGCCATGCTAACAACTGCTTAATGTATCTTTTTCTCTTGTCCTCTGTTGCTTCCTGTCTTCTCAACAAAACGTCATCCATTTGGATGTTTTTATCTTGTGTAATAATTTTGTAGATTGACGATAATAGAAGGAGACAAGTTCACCTGTCATCAGGCACAGAATTCAGTGCAGTCAAATCTCTGGTATTGGGCAGGATTTTAGGTAAGTGAAAGAAACAACCTTTCCCCTAACCATGCTAATCATGATACATAAGCATGGATCAGAAAAGTCATATTACACACACCCACTTCGTCATGGCAAAGGAAATCCCTTGCCTATTTTGATTATGAAGTGAGTGATAATCAAGACAGAGGCATATGCAGGCATGAGTAGGGGCGTCCTGTGTGATGAGCAAGCATCTTCCTTTGATGGTAAGGTCACTCTGGTCTCAGTCCTGTCTCAATAAAGTATAATGAAATATGGTATTATTCTCACATTTCAAAAATATTAAATAATTGAAAATAAAAAATAACAAAGTATGTATTAATTAGGTGCCAAATATACAAACTTTCCTCTAATGATAAAACTAAGATTAGATTTAAAAAATGGAAGAAGAATGCAATTACTTTTTCTTCTAGTTAGTTAATATGTTTCAGGTTATGACTTGGATTCTATTTGCTTTGTTGCAATGTTGCCCTTGGCAGCCACGCTTGCTCAGATGCAATCTAAATGCCTTATAATGCTTATTTATTTCCATCAATTACCTTTAATTACAGCACTGGAGTAGAAATGCACTGTTGCCATTTTAACATCAGAATATGTTTGCATTTTTTTACACTTGCCAACAAGGATTAAATTGAAAAGTAAATTTTAATAGATATTTATTTTTTAGTTATACATTAATCATTAAGAGTATTGGAATTTCACCTTATTTGAGGAGAGGGGGGCTCTTGTAGCCTAATTTTTATTCCTACTCTGGTATTTGACACTAATCTGAAATATTTTGTCCAAGATAGTAAATGGAATTTTATTTTTTGACCTTTGCAGTTATTTGTACCTCAATTAATCATTCCTTATGTTGCCTGTAGCTAATCTCAGAACCTTGAGAATGTTTGATTAAACCCATAGGTGAATGATCAAAATATTGGCCCCTGAGGTTAATAGTTCAGCAAATAAATATTTACAGGCTTTCAAGTGCTATGATGAGCACCAAGATTATGTGTTCTTATTCTCCAAACAAACAGGGGAAATACCATGAATTGCAATGTTCTTCCATTATCTATAGTGGACAGAAAAAAATATGTGCAAAGTACTTCTTAGATGTTTGGAAGCTTAACTGAAAAATTCCAAGGGAGTCTCACAGTGTTATTATATAAATCCAGCTATTTAAGACTGACATGTGTATCATTTGCTCTAAGAATATGTATATAGCCAATAACATATTTAGCATGAAATGACGATTCTACTTTATTCCGTTGATTCAAGTCTTGTCCTCTGATGTATAATTAACAGATAAGACCGTGTGCACTCTTAAGTCTGTGCACATGGGTATTAGCTTTAGACAAAACTTCAGATGCATAGAAAAACATGGCTAGGCTCTCCCTTTGTTAAAAACAAAAGAGAATATATTCAGTTATTTCATATTTAGTATTGGGAAATATTTATAGCTATTTCAGGCCACTGTGGAGGTAAGAACATTAGTGTCTAGGAGACTATTCAGCTCTGGGTATGTAACTATCTAGCTCTGCCTATTTAGCTTTGGATATGTGACTAAGGTATTTCTGAACATTATTTTTTAATAACATTAGAGGGTCTTATTCCATGTATAGCTATGGCATAGCGTAGGAAGCCAAAGAGAATTGTAAAAGTCTAAACAAACAAGCAGCAACAAAAACAAAGCCTCAACTGTTTTAACTGTGGGACCCATCTACTTCCCTACAGATGGCTCTCAGCTTTGGGGGAGGTAAGCGTGCAGGTGGCTGGGAAAGGGATGAGAGCCCCAGAGAGACCCAGGATGAGGCAAAGATGTAGGGATCATAGGGTGGAGCCCCAACCTCTGCAATGAGGCAATCTGTCTAAAAACCTCTTTGCTGAACATCAGGCTCACAGAAGACTCAGCTCCTTATTCTGTCCTCACTTAAGCCTACCTGCCACATAACTATTGTTATTTACAGAATTAAAAATATGTGCAACTGTGATTTGGAAGAGTCCTCGTCCCCCAAACTCTACACTAGTACAGTAGATACCATTAATGAGTGGAATTATAAGCTGATACTATGTCAAGATGTCAAGAAGAAATTTTAAGTAGGTTTTCTGTGCAAGATATTATACCACTGTGAGTAGAAATATATTCAACATATTATAAAACAATTGGGAAGCTGATTTTCATCCTATAAGGAGGATTGTATTAACCAAACAGTAGAATAACATTCACTATATAAGTCCTCATTTCCCTTTTTGTAAATGAATAAGGGAGATTCCTATAGAATTAAAGACGTTAAGGTTTTTACTCAAGAGTTGCATATTATCCAAATATGCATATCATATATGCTGAAAAGTGAAAGTCCAAACTGAGCAATGAACTTTATGGTCTCAGTCAACTGACTCTCCTAAAAGTATAAGTGATAATTTATTTGGCATATGTCTAAGGTATGGATCTTGATTAGGGACTAATCATTTGTAATTCAAAGGAAACCCATAACTTGTGGTCAAATTTTGTGTGGTATATGAATTTATAGCAACATGTTACATAGTATATCCTTATATTTTAATGCAGTATATTTATAGTGAAATAGATCAACAAGAGTTATTAATATTTCAAAGAGAATTGTTCTGTCTTGAAGTCACTTACTGTGTTAGTCCAGGTCCTCCAAACAACAGCTGTGAAGACAGGATTAAGCATATGAGGATTTTATTAAGGGAACAATCATGTAAGAGAAAATGTGAAGGAGCTGGCTAAGGCAGACAGGACCGTTAGATGTCCATGACACTCTGTCTACAGGGATGGAGAAAGAGAGGGAAAATTAGACAGAAGCACAGAAGTGTCTCAGACCAATGTGCAGTCTAAGAAAGATTTAGCAATGTTCAGGGAGCCATTGAGTTAAAGTCAGCCTCCAGAGGAGTCCCTTGTTTGCCAGGGATGAGCCTGTCTTGGAATGCCTGCTGTGACCTGCCACTGGCTGGGGGCAGTCCTTGGGAATCATGGCCTTGGTACAAGCATGAGGATGGATTTCAGAGCCCAGCAGTGGGGACCCTTGGTCAATTAATCTCCCTGTAGTTCGTGGTCTTTGAGGCACATTCTCACGTTTCCGCACTTATCAAATATGTTTTGCATTTTTGTAAGCCCAGGTGACTCCTTGATTCATATATTAAATACATACCTTGTGATCACCTACCATGTAAACAGAGAACGCCACTCAACAAGGTAGACGTTACATCTGCCCTTACAGAGCTTATGGCAGTGGGGATTTCGATAATCGTGATAACAAAATGTGCCTTTGTATCGACATGAGTGTAATGTGCCCCAATATTGCTTTAGATAAAGTAGTCCCAAATTACCCTCCAAATTAAAATATATTAAAATTCTTCTGTTTTTATAATGTCTGGATATTTCTTCTAAGGGAGTAGCATATAAACATTGCCTTTTTTTTTTTTGGAGTTGTAATTTGCCTACAATTACAACAAACGACTTAAGTATATAACTGTCCCATGCTTTTTCAGGTGGAAAAAGAGATATAAAGGAAATATCTCCCCTCTCTTGAATTTTTCCAGTACTCATTTCTTAAATGTAGAAAACATTCTAGGGGTAATTTTGAATTGCTGACCCTGTTAAAAAATATTACTAGCAGATATTGAGAAAGGTGGGTGAATTTTAAGAAACAGTATCAAACTGTACTCTGATGACATGGTAACCATTTCTAACTACCTGTTACAATTAAAATATAGAAGTACTTAATAACTTTGGCAATAATAATATATTGAAAGTTTAGAGCTATAGTGGGAAGATAAAGGTTTTAGTTAAACAGCTGAGTTCAGATCCTCTCATAATCAGCAGACTACATTGCATTTGCTTTTTATATTTAATTTTACTATAAAATTAAGCTCTTGAGTTCTATTCCTGGACACTTTTATATGTTAGATTAGTTTTATGATTTATTTAGGTAAAAACTGAGAGATTGTTTTCACTCTTTCTCAGCATATAGCTTTTCTATATTAGATACGGTGGTCCATAATAATCATTTCTCTTTTTTGGGGCTGCAGAGCCAAGATGTACTTTCAAATTACTGCAGTGGAGATTTAGGCCAGATGTAAATAAAGTGTGTAGGCAGCAAGGAAAAGGAAGTCTACTCAGTCTCCTCTGATGAGCTATAAGAGAAATCTCCAATGTATCAGAAATTCTTTATGTAAAACTTGCTTCAGTGCTCAGAGGTGAGACAAAAGGTGACCTAGGTAAATTAAGGGAACTGTGATTTTATAAATATATCATGAAATAATTTTCAAAATAATGGATTGGTTATTTTAAAAGCATGTTTTAAAAGGAAAGTGCAAGTTAGAGCAAGAAAAGTAAAATCAAAATCTATCTTACAATCTTTTAAAAAAATGTATCAGGTCCATTGATTTTTAATTTTTTTAATAATTAAAATGTCATAGACTGTCTTCAGTGCGTAGCATGACTTTCTTCTTGTGAAGGCTTTAGTCGATTCCAGAGGGTTAGCCATACTGTATTGAGCTGGCCATACCTAGAAGCTTATTCTCGTAATCATAATACATGAAAGTAGATCAGAGGTGTCATGTTCCAAATCCAAAAAGTATTCATGACGTTGAAAGAATCACATTACCTGATTTTAATAGTAGAACAAATGATAACTTGGAAGTTGAGATTTTGTCATAAGCACGTATAGTCATAGGCAGGTGGTCCCCGTGGAGTGGGCAAGTGTATTCCTCTGACAATGATGTCACCTGCAAAGCTTTTTATTTGGCAGCCAAGCATAATAACACATAGAGCTCTACTTACACTAAAAAAAAATACCAAATGATAAAAGCAAGAGTCACCAATCCAAAATTATATATTTTCAGGTGCCTCAAATCTACAAACCTTCATACAATGATAAAACAAGAATTTCAAAAATAAAAAGGAGAAAGGGATTGTTTATTTCTTTAATTACTAACATGCCTTAAAAGGTACCCAGCCAGGCACAGTGGCTCACGCCTGTAATCCTAGCACTTTGGGAGGCCGAGGTGGATGGATCACGACGTCAGGAGATTGAGATCATCCTGGCTAACACGGTGAAGCCCCATCTCTACTAAAATACAAAAATTAGCCGGGCGTGGTAGCATGCGCCCGTAGTCTCAGCTACTCAGGAGGCTGAGGCAGTGGAGTCGCTTGAACCCGAGAGGCGGAGGTTGCGGTGAGCTGAGATTGTGCCATTGCACTCCAGCCTGGTGACACAGCAAGACTCCATTTCAAAAAAAAAAAGAAAAACTAAAAAGTGCCCACACCAGGAATAAGTAAAAAATAAAGCCCCGATTAGGCACTGATGATAATATGTGAGTGAATTTATTAAAGAATAGTCATCCATGTAAGGAAGAGAAAGGAAGGGATTGGCTGGGGTGTGAACATGGAACCTGTGAAGTGGAGAGAGGGCACTATGCAGCCACAACAAGGAGATACTGCAAGATCAGTATGATCGGGGGTTCCTAAACCACGGGCCACGGACAAGTACTGTGCTGCACAGCAGTAGGTGAGTGGCAGGCAGGCAAGCAAGCGAAGCTTCATCTGTATTTACAGCTGCTCCCCATTGCTTGCATTACCACCTGAGCTCTGCCTCCTGTCAGATCAGCCACAGCATTAGATTCTCACAGGAGTGAGAACCCTATTGTGAACTGCACATGTGAAGGATCTGGGTTGTGTGCTCATTATGAGAATCTAATGCCTGATGACCTGTCACCAACTCCCATCACCCCCAGATGGGACCGTCTAGTTACAGGAAGAGAAGCTCAGGGCTCTCACTGATTCTACATTATGGCCAATTGTATAATTATTTCATTATGTATTACAATGCATAATAGAAAGTGCACAATAAATGTAATGCACTTGAATCATCCCAAAGCCATCCCCCCACTCCCATCTGTAGAAAACCTGTCTTCCTTGAAACTGGTCCCTGGTGCCAAAAAGGTTGGGGACCACTGAGGCTGATGATATTCCAAAGGACTAATCAGAATCAGAGCAGAGAAATTTGAATGCTACCAGCATTGTCTGTTAAATGTAATGGGGTGTTAGAGATGATTCTCATGCCATCATAGTACAATTTAATATTATTACATAAAAATTATCCCCCTTGCTTGATATCTGCTTCTAATGCTTGCTAATGGTGATTGGAGTGAAAAATTGTCACTATAGTTCATCCTCATTTGTAGAAATTAGTACTAGAGGATGGGGAAGAAAGCATTTCATTTCTTTCTGGTCTTCCCTGTGAAAAGGCAGATAGTCTGATGTCATGTCTAAGTACTTTGTTCACAATGTACATAAATTCCAATGCCGAAGTGACTGACTTGTCAATCAGCTTCCTTAAGATAAATATTTACTAGAAAATTATAGAAAAAGAAATCTCTCTAGGATGTAATTAATTAAAGGAAATATACAGATACAAAGTTGTTTTGCCAATTCATTAAGCTATTACTGGATCACAATTCCACCACATGGGGAAAAAGAGAGATCGCAATTAAGATATTTACATAATCTTATTAAAGTTGTATAAAACCTCTCATGGGAAAATATGCCCACATTTTGAATAATGATGTAATTTAACACACAGTAAAAATGACTGAAAAAAATCACTACTCAAAAGTTGAATGAAATTTATAATTACTATTTGTTATTTTTTGTGTCAAATACATAATGGCACAAGAACACTAACAATAATGTGTTGATAATTCATGGTGGTAGCAGTAAAAACCAGGTTGCATCAAATTAACTTGGTTGACATTCATCCATCATTAATAGGGTGTGCTACATTTGCTTTTTATCTCCAAAACTCATTGTAAATTTCAGTTCTGAGTTCTGTTCATTTTTATGTTATAGGAGTTTTCTATAAGCCTGGAGATTATTTTCACTCGTTCCGAGTAGTAGCTTTGGTGTATTTAGAGGCGATGACCCATAGGGATCATTTATCTCTTTGGAGTCCGCAGAGCTCAGGAAGCACACCTCAGGTTTCTGCAGTGGCAATTTAGGCCAGATGTAAATAAAATGTGTGGTCTGAGAGAAGAGGATGTCTACTGAATCTCCCCAGAAGAGCTTTAGAGACAATCTTCCATCTCAAGGATATTTTAAGTAAAACCAGCTTCGAAGCCAAAGGGGTAAAAAAGAAAGTTTAATTAGCTTACCTAAGTACACTGTGATTTTTGCAAACATCTTGTAAAATGACACTTAAAATGAGACAGGTTATGCTGAAAGCAAAAGGGAAATACCTGCCACTGTAAGATAGCTGCCTGTACATAACCTGTGCATTAATCAGGCTTTCAAGTTTATAACTCAGTACAGTAGGTTTGGTTGGCAAACAAATACCTTTTATGATAAACTGCCTCTTTATCCACATAGTATTTTTTTGTCTGCTTTGCCATTTTACTTTCCCACTAACCCTTTTTGTGTTGAGTCCCTGGTGGAATTGCATAAAATAGTAAGAGTGCACCATTCAGTTCCAACCCTGGCTCTCTTGATTCACTGCACCTTTTTTTTTTTTTTTTTTTTTTTTGGCAAGCCTTCTTAATGGATTCCAGACATTGAGATCTTTCTTTTTAAATGACTCCTTCTCATAGGTAGGACATATAAAGTACTTCGTTTTCTGAGTTTTTATTTTTTTGCTTACGCCTCAGGAAATTTCATAAAGCACTCCTTGTAATTGTTCTTACATGTATTGTCGTATCTTTCAAAAAAACAGTCGTTTCTCTGTAATAGAAGGGCACTTCACCAAATTCTAATTTCTCGGTACTCCATTTTTCTTGCAGGCCTTTTGTTAAAAGGTTTCTTCTTTCGACAAGCAGAAGTCACTCCCTTTGTTGGAAATTGCACTTGAGGGTTACTTTTTAACAGGCACAAACACCCAGAAATCCGAGTCAGTTAAGGATTATTATCACAAGAAACACCTAAAACATGACTGTTTTATCCAGATTTCTGTGAAGCAGGAGACATTTGTCATCAGTCTCTCCCTCCACCTACCCTGTTCTAACTCATTACACTGTGTTGGCTTTTGGGGAGTCAGATAACAAGAAAAACTTATATTTTTGCCCATTGGCTTATTAGCACAATTGTCAAAGCAGATATCTGATGCTATGTATTTCTAAGGCCAGCTTTGCTTATGAGCAACTTAATATAGCTGCTAATTTTGTTTGGACTCAATTCTGGGAGGACGGCGGCTGAGTTGCTTGTAGTTTCCCTCCACTTCCGATTCGAATTCTACCCCACCGACGCTTCTGAAATGAGTTGTTGGTCCAGGCGGACAGGCAGGGGGATCCTGGAGGGAACCAGTGAGGAGGCTCTTGTGGGGCTTCCTACCTTCTGGGTTGGAAGGAAGTCCGGGGGCCAGCCTAGAAGAATCTCAGGGGGGGATTTGAATTGTTTGGATCTTGTGGATTGCTTGCCTTACAGAGGTCCCTGGGCCCCATGGGGAAAGATAAGCATTAGAAAGTATTAATGTGCCCATTTTCTCTGTTTCTCAAGGTGCTAAGATGACCTGAAATTTGGGCCATGCCCTCTCTGTCCCAAAGCTGAGTGAGGAGAGGTTTCTTCTTAGGGCTGTGGCCTGCAGCTCTGCTCCTGGTCCACCCAGATCACCACACTGTCTACTTGCCCTGGGTGTGAGCCACCTAAGGTGATCAGTGGCTGGGCACCGGCAAGCAGATTAAAAAGTAAACTAACAAACCAACTCCAGACTTAAAACCATTCAACATCAATAAAAGGAGAAAAAAACTAAACCAAAATGATTTTCTATCAAAATAAAGCTATTCAAGGAGACAGACAACAACATGAATGAGGCTTAGTAAGAGTACTTTAAGGAGATTCTCATAAAGCAAAAAAAAGACCTTGAGGATCTAAAAAATATGATTTTTTTTCCCAAACAAAAAATATAACAGGAAAGAATGATCTTTTTTGCTACTTGAATTTGCATCTGGAAGATCAAGTGAATGAAGTATTTGACCCACAGAGATGTAAGTCCTAAATAATAGAAATCAGGATGGAAATAAAATGAATTTAGAGAATATATAGAGGAGACCTAATGTGAAAAATTGGCATTCTAAGAGAATAAAAAGGAAGAAGGTGAAACAGCAGTAGTGTGCAGATTGTATGAAAAATTCCAAGCTAAATAAAAACTTTGTGTCTGCAGATTGAAAGGGCTTATCATGTTCTATGCAGAATACTGAGATAAGATACACACTTAGGGACAATCTGATGAAAATTCAAAAATCACAGGGTATCTTACAAATTTTGAAAAAGAAGTAATACAGCCAGAAGATGCTGGAATAATATCCATAGTGTACTAAGGGAATAGGGCTGCAAAAAATGTCACCCTTAAAATAAACACATAAATATAACCTAATCCATCAGGGTAATTTTCTGTTCCAGTTACAACCATCATATTGTCTAATTTGTTTTCTTCATAGTATTATCAGTCTTTAAAATTCTCATTTAGTTTTTGTTTCTATGTTTATTGTCTCTCTCCCTTTCCCTGCTAACATGTAAAATACTCAAACATCCGGGCATTTGTTTTCTGTTTCTTTAGCTCATAAAAGGATAAATATTAACTGACCATGTGTCCATTTTGAGTTTTAGCGGTCATTGGTTTTTGTACAATAATTTTGAAATAGGTGAAATGTTTTCAGTTTGTAAGTGTGAGGCTTTTAAAATATATCTCATATCAGATTATTACCAGAGAAGTAAATCTTGTCTGGTGGGGTGGGGCTGAAAAGGGAAGATTTTTTAAAGGCCTATGGAAATTTTATTCAACATTTTAACCTTGTAGAAGAAATGTGAAAAGCACTCTCCCAATTATGCTCCTATGAGAGTTTTTCTTTTTAATTTTTATTTTCTTTTTAATTTCTCATTAAAGTAAAAAGAAAAAAAAAACTCCAAATCAAGAATGCGGTCTTTTTCATGTATATATGTTTAAATCTACATATATTCAAATGAATGATTGCCAAGGTGGACTAAATGATTTCTTTGGTTCCATACACATTGATGAACTGCCTCCTATATAATGACGTTATGCTGGATGTTGGCAGTCATCTTTATGTTTGAGGAGCTCACAGTATCGTATGTAAGCAGCAGAGTGATGCTCCCTCAGTGCTATCTTTGGGTAATGAAGAAGAGCAAGGTGGGTCAGAACATGGCTCAATACCAGATCCCTCACAACAGGAAAGTGATATAATCGCTCTGATTTTCCATTTTCTTTTTATAGAGGATGATATTCAAAATACTAAACATTGTATCAGGATTTTTATTATTACGTAGAAAACATGAATGAAAATAGAGCCCCTCAAAATTCTTTAAAAACTTAGATATAACTGGCCAGGTGCGGTGGTTCATGCCTATAATCTCAGCAACGTTGGGAGGCCAAAGTGGGTGGATCACTTGAGGCCAGGAGTTCAAGACCAGCCTGGCCAACATGGCAAAACTCCATCTCTACTAAAAATACAAAAAATTTAGCCAGGCGTCAATCCCAGCTACTCGGGAGGCTGAGGCAGGAGAATTACTTGAGCCTGGGAGGCAAAAGCTGCAGGGAGCTGAGATCGTGCCACATCACTCCAGCCTGGGTGACAGAGTGAGAGTCTGTTAAAAAAAAAATATATATATATATATATTAGAGCTCAGATGCCCAGGGTTAGTTAAAGTCTAGCTCTCAAGCAAAGATGATTTAAAAAATAAATAAATAAAAGCCACTACAGAGACTGAAAGCAGAGTAAAGGAAAGAGTATCTCAACCAGAGAGTGGTTTATAAACAAAAGAAGCTCATAATTTGGAATACAGTAGGCCAGAGGTCCAGTAATGCCAACAACTGTGTAACTTCAGGTGAATAGTTAAAATTCTGAACTTAACTGTTCCATTTGTGTGACTTGGATAATATACTCCAGTGTCTACTGTAAAGTTTTATCAGTAGCATGCAAATCTTTTAGAACACTGGCTAGCACATAATATACACTCATATATACTTAATATCCATTGCATTGTTTTTACTTTTAATTTAACTTAACTTCCTGGGAACGTAGATTCAAGTTGCCCTGAATATACACTCCCATATTATTATATTTTCAAAAGAAAGACTAAAGTGCACATTTTGTCTTTCCCTACCTATATACAGTGCAGGGGAGAATAGTTGTATTAGTCCGTTCTCACACTGCTATAAAGAGCTTCCTGAGACTGGGTAATTTATAAAGGAAAGAGGTGTAATCAACACAGTTCCACATGGCTGGGAGGCCTCAGGAAACTTATAATCGGAAAGCAACTTATAGGCAGAAAGCAAATTATAGGCAGAAAGCAAAGGGGAAGGAGAAGCAAAAACCTTCTTCACATGGCAGCAGGAGAGAGAAGAAGGATGAACTTCCAAACACTTATAAAACTATCACATCTCATGAGAACTCACTCACTATCACAATAACAGCATGGGGGAAACTGCCTCCACGATCCAATCACCTCCCACAGGGTCCCTCCCTTGACACGTGGGGATTATGGGGATTACAATTCAAGATGAGATTTGGATGGGGACACAGAGCCAAACCATATCAATAGTTGTGCTATTTTTTTTTATCACACTGGGTGGATGGATGCATTGTATTTTGATGACATCTGAGCCTTCAAAGCCTATGATAAATTTCTCTTGTTTAGATTTCATGCTTGCTAAGCAAGGAGTATGTATAATATATTCCTAAGTTAAAATTATAATTAATATCCCAGCATTAAAACCAATCTCCGTTCCACAAGAGTCTCATACTAACTAAATTCTTATTAATAGGAGGAAGAGATTATCTGTCTTTAGAGGGCACAGATATTTCTGTCCCAGTGACAAGTTGTCATTGAAACAAGAAGAAAAGACATAGGGGTATAAAGGGTTTTATTGCTGTACATGAGTAATTAGGGAAAGACCCTAATAACTTCGAGGTATGGCCTCCACTGCATGATAGTATCATCCTCCTGTTATGTTTGGGTGGGGCCATAAAATATCAGAAAGCTTTCAGCCATAACAAATTGTCGGGTTGGGCATCTGATAACAGAAGTCCAGAGGCTCAATTTTCTCTCTAGTTTCTGTTACTTTCAGGGCATAAGTCTTGAAACCTGTACTGAACTTGTTTTCAAATCCAGGATGTACCTCTTGATATTGACTACAAGCCCTATTGTAAATACATTGCAATAATCTATATTTAAATTAAAAGTATCATGACACCCTCATCACTTCTTAACCTGACCCATTCTTATGCTTTGTTTCTAGGGAGCTTACCATATCACTTTTAATAATCCATGCTTAAAAACTTGACTTCATTAACATTGGAAATCTTACCAATAGTAGTGGAAAGAATAATGGATTTTTATCTTTTTAGTAAAGATAAAATTAAAAAGGAATTTAGTAACTTTATTGCTATTGCATTAGCTCAGAATCCTCAATTTCTGCATCATCGCCTATTTTCACTTTTCACTACTAATATTTCGGTGTTTCTTTGAATTTCTAGAACACAGTGATGTGGACCAGGATACTGCACTGGCAGGTGCGCAGGGCTTCACAGGCTGCCTCTCTGCAGTGCAGCTCAGCCACGTGGCCCCTCTGAAGGCAGCTCTGCACCCCAGCCACCCAGACCCTGTCACTGTTACAGGACACGTGACTGAGTCCAGCTGTATGGCCCAGCCTGGCACTGATGCCACATCAAGGGAAAGGACACACTCGTTTGCAGGTGACTTAGAGTTCTTCCTCTACTCAGTCACAGACGTAGCTTGTCCATGGAATTTAGAAAACTTCTCATGTGGCTTTCAGGCTACCTTCTCAAGATGGCTTCTTAAAGTTGGTTTTGTTTGTTTAGCTTTTAGTTCTCCTTCCCATATCTTTTCTAGGTGCTCAACTTCTTATTTATGGGGGTCATTGCCATTGACATTGCTTAAATTGAAAATAACAGAGATCCCACATTCGCCTCCATAATTCTCTGTGGTTTAAAACATTTATGATGTTTTCAAAATTTCTTCTTTTACTTGCCTATATCACCTTCCCCCTTTGTTGTGCTTTAACTGCAGATCATTCTGGAACAATAGATGACAGAGAGCCCCTTGCTAATGCAATCAAAAGTGACTCTGCAGTAATTGGAGGTAATAAGAAGCATGAATGAGCTCTTCTTTGGTTGTTCTTATTAATAATGATGATGAATATTTAGCATTGTAGAAACTGTGAAGAATCTGCACATACTCCAAGTGCCAGGCACTGAATCCTGAGGTCATTGGGGTGATTTACTATTTGTACTGGATTGTCTTTAGAATCTTTCTGAATTCTCTGCTTCCTTGGAGATTTTCAGTATAAATAATTGACAATTTCACTGAAGCATGGCACTCAAAGATTAATTGCTAACATGTGTAATAATGAATATTATCAAGCTTGAACATAGCCACAGGTAGTCACTAGAGAATTGTGAATATATTTGAGTAAATTTCGTTTTTCTTCACTTCTTGGACATATCACTGCTTCTGGAAAGGTTCATGCAAAAAGTAGGAAAAACCTGAGATTAACACTAGAAGCATATATTTTGTATTGCCTCAAGGCTTAATAAAGATGCTATTTGCATAGTAAACTATTTAAAGATGCTTCTATCAACTAAATATTACACTTTCAGTTGTATTTTTATCAAATATTAGATTAATGAACTAAAAGTGATTAGTAGTAACTTTAAATTGCAGAATTAACACAAAAACTTTTAAAGTATGTCTCCCTGGAAATGTGACAGCATATTCTCTGATATTTTTTTTCAAAAGCAACTCAAAAAACAAGCTTTTTTTCTTCTTGATTAATGCTCTTAAGAATGTTATTAATCAGATTATTGAAATGTTAACTTGTTCACCTTTCTTTACACTCTGAATATGATACGGATATAGAAAGTAAACAATTATTCTGTTGCATTGCCAGGGAGATACAATTTTAAAGTTTTTGTGCCAGTAATATGATTATTCATATATGAAATATGAATATTTCGTTTGCAGGTGACTTAGAGTTCTTCCTCTATTCAGTCACAAACCCAGCTTGTCCATGGAATTTAGAAAACTTCTCATGTGGCTTTCAGGCTACCTTCTCAAGATGGCTTCTTAAAGTTGGTTTTGTTTGTTTAGCTTTTAGTTCTCTTTCCCATTTCTCTTCTAGGTGCTCAACTTGTTATTTATTCATATCATATATGAATAATCGTATTACTGGCACAAAAACTTTAAAATTGTATCTCCCTGGCAGGGCAACAGGATAATTGTTTACTTTCTATATCCATATCATATTCAGAGTGTAAAGAAAGGTGAACCACTTAACATTTCAATTTGGGCAATTTATGTGGCTTTATACCTGATTCATTTGGATGTATTTTTTCTATTCATCTAGACATATATTGCTTTCAAGTAGTTAGGATTTTATTTGGACAGCAAATAATACCAGTCAAATCTTTGTGTGGATATTAACTCCCCCATGCTATTTCAGTTGCTTTTCTGTTTCTCAAGTTAATGATGTACAAATTAAAGTTATAAAAAATAGGATTCCCATTTAATCACCAAACATGCAAAACAAAAAACCCAAAACAAACAAAAAAACTCTATTTGAAGAGGAGTTAATAATTGTATGTCTAAAAGAAACACGTTATACAGTAAAAACTCACTTAAAGCTATAGTATTTACAATGTGTCCAAGAGTTTAAGCTAGAATTCCTGGTCAAGCAAGTTGTCTCAGTCTTATAATATTGCTTTTTCCAGACATTCAACCAGGATAGATTCAGGTAAATACAGATACAGAGACAGATAGAAATATAGAGTGGTATATAGTCATCAAGCCAATGCTAGAACAAAATATTTAATCTCTAGACTATTGTTGTTTTGCTCAAACATCATTGGCAAGATTTACAGAGTTAAACAAGAAGTGCATTGATAAGTCATCCTAAAGTTATTCTAGAATAGAAACAAGTTACAGTTCATCTGTGAAATTCTCACTTAGCTCAAATTCACAGGACAGAAACAATATGGAAGGTTTGTAGTTCAGGGGCTTGCCAGGGTCCCTGAAACTAGTGATGTCTGGTTTTGGTCATTGCAGAGACTAAACTTCAGAAGCAGAGCATCTGGTAATGGCCATGTAACCTCTGAAGGCCTTGTCTGGGCCACACACAATTTATTTGCTAAATCATAATGTATCGTCCTCCAGTGTGTTACACAATCTGGTAGAACTGTGGTAGAATCCTTTGTTCATTGTCTAGTCACTCATAAATTGCACCCACTATGTAATAATAATTAACCCATCCAAGGATTTTCCAAATTGGCTAATCCCCCTATGTTCTACATCTTAGATGATTTTTTTTTACTTGCAAAATGAATGGTATAAGATGGGATAATTTATTTAATAATACATTTAAAAGTGGTGACCCAGATGTGGTAGGGGGTTTCTGGCCAGGCTACCCAGATACAGATAGATTTAGCCAGAGAGAAAGCTATATATATACATCTTCATAAAAGCAGATTCACACAGTGCTTTAGGTGCAGCATCATAGAGGCTGGCCACATTTTATTCATAATAACTAATTTATTTTTTATTTTTATATTTTTGGTATAACACGTGTGATCAAAGTTTTTCTTGAGCACAACAAATCCTGACATAGCACTTTCCCCAAATTAAGTGCTAAATTACATACATGGAACAAACAAGTTCCAGAGGCCATCCCTGATTTTGACTGTCTGGATATTCTGTCTCGGCCAATGTAACATTCATTTTATAATTGTAGTTGTCTGCTGTCTATATCATATTTCAGAATTTTTCACATTGAAATTGTTCAGAATCTTTCTCTTCAAGCCAGAGGCCTATAACTAGCCTGTAGAAATATTTATAGCAATTCAACTGTTTATTTTTTCTAAAATGAGAAGCAAAATATGTAACAACAAATATTCTGATTAAAGTTATTCATTAATTAATATGACTAATAACAAAAGCAATCATATTTATTAATGAATTCTTCAGATTTCATGTACAGAATTTGGTTACCACATTTATATTAATCAGCAACGATTTTCTACCTGTCTCAGGTAAGGCTGACCTAGCCAAAAATTGGCTTGGCTATTGGACGTGCTCTAATTGGCCAGGGTGAATCGGCCTAGCAGGTTATATGCACAGGAATCTGTTGTGATTAATAAAAACCTTCAAATCTTTGACTTCCTCGCACTCCGTTACAGTTGTATACATTTGCTTTAGAATGGAGTCTTAGTTTTACCATATGAGATTTGATTCACATTGCTATTTTCATAGTACCTATTTTTGTCTTAAGAAAATGACATTAGTTTGTACCTTCACTGATCTTATCAGAAAATTCTTTAAGTATTAGGCAACTCTCACACTCTTGGCGGCAGAAAATAGTTTTCCAAATTCAATTTTTCATTTGAAAACTTGAATTTTATCTTTCACAACATATGCTGTGTAATTGTTTTTCTTGAAGTGACACATTTACTTCATTCATTTTAGAGAAAATGTCCACCAAATACCCAAGTCTGAACAACCATAGTTTGTCTGTTAGTCATTCTTTCAAATAAAAATGGTGTTACATGAAGCAAAAAGCAACTAATTCAGTTCACAACTCAAAGGTTCACGTAAGTGCTTTTCCTGGAGACAATGATCAGACTTCAGAGTGCACCAGAAGTACTTTATTTCTGTTTCCCATTTTAACACACAAAATGTTAGAAAGTCTTGCAGTCAAGGGTCAAGATTTAATTAAATGAAGAGTTTTTACAGCTTCATTAAGGAGATTCTTAAATAAATTTGGCTTTTTATTCCTTTTCCTACAATTGTCTGGCAGTGTAATGTTTTCTACTTCATGAATTCAATGATTATTATTATTGTTTTGTGTCCTTGCGTTAATTTGTGCTAAGTACCAGGAATTTTACCTAACTTTGTTTTATACCAAATTTGGTTCCGTATTAAAATGGAAATGGAAATGTCAACAGAGTGAAAAAGACATCTTAGAATTATCATGAAATAGTTTTGAGCCCCTGTGCCCTCTCAAAGTGTCCCAGGGACCACTACACGTCTACAGATCACACTTTGAGGACTACTGACCTAATATAATGCCAGCGTTGGTAACCATTGACATAGTTAAGAATCGCAGTACTTAGAATTTGTATTTACAACTAGAAGTGTTAAAACAACATTCCTCATATAGAAATAATTTAGGCATATTTGTATATGTGTTATTGGTCAGAATGATTTATTTACATAACCCATTTCTGCTGTTCAGCAGTATAACAATTGAATAACAATTTCATTAAAATGTTTACATATTTAATCACAAAACAGTTTAATCATTTTATGATGTTGCTACTACTCCATAATTTCAAAATAATTAAAACTAATATGAAGTGGCCACATGGCCACATGGTCCTAGAGACATATAGTTAATACCTTGTGTTAAATATAAATGCACCAAGTAAATCCGATATAATATGCATTCATAATAAATGTAGGTGAACCCACAAGGCTGATAGAACTCAGAAATAAACTCAACATACAATAATACTGCTTGAGCCAGAAATACCTGAAGTTTTTATATTTCCAATTTATATGTAGTAGATGCTTAAAGTGGAAAATAGTGTTATGATGACTTATTAAGCAATGAAGTCAGCACAGTTTCTATTTGGACAGAAATTCTGACTTTATATTTCTTTTCTCTCTCTAGGTCTGATAGCTGTTGTGATTTTTATCTTGCTTTGCATCACTGCCATAGCTGTTCGCATTTATCAGCAGAAAAGGTTATATAAAAGAAGTGAGGCAAAAAGGTCAGAGAATGTAGACAGTGCTGAGGCTGTTCTGAAAAGTGAGCTTAATATACAAAATGCAGTCAATGAAAATCAGAAAGAGTACTTCTTCTGATTGGCAGCTATGATTTAACATAAAATTATGATAGTTTGTTTTAATAGCCAGGGGTTCTCAATGGAAAAACGAATGCTCTTACACTGAATGTACAGGCAGTGGGCTTGCAGCACTGCCATCTTGCCATGTACAGGCTTGGGGTGGCTCCAGGAAGCCTCGTCCAGTGATATATTTCTCATAGCATTCATTCTATGGAACAAGAAATTAGATATTGCTGTTAATTTTCAACTGTTCTGGTATGATCTAAAACAAGTTTAACCTGCTTAATGGCTACAGTTTTTACATGTGAAAACTGTAGCCTTGGTCTCTTAACCATGTAATACATAAGTTTTGTTAGAGGTAAAAATTAAATTTGGACTATAATGTCCTTGCTTTATTTGAGAACATTTGCTGTGTTTGCTTTTGTCTCCTCGTGGTGTTATTCATAGACCTGGAAATGCTTCTCAGATCCTGTGTGGCCGGTGTTTGCATCTTCAGTGGCCACAAGCATAATAAAGCCCCTTTGCCTTTCTCTGTATTATATTCAATACAATACATCAATAGTCTTGAAAAATGTTTTGCTGTCTTTGCTTTGTTTGTATTGCTCATTATTCTATTTGTCTCTTCTTAATAATGTTGAATACATTTGGTTTTGAGTCTCAGACTTCAACTCTGAACATACAAGTTGTATTTAACAAGACTCAGAAAGTGCAGTGGTTGTTAGTATGTAATGTCTTTCCTTTTAAAAAAAGTTTTCCAATTAATTTGCTACCATTGTTTGATGGTGACAGTACTTAAGACCCTGAGTAATGCCAGTTTCCCAAAGAATGTAAAATGTTTTCAACTAAACTGTTGATATATTAAAAAAAATTCTTAACACAGCAAAAAATTATTATTTAATTTACAACTGTAATACCTCAAATGAAATATACTTATGAGACTATTTTGCCCAAACCTAGATCAGTCCTTTATTGGTTTACATTTCTGTTTTTCTGAAGTTTATCACAAACTTCGCCTTGATCTTCAATGATTATACTTCACGAATCATCTTATATATTACCAAAAAAGAGACAAATTGAAGTATAGAGCCCCATTTCCCATTCTGAAACATATACCCCTTTAGGTGTACATTTTGCTGTGCATAGACTTCCAGTACATACTTTTTGAAATATGAGCTGCAACCATCAGTGATCTACACAATCAATAATTAAACAATGCACACTCTAAGGGGAGATAGCATATTAAATGATCTACTGTGAATTTGTCATTCCAGACACTTCTCGTCTGAAACGATGGGGTGAATTTCTCAAAAATTACCAAGAATCAATCCAACTTGCTGAATGGTACATTCTGATTAGGGTGTATTATACACTAGGAGATCAAAGAATGATCAATAACCTTATGGAACTGTTACAATAATTAATCTTGAGACCATGCATACAAGGAACTATCTTTGAATTCTGCAAGCCAATCATACAATAAAGGCACTCTATTATACATACTCACACCTTCAAGTGCCTCCCAAGTAACTATTGGATTTCTTAGTTTGTCTACACCAGAAGAATCGGGAAATATGTAAATTTAGCATTACTATCATCTTATTTTCTATATTTTCCTTGTTAACTCTTCTTATAAAACCTGCCTCTCTTTTCTCATAGCACTATATCCATATTGATGTTTCTGCAAATGCCTGACTAAATCTTAAGAACCTGAATTAACATAGTAGTTTACGAAGGACTAAGGACCTATGTTGGTAGATGGTATACTCTTTGTTTGATTGGAAGATCTATGGTGACAAGGGAAGGATTTAACATAGAAATGGCATTATTTATTCGATGCAAAGCTGAGTGCAAACATCATTATATCTCTGAATCTTTTGCAGATGTTCATGTTATTTAGTAGCGGTATTAACCTCATTGGTAGCTGAACTCTAGGGAGGTTTATTGGTGAAGCCTCACAGTCCTCTGTGGTCTGCACTGCTAGAGACTCAACATTATGGCATGGAAATGCATTGACACATCCTATGCCATGACTTTAATTTCCTGATTTGTAATCTCTTATTTTATCATTAATAAAATGCATTTTTGAACTAAAATGCAAAACAGAAGTCAATCATTTCAAAATTATCTTTCAGTAGATGTTTTTGTCCTTCAGAACAACAGAGTCACTCATAGAATTGGACAGCACTGACATGATTTAGTGTGAACAGTTTTACAGATGAAAAGTCCAGGATGCGGATATATCAATTGACATTCCCAAGGGGACATGTAACATTGTGTAAGTGTTGAAGATGTGACTACAATGTCCTTTTTTACTCCACATGATATTGATCTTCCAAGACCTGGAATTTTGACAGTTATTTAGTGGTGTAGAAAAATCTGAAAGATCTTGATACTTTCTTTGTCCACAATGATCTATAGTTCTATAGCTTATCCATTATCTGTTCTAAATGAACATCAACCTTTATTTGATAGGTCATTGCTGTTGATAGGTTTGCCTTTCTTTTAAAAATATTTGGTAGGTTTATGACCCTTGACTGCAGGAGAGACAATTATTATCACTGGAGCACTTTTATGTAGGCTTTGTGAAATCCACAATAGGAATTAGATGTCACTGAGGGAATCATCAAATATTTTCCTCCTGATAGAAGGATAAATTAGACACATTCTAAATCAATGCATGTTCAAGCGAATTGTTTGATTTTCAAACTCATGTATCAACTAAATGACAAATCGACTAGATACCTTCAATATATTCTGGTTGTCTTTCGCTTTTCCAAAGTCTGGATGGGAGAGAGTGGTAACGTGGAGGAAAAAGTTCAGAAGCTGAATGTCTTTGTGTTGGGGATGTGGGTGGGTGAGCACATTTGTGTGTGCAACAAATAATAAGAAATTAAGATAAGGGAACAACATAGTGTACTTACAATGTGATTAAGAAAGCTGGAGCTTGGCTTTGAAGATTTGCAAATAAAAATAAAAGGGGATGGAAAATAAATCTGACTACAAGTATAATAACTTTTCCAGTACAATCTTTAAAAAATCTGTTTTTCTATTTTAACATTGTCTTTATTTATTAAAAATACATGCACATACTTAAAAAATCAAATAGCTCAAGAAAGCTTACAAAAAATATCTTTCCATTGCCAGATCCCCTTCCCAACACTTAAAACTCTTTCAACTGTGTCTTTCACTGTCTCTGTGTTTATAAATAACCAGCAGCTACAGGTTAGGTTCCCTGGGAAGCAAACTTTGAGACAGAGATTATGCTGGAAGAAATCTGTTAGGGGCTACTGTAGAGATCAACGCCTGTTGAAGACAGAATGATGTGGGGTGGGGCAGATGGAGAAGTAAAGCTGTGGTATGGTCACAAGAAGGGATCAGCCGACCCTGCTGACATGGTCCTTTAGTGACATACAGAGTTAGGGTGGATGAAATGGGAATTTATACTTCTGCATTGACCAGGCATTGGATGTTAACTTCTTGATGAGGTGGGCATGAACTTGGACAAATGGCTCTTTTCAGCTTAGGTGGTTCCTGAAGAGGGAGGACAAACATCACCAGCAGCCGAGAAGAATAAATTGCTGAGTCCTGAAATAGGAGTCTCAGTGGCACAGTACAGCATCTCTGAGGTTCCCCCTTGTGCTAACCAGATCCACCTGCTTCATATGAGTTCTGGGAGTAGCTCCTTCAGAATTCTAGTGAGCTTCATATCTTGGACAGGAGGGAGTAGTATGGAATAAACCACAGACCCTACCACTGCAGGTAGTCTCTCAGTTGTAGCTTGTACTCATCTTTTTCCTCCTCTACCATCCACACCAGCTGACAACACTACAAGGAGTTTGAACCCTTGTCTCCTATGACCTTCTCAGGGTATATCTGCTGTACTTTTGCAATTACCATTAAAATTGATCAAAGAAGTATCAACATGCAAAGCACATTTCTCCCTTCCTCAGAGTGTAATTTCACCTCCCTCACTTATTGTTGGTTACAGACAGTTACTTCTCACATACCCTCTCAGAAAATCTTGAATCGGTGAAAGATCCACATTACAGCAAAGGATAAGTGGGAGTGGGCACATTGCCATGAGATATGCTGGTCCTGTCACATTCCACACCACCAGAGGGGCTCTGTAGACCCTCAACAGGTGGTGGTGGCTGATGGCTTGCAGGCAGTAAAGACAACCCAAACCTGAAGGAAGTCATAATTCTTACTACAATGAATCTCTGTCCCTTTCAGAGTAGAGGGATCTGATGTACTCAGCTTGCCACAGAATTTATCTGCTGGTAGAGAGAAATTATTCTGGGGGATGAACACTGGTCTCTGTTGATCATTAGGACATTCAGGAGTGGTAGTAGCTAGATCAGTCCTGATGAGCGGGAATGCTCACTGCTTGTCTATGAGTAGCTCCTACCCCTGCCTGCATGGCTACTCTGTTCATATGCTCATTGCCCCAGCACTTTGGTGGCCAGTGATTGAAGTTGGTTTAATGCCAACCATGCATAGGTCATTCTATCTACTAATTGTTGTTTAGTGATTCTTCCATGATTCTTTCCATGGTGGGCAAATAATTTTATGCTTTATGACCACTCCCATAGGTCCATTTACATGCTTCTACTTCAGACCTCCTTGTTTCCAATCTTCCAGTCTCTTTCTAGGTCTCTGACAAACTGACCAACCTACTGCCCATAAGTCCATATAGCATATAATATAATTTCATATGTATATATAAATTATAACCTCAGTCTATTCGTTTCATGCAGAGTGAATGAGCATGGGTGCCATGCAAATGTTCTGCCATTGGGAGGGCTTTTCCTCATTGCCATCTTGTGATGCCACCCTAATTGGCACTGTAGTGGTGGCATTTTCCATGTTCACCTTGCACCCATATTCCAAGTCAACCCATCCATGCCAAGATAAGATATTTCCCTTCTCCAGCAGTTGATGGTAAGAGACCCTTCATGCAGCCCTAGGTGTAAGCTGAGGGAAAGGTACTGTTGGGACAGTGGTGGATCACAGGGGTCTGGGCTACTGGCTTATGCAGCTTGCTGGCACCTGCTCATGCTTGGCTCCAGATGCATCATTTCCAGTTGATGATGGCTTCCTGCTGGGCCCAGGTAACTTTATGACTTGGTGGACCTGACAGAACCCAGCTCATTATGGGCATTTCTGCCCATATTTGCTGTGCCAATGTGATGTAAGGCATTTCGTCTCTAGCAGGGCCCAATAGCAAGCCTGGAACCTTTTTAGAAAGTTGTGTTTCTCTACGCCAGGTGACCTGGCACTGCTATAGTTCCCTGAGTTTTTCAATGTGATGTTCCCACTGGTGACTTCCAGTGAAGTCTACATAGCATTATTTTGACCATTGCTCTGTTCCAATATAACTTTATTCACTAAACACGTAGTGGGTCAGATCTGGCCTACAAGCCATAGTTTTCTGATGTCTTCTCTAAACCACTGGATGTCTAATAATTGAACTGATTGGGCAGCCAATATAGCAGACCAGTGTTTTCTGCAGAATTGTCCACATGACACTTGTCTCTTCAGACTGTATCAGGACAGAGAGAGGGAGTAGCCTTGGGGCAAGACTATTTGTCCATTCCAGGTAAATGCAAACTGTTTCTAAATTTCTTTTCTGATAGGTTTGGAAAAGGATATATTGTTCAGGTTGTTTAGTCATCTAGTACATACCTGAGACCATGTTAACATGTCCTAGCTAAAGAACCACATCTGATACAGCAGGTGCAATTGGGAGTTCTGCCTGTTTAAGTTTGTGGCAGCCCATTGCTGTTCTCAGCATCCTCTGGTTCCTTCGGGGGCTAGATCAGAAAATTAACTGGAGGTACCATGGGGGCCACTGACTTTGCATGTTTTCAATCCTTAAGGATAGCATTATTTTTGTCCCTCTGCCCCCCAGCATAGATTTGCCATTTTGGACAGTGGAGCTGGGGAGGGAATAATTTCTGCCACTTGGATTATTTTACTGTCACTGCTCTTCTTATGTCACCTCATTGTCTGAGGAACCAAAGTGGGGGCGGTATCAGCACTAGGCAAATTCATTCTAATTATATATTTGGAGAGCAGAGAAATGACTACTGCTGGGTCCATTGGCTCGACCTGAGCCAGGACTCCATTTCCTGGTGCCAGTATACCTGCACTCTTATGAGGGATGGGGATAGACCAGGAGAAAGCTCTAGTTATCAACGTCAACTCAGATCCTTTGTCCGATTGTCCTTGAAATGTTTGTCTATTCTTCTTTCTCCACATAATGTACAGTTATTGTAGTAAATGGTCACAGTTCCCTTTGGAAAACCCCGGGGAATCACTAGTGTCTACACTCATGGGGATGCTGCAGGGTCCTTTTCCCTGCAGATCTCCCTGCAAACATTTCTGCAGCCTCTTTTATATACAGTGACTTCTAGTTTTGAAAACTGACTCATGCTTAAAGACAAAAGATTGTTACTTTAACAAACTTTGAGACAATAAACATGTTACAGAAAATTTGGAAGTATGATACATTATTACCATCTAGTCTCCAGACCTCATAGATTCACTAGCTGTCCCAATGACGTATTTTATAACAAAAGAATCCACTTTAGAATCATGTATGACATTCAGTTGTCATCTATTTTTAGTTTGCTTTTGTTGAAGGAGTTTATCAGACTTTCCTTGACTTCCACACCCATGATATCTTTGTAAAGGTTATAGACCACTTAGTATCACAGCCCTCAGTTTGGGTTTGGCTGACGTTTCCTCTTGATTGCATTCAGTTTATTCATATTAGTCAATGAAAGCACTGAACTGGTGCTGTGTTTTTCTCATTGCATCCTAGCAGGGGGTGCAGTGCATAATTTCAATTTGTCCAATAACTGATGATGGTCACTCTGATACATATGGTCTGTAAAGTTTCTCCGCTGTAAGGTTACTTCACCTCTATCCTCCACCTGCAGGTCCCAACATTTCTCTGCTGCACTTTAGTGAGCCTGCCACTGTCTCAATGCATTCTGTACTTGCTTCTCTCAAGACTGCTTCACAGCTGTCAACCCAAGGCTTCCTTTCTTCTCATGCTGGGAATTCCCTCCCTCTCATTCCTGATGTATCTGTTGAATCCCCAGTGTCTTCCTCCTTATGCCTTTCTCATGTTCGACTGACTCACTCATTTTGATGAAATAAATCTTGCAGTTCCTTCCAGAGAAACAATGTGTAGGAGGCAAGCATTTTGAGAACTTTTATGTTCATAAATATATTTATTTTCACATTAGATCAACAGATTTATGAAATACATAATTGTAATTTGCAATTAATTTCCTTTCAGAATTTTTATGGCATTGCACCACTGAATTTTATTTTTAAATGATAGAACTTCTACATTTGTAAAGTCTATTGATCTTTCTTTGTGATTTCTTTTTTATTATTTTTTAAATGTTTTTCTTCATTTGAATACTGTAAAATTAACCCTTGTGATATATACCTCTGTGAGCTTGTACAAGTGCATAGTATTATGTGTGCACCTATACAACCATAATATAGAACAGTTTCATCACTCCCTAAAATTCCCTCAGGCTTTCTCTTTGTGGTCAGCCCCTCTCCCCACTTCCTTACTCTGGTATTCACTTATCTGTTGTCCATACTTACATTTTTGCATTTTCTAGAATGCCATATAAATGGGACCATACAGTATGCCATCTTTTGCGTTTCGCTTCTTTCACTTCAGGAAAGACCCATTCCATGTTTTTTTTTTTTTTTTTTTGCTGAATAATATTTATTATATGAAAGTATCACAGATTTTTCATTCATCTGTTGATGAAAACAAGGCTGTTTCCAGGTTTTGCAATTATAAATAAAGGTGCTGTCAAATTCCCATTTTGTTTTTTGTGTGAACATAAATTTTTATTTCTCTTAGGTAAATGCCTAGAATTGGAATTTCTGTATCGTATGGTAAGGGAATGTATAACTTTTTAAGAAATTGCCAAAATTGCTATTTTAGTTTTCATTTACACCAGCAATGAATGAGAGATTGTGTGGGTCTGCATTCTCAAAATTTAATATTGTCAGCTTGTATGTTTTGGGTTTTCCTTAAGTCCCACTCATAGGTATACAGTTGAAGAGTTCACGAGTCCCTAAGAAATCCCTCGATTCTGATACCATCTGTGAGCTTGAGGATACTCAAGACGACCTTCAGCTTCAATAATTTGATAGAATGATTCACAGAACGCCCAGAAAGCTACCATGCTGGGGTATAGTTTATTACAGCAAAAGGTTGCAGATTAAAGTTACCATAGGAAAAAGACACAGCATCCAGTAGAGTTCTAAGCGTGAACTTTCAATTGTCCTCTCCCAGTGGACCTGTGAAGAGTGCTAAATTCTTCCAGCAACAATGTGTGCAATATGCATGAAGTATTGCCCACCAGGGAAGCTTACATGAGTCTTGGTGTGCAGAGTTTTATACTGGGGCATGGTCACAGTGACATGGTTGATTGCCTGCATGGCCGAAGTTATTCTCTAAAAGCTTCTTTGCCATAAATAACATTATTTGCATAGACTCTCTGATGTGGCCAGAGTTCCCAAGCCTGGCTAATTTTTGGATTTTTAGTAGAGATGGGGTTTCACCATGCTGGCCAGGCTGGTCTTGAACTCCTGATCTCAGGTGATTCATCTACCTCAGCCTCCCAAAGTGCTGGGATTATGGGCATCAGCCACCACATCCAGCCTCTTCATTTACAAAATCAGCAATGGCAGGTCAAGTCTTTCTCAAACTGCATCACTGATACCTCTTCTTTTTCCTTCTCCTTCTATTTTTAAACACTTGTAATTACATTGAGACCACAATCCAGATAATCAAATCATTAAGCATAATCTCCCTATTTAATGCCAATTGATTTGTGTCCTGTATTCCATCTGCAACCTTGTTCCTCTTTGCTGTGTATGGCATGTATTCACAGGTTGCAGGGACTAGGATGTGGACAGCTTTGCAGGTCATTATTCTGCTTATCACACCCCCATTCCCTGTAATTTCCTTCATTCAACTAGGCCTGAGATCCGTCACTTCAGAACCTTTTTGTTTGAACTCTTCCAGAAACTGGTGTTCAGGTGTCTCTTTATTTTTCTATGTACAAAATTCTTGAGCAGTAGCTGCCTATGCCCATATTTCCTGAGTCAGGTATATCATGTGTAGTCCATTTCTTTTTATAAATCTGACTTACTTTTATTATACGAAGAAAATGCAAATAGTGAATCTCACCGGAATGAAACTTAGACTTCTCCTATGGCTCTGGCTGCCAGCTAATCCTTCCCTCTTTCTCCTAAAAAAGGACCGAAAACTCTCACAACTCGAGTTGCTTAGTGCCTTCATCTTGTTTCTGAAAATCAGAAGCAGTAATAATAATTTTCTGAGGCATCATTACATTGTGAACATCTATTTTATCAAGGCAGGCACTACCAACACCAGTTCTTATCATAATTCTTTGTGTCATACCAGACTAACTTGGGCTTGCTCTTGATAAATGATTTCCTTATTTCATGTGCTGATACTGGACATGAATTTATGCCTATTGAACCAGCACATCTGCTTCCAAGCTGTTCATTTGATAAACTTTCAGGTAAAGAATGTTCTTGCTGAATGAATTCATGTTTTCATTCAAAATAGGCTGTTATAAATGATTCATGTTTCTCTATATTTTCCACAGGAGCAAATTAATTTTTTAATTGAGCAGTGAAATGACCTGTTCTTTCAAAATACATATTAAAAGATTATGGTTACAAATGACTATGAGGATTGAAACAGTTCTTGCAATAATTTTTTTCATTTGCTGGAGATCTCTGACAAACTTTTCTCATTTGCTGGAGTTCTCTGACAAACTTTTTATAGCACAAATAAATTATTGGAGAATAGCATCTTCTGGAATGAGATTGTAGTTATATGAAAAAAAAAACACGTATAGCAAGAGTACTCTATTTTAACTTACAAAACACACAGAAAAGAAAACACTGACCAAACTAATTTCAAATTAGGCACAATCTTTATATTAAGAACTATTGGTGATAATGTTGGTAATACTTTTTGAATGGTGTTAAATTTTCTGTCCACACATCCTTTTTGTACCTATGATTTGTATAAACTAAAGAAAATCTCTCATCTTTCCTGAAGGCTTTCTTGTGGAAATACAGTCCCATTTGATCTTACCATAGTTGAAATTTCATGATGTATGAAACTGATAGAGTGTTGAAATGTTCCTAAAAGTGTCTTTGTAGCAATTTTGCTTTTTCTGTTGGCTTCTGTAATGAAACTGAAGCTTAGGTACAGAAGTTAAGCTATAAGACACAGTAGAAACTTAGAGTTAGTCTTATTCTTGAAATCCACAATTTGAAGGGAAATATTTTTTGAGATATTAATAACATTCTTTTAAAAATTGCTACTAATTTGCCAAAATGAATCTTAGTTACACACATGGAATGATTTATTGCTATACGAATGCATTCCCATTGAAGGAGTGGTTTATGGAGAAGTGTAGAATCTCCTACTGATTTCCAGACAGTTCAGTGGAACCAAGGCAAACTTTAGCCTAATTCACACAGCTTTCAAATACCATCCATTTCTTTAAAACCCAAATACAAATAGTTTGAGCTCCTGTCTTGAGACTTCAGAAAGTTAGATCTTCTAGGTAGGTATCTTCTCTCCCCTAGGCTTTTCTAGAGATCCCAAAAGAATGGTGTCAGATTCAACTAACTCATTTTTGTACTTATAAGTTACTTCAGCCAATTGGCCCACATTAGATTACTTAGTGACCAAACTAGAGTTTAGCTTACCCTTGTTTTTCATGAGCAGCTGCTTCTGGCTGAAGCTCAGGTCTTCCTCTTAATTCACCAGATACAATGATGATGACATCACAGCTTTTAAGATAAAAATTACGGAGGGTTTGAAATAACAGACTATATATGCAGAAAAAGTGCATTCAGTTGGAAATCCATTATCACATTTCCTAGAATCCACCAATCATGCCATTCCAAGGGTTCTCTTACTTAGTCCTCAGTACTTTTGTCCCCCTGCCCAGGTGGCACAATTCTCACCCCCAAGCATAAAGGCCACAGTCCAAAAGAAAGGGCAGTTTCTTGTCAATGCCTGATTTCTTTCTGCCCTAGTGTCAGTGACAATCATACTCTTGGTGGAAACCTCTACTCAGACACAGGATAGGGTCTAGCTCCCAAGACATTGACAGGAAAATCAAAATGTTTGACAGTGCATTTTTTTCCCCAGAGTATAGAATATTCATCCTTGCAGAGTACCAGCTAGAAGATTCTGACATACCCTCTCTTTTACATCCTGTAGACCCACCACTGGGTTGACATGAAGATCAGCCTCATTTTTCTTGCTCTACGCCTTACTCCAGCAATGCATCTTTCTGCGACTCCCCATTGTTGGTGTCTTCCAGCGTTTCACATTTCATGGAAGAGCAATGCTATACACCTAGCTGTGAAAAGTTAAAAACAAGCCAGGAGTCCACGTTCATCGCACTCCCTATGTGATCCATCTCCACAGTCTATTTATTTCTTAACTATATTATAAATCTATCCCATATGTCTTTCTCCAAAAATCCCCATTCAAGATTGCCATCTCTTGGATAGTTCACTGAAGTGGCTGCCTAATTAGCCTATCATATCAGGACTGTAAACTTCTCAACTGATATAGTTTGCATCTGTGTCCTCATCAAATCTCATGTTGAATTGCAATCCCTAATGTTGGAGGTGAGGCCTGGTGGGAGGTGATTGGATCACGGGGCTGTTTCTCCCGAGTGGTTTAACACCACCCTTCTTGGTACTGTCCTTGCCGTAGTGACTGAGTTCTCATTAGATCCAGATGTTTGAAAGTGTGTAGCACCCCCCACCCCCCTCCACACACACACCTTTCTCTGTTGCTGCTCCTACCATGTTAGATGCCTTGCTCCTCCTTTTCCTCCCGCAATGATTGGAAGTTTCCTGAGGTCTCCACAGAAGCAGAAGCCTTTATGCTTCCTGTATAGCCTGCAGAGCTGTGAAGCAATTTAAATCTCTTTTCTTTATAAATTATGCAGTCTCAGATATTTCTTTATAGCAGTGCAAGAACAAACTAATACACCAACATGGCAGCCATTCTCTACTCTGCAAGCCTGTCTTTATGTCATCTCTCCCTCACTATTTCTCTTTAGCACTTTCTCCTTGTTCTTAGGATGAAGGCACAATTTTGTAACACGACTGTAACTAAACCCCATGAGGTCAGGAGATGTGTCTTTTTGTGTCTTACATTCAGTCCCCAGCACTGAGCACAGGGTTAATTGAGTAAATATTGATCAAATAAAGATGAAAGATAAGTTGTTTTCTGTACATATATAATTGAAGGGTCAGTTTCTGGTGTCGCACCTCATAAAAAAGGAAGGAAGTACCGGTGCAAAGAATAAGGAATAATTGATTACTTTCACCTCCAGAACTTGAAGCACCCCGGTTATGCTCAAATGCAACTTCTGCTATTAACAAAACAGATTTACCCCTCCCGCACACCAATCTATTTATCAACAAATACATTAATAAAGTTTAATTAAAGTATCATATATATAATATGATAACATAATTAAGATAAACCTTCTTTTACCTCTCTTACAGGGAAGCAAAAAAGAAAGAAAAAAATAGCCAAACTCATTTAAGAATGTCCTTAATGTGGCCAGGCGTGGTGGCTCACGCCTGTAATCCCAGCACTTTGGGAGGCCAAGGCGGGCGGATTAGGAGGTCAGGAGATCGAGACCATCCTGGCTAACACGGTGAAACCCCGTCTGTACTAAAAACACAAAAGAATTAGCCAGGCGTAGTGGCGGGCACGGTGGCGGGCGCCTGTAGTCCCAGCTACTCGGGAGGCTGAGGCAGGAGAATGGCCTGAGCCCGGGAGGCGGAGCTTGCAGTGAGCCGAGATCGCGCCAATGCACTCTAGCCTGGGCGACAGAGCTACACTCTGTCTCAAAAAAAAAAAAAAAAAAAAAAAAAAAAAAAGGATGTCCTTAATGAAGTTGTAAAAATTATTCATTTAATTAAAGCTTGACCCTTGACTGTAAGTCTTTTCAGTGTTCTGTGTGTTAAAATGGGAAATATACATAAAGTACTTCTGGTGCACCCTGAAGTGTGATGCACAGAAAACTTTGCTCTTCAGTTATAATTCTTATATTGTCCAGCCCTCGTATCTCTTATTTGCTCTTAATAAAATATGCTAGCCTCCATTCCAATTTTTCACATTTTAAGAAAGCGTGCTGTCATAATCAGTTATTTATTTTTGCCTGTTCAGCAGTAATCATGCCACCATGTAGAACTGACAGCTGGTTGCTCAATAATTATTTGATGCAAAACTTTCTTCTTTTGAGTTCATGTAATATATATATATAAACATGTTATATATATAACATGAACATATATATAACATGAACATATATATAACGTGATATATATATATACACAAAGACACACACAGTGGGTTGACAATTACAAACACTGTTATAAGTATTTTCATTAAAAGAAAGAGGGTATAGTTTGAGGATAATAAATTAGGCAGTGCATTTGAATTGGAAAAAATTGGGAGTTTTCAATATCGCAATGGCCTTAGATAAGTCAATGGGTATATCATATTTTCTAATACAGTTCTAATAATAAATTAGGCAGTGCATTTGAATTGGAAAAATTTGGGAGTTTTCAATATTGCAATGGTCTTACATAAGTCCTTGGGTGTATCATATTTTCTAATACAGTTCTGAGAAAGGATAGGTACTCAAGGAAGTGACCATGTTCTCTTGGGAGGCAGCAACCATGGTGACCACTCAGTCAACACAATAAGCCTCAGCCTTCGCATTGTAATTGTGCTCATGCAAGCAAAGCGATCTTCAGTAGGGACTTTCCCTTCTAGACAGCATGCACATCTCATTTTTTTGTTTTTTGTGTTTTTTTTTTGAGACAGTGTCTCGCTCTGTCGCCCAGGCTGGAGTGCAGTGGCATGATCTCGGCTCACTGCAACCTCTGCCTCCTGGATTCACGCCATTCTCCTGCCTCAGCCCCCCGAGTAGCTGGAACTACAGGTGCCCGCCACCACGCCTGGCTAATTTTTTGTATTTTTAGTAGAGACGGGGTTTCACCGTGTTACCCAGGATGGGCTCGATCTCCTGACCTAGTGATGCGCCCGCCTCAGCCTCCCAAAGTGCTGGGATTACAGGCGTGAGCCACCGCGCCCGGCCGAGCACGCAAATTTTGATTTTACCTGTCTTTGAACTGACTCTTTGCTCATTATAATAGTAAAAACACAACCCTGGGTGGAGATTTAAGATGCTAATGTGACATGTGATGTATGAGCAAGCATGTACAGCTACTGCGCATGGGCACCCGGAATACCACACAGAACATGCTTACTAGTAACACCTCTTTCCACTTCCTTATGAATAATCGTGTAAGGCTACCATAAAGGGAGTCTCCCTAAGTGCCAGTCTCTGCTGTCTCATCCTTACGAGCAGCCCACCCCAAATTTCCTTTCTCAGCGTACTGTTTATTCTGTACTTAACTTTCAAAATATTCTTTTTCTTTTGCAATAATTACTCTATGCTGAACTTCTTTTGCTGTGTGTCTCTTGTTTAAATTCTTTTCAACCAAGAAGACAAGAACCGACATATCACATCAGCCGTCACCATTTCTATTTGGTTTTTAATTGTTTGATTTGAAGTCCACTTGGATGGATGAGAGAGAGAGAGAGAATGAACTCTTATTGGACTGGATGCTGCAATTTGCTTCCATGTATTTAGCTCTGAGGACCTGGAATGCAACCCACCTGCTGTGGCTTACATAAGAGTCAGTATGACTCCATTTCTAAGTGACTTTAGCCTGTAGAAGGATTGAGGGTGATTGCTTTCACTTACTTGATTAAAACTGGTAGAAACATAGATGGCCCTTCAGTTATTTTTTTATGCATCTTGCTGACTATTGTTTTTCTTTTTAAATGGACATTTGGTACCTATTTAGAACAATAAAATACCTCAAAGCAAACATTAAGCAAAATATAGCCAATCTATCACATGCCCAGCTTATCTTGATAGTCATAACCATGAATAGACTGGCCATTACACAGTAAATTCTACATTTTTACAAGTTGCTTTATAGATTCGTTTTGTGATCACTAGTAAACCTATTTAGCAAGTATCTAATTAAGAAAACCTTAATAAAAGCCCATTACTCAATGCCCTAAATTTACTAAATTTTATTTTTGGGGTACTGAAATGTGTTTTAAATTAGTCACATTATACATAGTGCTAAAAATGTTGCCCATGTACAATACCAATGTACCCACAATAACACTTACGGGCAATTAACAGTTCATTTTGCATGCTATATTCATTAGTAATTTTCTTTTACTTATTGAGATGTATAAAGAGTATAACTACGTCTGAGGCAGGAGAATGGTGTGAACTTGGGAGGCGGAGCTTGCAGTGAGCCGAGATCGCGCCACTGCACTCCAACCTGGACGAGAGCGAGACGCCATCTCAAAAGAAAAAAAAAAAAAGGTATAACTACGTGTATTGTGAATGCATTTTATTAGTAATTGGGCTGGACTCTGACTCATCAATGTACCTGGCAGTTTACATGGGAGGAGATGTCCATTTGTATACCACTAGCAACTTTCAGAAGAATAAACTCAAATGTGTACCAGGAGGGAGATAAAATGCCTCAGTAATGTTTTTGGTTTACTTTGCAAATAGCACAAGGAAGGACAGGTCCACAGGAAAATGCTACATTTCTCTCTTTTAAAAAATATTTTTATTAAAATAATTTCAGATTTACAAAATGTTGCAAAGCTGTTACAGAGAGCCCACATTTACCCTGCACCCAGCTTCTATAATGTTAACAGCTGACATGATCTGACTTCAACATCAAAGCCAGAAAGTTAACATGAGTTACTAACCTACAAATCTAATGCGAATTCCTCCAGTTTTGTTCTGACATCCAGTTTGGGTGTACTTGGTCCTTGTGTCTTTTTAATATCCTTCAATTTGTCACACTTCCTTAGTGTTTCCTCACCTTTCACGACCTTGACACTTCAAAGTTTTTAAAATAACTGATCAGCTCTTTTGTAGAATGTCACACAATTTTGGTTTGCCTGATGTTTTCTCATGATTAAAACAAACTTATGCATTGTTTGGCAAGAATACCACAGAGGTGATGTAGCCTTCTCAGTATATGATATCCTGGAGTGCTTATGTCAATATGTCCTATTACGTGTGCAATGGACCTTGAACTCTTGGTCAGTGTGGTATCTGACAGATTTCTTTGTAAAGTTACTTTGAGCCTACACTGATAGCTTGTCTTCAAAATTTCCTTCACTCATTTTAACATCCATCAGTGGATCTTGCTAACAACAATTATTATGGTGGTATATCCCTAATAGTGATTTTGGATTTTCCTCACTCTTTCTGAATTTATTAATTTTTATTTTCTATAAGGAAGAGCTGCCCCTCTCCACCATTTAATTATAAATTAATTTATTTATGTGTGTTAGTACGGAAATGTGCATATTTACTTTATTCCTGAGTTGTAATCCAGTGTGATGCCCATTTACTTTGTTGCCCAAATTGCTCTACATTTGGCCTCCTTAGTGACCTCCAGTTGTGGCTTTCGGATGGACACAGTGTATCACGTTATCAAGTCAGGTGGGTTATTGTTAAATAAATTGAAGTATAGATACTAGTATTTAGCCACAAATATTTAACGTTGGTACCTTTTTAGAAGAAAAGTACCTAATGGAGCAAAAATAAGCAACTATACTTCTCTATGTGAAGCACGTTTCTCGCTTCGCTTCGATGGTTTTAAACATAGCTCAGTTCAAGCCAGATTTCCCATCCTCTCCTTCCCATTTGAAGAGAGAAGTAACTTGTGGCTCCCCTTTTGTTTTGGGTTTTAAAAAGAGTCTACATTGCCGTATCCTTCTGACTCTTCATCCTTTTCATGGTGCTCATTGTTTTGTCCTAAGTGACACAGAAATGTACTTACAATTTTATTTTCAAAACACTAGAGCTCTAAAGCTTCTGAATCTGTTTTTAAGAACACCTTGTTGTGACACACAGCTTTTTACCCCTTCCTCATGCAGTCTGGCTACATCCTGTAAGTATGTGTCCAATACAAAGAGAGCTCTCCAGCCACCCCTCCTGTCTACTTTTCTGGGCTGCGGCTGCAGTTACCTGCAGACCACTTACATTTTTAGAGTATTTCAGATGGTACAACGTATTTTGTGCACCTACATTTTTTGAGGGACCAAATTTTTTCCTTTGGATGTTTTAAAACACATTTATATACATATTTATATAAAACCTCAAATACACTCATACACACACACGTATATATATATTCTTGTATTTTATGTACCGCGTGTGTTTGTATGTATGTGTACTGTGTGTGTATGTACCTATGTGTACATATATGCTTATGTATGTTTTATGTCCACTCTATGTTTGGCTTTTCCTTTTATAGTCATTTGTCTGAATCATAAAAGCCCTTTTTTTTTTCGAGACTGAGTCTCTCTCTCTCACCCAGGCTGGAGTGCAATGGCACAATCTCAGCTCACTGCAACCTCCACCTCCCAGGCTCAAGCGATTCTCATGCCTCAGCCTCCCCAGTAGTTGGAATTACAGGCATGTGCCTCCACACCCAGCTAATTCTTTGTATTTTTAGCAGAGATGGGGTTTCACCATGTTGGCCAGGCTGGTCTTGAATTCCTGGCCCCAGGTGATCCGCTTGCCTCAGCCTCCCAAAGTGCTGGGAGCCGCTGCACCCGGCCAAAAGACATTTTAAATTTCTGCTTTGCTGGACATTTATAAAAGTTGTTAGACTATTTTCCAAGTGAGATGGTTAAAGGAAACATCGTTTTGTAGACTCATTTGGCCTGCTGAGTTTTCAAAGTGCCTCTGTCTTCCAAATTAGCTTTACCTAGTTAACAGCATATATTCCAAAGCCCTCTCATCACAGACACCTGGCAAGTACATGCTGTAAATTCTAACACTACGAGTAGCTTCCAAGGTATATGGGAGAACAGTAGTTGTTGCATAAGTTCCAAGTTATCTTTTTCCAAAGCAGCCTTCAAATCAACCACTTCACACGATACGATAGAGACACTGGCAAATGCTAGGGATTTCTATGACTTTGATCCACATTCTCTCTGTGTTAGATGCAATAGTTCTCAAAATTTTGTGAAAATAAAAGTCATCTCAGGCGTGTATTCTTAGCCCCTATGTCAAGACATTCTGATTAAGTGTGAGTAACAGGAATTTTTATTTTTATTTTTTTCATCTGACATCTTCCTGCTGGTAGAAGGCAGAACTGGAGTCAGTGGCTTGGAAGCTCTTCTTAGGTTTTGCTTGTTTGTATAGAGGAAGGCAAGTGGGGAGAGCTGCAGGAAATGGAACTGGGCATGTTTATAAAAAGCAGCGGCCTGTGGGGGTAGCGGACCTAGGGGAGCAGGTGACTTCCAGGAGGTGATGAGGCAGAATCACTGTGGGGAAACTTGGTGAGAGTCCGCGTTCTCATTCTCAGTAAGCCAGAAACCACTCAACTTATACATTTGACCTCATCTGATTCAGTGTTGCATTTATTGACAAGGAAGTCATCTCAGTATTGATCTCAGGAAAAGGAATACATTTTAAGTGTGTGTTTTCAAAATGTGCACACACCCCACAGCACTAACACACCATCTAAGAAAAAGCTAAAATATCAACATCTATTTTTTTTTAGTCAATGGCAATTTTCAACTTAATGTTTCTAAGTGTAACTGACCGAACTCTTTCATTCCTGGTTTGTGATGTGAACAGACACCATGGGTTCATGTTTTTTAATGATTAAAATGATATTTTTTGCACGCCATTTTCTCACTCTCCTGTTCCTATTTATTTTTAAACTTGAATAGAAGAGATAATGTACCATTCAGCTTTCACTTCAAGCATAATGTAACACCTTTGAAGTTCATGAGTGAATGCCTAGTGTGCCAAGTAGCCTGATGTTCATTCCAGTTGAATATCTTCTGAGCTGGAAAATGTATCAGGTTTCCCTAGTCTCCAGGACTTAAACAAAAGTAGCAATAATATGAATGCAAGCAAAGCTTTTTACCTAGGGATATGGACATGCTCTCAAAGTTGTGTAGAAGCAAAATATTTATTTTTTGCTGCAATTAATAAGTTAAGACCCAAGTTCTAATTATTTCTTCAAAAGCAATTTGGAAAATTGGAATTCCCAAGAATATACGTTAGAGTTTATAGGGCTTCTGACTTATAATTGAATAATAAACCTATATACTTATATTACTGCTGATAGAAGGTAGCCCTTCTCCCCTAAATGTTTGTTTGTTTTTGTTTTTGTTTTGCTTTGTTTTGTTTTGTTTTTGACAGAGTCTAGCTCTGTCGCTGGGGCTGGAGTGCAGTGGTGTGATCTCGGCTGACTGCAACCTCTGCCTCCCGGGTTCAAGTGATTCTCCTGCTTCAGCCTCCCTGGTAGCTGGGACTACAGGCGACCACCCCCATGCCTGGTAATGTTTGTATTTTTGGTAGAGATGGGGTTTCACCATGTTGACCAGGCTGCTTTCGAACTCCTGACCTCAGGTGATCCGCCCTCCTTGGCTTCCCAAAATGCTGGGATTACAGGCATGAGCCATGGTGCCTGGCCAGACCCCAACTTTAGAATTTGAAACAGAATGCTGAGAAAACAAAGGAATATATTGAGATATAACACAGATATAGACTGGGATAATGATATCTCATTTCAAAAGGTTGGATGCCTCTTTCAAGGAGGGAAGCGATAGTTATTTTGCTCTTAGGTCTAAATTTTTTAAACCAGTCTAATCATCAGAATCATATGAAAATCTCTTTTGTTGTCATTATTATTATTATTATTTTATTATTATATTTAACCATTTGTAAGAGGGAAACTAAGGCCAAAGAGGGTTGGGGTGGAGGCAGGGATGGTTAATGGGTACCAAAAAAAAAAAAATTTAGAGCAGTTTCTTTTTTTTTAAATTTGTTGTGAGCCTATCATGATGAACGTATCCAATAAGCGTATTTTAAATCTGAATCTGGATATCGAAAGAGGTAAGAGTGACAGGTAAAAAGGGAAGTAATTTGCGAAAGAATTATAAAAGTTATCAGGGAGTATGAGATAACTCAATTATAAGATAGAAATAGAACAGTCAGGAAATCATTTACTCATTTGTTTGTTTGCTTTTCCTATGAACTTTTTCCAAAAATCACCATTTGTGAAATTATGATTTAAAACACGAAAACAAAACTTTAAATATATGAAATAGTAAATGTGTCGAGGAATTTGAAGGGCAAGTTGTTATGGATAGCCATAATTGTCCATTTTAATGTACACACATATCACTGGGGATCTTGTTGAAGCTGTTTCTGATTTAGAAAGTCCGGGGTTGGCCCTGAGCGTCTGCATTTCTAACAAACTTCCAAGGATGCAGATGCTGCTGGTCGGTGGACCACACTTTGAATAGTGATATTTTAAATTGAGTGCATACACGTCCGTGAGCAACTATATTTTGAACTACCAGTTGGGGAGAGAACACAAAGGAAAATCAGAGAATTATGTCATTACTTGTTGGATATATAGTTTTATAGAAATAAATCTTTTGTGAATGTTAAATTAAATTTGATCTAAAGCTCCCTGTCTGTCACGAAGGGCAACCTAACTTGATATGTAAACAAACCACAGCCGAACGGGAGTAAGTAACGAATCACTGAGTGACAGCCAATCACAGCACTCAAGCTTCAGCCAATCACAGGTGGCCAATTGATCAGAGCGTGCCTATATAAGGGAAATGCCGAGCCCCAACGAATCAATTTTGTAAGTAATGACCCTTTTCAGTCCCTGAGTACTGCCTGCCCACTTTGCTGGATGAAGCTCTGTGAACTCTTCCTGGTTCTTAGTACTGCCTAATTCATGAATCCTTCTTTGCTCAAATGAACTCAAAGTTAATTTAAAGTTTTTATTCTAACATGAGACTCTTTCTCCCATGAGACTTTGCATGAGGGAGAACAGTCGCTAATTAACAGCCAGTTCTTGAAATCACGCAGTCCTGAAATCCAGCTGATGCTGCTCAGCAGAGAAGCAGATGTTTGGAGGTAAGAGTTGATTAGGTAGAATCTGGGAGGGAAAATATTTAAGTTAAATGTGTTAAAATATTTGAAGGAGTAAAAAATCTTTGAGATTTTTAGATTTTAGAAATCCCCAGGTGCAAAAACTCTGGGAGTGGACATGCATCACTTTGCATAATGGGAAGTTTCTACCACATTTGTATTAGTTTGCTTTTGTCATACATTTCCTCTGCTTCAGAGATACATACTGTGAGTTTCATTAGCAAATTTCACATTAAAATTTAAGCAGGTGTAAAAGTCTTGTTATTTTGCAAGACTTAAACATCTACTTTTTGTAAAAAATAAAATGTTTAAGCGTTTTCTGTTAAAACTAAATCCAGGTTTCAGTGTTAGAGCTCCAACTTCCCTCAGCTGTAGCCATAACTTCATGTTGATTGTTATTGGGCGTCTTTAAAAAAATGTACTTTCTTTTATAGTATGTGAAAACTATATAGGCATTATTGCAGATTTCTAAACGAGTTATTTCTCTAAGATGAATCCAATAAAACAGTGTCTTAACATGAAGTGACTTTGTCCCTGTGGTCCAAAACTGTGGTAAAGTCCCTGCATTTGTGTAACATTTCCCATCTGGGTAGGCAAGTGTGATAGTCATTGAATGGGGCTTTTCCCCTGATATGATTTTGATTCGCATCTGTGCCCAAATCTCATGTCAAATATGAGGAGGGGCTTGGTGGGAGGTGATTGGAGCATGGGGGCGGATGTTGCCCTTGGTGTTCTTATGATAGTAAGCGAGTTCTCATGAGATCTGATGTAAAAAAAGTGTGTCACACTTCTCCCTTATCTGTCTCTCTCTGCTGCTCGGCCATGGTAAGACATGCTTGCTTCCCCTTCCCCTTGTGCCATGATTATAAGTTTCCTGAGGCCTCCTACCCATGCTTCCTATACAGCCTGTGGAGCTGTGAATCAATTAAACCTCTTTTCTTCACAAATTACCCAGTCTCAGGTAGTTCTTTATAGCAGTGTGAAAATGGACTAATACACCCCTTCTCCCCTCACCCGATGACCTTCAGAATGTTGGTCATATATAAATTCAAATACATCTGGCTTAGTGTATATAAAATAATTATTTAACTTAGGACTTTACAAGCTAACAAGTAGCTAAGAAATACTAAATGACATTAGTGATACATGATAGATGATAGATGGGCATATTTGCTGGCAAACCTATGGAAATCATTTATATTCTCAAATCTAATATAACAGTGACCTTGTGTTACTACCAATGAGGATTAAGGGATGAGTTCCTGGTGCTGTAAAGTCTCTTCAAAATTGCCCTTTCTCATCTCTTTGTACATTTCTTGTACCAATTCTGGTCCTTAACCGCTGGACACAGGGTCTTGAATGACTTCTGCATTTGCTCCATGCTTGCCCATCACTCTGTATCATATTTTGTCATTCTCTTTCAAAAGTCCTCTACCACTTCCATAGGAATACCACTTTACCAATTGTGTATTCACATGTATTAATTTTCTATGCAATTTGATATCTTGGGGTTCTTGATTTGTGCTATATTGTGTATCTGTTTTCAGGATTAAGGGGGGGAGTGTCAACTTACCCTAATGTTATGTCCTGAATCATCTTATCTTCTATAACAGTGGTTTTCAAGCTTTTTGAAGTCTTTTACAAATCCCCAAGCCTAGGCTATACTCTAGACCAATAAAATTAGAATCCCTGGGGAAGGACCCATGCTCTGGTATTTTGAACTTCCTGGAGAGCCCACCATCAGCCAAGTACAAGAGCCTAATATGGTTTGGATCTATGTCCCAACCCAAATCTCATGTTGAAACGTAATCCCCAATGCTGGAGGTGGGGCCTGGTGGGAGCTGGTTGGATCATGGGGGTGGTTTCTCATGGTTTAACACCATGCCTCCTTGGTGTTGTCGTCGTGATACTGAGTTCTTGTGAGAGCTGGTTGTTTAAAAGTGTGTCATACCTTCCCTTCCTCTCCCTTCCTCCTGTTCCTGCCATGTAACACATGCCTGCTTCCTCTTGCGCTTCCACCATGATTGTAAGTTTCCTGAGGCCTCCCCAGAAACAGAAGCCACCATACTTCCTGTACAGTCTGCAGAACCATGAGCCAATTACACCTCTTTTCTTTATAAATTACCTTGTCTCAGGTATTTATTTATAGCATTGCAAGAACAGACTAATACAGAGCCCATGTTCTAAGAGGCTTTTCCTCATTACATGCACATGGCATCTATGTTCTTGCTAGTCATATCCACTATACTCCTCCGAAGAACCCTCTAGACTCCAGGCGAGGCTGATAATACCAGTGTCACTCTAAGCACTAGGCATGCAAGTCAACTTGACTCAGCACTGCCATGACAATTTCTCACAACCCCTCACCTCTAATGATTGATCTACCTCCTACCTTGCTCTTCTTCAAAGCCAGTAACCTAATTCCAGAGAGAAGCTTCAGGTTTTCATTTGAAATAATTATGTTCAGGGACATTTGGAAAGCCATTCTTCCATGTTAATAAACCAAATCTTACGACTGTGGTCTTCATTTTTCTTCAAAACTTTTTTCTTATGCCAAAACAATCTGCCAAACTTATAGCCATATTTTGCAACCAAAGATTTTTCCAATGGAAAAACAAACACACAAAAATCTGTAACTCATTCTCTTCCCATTAGGAGAAATTAAAATAGGAACATATTGTGAAGCTCCTATTTAAATTTTTTTATTTTTTAATTTGTATTCATAAGAGACAAAATATTAGGTAATTCAGTTATTAAATATATGCATTTTGGCCAGGCGCAGTGGCTCACGCTTATAATCCCAGCACTTTAGGAGGCCGAGGTGGGTGGATCACTTGAGGCCAGGAGTTCAAGACCAGCCTGGCCGACATGGTGAAACCTTGTCTCTACTAAAAATACAAAAATTAGCTGGGCGTGGTGGCATACACCTGTAATCCCAACTACTCGGGAGGCTGAGGCAGGAGAATTGCTTGAACCTGGGAGGCAGAGGTTGCAGTGAGCCGAGATCCCGCCAGTGCACTCCAGCCTGGGTGATAGAGTGACACTCTGTCTCAAAAAACAAGAAAAAATATATATGCATCTTAGTTCAAATCATTTTTTGGAAGTTTCACTCCTCCATTGCTCATTGTAAATATATCTGTTACACTGGAATGGGAGTTATCTGTCTACTGTGTTGAGTTTTAATCTCCTTTGCTGGTTTGTCATTATATCTTCAATGTTTGACCCCATGGGAAAACTTAATAAATACTTCTCATGAACATTTCCACCACCCCTGAATTTGGAGATTTGCCTCTTCATTCAATTTTTTTTTTTTTTTGCAATAATTACTTAGATACTCTCTAGAAGATTAATGAGTTACACAGACTTTTGCATTCCTCGCTAGGGAGCTATGCACAATCTATTAGGTATCTGGCAACAACAGCATAATGTGTAATGGGTGCTTAATAAATGTGTTAAGCCAACAGCCAAGAAGAATACAAAAGGTAGAAGTAATATTTTGATTCTACCTGTGGCTGTAATTTCAGCTGGATCCTGAAGGATGGATGAGATTTTGACAGAAAGAAAGTGATGGAAAGGAAGAGAAAGAATCATCAGAAGTCAGCGTGGGGGTGCACAGGGGGTTGAGTCAGTTCTCCTTTCATTACGTGCAGATGTGGAAAAACTGGATAAATGAAAAGGGAGATTAAAATTGTAAAATTTCAGTCATTTCCTCAGCAGTCATCTCGCCGAAGGTTGGTTCTGTAGCTGCTGGCAGGTGGCCAACTTACTAAGTCCTCTTAAATTGACAGAGAAGCCAGATAAATATCCACTCTTGGCAGCACTTTCCTGACAGATGGTCTGGCATTCATGGTATAATCCAAGACAACAATGGTAGAGCTAAAAACTCTCTAGCCTAGCATCTCCTAATTACCGCATGCAATATGTAACTAGGATTTCAATGTGCTAGCAGTTACTATCGTGGAAACAAGGGAGATGAAACCACGTACAATAACCAAGAAATGGCAACCACATTTAAGAGGATGAGTGTGTCTGACAGGGGGGTCTTCAAGACTTGAAATGTAAAAATATAAGAAAATAAACAAGTTCATTTCTTTTCCCTAAATGAAACTCGGTACTACCCTTCAGGTCACAAATGAAATGAAAGATGAGATTCCAAGAAATTTTATTCAGTAGCTTTTTAAGTCTTTTGCTCAGCAACTTGCATTTTAGTGCCCCCCTCATAAATTCAAGCCAGTTGCAAATGTCCTTGATGGCTGTAATTATTTGAACTTGCATTTTCTGACATTCCTCCCGCCACACACAAGGATAAAGGATGATGTGCTGTCCTAACGGCAGTGACTCAGAACTAGAAAGCTGCTAGAGCACCATCACTTAAAATGGGTCCTTAGGCATGTCACTACCTCTCAGTTTTAGTTACCTATTCTCTCTCTCTCTCTTTTTAAAATAATTTCAACTTTTATTTTAGATTCAGAGAGTACATGTGGAGGATTGTTATTCTGTATATTATGTGGTGCTGAGGTTTGAGGTACAATTGATCCTCTCACTCATATGATGAACATAGTACCCAATATTTAGTTTTTCAGCCCTTGTCCCCTGCCTCCAGTAGTCACCAGTTTGTATTGTTGCCATCTGTATGTCCATGAGCACTGAATGCTTAGCTCCCACTTATAAGTTGGAACATGCAGTATTTGGTTTTCTGTTCCTATGTTAATTTTCTTAGGATAACGGCCCCCAGCTGCATCCATGCAGCTGCAAAGGACATGATTTTATTCATCTTATAGCTACATAGTATTCCACAGTATATACATACCACATTCTCCTTATCCAGTCCACCATTGATGGGCACCTAGATTGACTCTATGTCTTTGGTATTGTGGATAGTTGCCTTTTCTGTTAAAGAAATTACTCCTCTGCTAATCTAACTTTTATTTTGGAGAAATGACAGTGATTTACCAAAGCCACATATATTTACTTCTGTATAATGACTTAGGAACTTAAAAATAAACAAAACAAGAGGTAAGCTTAAGGAAAGACTATCACCAAGAATTATTGATGTATCTACATGCAAATAATTACCTTGTAATAATGAACCTGTTAATGAAAATCTCTGAAGACAGTAGGGTTGATGCCTAAATTAAGATCTTGAGAAGTAAAGTATGAAGCCTTATCAGAAATAGAGCAGACTCAGGGAAAAGAAATATTGATGCATTCAACCTCTTGAGAATCATGAAGCCATCTATCATCATAATTGCCGATATTGGCAGTAGCACTGTTTGAAACTTGTAGTCTCAGGGTAATTACAGCCTTCTAGATCTGTTTGAAAGTAGGTTGTGATCAATGGTGGAATCCCATAACTTCATTTCAGTTTTAGCTAGGAAGTTAATTGTAACTGTTTTGCCCTTAGGCCTAATTATTTGTTTATAAAAAATTGCTTTACATTGATATTTTTGAATCTACTGCCTGTTAATGAGTAGTTAAGGAAAAGATAAATATCTGCATATCCTTGAAATAGATTTATACCTAAGAAAATCCATCCTACATTCTCAGTTTCTTATCTCTTATCTCTCTATTGTTGATGGGAAGCCTTACAGATAACATAAACTGAGGGTTAACACATACTTTGTGTATATTTCTATGCATATAGAAGAGTGTATAGAATATCAGTTTTTTAAAAGTACAAATGTATGTGGATTATTTATTGTTGCATAGTAAATCTTCCCCAAACTTAGCAGTTTAAAACAACAAAGAATTGTTATCTCTCAATTTTTGTGGGTTGGAAATAAGAGCACAGATTTTCTGCTTCAGGGCCTCTTACAAGCCTAAAGTCTGAGTGCCAACCAGAGCTGGGGATTCAACTAAGGTTAACTGGAGAAGAATCTGCCTCCAAGATCACTTCCATGCTTGTTGGTGGAATTCGTCTCCTCAAGGGTTGTTTGGCTGAGGGTCCCAGGTCCTCACTGTCTGTTGGCTGCAGACTGCCTTCAGTTCCTTACCACTTGTCTTTTGTTTTGCTTCATCAAGGCCAGCAATAGGTAGAATCAGCTAGCCAAACCCAAGTTGCAGTCTTTGGTAACCTAATCACAGAGGTGGGATCCACTCAGAGTGGATGTTTCCTATTTGTGTGAAGCAAGATAGCCAAAGAGTGTGGATTTGTAAGGGATTAACAAGGGCTTTGCACACAGAAGATGGAGTCATTTGGGACCCTCTTAGAAGCTGCCTACCACAATATGTGTGTGTGTGTGTGTGTGTGTGTGTGTGTGTGTGTGTGTGTGTGTGATTGCATACTTGTAATATCTCTAGAAGGATAAAAAATAAAATAGTTGCTTGTGTGACAGTAGAAGAGTGAGAAGCAATGACTTTTTATTCAAGTTTCTCCTGTGCCTTTTGGACATGTAAAGCCTGAGTTTGAGATGCTGGTTGCAGATATCAGAGTGAATTTGAAGATACATGAATCTGGAGATCAGAAAGAGTTCTGGACTGAATATAATATTTGAAGTCATGAATCAAGAGATGATACTTGATCTTATTAATGATAAGATCACCCAGGAAGGCAGGCCAGACAGAGAGGTAGAGAGAGAGAGAGAAAGAGAGAGAGAAGTAGAAAGTTTGAGCCTGGGGGTACTTTTTTTGTTTTTCTCTTTAAGGACATTTGTGACTAAGCTGCAAAATTGTTTGATAAAAAATGAGGTGTTTGAAAACAAAAATGTTTAAAAACATAAAATAAAGAAATGGAATGGTATTTTTTTAAAATTGCATTTACAGCAATTATACTGTGATTAGCCAGGATTTGGTTTATGTCCAAAATCTACAGTTGCAAAGAGTATCTAGACTGACAATTTAGGGTGAAAGGTCAAGATTCCAAAGGAAAGTCAGTGCAGGAGGAAAATGGATTAGAGTCCAAGGAGCTGATATGCTTCATTTAATTTTTCACCTTGAAAATTCCAGAGAGTCCTACTTGTCTGCAACCTGAGGCCATGTCTTCCTTCCAATATGATCCTCTCATCTCTGAAGTCTATTCTGTTCCTGTTTCTTTCACTTGCTACTATGGTAGGTTGTTTTCCAGAGTTCTTTCTTTCCCCCTTTGAGATACAGTTATTTTTATTCCCAAATACCTAGTAGTCAGTGTTTTTTTTTACCACGACCACGTGGTTAGAGCATAACTATCAGCTATGTTCTGAAGGGAAAAAGAAAAGTTTAAGTAGTAAACTCAACTTCCTCTGAATATCATCTGTCCAACTGACAAAATGGGGGTTTGAAATAAATTATCTTAAGAATCCTTTGAACCTTCAAGATTTCGTCCTTTAAACAGAAGAAAGCTTGCAAGTGCTGAGGCTAAAATACAGCAAGGAAAATAAGGTGGCAACTAATGCTAACTGCCAGGCTTAAGTGAAGTTTTGAGGCTGTTGGAACCTCTGGTATCCATCCTGCATCTGGACTTCCCTCCCACAAATCTCCTTTGCATTTATCTTGGGGAATTCTTTCTCCTGCCTGTAATCTGTTGGAATTCAATAATCACTGCTGAGCTAAGGCACGCCTGTGTGCACAATGCTCACCCATACACACATCCAAACACAGCAGATGTTACGCTAAAATAGTATGTTCCATAGATCCCACGTATTCAATAAACCAAGCTTCCCCAGTATGCATTTAAATTAACTTTTCAGTTTCACATGAAAACAAGAGCTGTGAAACTACCTAGTCAGTATTGGTTTTATAGAATCTCTTGTCCATGTGAAAGTTAAAGTTAATGCTCCTTGAGTTGACATATGGAGCTAATTTGATGGATGTATGTTCAAATGAAATATGTCTCAATGATGCAAAGGCTGGGTAACAATGGTATACTAGCTGGTTGGATGGTGATTTCTAAATATAAATTAAATTATTTTTATGATGTGAGGAAATTACTTAGGGACCAACATCAGGAAAACTAAGAAATTGAGACTGTAAAGATAGTGTTTATTTTAAAAGACAAATAGCACTGCCTGTGTGAATTGCATTTACTAAAATCTTACATGATAATATTAGATACACTTATAATTTTGTGTTTGCACAAAATGTTAATATGTGTTAGGAACAAGGTATCTATATTAGTGTTTAATGAACAGAGGTTATCCTGTTCTCTCAGTGCGATGTTTACTACAATTTGCACAAAGCAGAATTGTGTCACATATACTGTTCCTACAGACTTTACCTCTTGAAAATGGGAGATCTTTTTAATGGTAGCAACTCCTCTGCAGAACATAGGCATACAAAATGTTAAGAGATGAAATCGAATGCCTTTGGTTCTTTGGAAATTCCAGTGCAATATTATAATTCAAAGCTATGTTGAAAGACACTTAATTTCAGGATTTGTTTTACTAAACTCTCACAACATATTTATGGGAATGATGAAAAGCAAACTGGATTATAGATAAGTTAATTGAAGTCATAGCTATTTATAATGCTAAACAAAATGTGTTAATTAATTACTTCATCTCACTGTAAATCAGGTATCAACTTTATTTTAAAATCCAGATTTAATAACTAAAATGTAGCTTTCCATATAGTTATGTTTATCAGCAACTAACCATAGTCATATTAATAGTGCTTGTGATTTCCACCAATAGAAATTAGGTATTTTTTTTAAAAGCAAAAAACAATTTAGGCTAGCAAAGTCTGCTAGAGAATGAGGCCTAAAGACTTATTTTGTTTTAATTTGAAAAATTAAACTTCTCATGGACAAAATTATCACCAGCAGAGCTGAGGTTCAACTTGTGTTCATAGCAAGCATTAGGAATACTTTGGAAAAAGCTAAGGTCAGCTTTGTGGGTGGAGATGAGTAGATAGGAATTTATTTATTTATTTAGTATTGTATTTTTTGAGTCAGAGTCTCACTATGTTGCCTAGGCTGGAGTGCAATGGTGCAATCTCGGCTCACTGTGAACTCCGCCTTCCCGGCTCAAGCGATTCTCCTGCCTCATCCTCCCGAGTAGTTAGGATTACAGGCATGCACCACCACCCTTGGCTAATTTTTGTATTTTTAGTAGAGACGGGGTTTCACCATGTTGGCCAGGCTGGTCTTGAACTCCTGGTCTCAAGTGATCTGCCCGCCTCAGCCTCCCAAAGTTCTGGGATTACAGTCGTGAGCCACCGCACCCGGCCAGAAAGAAATATTTTTAAAAAAGAAAGAAAGCAAATATCAAATTGTTCATGGTATCAAAGAAGAGAGAGTTACTAGAAATATCATAGACTGGTCCAGCAAGTCAGGTCCCTTCTAGTCAAAGGAGAGACAGACAAGTGCCTTCTGAAGGGGCCATTTCCTCAAAAGGCAAACAAGAGACTTTAAGGATTCATGGGTTCCTCATCAGAGAAGATGTATGTTATTCCTATTTGAGTATCTGCATCTACACTCTCCCAACCTGGTGCTTGGTTGACAAGGGTCCCACCTTCTGGAGTTTACATTCTAATTGGAAAAATAGCCAATAAACTTGTGATTTATTTTCATTAAAAAAAATCTGATATTTTTATGTCACCTTATAGTTGTTGCAGATATTTCAAAATTTAGTTAATATCTATCTCTAGATATTACAGTGGTTATTACCCTACCACTAGAGCTTGTTATTTAATATAATAAACATATATTATTACATAATTTAAAAAATATTTTAATGTTTGTATACCAATATTAATCTAAAATAGTATGATCAGTTTGGTGAAGTTTAATGGAACTTCACCAGGCTGTCAAAGGGGTCTGTTGACTTAACATGGTTAGGTACACACATTCTAGACGAATTTGCCAGAAGGCTTTGTTTTTTAATTCAACAAAACAACCACAAAATTTGATACAAATGTAGAAGTTATATTTATCAAACCAATGTAGAAGTGTCAGTCTTCACAATTGAAAAATTTTGCTACGGAGATAAAATAATTAACCGGCACATGTAAAACACTTATAAAAATGTATGTGAATTAAAGTATCAGTAAGGCTTCAAAGCATCCCTCTTTTAGGCGATTACCAAGGTATTTCCATTGACTAAATTGTCCCAAATTATTCAAGTCATCACTGAAGTATGGCAAATGTTGAACCACAAACTGATTAAAAATTAGTTGAAAAAAAGGGAAGAGTGTAAATATCATAGTGGAGTCTTAAACAATATCATGTATTATGTGGATTAAGTATTTTACTCTAATTATGTAGGCACTATGTAGAAAGCATATAAAAATCTAATCTTTGAGAATATATTATTTAACTCATATAGTGTTAAATTACTTTGTATTTTTTCCTAATGATATTAATTGGCTTTAAGAAAATAAAGGCAACGGGCTGGGCACAGTGGCTCAAGCCTGCAATCCCAGCACTTTGGGAGGCCTAGGTGGGCAGATCACGAGGTCGGGAGATCAAGACCATCCTGGCTAACACGGTGAAACCCTGTCTCTACTAAAAATACAAAAAAAAAATAGCCGGGCGTGGTGGCAGGCACCTGTAGTCCCAGCTACTCGGGAGGCTGAGGCAGGAGAATGGCGTGAACCCCGGAGGCGGAGCTTGCAGTGAGCCGAGATCACGCCACTGCACTCCAGCCTGGAAGACAGAGCAAGACTCCGTGTCAAAAAAAAAAAAAAAAAAAAAAAAAAGAAAGGAAGAAAACAAAGGCAATTAATTGACCCAAAACATGTCCTATGATCAAGTTATTATAATTAAACACAGCCAAGATTCCTGATGTATAGGATATTTATAGAGAGGTGATGTGTGTGTGTATGTGTCTGTGTGTAGTAGTCATATAAAATTGAAATACATTATTATTTTTTACTCAAAATGATTTAAAATTGTTATAATTGTATCTATAATAAATAAATATATTCCATTAGTATGTCATACTCATCTGGGTATGGTTTGCTGTAAGTTTCAAATGTTGTGCACTCAAAATATTAATAAAGCCCATTTTTAAAGAAAATTTAAAAGAAGCAATGTAATAAAGAATCTTTGAATTATCCATTATACATTTACTTTTGGAATGTATTCATCTTTATGCACTTAATCATTTGGGAAGCAATTTGTCTATTAATGGCCTTATGATAATTTAATATAAATTCAATTTATATAAAATGTGTTCAATGTCAATTGCTACTAGATTAAATATGTGATTTGAATAGGAATTAAACATTCACAGTTACAAACATTGTAAAGATAATGGTCTCCCTGATATGATCATTTCTCTTCATCACCAATCTTTTTTTTCAAGGTTTTATTCTTATTAAAATTTTCTAAAGAATTAGCTACATTCATTGACACCTCTGACTATTTTTAAGATGGATAAACAGTTTGTGATAGATATATTATTTATATTAAAAAATAAAGTAAAGCCTGGCTCACATTTGTAATCGCAGCACTTTGAGAGGCCGAGGCAGGTGGATTGCTTGAGCCCAGGAGTTCAAGATCAGCCTGAGCAACAAAGGGAGACCCCATCTCTACAAAATAATAATAATAATAATAATAATAATAATAATAATAAACCAGGCCTGTTGGCATGCACCTGTGGTCCCAGCTGCACAGGAGGCTAAGGTGGGAGGATTGCTTGAGCCCAGAAGGTTGAGGCTATAGTGAGCTGTGTTCATGTCACTGTACTCCAACCTGGGTGACAGAGAGAGACCATGGCTCAAATAAATAAATAAATAAAATATAATAATAAGAAATAAAGTTAGATGTATCTAGCTTTGTGAATCCTCAAGCTGCTTGAATATGTGAAGATGATTTTGGAGTGTCTGGACTCTGCTGGATTAACCGACTGGACTTGATGTTCATGTCAGTATAGCATGAGAGGGAGTTAGGCCGTATATGGTTTGGTGAAAGTGGACCAAGACATGCAAGAGACAGAAGTTCTGTTTAAAAGTTTTGCTTTTAAAAAAAGTAGACCAAACATGTCAAACCTTTCAGAAAGTTTTCCCCAATTAACCAATTTCTCAATCCTCAGTACCCCTTTACTCTACAATCATACTCTATTTTATGTATCACTTAAAACTGAAAGCCTTCTTGATTCTCTTATTCTCATATGCGTGCTCTTCAATCAAATTAGAAAGCCTATGAACATGAACTATGTCTTTATGATGCATTGATGTTTTTCTCATGGACAAATAGAGGCCCTACATTTTATGATGGGACCTGTTGATGAGGGAGGGCATAAGCGGATTGGTGAATGAATGGAAACCAGGAGTTGTTTGGGTACACAGTCTTCATCTGCCTTCTCAGATTCCCCCAACTGTCCATCTTTCTCTCTTTCTTGGCTCTCATCTCTTCTATGCCAGGCTTTTGGAACCAGGTGAATCTCACACTTCACGGTATGAAATTTGGTTTTCTATGTGTCTTTCACGTGGTTTGGAGGGAATTAGCTGGCCAATAGGTGAAAATTAACCCCACACGAAATGGGAGACAGGAGGGAGCCAGGTGAGTAAATTCCCCTTTTCTCCTCCCCAGGATGAGATTCCTTCTTGGAACATTTTTGTAGAATGCTCAAGTGCTGAGTGAGCATTCCTGTGACCGGCTGTGCCACTTTATGGAACAGCATGAAGCAATAGCTGTCGTATTGCGCAGCATCTTCCTTAACCTCCCTTTCTTTTCCCCTCACTTTCCTCTGCTGTAGGCTGTACCACCTAAGTAAAATTTTAGCAGAAGATCCTTTCCTTAGGCCCTGTTTTCTAAAGTTCCTGGGCTAAGACTATTTGTAATGGAAGTATTTTAAAGATGCATATCCTCAAGACGGGTTTTAGGATTCAGACAGTCACTCAAATGAAAGTAATCATTGTTGGTCCCTGTGACTGGTGAGTAGGGTGGTAATGATCCCTAGCATGCAGTGGCTGGGTTTACTTAGAAGGAAGTACTAGCTCACAGCAGTGCCCTCAGAGACTGAGCAAGTCTCGCTGTACACTAGGATAATGGAATAGGATGGCTTCTGATGGAACTTACAAAAATAGATGACAATTTCAGGACAGTCAACTGCCAATTTAAGACATGTTTTGAAAGCCAGTGGGCCTCAATTACAGCCTTGAGGGAGACTTGCCTGTACCCTCAAAGAACAATGTGTTAAGAATCAGGCTTAGGTTCTGAATATAAAGATGACAAAGTTGCCAGAAAATCTAAATGTACAACCCCAGTAGATCTCCTGTGTCAAAAGAGAGTCTTGACAAAAAAAAAAAAAAAAAAAAAAAAAAAAAGAATGGTCCTTCAGACTTAATTGGGGATATATGGTTGGCTAAACACAAGACCCCTTGATTTTCAAAGTTCCCTTCAAAGTATCCCTCCTTGCCAGAGGATATTGGCTTCCCTTGCTTGCTTGGAGACCATGTGAAGCCCTTACTGAAAAATAAAAAGCAGGTCTCTTGCAGGATAAAACTTGCTCTGTCCCCACTGGCCTTCATTGCTTCCAAGTCAATAACCAAGGTCAGTTCTCAACAAGGAGGCAAGAGCCTTGCATTCAGGAAAAAAAAAAAAAAAACAGCCAACAAAGCAAAATGGATTGAAGACCTTAAAAATACATATCAACAAGAATAGGGATGCCTGAGTAGGGGTGAATTTTGAGGGTTTTGTACTGCTGCTCCTGTGTCTGTGTGTGTGTGTGTGTGTGTGTGTGTATGTGTAAGATATAAAACCAAATATGGCATGATTCATTGACATGAGCACACTCTGCCATAATTCAAGAGTAAACATTTTAGTAACAACACCTGGAACTGATCCTAATAGTTTTCTTTGATGGTTCCATGGAGCAGATCAAACAAATAATCTACCGAATAAATGAAGTGAAAATAAATACTAGTAAATTAGGTTTTAAGGAGCATGTCACAAAACCAATTGTCTCTAAGACCTCTGACAGGCTTTGTATAATAAGGGAAGAAAAAAATTGGAAGAGTCTCGGAGGCGGGCAGGTTCATTTTTGATGTACAATCTGAAACTCCATAACTTGGTATAACTGACCTGCTTTACCCTGAGAAGCTCTCTTCTTTTGAATTATTTGAAAACTAAAACAAGCAAAATATGACCAGCCAGTTTCCTCCAAAATGCACATAGTAGTGGTGTAGTAGATACATTAAATACTCTTTTGATGATTTATCTTTTTTGTTTGTTTGTTTTTTTGAGACGGAGTTTTGCTTTTGTTACCCAGGCTGGAGTGCAATGGCGCAATCCCGGCTCACCGCAACCTCTGCCTCCCTGGTTCAAGTGATTTTCCTGTCTCAGCCTCCCGAGTAGCTGAGATTACAGGCATGCACCACCATGCCCGGCTAATTTTGTATTTTTAGAGACAGAGTTTCTCCATGTTGTTCAGGCTGGTCTTGAACTCCTGACCTCAGGTGATCCACCCACCTTGGCCTCCCAAAGTGCTGGGATTACAGGCATGAGTCACCGCGGCCAGCCTGATTTATCTTTTTTATTTTGCACTTGAAAGGTTGATAATTCTGAATTTGATGGTGACATCATATAGAGATGAGCTGTGAAAGAAATAAGATTGAGACCAACAAGACCTGTAAGTCAATGGTAAATTATTGGCAAATGTATTGAAAATTTTAAAATAAGTTATAAAGTTAGAATATGTAAGTAATTGATTTTCTTAAGGTGAGTTCTGTAATTAAGAGTCTTTATATCTGAATTCAAGTGTTGGTTCTGTCATTAAAAAATTAAAGTCATTTGAGGCAAATTGATTTACTCAACTTACTTGCTAAATAAGTTATGATTAAACTATTTAATAAACTTTTTGATAGGTTCTATACAGCATTTGTGAACTATGATTCATGTTGAAATTATTTGTGTGAGTTGAAAATGTCACCAACAGTCACTAGTAAATTAGGTTTTAAGGAGCATGTCACAAAACCAAATGTCTCTAAGTCCTCTGACAGGCTAAGGCGACATACTTCTCTAAGTAAATTTACGAAACTAACTTTTAAAATGTGTTTTTAAATGCTAGATCTGTAGATTGAATCAATGAGGACTTTTATTAACAAATCTCAGTTATTTCTCAAGAACAACTGGTTACCTTTCTGGCTATCATTAATCTACTAAAAATAGCTGCCATCAAAATCTACTTCCATTAATGTAGAAGAGATATCATATGCTCTTTAATAATCTTTATATATATATATTTTATTATACTGTAAGTTCTAGGGCACATGTGCACAATGTGCAGGTTTGTTACATATATACATGTGCCATGTTGGTGTGCTGCACCCATTAACTCATCATTTACATTAGGTATATCTCTTAATGCTACCCCTCCCCCGACCCCACAACAGGCCCCAGTGTGTGATGTTCCCCTTCCTGTGTCCAAGTGTTCTCATTGTTCAATTCCCACCATAATCTTTCAATAAAATGATTTACTTCGAATTTAACCAACTATCCCATAAATTATGTAATACACCGGAGCACCAGTATTGTCTAATAGTTTTAGATAGCCCAGTATTTATTTAACCAAGTATATATGTCTACTTTATACAGCTATAGATTAAAATATTTAAGAATATCACTGTCATCCACTAAAATGAAAAATGAAGTTCTTATTGTTTCCAAGAATAAAATACAGTCAATATGCATCTCTGCATGAAGTGATCAATTAGTTCCTGAATTGTGCCTCAATACTTACAAATACACACACAATTACATGTGTATCAATGTTGACAGATTTGTAAAAAATAGTTCTAGATTTATTTAGATTAATGCAACTCATTTCAGTGATTGACATTCTATACATTAATGTGAAATTATTTCAATATTTGCATTATTTAATTATATTTTACTGAAAGTATTTTCATTAAGACTTACTCTTTTTCTGTAGTTACACAACAAACTTGATTCCTAATGGAGAAATTTTTATTTATATCAATTTTATTGATTATCATTACTTGCCTTGCAAGTTTCTTTGTGGTGGCCTTAATCCAATTCAAATTATCTAGGGCCACATTTTGCAGTTCTATTGTTTTCCTGTATTTCCAATCTTGTGTGGCCACTATATCATATATTCCTATGCATCATGGATCCAACGATCTGTTCCCACCTTTATTTTCAAATGTGCTGATTGAGGACAAGTAGAAGTTTGCAGTTATGTAGGATTTTTAACATACCAGTGATTATTTTTATACACTGATAATTATGCTGCCTTCTGTGGAAGTGATTCATATGACCCCATGATGCTGCCTGAAATGTTTTGATTGGAGGCCAGGAAACCATGATGAGGTCAGTTTTGGGATCAGAAAGAAGAGAATAAAAATAGAGAATGTTCTTTTCCTAAAATTTCAAATTCATTTCTAACACTTGATCTGCTTTTAATCTGGCTGAAATTATACTGAAGATCTAACAATAATTTATACCATTATTTCTGGGAAAATAGGTTATAAATGTCCAGGATAAAATTAAGTTATTTTTAAAACAATCTATTTGTTGTTTAAACTTACCTCTTATAAAATATTTTTCATTAGTAGGTCTCTTATCTATTTGGACTGCTATAACAAAATACCTGTACTGGGTAAGAAAACAAGACACTTACTGTTTACAGTACAGGAGGCTATGAAGTTCAGATTAAGGTGCCAGAAGCTGCGCCTGGTAAGGGCTTGCTCTATGTTTTCATATATGGCACCTTCTTGCCACATCCTCATGTGGTGGAAAGGATGATCAAGCATCCTTGGGTCTCATTTTTCAATGTTTTTAAAAAATTTTAAAAGTATTTTTTGATACATTCCATCTATACATATTTATGGGGTACATGTGAAATTTTGTTTCATGCATAGAATGTTTAATACTCTTTTTATTATTATTACTATTATACTTTAAGTTTTAGGGTACATGTGCACAATGTGCAGGTTTGTTACATATGTATACATGTGCCATGTTGGTGTGCTGCACCCATCAACTCCTCATTTAGCATTAGGTATATCTCCCAGTGCTATCCCTCCCCACTCCCCACCACCCCACAACAGTCCCCAGAGTGTGATGTTCCCCTTCCTGTGTCCATGTGTTGTCATGGTTCAATTCCCACCTATGAGTGAGAACATGCAGTGTTTGGTTTTTTGTCCTTGCAATAGTTTGCTGAGAATGATGGTTTCCAGCTTCATCCATGTCCCTACAAAGGACGTGAACTCATCATTTTTTATGGCTGCATAGTATTCCATGGTGTATATGTGCCACATTTTCTTAATCCAGTCTATCATTGTTGGACATTGGGGTTGGTTCCAAGTCTTTGCTATTGTGAATAGTGCCGCAATAAACATATGTGTGCATGTGTCTTTATAGCAGCATGATTTATAATCCTTTGGGTATATACCCAGTAATGGGATGGCTGGGTCAAATGGTATTTCTAGTTCTAGATCCCTGAGGAATCGCCACACCGACTTCCACAATGGTTGAACTAGTTTACAGTCCCACCAACAGTGTAAAAGTGTTCCTGTTTCTCCACATCCTCTCCAGCACCTGTTTTTTCCTGACTTTTTAATGATCACCATTCTAACTGGTGTGAGATGGTATCTCATTGTGGTTTTGATTTGCATTTCTCTGATGGCCAGTGATGATGAGCATTTTTTCATGTGTCTTTTGGCTGCATAAATGTCTTCTTTTGAGAAGTGTCTGTTCATATCCTTCACCCACTTTTTGATGGGGTTGTTTGTTTTTTTTCTTGTAAATTTGTTTGAGTTCATTGTAGATTCTGGATATTAGCCCTTTGCTAATATTCAGAATGATATCAGATAAGTAGGTTGCAAAAATTTTCTCCCATTCTGTAGGTTGCCTGTTCACTCTGATGGTGGTTTCTTTTGCTGTGCAGAAGCTCTTTAGTTTAATTAGATCCCATTTGTCAATTTTGGCTTTTATTGCCATTGCTTTTGGTGTTTTAGACATGAAGTCCTTGCCCATGCCTATGGCCTGAATGGTAAGTCAGTGTATTTAGGGTATCATCACCTAAGAGTTTATCATTTCTATGTGTTGGGTACATTTCAAGTACTTTCTTCCAGTTAGTTTGAAAATGCAATACATTGTTGTTAACTATTGTCACCTTACTCTGCTATCAAACATTAGAACCCTTTTTTTTATCTAACTGTATGCTTGTACCCTTTAACTAATCTCTTTTCACCTCCCCTTTCCCATACATCTTTCTCAGTCTCTGGTATTCATTATTTTACTCCCTACTTTCATTCAGGATGTTAGTGCCCTGACAGATGAGTAGTTTACAAATATTTTTCCCTATTCAGTAGTTTTTTTTTTAATTCTGTTGTTTCTTTTGCTGTAGAAGCATTTTAGTTTAATATAGTCCCACTTGTGTATTTTTGTTTTGGTTGACTGTACTTTGGAGGTCTTAGTCATAAAATCTTTGCCTAGATCAATGTTCTAGAGAGTTTTATCTATATTTTCTTCTAGTAGTTTAATATTTTTGGGTCTTATTTAAAGTCTTTATTCCATTTTGAGTTGATTTTTGTATAACGTGAGAGATACGGGTGCAATTTCATTCTTCTGTATGTGGCTATCCAGTTTTCCCAGGACCATTTGTTGAAGAGGGTGTCCTTGACCCACGTATGTAGGAGATCAGTCAGGGTGGTAGGAGAAATTATAGGAAAAGGATGCAAACCTTCTCAGAAGGCCAGAGGTTTGCATAGCTTCAGAAGAGGGTTTGGCTAAAGGCAGCTGAATTCTCTCAGAGTAGATAACAAGGAAGTGTAAGGGAATTGATCTAGATAAGTTAGTTTACTTAGGCCTCTGAACCTGGCCTTTAACCATCTGCGAGCGCAGGGTGGGCACCATGTGAATTGCCCACAAGTGGGTTGACTCAAGGCCTTTGTCATTAAATCTGTGATGAATACATGCTCTCAGCGGCAGCTTGTTAGGGCTGCTGCTGCTGACTCTTTACAGGACCATCCTTGGTGTCTGTGAGCCGCCCAGTTCCCTAGCCTGCTCTTTCACTGGATACCTGTGTCTGAGTGCATTTGTTCATCCATCCTTCAGCCAGGGTCTGTGGGTCGGACCCGGCACGTGTATGGTCTTGGCAGCTCTGTCAAAGGTCAGTTGCCTGTAAATGCATTGCTTTATTCCTGGGTTCTCCATTTTGTTTCATTAGTCTGTTTTTATACCAATACTTTGCTGTTTAGGTTACTATAGCCTTATAATATATTTTGAAGTCAAGTAATGTGATACCTCCAGTTTTGCTCCTTTTAGAATTTTTTTCTAATTATGTGAAAAATGATGTTGGTATTTTGATAGTGACTGCATTGAATCTGTAGATTGCTTTGGGTAGTGTCATTTTAACAATACTAATTCTGATCCAGGAACATAGGATATATGTTTCATTTGTTAGGGTCCTCTTCAGTTTTTTTAATCAGTGTTTTATAGTTTTCCTTGTAGAAACCTCTCATCTTTTTGGTTAAATTTATGCCTAGGTATTTTTATTTTGTGGATATTGAAAAAAGGCTTGCCTTGGGCCTCTTTCATGAGAGTAGAGCCCTGAGGACTTAGTCACCATCTAAAGGCCTTACCTCTTAATAAGATTGCATTGAGGATTAGGTTCCTACGTATGAATGTGATGGAAGCACAATCATTCAGACCAAAGCAATAGGTTGTATTGTAATCAGAGGTATAAAGAGGTCTAGCTGACTAAACAAATTGGGTTTTGTGCAGGATGACAGTACCTCTGTGGCCACTCAGGATTCTCATTTATTCATTCAATCAATTAGTCAACACTTATTCATTGAGATACCAGATAGCAGGAATGCAGTTGTCTGCAAGACAGATATCTGTCTTGACTTCATGGGTCTTACAATTTAAATGAGACAGGCAATAGTGTGACAAATTGTAAGACTCAGAAGTCCATATACTCTGGAGTATATGATGCAGGCTTGGGGGAGTCTCAGCCTCATACAGGATGTGATTCTAACTTGAAATAGAAAATGAATCTAGGCTGCTTTAGGTCCTAGCTTAGAGCCGTCTTGTCCCAGACAATTCTAGAACTGCTCCGTAGGTTTATCATTCTCTTGGGTCTGACCAGCAATCACAGGGACACAGATATCTGATATGTAAAATAAAATTCCAAGTAAATTATTTATTATGAGGAATCAAAATTTTAGTAGGCAGACTTAAGCTGTTCACTCTCAAGGGCATCCTTTTACTGCCAGCGGGCTTAACGGTAAACTCAATTTTTAATTACATGGGCAATTGAATCATTTTTGTTACAAAGTTTAATAAAGTCATGCTGAACTCTGTAAAAAATCATCCAGGTCTCAGATTAGACTGTATATCTTTTCATATAAGTTCGTGCACCCCTCTTTTAGTTTTCCTCTCTTCTGGGTAGTTCAGGGTATGTTTCATCATTCCCCAATTTTAAAGCAGTCTATCACCCTAAGTATGTTTAACTATCCTTTCTTCTTGAATGCCGCAATTCACTAAGATGGCCTTCAACCATATTCAACTTGCACACTAACACATTGTCTCAATCATATCACTAGCCACCATAAACATGAGAGGAATCATAAATAAAAACTCGGTTCAAATCTCTGTTCTGCCACACATTTACTGTGTGACATTATCAAAAGTCAGAAACCTATTTAAATGGGGGAATCATTACAACCACACAAGATGCTTAACAGGATTGCTATTAAAAAGTAAAAAGTTTCAATATTAACATCCAGCATAGAGCAGACCAGGAAACATATGACACCAATTATTACTTTGTTGCTACTGCCAGTCCTTTCTTATTCTTACTTCCACCAAACTACTAATTTCCTCATTCACAATGTGTTAATTTTCTACACATCAGGCTGTCAGTGAGAAACCTGTTTCCAACATCTAGGGGAACCTTACATTGAATGGATGTATAAATTATGGGTGGTTATTTAAAGCAAGAAGTAGGTATCAGTAAAAGTATATGATCATTTTTGGACAAAGAATGGTAGACAATAGAAAATTTAAAAAGTGGGATAAGAGAAAATATAATTGTCAGGAAGTAAAGCTTGTAAGTGGTAGGATAACGAGTAAGGTGAGAAAAGAATGAAGGAACAAAAATCAGTGTTTTATTCAGATAACTGTTTCATTTATTTAAGCAACTTTTAAACCCCAAATATCTTTCTAGGAAAACTCTGATTTAAGTACATTTAAAATGTACTCTTTTAAGTAGGCCTGTGTTGGGTTTCTCTCTCTCTCCAGAGAGAAAAGAGAGAAAGAGAGAGAAGGAGGAGGAGAGAATAAAGCAACAACCCACTCCTGATTTGTAACTTTCGCCCATATCCATGGTGTAAACATTCCCACCATAGTCAATTTCAAGCTACTACCTGACGATCACTGAATGAAGAATTGAAAAAAAATAATTCACAGAGTTGACTTTCATGTGAGCTGGTACAAGCTGGCTCAAGAATACCTCTGCTTTTAAACCTTGTCAAAAGAAGAAAACGAATGCCAATAGCATTGTATTTGTAATGGTGACCACAGAATGGGTCTTAATACACATGCAAGGAGTCTAAGTGGGCCCAGCACATGTTGTGTTATGGACTCTTTATGGGCTCTAAGCCTGCATGTTAGGGATTTCTCATTTCCTTCTGAGTTCCATGCATGGCTTGAATTACAGTTAATTGTGACCATAAAAACCATTAATCATTTGGCAAAGGCTACTTGGTTGTGTGGAGAAATCAGGAGAATAGATTAACACATTAGGCAGGTAATAATGGTTTTTCCATCATAAAAATTTTATTAGAAATAGCAAAACATAGCATGTAACTATCAACTCTTATTATTTATATCAACATTAAGCCAATTTTAAAAGAGTACAAGCATAGAGGTCCAATTCAGCTGCGACTTAGCCTCCATCTCATTAACCCATAAATGTTACTGTTATTTCTCCTAAATCTAACATTTTTCCCCTTTGATAGACTTTAAAGAGATTTCTCTTCCCTCCTGGTGGTGCTTTGAGCATCAGAAAACCAAGGCCTTGACATTTATATGTGTTTTTCTGATTTAGCCACTTAACAGGTTTTTTTTTTTTCCTGTTGTAAGTTTCCTCAATGCCTATTCTAAACACATCTTTGGGAGGACCTTCTGATGTGTGGAAGCCAGCAGAGGTGATGAGGCTGGTCCTGCAAGTGAATACTGAAATAACAAGCACATAGCTCTGATGAGGCAAATACAAATCACCCCTTTCATCTATCATCAAGGCAGTGGTAAAAGGCTGGGCCTGCTTAGCTTGATCAATGAGCCTGTATTCTGCTACAAGGCACAGAAGAATGGACAACGGGGATGCCGAGGTGCTTTACTCCCATGATGCATCAAGTTGGTTCCCTGAAGGTGCTAAACAGCCTCAGCCAGACTCACTAAGAAGCATTTTTTGAAGACATTCCAGCATAGAAATTGTGCTTCCCATCACAGAGATACTAGTTAGCTGTCCTCTAGAGGTGGTGTTGAAAGGTTAAAAGAACATTATCAATTCTTTCAGAAGTCAAACACTTTTTTAGATAAACATGGAAGGGTCAGTGGATTCCCCAGAACATTTATGCCATTAGAGGCATAGAGAGCTGTCGAACCAGGCGCCAGTTTGAAGTAATTGCAGAGAGCTGGTGGTGAGGTTGGCAACCACCATAAGCCACCTTTGGAGGCACAGGTAATCCTTGGGAGGGAGTTCATCGTGGCCCAGATATCTTGTGCCACAGTTGTGATGTTTTCCTCCGTGTAAAAGGCATCAACTCTTGTTTACTCTTTAACATCCAAAGGGAACATGGAAAATGCTGCTTTTTTCTTTCATCACAGTATTTCACTTTTCCCTTCAGTTTTATTGAGCTATGATTGAGAACTAAAATTTGTATGTATCTAAGGTATACATTTTTTTTTTTTTTGACACAAGGTCTTGCTTTGTTCCCTAGGTTGGAGTGCAGTGGTATGATTGTGGCTCCCTGCAGCCTCAACCTCCTGTGCTCAAGCGATCCTCCCACCACAGCCTCCTGAGTCCTGAGTAGCTGGGACTACAGGTGTGCACCACCATGTCCAGTGAAATTTTTTTTTTATGTTTTGTAGAGATCGGATCTTGCTTTTTTGCCCACGCTGGCCTCCAACTCCTGGCTTTAAGCAATCTTCCTGCCTTGGGTTCCCAAAGTGCTGGGATTACAGGTGTGAGCCACTATGCCTGGCCACAATGTGATGCTTTGATGTACATACACGTTGTGAAATGATTACCACAATCAATACCACAATCACTAATGAGTGTATCCATCCTTCACATGGTTGCCATTTTATGTTTTTGTAGTGAAAACATTTGAGTTGTATAAGATACATCATTCAGGAATAAAATACATCATTATTAACTGTAGTCATCATGCTGTACATTAGATCTCCAGAACTTACTCATCTTATTACTGAAAGTTTGTACCCTTTGACCAACATCTCTCCATTTTCCCCCGCCCACCACCCCCTCCCCATCCCCTGGTAGCCACTCTTCTCCATTCCTTTGGGTTTGGCTTTTTTACATTCCACATATAAATACCATCATGCTTTTTCTTAAGCCTACATAAAATCGATTTAAACTTAGGAATTCTGGAAGTTACCTAAAACTTACTGTAGAGACTCAGCTCAATCAGCAATCAAAGCGGTTGACTTAGGTACTTGAACTCTGAGCTGTAGGAATTAGTGCTTCAATATCCTAATGAGCTTTCAGCCTTCTCTAGAGTTCAGGTTTAGACGTGAAAGAACCTAGCACTTTAAAAAAGAATGCTTATATATAACATATTCGGAAAGAATTATTATCACTTACGTCACACTCTTATTTTCAGGTGCTTTGCTTAGAAATCAAAATTCATCATCTTATTTACTACTCACTATTACAATGAGACAGGTGCCATATGCCCAAATTAAATGTGGGAAAACTCAGTTATAGAGTGAATATATATTGTTCCCAAGGATTTATAGTTAGGAAGTAACTTAAACTCGATGATTTGAGACTCCTAAGAGACTAATGGTTTACTACCTGTGGCACTGAATGTATATGTGTGTGTGTGTGTGTGTGTGTGTGTGTGTGTATGTATATATATGTGTATATATATATGTGTGTGTATATATATGTATATATATGTATATATATATATGTTTTAGACATTTAAGAAAAGTACTTAAATTTTCCAAGTAGATTACTTAGAGAACTAAACGTTTATTAGGTTCCTATTTTATTTTTGCTTTTAATCTATCACCTGTGGTTATCAGAGAAATCTTAATTGTATTTACACATGTATGATTAAGTAAAAAAAGGAAGGAATTACCAGGGTAAATCAGACTCATAGAAATGTTTTCATATGAATAGTTGAATATTTGAAGCTTTGTTTGTTTCTGGCTTTACTTATGTCTTTTGGTTTGGCTGATTATTTATTGAATGTAAAGGTAAAACCCAGTTTTTAAATTCTGTGGTATGTGGGGTGAGCAGATACTTAGGAAGTTTTCCAGTCCTTAAGGAAAGAAGTAAAGAAAGGACAGGAAAGCATTACTGAAGGGGCTTGAAATGGAAGCTCATCTGCAAGCGAGATGATATTTATGGTTTAATATCTTGGAAAACCAGTTTTGAGCAGCTGATTTAGCATTCTACCATCATAGAGAGAATTGATCCTCTTGTCCTTGCCTGAAGTCAGATGTAGTTAGATGAGATGAAGCTGATATTATTTGTCTGCAAACTCAAATGAGCCAAATGTTAACCAGCTATTAAAAGCTGAAATGTTACCTCTTTCCTGTGTTTTAAAAGACAGCCAGAGCAGAGCCAGTCAGCATCACTCAAACGTTCTCTGCCTGTAGAGTTCAGTTAATTTATTTTATTTTATAAAATGTATTTTTTACTGTAAGAACCTCTAAAAAGGATTATCATAATTGTTTTTGCCTATGGAAAAGCATAAAGAATGCCAAAACTTGTATGGCATGTTTTTATCAGACATGCAAACACAGCAATTCCTTTTACATTTGACTACCCAGCAATTTCCATAATATCTTCACAATTATATATTGTATAAATTATTTCACTACATAATAAATATTTTTATTTCTTGAGTCAAAATTTTATGGTAGAAAGATCATAATGGCACCAAAAAAATGTGGAAAATTCCTCTTCTTTTTAATGCCATCTGGGTTTCTATAATCTATGCCAAATGATTATATGGATTCTAAAAATTATATAAAATTGCTTAATTTCAATCTTACAGTCTTTAGAATTTGATATGTAATTAGATTAATTGTATTTCACCTTACTGTTGATTTTTAAACATCTATTTTCAAAGCAGTGAGAAAAATCTGAAAAAATCTTTCCATGTAAAAGATTCCCACTATTATTTTCATGATAAATGCATACAATTCAAGCAATGAAAAAAGTAAAAAAAAAAAATATGAGATTCTGGCAAAGTTGTGGACAAAAAGGAACTCTCATACACTGTTGGTGGAAGAATAAATTAGTTCAGCCATTGTGGAAAACTGTGTGGCAATTCTTCAAAGATCTAAAGACAGAAACACCACTCGACCCAGCAATATATACCCAAAGGAACATAAATTAATGTAATGTAAAGACACCTGTACATGTATGTTCATTGAAGCACTATTCACAATAGCAAAGACATGGAATAAACCTAAATGCCCATCAGTGATAAGCTAGATAAAGAAAATGTGGTACATATACATCATGGAATACTATGCAGCCATAAAAAGAACAGGATCATATCCTTTGCAGAGACATGGATGGATTTGGAGGCCATTATCCTTAGCAAACTAGCATAAGGACAGAAAACCAAATACCTCATATTTTCACTTATAAGTGGGAGCTAAATGATGAGAATACATGGACAAGTACAGGGGAACAATACACACTGGGGCCTTTCGGAGGGTAGGAAGAGGGAGAGTATCAGGAAAAATAACCAATGGGTAATACGTTTAATACATACCTAAGTGAAATAATCTGTACGACAAACCCCCATGACACAAATTTACCCATGTAACAAACCTGCACATGTAACCCTGAACTTAAAAGTTAAAAAAAAATAAAAGAAAAAAGTGCACGTGTAGAAAAAAGGCATTTCCCCAAATCTCACCATCCAAAATGAATAATCATTTACATTTGGAGGAACAAATTCTAGTCACTTTAAAAAAACACAGGTACAGAAAGCAAAATAGATAGATAGAAAAAAGTACATTCAAATAATAAAGTCTATTCTACAATTTAAATTAAATTATGTTATGGTAAACTCATATATACAAGTCATAAAAAGCTAGACAAATTAACATCCTGTCTCCAAAAAACGATACAAATTAGTCTAACATCCTGACACCAAAAAACAGGAAACTAGGAAACACTTCAAAGAAAATATTTGAGATGGTAATCAAAGAACAAGGAAGAATTTTCAAGGTAAGCATGGTGTGTGTGTGTGTGTGTGTGTGTGTGTGTGTGTGTGTGTGTGTGTGTGTGTGTAAGTTGTGTGGTTAATGTGAGGGTAGGCAGTGTTTCTATGCATCCAGAACATCAGGTACTATATCGGGAAGCTACAAAGCAGCCTGAATCAATTGGTAAATTCCATGTAGTGGTATAGATGAGACACAATGCAAGAAACTTAAATAAAGGAAATGAATTTGGTGAAGAAATTAATGCAGTAATAGAGGGCTTTGTATGCCTTGAAAAGGCACCTCATTCTGTAGGTGATGTTGTGCAATAGAAGATTTTAATCAATGAAGGACAAATTTATGCTGTAGAAAGATGACTGGCAGTTGTTTGTAGATTAGAAGCGATGAATGGTGAAAGCAAAACCATAGTGATAAGGCCATCATCATTCTTTCAGTGGGAGATGATGTGATCTTTTGTTTTATCAACATTCTTGGTATTGCTTAGAAAACACAAACAATTCAGGGAAAAACAGTACCTGAAACATGAAAAAAATATTTCCTGAAATGAAGAGCAATATGGTTTCATTTAAGGAAATTTGAGCAGGAGGATGTCTATTTTCAATATGAAAATTAAGTGCAGTGCAGGAATATAACATGAGAACTAATAAGTAATTGCAACAAGATAATATCAAGGTGTCTGTCCAAAATTTGCAGGTAAGTGACTGCAATGTTTCTATATTAGGGGAAATGATTGATCTTGATAAGATACTCAAACTCTCAAAGACATCTTTTGTCAATAAAATAGGTGAAGCATATTATCAAGATTTTGTTTTGTCAGAACTACAGAATCAGAACTTATACACAACAAAACTGTTTGAGGAGTATAGCCATGAGAGTAACTTTGCAGTCATGTAAAATCTGTGGTAGTCAGGGATATGCAATAAAGCTCTGAGCAAACAGTTTGACAAGTGTAAGGTGATTGGGGCACATTTAACCTACAATGGGAATTAGTATCTTCTTTGCCATCATCATTCCCATTATTACCATTAATTAAATTCTAAGCACATAAGTACATTCTACTCTAAGAAGTTGACACTATTACAACACCTCTCTCTGTCTCTTTTAAATCTCCCTTTCTCTCTCGCTGTCTCTCTTTCTAGCCCAAGGAAAAATATGGTATTAAATGATTTCGGTTACTAGCCTCAGTCAATAACCAAGTCACTACCCAATCTGTCTAATTTTGGAGCCCATGCTGAAAGAGAACTCAAGGAATGTTGAGAGTAAGCCTTCTTCTTCTGCCTGATTCCAAGGGATGGAACTAGAACAGTCAGCAGATAGCTCTGGACTGAATGGCAGAAAGACATCATCAATAATATTTGCTGACCAAACATAATAGATTTCTTTGAGATGACCCAAGCAAGACTAGGTACTCAGTATGGGAAAGGAGGAGGGATGGGTGGGTATCAGGCATGATTTTTTTTTTTTTTTTTTTTTTTTTTTTTGAGATGGAGTTTCGCTCTTGTTGCCCAGGCTGGAGTGCAGTGGTGTGATCGCGGCTCACTACAACCTCAGCCTCCCAGGTTCAAGCGATTCTGCTGCTTCAGCCTCCTGAGTAGCTGGGATTACAGGGATCCGCCACCATGGCTGGCTAATTTTTTGTATTTTTAGTAGTGATGGGATTTCACCATGTTGGCCAGGCTGGTCTTGAACGCCTGACCTCTGGTGATTCACCCAACCAGACATGATTCTAAATGTTTTATATGTAATAAATCATTGAATCCTTATAATAATGTTTTCAACAGGTCCTATTATTGTCATTCCCATTTTATACATGAGGAAAATGAAGCTCTAGCAGGTTAAGTAACTGGCCCCATGCTGAAAGCTAGGAGCTGGGATTAAAACCCATGTAGCCAAGCTCCAGAGTGAGCTTCCCTCTAGAAACACTTCAAGCATCAGAATGCATGGTTGAACTAAGTGAGTTTTATTTATTTATTTATTTATTTACTTATTTATTATTTTACTTTAAGTTTTAGGGTACATGTGCACAATGTGCAGGTTAGTTACGTATGTATACATGTGCCATGCTGGTGCACTGCACCCACTAACTCGTCATCTAGCATTAGGTATATCTCCCAGTGCTATCCCTCCCCACTCCCCGAACCCCACAACAGTCCCCAGAGTGTGATGTTCCCCTTCTTGTGTCCATGTGTTCTCATTGTTCAATTCCCACGTATGAGTGAGAATATGCGGTGTTTGGTTTTTTGTTCTTGCGATCGTTTACTGAGAATGATGATTTCCAATTTCATCCATGTCTCTACAAAGGACATGAACTCATCATTTTTTATGGCTGCATAGTACTCCATGGTGTATGTGTGCCACATTTTCTTAATCCAGTCTATCATTGTTGGACGTTTGGGTTGGTTCCAAGTCTTTGCTATTGTGAATAGTGCCGCAATAAACATACGTGTACATGTGTCTTTATAGCAGCATGACTTATAATCCTTTGGGTATATACCCAGTAATGGGATGGCTGGGTCAAATGGTATTTCTAGTTCTAGATCCCTGAGGAATCGCCACACCGACTTCCACAATGGTTGAACTAGTTTACAGTCCCACCAACAGTGTAAAATTGTTCCTATTTCTCCACATCCTCTCCAGCACCTGTTGTTTCCTGACTTTTTCATGATTGCCATTCTAACTGGTGTGAGATGGTATCTCTTTGTGGTTTTGATTTGCATTTCTCTGATGGCCAGTGATGGTGAGCATTTTTTCATGTGTTTTTTGGCTGCATAAAGGTCTTCTTTTGAGAAGTGTCTGTTCATGTCCTTTGCCCACTTTTTGATGGGGTTGTTTGTTTTTTTTCTTGTAAATTTGTTTGAGTTCATTGTAGATTCTGGATATTAGCCCTTTGTCAGACAAGTAGGTTGTGAAAATTTTCTCCCATTTTGTAGGTTGCCTGTTCACTCTGATGGAAGTTTCTTTTGCTGTGCAGAAGCTCTTTAGTTTAATTAGATCCCATTTGTCAATTTTGTCTTTTGTTGCCATTGCTTTTGGTGTTTTAGACATGAAGTCCTCGCCCATGCCTATGTCCTGAATGGTAATGCCTAGGTTTTCTTCTAGGGTTTTTATGGTTTTAGGTCTAACATTTAAGTCTTTAATGCATCTTGAATTGATTTTTGCATAAGGTGTAAGGAAGGGATCCAGTTTCAGCTTTCTACACATGGCTAGCCCGTTTTCCCAGCACCATTTATTAAATAGGGAATCCTTTCCCCATTGCTTGTTTTTCTCAGGTTTGTCAAAGATCAGATAGTTGTAGATATGCGGTGTTATTTCTGAGGGCTCTGTTCTGTTGCATTGATCTATATCTCTGTTTTGGTACCAGTACCATGCTGTTTTGGTTACTGTAGCCTTGTAGTATAGTTTGAAGTCAGGTAGTGTGATGCCTCCAGCTTTGTTCTTTTGGCTTAGGATTGACTTGGCAATGCGGGCTCTTTTTTGGTTCCATATGAACTTTAAAGTAGTTTTTTCCAATTCTGTGAAGAAAGTCATTGGTAGCTTGATGGGGATGGCATTGAATCTGTAAATTACCTTGGGCAGTATGACCATTTTCACAATATTGATTCTTCCTACCCATGAGCATGGAATGTTCTTCCATTTGTTTGTATCCTCTTTTATTTCCTTGAGCAGTGGTTTGTAGTTCTCCTTGAAGAGGTCCTTACAGAACTCTCCACCCCAAATCAACAGAATATACATTTTTTTCAGCACCACACCACACCTATTCCAAAATTGACCACATACTTGGAAGTAAAGCTCTCCTCAGCAAATGTAAAAGAACAGAAATTATAACAAACTATCTCTCAGACCACAGTGCAATCAAACTAGAACTCAGGATTAAGAATCTCACTCAAAACCGCTCAACTACATGGAAACTGAACAACCTGCTCCTGAGAGACTACTGGGTACATAACGAAATAAAGGCAGAAATGAAGATGTTCTTTGAAACCAACGAGAACAAAGACACAACATACCAGAATCTCTGGGACGCATTCAAAGCAGTGTGTAGAGGGAAATTTGTAGCACTAAATGCCCACAAGAGAAAGCAGGAAAGATCCAAAATTGACACCCTAACATCACAATTAAAAGAACTAGAAAAGCAAGAGCAAACACATTCAAAAGCTAGCAGAAGGCAAGAAATAACTAAAATCAGAGCAGAACTGAAGGAAATAGAGACACAAAAAGCCCTTCAAAAAATTAATGAATCCAGGAGCTGGTTTTTTGAAAGGATCAACAAAATTGATAGACCACTAGCAAGACTAATAAAGAAAAAAAGAGAGAATAATCAAATAGATGCAATAAAAAATGATAAAGGGGATATCACCACCGATCCCACAGAAATACAAACTACCATCAGAGAATACTACAAACACCTCTACGCAAATAAACTAGAAAATCTGGAAGAAATGGATAAATTCCTCGACAGATACACTCTCCCAAGACTAAACCAGGAAGAAGTTGAATCTCTGAATAGACCAATAACAGGAGCTGAAATTGTGGCAATAATCAATAGCTTACCAACCAAAAAGAGTCCAGGACCAGATGGATTCACAGCCGAATTCTACCAGAGGTACAAGGAGGAACTGGTACCATTCCTTCTGAAACTATTCCAATCAATAGAAAAAGAGGGAATCCTCCCTAACTCATTTTATGAGGCCAGCATCATCCTGATACCAAAGCCGGGCAGAGACACAACCAAAAAAGAGAATTTTAGACCAATATCCTTGATGAACATTGATGCAAAAATCCTCAATAAAATACTGGCAAACCGAATCCAGCAGCACATCAAAAAGCTTATCCACCATGATCAAGTGGGCTTCATCCCTGGGATGCAAGGCTGGTTCAATATACGCAAATCAATAAATGTAATCCAGCATATAAACAGAACCAAAGACAAAAACCACATGATTATCTCAATAGATGCAGAAAAGGCCTTTGACAAAATTCAACAACCCTTCATGCTAAAAACTCTCAATAAATTAGGTATTGTTGGGACGTATCTCAAAATAATAAGAGCTATCTATGACAAACCCACAGCCAATATCATATTGAATGGGCAAAAACTGGAAGCATTCCCTTTGAAAACTGGCACAAGACAGGGATGCCCTCTCTCAGCACTCCTATTCAACATAGTGTTGGAAGTTCTGGCCAGGGCAATTAGGCAGGAGAAGGAAATAAAGGGTATTCAATTAGGAAAAGAGGAAGTCAAAGTGTCCCTGTTTGCAGACGACATGATTGTATATCTAGAAAACCCCATTGTCTCAGCCCAAAATCTCCTTAAGCTGATAAGCAACTTCAGCAAAGTCTCAGGATACAAAATCAATGTACAAAAATCACAAGCATTCTTATACACCAACAACAGACAAACAGAGAGCCAAATCATGAGTGAACTCCCATTCACAATTGCTTCAAAGAGAATAAAATACTTAGGAATCCAACTTACAAGGGAGTTTTAAGTTCCCTTCTAACCTTGAGACTCAGTGATCGTAAGCACTCAGCTGGCTGACACATTCTTATAGAATATCTCCACATAGCATCTCTTTGTGCACTGTCTGCCACATTTGGAAATTCTTTAAAAGAACTATCTTTGAAGGTCATTCATCTGCAAGTGCTATAATGTGAAGGGAATTGAAATCCTAATTTGAAGAAATGCTCCATTTCCATCTATAGCAGCTTTATGATTTATGACAGGGAGAGTTTTCAGCTAAGATAGAGTTTTACAATGTAAGTGATTTTTCATTTTCCAGTCTTAACAAGAACTTAGAAATAAAAAAATTAATCAATACATTTTAATGTTTATTAGAAAGAGTAATTTAAAAGGATATTTCCAAAGTTTTCATGTTGAACACACTAGTTTACTAATTCCTTTGGTTGCAATCCCAATATAACAGGAAAATAAAGTCTCTCAAAGTGACAAGACAGAAAACATTTAAAAAACTCACAAAATTATAATGTAGTAGTTTGCTAATCATGAGAATTCTCAAAAATACTAGCACTTAACAGCTTGAGGAAGCTCATCAATACAAAAAGTGATTATTGTGAACATTCATAAACGTTTATGACATTTGGCCCTTACTACACAACTTTCAAAATCCTATTTTTTTTTGTTTCTTTGAATTATCATGTATAGGAATGTCACTAATACAAGTGAACACAGTAAAATGTGGTATTCACACCTTTCTATATTGCAACAAATAAAAGATAATTCAGGAATAGAATTATTATATATATAAAATTATTCTTCTTCAAGCAGATTTTTTATCTAAATATAATAAAGATGAGATATTTTACATTCTCATGGAATAACATTTTTTTATCTTCTTCTCCCCTCAGTAGGCAGAGAATAGCAGCAGCAGTTATTGAAATGAAGGCAGTGAGGAGATACCAGTGTGAAAGATAATGCACAACCCGGTTCATCTAAATAGTTTAGGAAATTGCATTTCCACCAGATAATAGCTCCTAGAGAGTCAACTTCCTATCTTAGCTGAAAACTCTCATGTCATAAATCATAAAGTTGCATGTAGATGCAAATGGAGCATTTCTTCAAATTAGGGTTTCAATTCCTTTGGAATGAATCAAATGGGAGTTTTCTGATTTTATTTCTCCAGGTCAGCATAGCTTGTCAGATTTAGTTATAATCAGTGTTAATAACATATCCACTAACATTATGCTTATCCAAATGACACAGCTTAATAGTAGGAAAGTATTCCTTGAATAAAATAGAAGTTTAATGAACCACTGATTGATTCCTGATTCCAAACAGGTTCTTACAATGTAAAGATAATTAAGTAATAAGCAACTGTAAAGAAATTTAAATATAAAAATTTGCCTAACTATACAAGTGTTTGTATTTTTCATTAGAAATTTCAAAATTCTATCTTTTTTTTTGAGATAGAGTCTCACTCTGGCTCAGGCTGGAGTGCAGTGGCACGATCTCGGCTCACGCAACCTCTGCCTCCTGGGTTCAAGCGATTCTCCCGCTTCAGCCTCCCGAGTAGCTGGGACTACAGGCGTGTGCCACCATGCCCAGCTAATTTTTGTATTTTTAGTACAAACATGGTTTCACCATGTTGGCCAGGCTAGTCTTGAGCTCCTGACCTCAGGTGATCCGCCCGCCTCGGCCTCCCAAAGTGCTGGGATTACAGGTGTGAGCCACTGTGCCTAGCCTATTTTTTTTTTATTAAAAATTTGCCCAAATTGCTCTTCTCCCCTCACTCTGGCCCATATAATTTATGAATAGAATGATCATGAAGTGGAATTTTTGGACCTGGATCTCTTTACAACTCAAGTGTGATTACTTAAGAGTTAAGTGAACATTGTAAAGAAGGCAGTTGGGAATGTTAAGATGCAAGGTTTCCGTGTAATGGATGCTACTGCACCATATCCTAGTATATAGTTCCTAATGCACTAGACAATTATTAAAGCCGTCTCGTAAGATTTTACCCATTTTAAAATATCTACTTGTGTGGAATCTTCTATGTCAGTGCTCCTTTTCAAACTTCAAGTTGAATGATGTGGAGAGTCGGAAGAGATAAGAAATTCCAAATTGACACATCTTCCAGAGAAAAACCTGAGCTAAATACTTGAAATGACAACTGGTTAACTAGTGGTAGCCAGAAAATAACTGCTCAACATTTTACATTTTTTGTTTTGCCTATGGATATGACTAAATTTTAGTGTTTTACCTGCATGAATTCAATCTCAAATCCTATTTTCAAAAGCAAGCCTCATGTGTTTCTAAATATCTCTGATGCTTGTAAATAATTTAATTAAAATGACCAGGAATTATTTATTATAATTGTATGAAGGAGACTATTGTGGGTTTTAAGTAATTTTACAATATATAGGTACTTCAGGTGCCAATTAAATTATATATATACACACACACAGGATTTTGTTATATACATACATATAACACAGCCATATAATTTCCCTATTTAATTAACAGCATTCATAAAAGAAAATTACTTACAGTAAAAATGGGGTACTAACTCTACTGAAACAATTTCAACAGAAAAAGGTTATTAATTGCCATATATCAATAGTTGTATTAAATCCAAAATCCCTACTGCCAGCAATTTTATATTTGTCTCTCTCAGAGTTTCCAGATGGATGCTGGGTGAGATGAACTTGTGTTTTACAGAGGCAATTAGTTTATTCTTAGGATAATTTTTCAACAGTAAGAAGTATGTACACTTAGCAAGGAATTCATTTTGTTTTCCTTTGTGACAAATGGCAGTTCTTTGGTAGCTGGCCATTCAGCCCAAAGTGCCAGCTGGCAAACAAATCAAGACCATTTTTGTTTCCTTTCTTGGCATGTTGCCTATATGTTAAATGCAGAAGAGATGCTTTCTAAATTATAGTACTAAATAGAGTCTTGGGTCCTGGCCTAGAAATGTATTAATGATTATGGAGATTTCAGATCACAGTATAGTGTGTGATTAAAGTTCCAACTTATAGGTATCTAATTTCTGTTTATTGCAATGCTGATCATTGTTTAAGAACCTGTCTATAGGTTATGTCAGGCAAAAAGAGATCTGAAGGTCTTTGTGTAATCTCATGACTATATTATATTCATCTGAGCAATAAATATCAGAGTAGAAACTTAAAGTATTTTAATATTTCAGGAAAGTGGAAATTGTAAGAATGAGGTTAATTTTGGAAAATGGATTACTGAGGCAAACACACTTGCAGTCCTTGAATTAGAGCTTTTTGTGTGGCTTAAATTGAAATTACTTTTCCATTTACATCTTAGTGACGTAGATAAGAGCTATACCAGTTACTTTCAGTATACGTTGGGCAGGCCATTTCACCCCTCTAAGGATTTATGTCCTTATCTGTAACCATGATGTCAGTCATACCAACTTTACATGATAAATGTGATCCTATGCCAAAAAAAGAAAAAAAAAAAGCAATTGGCCTATTTCCTGGCAAATGATATGGGTTATTGTACTTGCTCGCATGCATGGGAAATTTTTTTGAAACTTGGAAAATAAGCATCTTAACTGCCATGCATCAGGCATGATAAATGGTAAACATTTATAAACATTAACTTATCTAGTCCACAGTCCAGCCCCGTATATATTAAAAGCAACAACAAACACTGAGTCTCTGAAATTTTAAATACCATGTCCAAGGTCATACAGCTACAGAGGTGTTAGGTGGCAGATCTGGCATTCAAATGTTTCTGCTTTCCAAACTCTGTGCTCTCATATAACAGGTTATTTTAGCTAATTGTTGTAAATATAATTTATAGGGAGATCTATATATAAATATGCATTAATCATACATAAAAGAAATATAAAGCAATTGAAAATGTATGTAAATTGATTTATTTCCTTTTATAATTTTTATGAAGTATATGTAGATGTAAATATAAATATGCTATATAAATATATAACACATAAGTTGCATAGATATGTGTCTGTGTGTGTGAGTGTGTATGTGTGTGTACGTAAATTGCTTTATCTTCTCTTGATCATTTCTATAGCAAAGTTTCTCATTACTCACAATGTTTCCCAGGCTTTACTGCACACTTTCTTGGAGACCACACTGGTGTATCTGAAAGGTCACTGGGCTGGGAGGAAGAGAGACAGGTCCTGTTTCAGATTGTAACTTTACTTTCCTCATTTATGAAATGAAGGTGTTATCTAAGGATCATTCAGGTTCTAAGAAGGCCTTGTCCTAGGAAGGTGCTAACGATTTTCTAGTACTGTGCTGTGTTGAGAGAAGGAAGATGAGCATCAGTAGACATTTCAGAAACATACCATCTGCCATGACTTTTACAACAATTCAAAAAGAATGATAACAACCGAAAAATTTCTGATCAAAGCCGTGGCTGAATTTATGAATTTGATTTTCATGCAAATTCAGCTCTGAACATGAAGTGAGTCGTGAAATGGAATTTGAAGGGGTCGTGCTCCATGCTCATGACTGACTGAAACATCCATCTGCCCAGCTCTCTACCCAAGCCCCCATGCTCACAAAGAAGATCTCATTCAGGCTGATGTTTATCAGCTGCTGCAAAATGGACTTAATCGTTTGAAAATAGGAAAATGAAGTTGTCTTTAGACTGGTAATGAAACTCCTATTTGTTTTGGAGACTTTTCCCCCATTGGAAACATTAAAACATTACAAAATCTTACCTACTAAAAATTGTATGCAAATATATCTTAGGAATATGCTTGATTGCCTAAGTCTGTAGAGAATCAGTAAAAATTCTGATTTGCTGCTAAAGTTGTCATAAAAGTTTATGAAAAATAACAGAAGAGAAACAAGAGGAAAGCCACATTAGTGTATAACTTTAACATCTTTCATTCAAATAATAAGGATGATAAAACAGAAAATATATATTTTCTGTTACCTCAGGGAAGAGTCCAGTCATCCATCATAAACCAGATAATACATGTATTTGTAATTTTAACTTTAATGTATAGAACTTTTAATGATTTAGTAAAGCTGAGTTTTCAAGCGTAGTGAATAATTTATGTTTTAATTGAACTGCTTAATCATATTAATAGTTTTCACATCGTACTTCCAAATGATAGTCTTTAGTGTTTCAGTTCAGATTAGTCTTCATTCTTCAGTCCAGATAAACATAACTCTCAAACCGAAGAAAAATAATTGATGCTATAATTTACATCACGTTTGAATGGTTATTTCTATTTTATATTTCACCTCATATTGTATGATTGATTGAGAAGTTTCAAGGGATAGAATTTGTTCTGAAAGTCAATACAATAATATTGTCTTGCAAATTCAAAACCAATTTATTATTGTTTGTTTTTACAAACAGAATATGTCTTGTTTACTGGCTTTGATAATTTTGACCCACAAATGCATATTATTGTATGTCTCAAAAATGACCATGAAATTAAAAAATAAGAAATTTGTATACAAGTAACTCCAATGTCCTAAAACTGAATTCAGTGTCACAGTTCTTTTATATCTAGATATGTAAAATAAAAATTTCAACCTTAAGTGATTACTAAGAAACCTCACAGTTCCAAGAACAGCTTTCATATTGTAAATTTGATTTGTAAAACATAGATTCTCAGAGCTCCTCTGTGTTGCTTTTCCCATTGAAACAGAATAGTATTATTGTTCCTATCAATGTAATAACCAGAATGGCACTTTTAATATTGTATTTCTAGACTTTGTTTATGTTTTTAATTTATTTTCTTTACCATAGTTGTATTAACATTATTTAATCATAGGCCTGGCTATTTACTTTTCTGACAACAGGATATTATTTATTCGGAACACATAGTTTTCATATTAGCCAAAGCTTTCGAAATCATTCTTGTGTGTTAGTTGAATATATAATTAGGCATTTTTCTAAATACACAATAATTACCCAGCAGAAAATGCTACCATTTCTATTTCTTAGTTTTAATGTACACAGAGCGGTTAGTAACAATAACAGAAGTGAAAGACCCAAACACTCTTTGAGTTTTAAAGTAAGCTTCCTATTGAGGCATAACCTGTATAAAGGAAAAGGCACAAACCTTAACTATACAGTTCAATGAATTTTCACAAAGTGAAGATATCCAGGGAGCTGCTGCAGAACATTACCAGTTCAATTCTTTGTAGTTATTATGTATCCATTTGTAACTCCAATGCTAACTTCTTTTTTTTTTCTTTTTTTCTTTTTTTTTGCAATGGAGTCTTGCTCTGTGGCCCAGGCTGGAGTGCAGTGGCACAATCTCGGCTCACTGCAAGCTGCGCCTCTCGGGTTCACGCCATTCTCCTGCCTCAGCCTCCCAAGTAGCTGGGACTACAGGTGCCCACCACCATATCCGGCTAATTTTTTGTATTTTTTAGTAGGGACGGGGTTTCACCATGTTATCCAGGATGGTCTTGATCTCCTGACCTTGTGATACGCCCACCTCGGCCTCCCAAAGTGCTGGGATTACAGGCGTGAGCCGTCGCACCCGGCCTCCAATGCTAACTTCTACCAGCATTGATCATTTTGACTTCTTTTATTAGCATTATATGAATAAAATTATAAGGTAAGAGCTGTTTTATGTTTGGCTTGTTTCACTCAACATTACATTTCTGAGATATACCCATGTTGTTGCACCTGATGTTAATTGATCACCCTTCATTCCTCTGTAGTACTGCTTTGTGTGAATATACAGGAAAGATATAGCCCTTGATGGATGAGGATGTTCATAATGGGGCTGAAGTAACTAAATGATACACCTGGTTCACATATTAAATTTTGACCTGTGTGATGTGTGGAAAAGGGACTGCAATGAGTCACAGCATAGCTGTCAAGAACAGGTGTAAGAGGCTGGGACAGCTTGGAAGGTGGCCTTCGGGCAGAGGTAACTGAGAGATTAGAAAATATTTTTATGTAAACTACAAGGTTTTTCTAATTACTAGAGTGTGGGAGGTGAGAGTGGGAAAACTGTACAGACGGACATTTCTTTATCAACTGGGTGGGTGGAAGTTATTTTTATTAAGATTACTATCAGAATATCAATAATATCAATGTTCCCCTCCTGAGCATGTGAAGTCTGAGCTATCCTGAAATCTTCGTATCTGTTAACTGGGCATTTGACTAAATGGACCTGAAGCTCATTAGTACTGGAAATGTAAGGTTTGACGCTATTGATATAAGGGTAGTATTTAAAGCCACGAGAATGAATGCTATCACCTAGGAGGAAAATAGAGCGTTAAAAGAGGAGATCCTAGACTGAGCCTTACAAACATTCAATATTTTAGGGACCATATGAAAAGAGAACCTTGAAAGAGAGACAGACTCAGAAGAATTTCAGTTTTAGGAGCAGCAGTGGTTAGGGTGGTGATGTAAAAGTCAGAAGAGTATGAGGAGGAAGGGGGTAACAACTGAATCAAATGCTGTTGGCTATGGTAAGATAAGGACTGAAAAATGCCTATTGGATGCTACAAAATGGGTATCTGAGTTTGGCAGCCAGATTGGAGTGAGACATGAATGACGAAGAACTGAAGATACCATGTGTAGACTACTCCTTTAAAAAGTTACCAACAGAGGGCCGGGCGCGGTGGCTCACGCCTGTAACCCCAGCACTTTGGGAGGCCGAGGTGGGCGGATCACGAGGTCAGGAGATCCAGACCATCCTGGCTAACACGGTGAAACCCCGTCTCTACTAAAAACACACAAAAAATTAGCCGGGTGTGGTGGCGGGCGCCTGTAGTCCCAGCTACTCGGGACGCTGAGGCAGGAGAATGGCCTGAACCCGGGAGGCGGAGCTTGCAGTGAGTGGAGATCGCGTCACTGCACTCCAGCCTGGGCGGCAGAGCGAGACTTCGTCTCAAAAAAAAAAAAAAAAAAGTTACCAACAGAGGGAAGTGGAGTATACAGTGGTACCTGGAGGGGTGTGGATTGGTTTTCAAGTTAGAAATGATAAAGTGCATTGGAATGCTGATAAGAATGACTTAATTGAAAGAGATACGAGATACTGAACAGATAGACAAATAACCCAAGCCAGAGTGAACTCTCTCTCCAGTAGTCATCATTCGAAGTTCCAGAACCAACTTCCTAGCTGCCAGATTCAGCTAAGAGGTTGAACTTTCCCAAGGAGTGGCTTAAAGGCTTCCCAAGTAACTTCTTAATCACCCAGACCCCCTCAGGTCACCTGAGATATAGCACATGGCACAGAGACCACTCAACCAACAAGCAAAGCATTTGCAATCACAGTGCTAGGACAGCAATAAACGCCCTGCCCTGTGCTTTGCATCACCCGTTACCTCAGGGAAGGGTCCAGTCATCCATCATAAACCAGAGCACCAATGAACTTTGTTTCATGGCTCATCCTTCAGGTCTCAGATGAAAGACAATTCATGGTGGCAACTTCTCTGTGGACTGCAAAAGCCTAGACATGAAGTTCTGTTTTGTTCTCCCACTTACCTAATGTTGATTCAATAAATATTTATTAAACACATAATTAAGTTCCTAGGGCACTTTGTAATGCCTAACCCACAATAGATGCTACAAGAAAATTTGTAAAATAAATAAAGAAATTAAAAAATGAATAAAATCTAATAGAAGGAGTAATCAGGGTTGTTTTTTGTGGTAATTATCTCTCTGGAGCACATTTAAAAATTCTCTTGAACGTTGATATTTAATGTACTGAGAACAATATTTTGTAATATGTTTACTTACTTTTCAAAAAATTACACCCTTTATAAAACATTGACTCCATTGTGGAATGGTATGAATATTTAAAACACCATCTTTATTTATTAAGAAATCCTTCAAACAATTTAAATACATTATTTTATGCAACAAACTAATTTTTCCCTAAGCTCACGTGACATACCAACATAAGCAGCATATAAAAATAAGTCTATGAAATTCTAAATTGTGTAGTATCCACTCAAAAAGAAAATACAGTGATCAACTAGGGCTTCAGTCAAACATATGCTAGAAGGAAGAAACCCTGTCTTATTGCCTTAACTAAAGATCTCACTAGAATTGTTCAAAAAGCTATTTATAGTTGAATATATAGACATTATTCAATATGGCTAGAAAATAATCAAATTAAGCACCTAGAAAGTATATTTTCTATTTTCTGACATTAGGGTGGTGACATTTTGTGACAAATAAATCCAAAAGTAGATATCTGGAGTCTTGCATTTCCTTCTTAACATATGTAAATATATTGAAGCTATGCTTTATTTACCATTAGCTTGTTTCTTTCTTAACTAAAACTACAACACAATCCTCTCTCCCCATTGTAAAGGCTGAGAGTCCAGTGGATGTCAGTGTTAACTTATACTATGAAACATTTTTTTCTGAACTTTGCTTCCAGTTGTATGTGGTTTGAAAGCAGAAACCATGCTCAATTTGTGTTTTCTACCCAGATTTTAGAATAGCATCTGGCCTTTAGGAGGAGCATAATATATTTATTAAATGAATAAAGAAATGTATAAAAATCTTCCAGCATCAAAGCAGGAGCAATAGCTTGAATGCTGAAGTAATGACCCAGGACCGCTAACTATCACCAAAGCCTAGTGCTACATGTTCTTTAGAACATGATGAGTTCAACTAAGAGAGATTGTATGTAATTTAAAAGTATTTTCCTGCACAAGACTCATGAGGATGGTCTAGCATTAGGCACGCTACTATAGTTGCATCTGCACTCACTGCCCATCCTACCATTGTTTTCCTCTGCCTGATTGTGGTTTCACCTCCACATCCTAGTAGGATTCACAGTCACCATCCATGATGGTTGAAGGATTTCCTCTGACCCTGCCCCTCCCCTGTTCTACCCTTAGACTGGGGAAGACTTTCAAGTATCAGCCTCACATTTACAGAAGACATCGGATCTGAACCATTCTTCTCAAATACACAGATATGATGGGGCTGAAATGGGATTACAGAGGAGTACATAGCAAGCCTGCAACTCCATTAAATCTGTCCTCCTTAAGTTAATAGAGGCCCAAGATCACCAGATTTGATGGTTGCACTTATGGCTTGAATTTAATTAACGTTTCTGTCAAGCCTATATAGCCATACCCCTTTTTTGAGCATCAAATTTTCATCTCTTATGCATTTTTTTATTTTTTGTTGATCCATTGAGTCAAACAAATAATTTTGGATGCTGACTTCAAGCCAGCCAATATTCAAATGCCTAAGGTATCATAGTAAACAAACAAAAAATAAAATCTCTATGAGGATAGATCTTATGTTTTGAGGTTGGAGGCTAGGAAAACATATGAGAAATAAACACATAAATGAAAGGGCAGATAGTTATGCAAATCTTAAAGAAAAATAAAAAGGGTAAGAGGGATAAAGGGCCAGAGATATGGGTCAAGATTACTATTTTATTTATAGTTATCAGAAAAATGCCATGGTCACAAATTGGTATTTGAATTGAGACCTGAGAACATGAAGAAACATAACATGTGGATATCAGAGCAATGGGCCTTCCAGGAAGATGGAACAGCATGTGCAAATGCATAGAGATGAGAGCATGATCAATGTATCTTCAAGAAGGATGATCTGGATGAAGTGGCATGAATATATGTGATGGTAAATGATGTTATAAAGTAGCAGGTGGCTAGATTACATGGGACCCATGGGCCACAAATAAGTATTCTGGTTTTACTTTTACTTTAGTGAAATGATCTGACTTATAATACAAAAATGGATGCTTTATGGAAAACAAACATAAGGGGATGAGGAATGCAGAGAGAGAATGAGTAGTTAGCCGACTACTGCAAAAATCCAATGAGATGATGTTGGATGAAGAAGTTAATTATGGACGTACTGAAAAGTGGTTGGATTCCAAAGATATTTTGAATGGACAGCTGAGTAGTTTTATTGGTGGATTGGTTGTGGCTTGTGGCAAATAAAATGGATGTAAACAAAAAGAACTACAGGATAATTCCAAGTTTTTGGCCAAAGCAGCTGAAAAGATGGCAATATTATTTACTAAGGTGGGAGAAACCACAAGAAATCAGGTTTTGTGTCAGAGGGTAGAATTCTTATCAGCTTCCAAGCTGTATTGCCTAGAACATTAAACAGGCGGTCTAAAATGTGGAAGTCATATTCATTTATGTGTGCTTTGAAATATCAATACAAAACTTATTTAAGTAGAAAACTATCTCTACCAATAATGTGTGTGTGCATGCACACATGTTACTGCAAATAAAACACACACAACCATAACAAAAAAGCCTTTAGACTTGAAGAAGTTCTAGTTTTCACTTCAAAGAATAGATGACTTTTCCCCTGATTTGATTTTTCACATCTAGACCTTGGTGCTTGGTATGGACTGTCATTCAGATTCTTCTCACTTGTGACATCAAAATACTGAATATATGAACAAGTGCCAAAAATAAATTTTCTGCTTCCTTAACATTTTTCTCTTGGCTTGAGTTTTCTAGGGGAAAATAAACCAAGCTGCAAATAGCAGCTGCATTCTGACTGACGAACTGTCACCAGACCGAAAACAAACTATGTAACAAGTTTGAGATTAGAGTAGTTCTTGCTCCGGTGGTTACACAGGGATGGCATAACAGCCCCAGGACACACATGAGCTCAAGGCCTATCATCACATACCTGGGATGAAGGGTGTGCTTCTCTCCATTCTCAAATAAAGACTCAAATAGTGAATGTCCAGGCATCTCAACAATTTACCCCAGATTGTTTCCTTGCATTGAGAGACAGGATAAGGCCAACTCTGAGGAGAATATAGTAACTGGAATATCTCTGATTCAGTCCCTCTTATTCCTCCATTGTTATCCTCCTAATTACCTTCATTTTTTTCTCCACCAGTTACAGTTGTTGGTGACGATATGGGATCAATACACTATGAAATACAAACAGGAAATGTTGTCATACAATGCCTTTGCATAGAAAATAGATTGTAAAGATTGCAATATGAACACTTAGCCTTCTATGTGTAATCTCCAAGATAATTAAAACTAAAAATGGTTAAAATAGGTGACACTGAGGACATAAAATTATAGGTTAGAAGAGTTTTAATTTTCATGACAAGTCCTTTGGCACTATTGATTTTTAACATGTGCATCAACTGCTTCAATGGTGTATATTTTTAGGTAAATAAAAGTGGAATTTTAAAATTTGATAATGTCAATTAAATAAGCACTCTTATCTATGAATAGCTAATTATACACATAGCTATATATGAAGTCAAGAATATAATGAGTTACTCTCATAGTGTCAATACACCATTAACAATTGCAAAAAAAACGTACATGGTGCACTTTAATGGAAATGTCCATATGTAATTATCTGCTGTTCTTTGATCTTTTATTCTAAGAGAACTAAGACTAATAGGTCAATAAATGTCTGTAGATTGAAAAAATTGAAAGGTTCTGAAACTAGGATTCAATCCTCATTAGAGACTCATTGGAAGGGCCAATTAAATTTTGGAAGGCACAAGAAATTTTTGTGATTCGCAAAGTTCATTTTTATGAAGTTTATTTTAAATTTAAAACTATGCTATAGTTAATATACTAGCATCTTTTATTTTACTGAAAATATACGCTTCTAATTTCTGTGTAAACCCTACTGCCAATCTGTTATTATATACCACAGAAGTAATATTTCTGGAGGAATCTGTGGGATATTTGTCACTAAAAATGCTACCCAGAATCTGAACACCCTTCTCAAATTAGTGGCAGGCCTTATTGTGTCAGGTGGGCAGGGTCCTGCCTTTCAACATGCAAGAAATCAGCTTAATCCTCTTGTGGTGGCGAAGGCACAGCCGTGTGTGATTTGGGTTCTTCAACTGAATGCACCCACGTAGGATTTGAGGGAGAGACATAAGTCCAGAAGGAATGGAAACATCAATGTCATTAATTATTCAGCAATGCAGGTGTTCACATCCAAAGAGTCGTCTTGGTTGTTTTTCCTACTGCCTGTCCTCTCTTTCAGTTCCTGACAGTTCTCCAACCTTCCAGGCATTTTTGAAGGCGTTCAGATCTCCCTCCTAGGCCTTATTTTTTCTACTTAAGTTATCCAGAGTTGTTTTCAGTTGTTTACAACCAAGAAGCATTACTGATAAAATAATGTAATGATGACATACTAGAGTAAAATGAACTTACATGCATGCAAGTTAATTATCAGTATAAAGACTTCAACAATTATTAGCTACAACTTGCATTTTGCAGGACAAGTAATAGGGGTATCAGAGCAAACAGAGTGACTAAAAATGATTTTTAAAGGAACACAACTGCTTTTTAAGGGAATTAGAAAATATTTAAGGTCTCACTGTGATGTTTGATTTTATGTGTCAACTTGACTGTGGTACAAGTCCCCAGACATTCATTCAGACATTATTCTGGGTATGTCTTTGAGGGTGCTTCTTGCTGAGATTAACACCTGAATTAGTAGACCCGGCAGAGTAGATTGCCCTCCCTAATGTGACTGGGCTTTGTCCAAGTGTAGGGGAGATGAATTGTCTGCCCATGGGGATGAGATGTAAAGGAGAAGTCCCAATTCACTTTTTCCTTTTGACTACTGAAGAATATAACTATGTAGAGCAGCCCTGACCAACTGAACTATAATGTGAGACACACAGGTAATTAAAACATTTCTGGCTGGGTGCAGTGGCCTAGAACCACTGTACTTTGGTCACTCACACCTGTAACCCCAGTATTTTGGGAGGCCGAGGCAAGCAGATCACTTGAGGCCAGGAGTTCGAGACCAGCCTAACCAACATGGAAAAACCCTGTGTCTACTAAAAATATAAAAATTAACCGAGTGTGGTGGCTCATGTCTGTAGTCCCAGCTACTTGGGATGCCAAGGCAGGAGAATTGCTTGAATCCAGGAGGTGGAAATTGCAGTCAGCCGAGATCATGCCACTGCACTCCAGCCTGGGCAACAGAGCAAGACTCTGATGCAAAAAAAATCTAGTAGCCACATTTAAAGTAAAAAGAAACAGGTAATATGGAATTAATAATTTATTCAAACTAAGGTATTCAAAATGTGATCATTTCAATATGTAATACATGTAAAACTTTATTAATGAAATATTTTATGACAAAACAATTATATTCAATGTTCAAAATTCAATGATTATTTTTACAGTACATGTCAATTCGGGCTAGCCACATTTCATATCCACTGTAGCCACATGCTGCTAAGGGCTACCATACTGGATGGCAGACCTAGTGCCACCAGGGAAAATAACAACGCTACTTTCAGATATTTTTCTCTTTCTTGCTTTAAGAAACTGATATTTGGCTAACAGAGAATCACTAAATGGCTTTTTTTTTTTTTTTTTTGAGACAGAGTCTCACTCTGTCGCCCAGGCTGGAGTGCAGTGGCACAATCTCGATTCACTGCAATCTCCGCCTGCCAGGTTCACGCCATTCTCCTGCCTCAGCCTCCAGAGTAGCTGGGACTACAGACGCCCACCACCATGCCCAGCTAATTTTTTGTGTGTTTTAGTAGAGACAGGGTTTTGCCGTGTTAGCCAGGATGGTCTCAGTCTCCTGACCTTGTGATCCGCCCACCTCGGCCTCCCAAAGTGCTGGGATTACAGGCGTGAGCCACCGTGCCTGGCCAAAAATCACGAAATGGCTTTTTAAATACCTTCAAACCACCAGTGAATAAGTTGTTGTAGAGCCTGTGACTTAGAATGAATACCTACAGCTATGAGAACTGTGGTTTCACCGCTCTGCCAACATTCTCTCTGCCTCAATTCCAGCCATGACCTGCAAAAGGGCTCCATTTTCACATTTCCTAGAAATTCTTATCACCATGATGCAAACCAGTGACTTTTGATCATTTCATTTCTTTGTGTGTCATTCAGAGGGGTGGAAAGATGAGGAAAAGTCTGAACAGAATGTATAAAATTCTGTGGTCCAGTTTAGCCATTCACAATATGTAAATAGCCAAGGAGACATGTGTGTTCATGTTTGTGTGCAATGTCTATAAATTATCAGTGGCTAAAGCTCCAAAGACAGTACAGACCATGAAGACAAGTAGAATCATGATTGGAGAGAAATCCAATGGCAGGTTCACCAATCTGTCCCTGTGCCATTGGCTTTCTGTTAAGAAAATAGCTGTGTGAATAACTCTTAAAGCTTTGTATTTACTTGGTTACATATGTATAAAAATGTGATTTTTGAATTGTCTGTGAGCACTGGTGAGCTAAATGTTAGATCAAACTAAGAGTACAGAGTGTGCTACAGAGAGCAGATATTCACAGCCATTCACCATCATTCTCTTGCTGCACGGTAGGTACTACCCTGGATATATCTCTACTCTGCTTCCTCTCTTCTCTTATCCTTCCTATTGGCACATGGATGTAATGAGATCTAAGTGAATATATGGAAATATGTGGGTATGAGCATGTGTGAAGGCACATGCTTTTTATGTATTTTTGTGTTTTTTAGCTTTATTGAGGTATAATTGATAAACAAAAATTGTATATATTTAAAGTGTACAACATGATGTTGTGATATATGTGTACATTGAGGAAGGATGGCCACAAACTAACATATTTATGGTAGGAATACTTAAGATCAACTCTGTTAGCAAATTTCACCTATAAAATACATTATTATTAATATACCACCATGCTGTACATTAGGTCTCTAGAACTTATTCGTCTTATAACTGAAAGTTTGTACAATTTTACCAACATTTTACTATTTTCCCAACTCCAGCCCCTGGTAACCACTTTTCTACCCTGTTTCTATGAGTTCAACTTTTTAAGATTCTGCACGTAAGTAAGATCATGTAGTATTTATGTTTGTGTGTCTAGATTATTTCATTTAGCATAATGTCCTCTATGTTCAACTCTGTTGTTGCAAATGGAGGATGTCTTTCTATTTTAAGACCAACCAATATTCCATTGTACACACATGTACAATGGAATTGTAGAACACATCCCATGTGTCTTTATTCATTCATCTTTTAACAGACTCTTAGGTTGTTTCCATATCTTGGTTATTGTAAATAATATTGTAAAGAACATGGGAGTGAAGATATATCTTCAAGATAGTGATATTATTTCCTTTGGGTATATACCAAGAAGTGGGATTGCTGGATCATATGATAGTTCTATATTTAAAATTTAAAGGAACCTCTATACTAATTTCTATAACAGCTGCACAAATTTTCATTACCACCAAAGCGAAAAGGGCTCACTTTTCTCTGCATCTTAGACAACACTTGTTGTCTTTTGACCTTTTGATAGTAGCCATAATAACAAGCATGAAGTGATATCTCATGGTGGTTTTGATTTACATTTTACTGATGAGTGATGTTGAGCATTTCTTCATATAATATTGGTAATTTCTGTCTTGTTTAGAAAAATGTTTTTTTCAGATTCTTAGCCCATTTTTTAATCAGGCTATTTATTTTTTGCTGTTGAGTTGTATAAGTTCCTTACATATTTTTGTTATTAACTCATTATTGGATAAATGGTTCACAAATATTTTCTCCCATTCAGTAGGTTTCTTTTTCATTTCATTGATTGTTTCTTTGCTGTTCAGAAACTACTTTTCAGTTTGATGTGGTCCTACTTGTTTATTTTTGGCTTGATTGCTTGTGCTTTTGGTATCATATCCAAAAACTCACTGCTGAAACCAATGCATGGAGCTTTTCCTCTAAGTTTTCTCCTAAGAGTTTTAAGGTTTCAGGTATTATGGATAAGACTTTTATCCATTTTGTGTTGAACTTTGTGTAAAGTATAAAATAAGAATTCAATTTTATTTTGTTTTGTTTTGTGTGGCTATTCAGTTTTCTCAACACTATTTACTGAAGAGATTATACATTTCCCATTGTGTATACTTGGTGCCATATGCTTGTTTTTGTGCCAGTGCTGTATTGTTATACTGTACCTTTGTAATATAATTTAAAATAAAGAAGTCTGATGCCTCTGCTTTTGTTCTTCTTAATCAAGATTATTTTAGCTTTTTGAGATCTTTCACAATTTTAATTTGAAGATATATTTTTTCTATTTCTGTCAAAAATACTATCATAATTTTAATAAGTACTACATTGATTTTGTTGATTATAAAGATTAGTATAAACATTTTGACAATATTGATTCTTCCAGTCTATGAACATGAGATATCTTTTCATTCATTTTTATCTTTTCCAATTTGTTTTATCAATGTTTACATTTTTCAGTGTACAAATCTTTCACCCCTTTGGTTAATTTACTCTTGTGCATTTTATTCTTTTTGATGCTTTTGTAGATGGGATAATTTTCTTAATTTTGGAGGGATAGTGTATAGAAATGCAACTAATTTTTGTGTTTTGATTTTTGTATCCTACAACTTAGTGAATTCGTATGTTAGTTCTGTTTTTGGTGGAGTATTTAGGATTTCTATATATAAGAATGTGTCATCTGCAAACAAAAACAAGTTAACTTCTGACTTTCTGATTTGGGTGTCTTTTATTTCTTTTTCTTGATTAATTGATCTGGCTATACTTCCTGTTGAATAGAGGTATCAAAAGTGGGAATCCTTGCCTTGTCCCTGATCTTAGAGAAAAAGCTTTCAAATTTTCACTGTTGTGTATGATGTTATCTCTGAGCTTATAATATATGACTTTTATTGTGTTGAGGCACATTTCTCTATAGCTAATTTGTTGACAGTTTCTATCCTGAAAGGATATTAAATTTTTTCAAACACTCTTTCTGCATTTATTGAGACAATCATATAATTTTTATATTTTATTCTGTTAATGTGGTGTATCACATTTATTGATGCATAGGTTGAACCATCATTGCTTCTTGGGGATAAACTCTGCTTGATTATGAATAATGATACCTTTACTGTGCTGTTGAATTTGTTTGCTAGGATTTTGTTGAAGATTTTTTAAATCTATGTTAATCAGAAATATTCTCCTGTTATTTTCTTTTCCTAGTGTTCTTGTTTGGCTTTGGTATCGGTATCAGGGTAATATGGGTGTTGTAAAATATGTTTGGAAGTGTTTTATTCCCTTCATTTTTTGGAAGACTTTGAGAAAGATTGGTATTAATTTTTACTTAAATGTTTGGTAGAATTAGCCAGTGAAGTCATCAAGTCCTGGAATTTTCTTTGATGGAAGACTTTTGATTACTGATTCAATCTCCTTACTCATTATTAGTCTGTTCTGATTTTCTGTTTATGATTCACTTTTAGTAGGGCATATGTTTCTAGGAATTTGGCTATTTTTCTAGGTTATCCAATTTGTTGGCATATAATTATTCCTAGTAATTTCTAATGATCCTTTGTATTTCTGTGGTATCAGGTGTAATATATTCTCTTTCATTTTGAATTCTATGTATTTGAGTCTTCTTTTTTCTTAATCTTGATGAAGTTTTGTCAATGTCATTTATGTTTCAAAAGAATACCTCAGTTTTGTTTATATTTTTATAGTGTGTTTCAGTCTGTATTTCATTTATTTCTGCTCTGATCTTTGTTATTTACTTCCTTCTACTAACTTTCGGCTGAGTGTGTTCTTTTTCCTATCCCATGAGGTGTAATATTATTTATTTGAGATATTTCTTCCTTTTTAATGTAGGCATTTATTACTGTTCCCTCTTAGAAATACTTTTGTTGCATCCCATAACTTTTGTGTGTTGAATTTTATTTATCTCAAAATATTTTAAATTTCCCTTTTGATTTCTTTTTTGACTTCTTCATTGATGAGGATTGTGTTATTTAATTTCCACATATTTATATATTTTCTAATTTTTCTCTTGTTATTGATTTCTAGTTTTATACCATTATGTTTGGGAAAGATGCTTTTTATGATTTCAGTCTTCTTAAATTGTTAAGAGTTGTTTTGTGGCCTAATCTATGATTTATCCTGGGGAATGTTTTGTGTATGCTTGAGATAAATATGTATTCTGCTGCTGTTGGATGTTATGTTCTGTGTATATCTGTTGGTTCCATTTAGTGTAAAGTACGGTTTAAGTCCAATGTTTTCTTACTGATTTTCCTGTCTGGATGATATATCCATTGTTAAAAGTGATGTATAGTAATCCTTTACAATTATTGCATTACTGTATTTTTCCTGTCAGACATCTTAATATTTGCTTCATTTATTCATTTGCTCCTATTTTGGGTACATCTATATTTACAATTGTTATATCCTCTTGAGAAATGGACCCCTTTATTATTATGTAACAGCCCTCTTTATCTCTTTTTCTACTTTTTGACTTAAAGTCTATTTTGTTTTCTGATATAAGTACAGCTACTCCTGCTCTCTTGGTTTCCATTTGCTTGGAAAATCTTTTCCCATTACTTCATTTTCAGCCTGTGTGTGTCCTTATAGGGGAAGTGAGTCTTTTTAAGGTCGTCATATAATTGGATCTTTTTATTTTATCAATTCAGACACTGAATGTTTTTATTGGAGATTTTAATCTATTTACATTATTGATAGGTATTACTGCCATTTTGATAATTGTTTTCTGGCTGCTTTGTAGATTCTTTGTTCTTTTCTTCCTCTCTTGCTCTCTTCCTTTTTAATCTTATCCTTTAATTATTTTCTCCTTATCTTTTGTGTATCTACTATAGATTTTTGCTTTGTAGTTACCGTAAGGCTTACATAAAACATTTTAGAGTTATAAAGAGCTATTTTAAGCTAATAGCTTTACTTCAATCATATATAAAAACTGCACTCACTCCCAATAGTATGCTGCTTAGATCACAATTTATATCTTTTTAGACTGTGTACCTATTGTTATCATAGCTATAATTATTTTTAATACATTTGTTTTTTAAGACAATATACTTTCCATTTCATGTGCGTTTTGTACTTTCATATGTTTTTATGTTACAAGTTAGTGTCATTTTCTTTCAACTCTTTATCATTTTGTGTAAAACAGCTCTAGTAATGATAAACCTCCTCAGCTTGTGTTCATTTGGAGAAGTCTTTATCTCCCTTTCATTTCTGAACAACAGTTTTGCTGGGTAAAGCATTTTTGGTTGGCAGTTTGTTATTCTTTTAGCACTTTACATATATCATCCTACTTTTCCTTGGCCTGCAAGGTTTCGCTGATAAATCCACTGATAGCCTGATGGAATTTCCTTATATATCATTAGCCTCTTTTCTCTTGGTGCTTTCAAAATTCTCTCTTTATCTTTGATTTGTGTGTGTGTGTGTGTTCGTAATCTTTTATTGGAGTTTGATTCTATGTCTTGGTAAAGTCTTCTTTGGATTGAAGCTTATTGGAAATCTTGGAGCTTCATATACCTAGATGCTCATACCTCTACCTACATTTGAGAAGTTTTCAGCCATTATTTTTGTAAATAAGCTTTCTAGGCCTTTCTGTTTTTCTTCTCTTTATTATACAACCATTATGCAAAAGTTAGCTGTAATGATGGTATCCATAAATTTCATAGTCTTCCTTCATTCATTTTCATTCTTTTTTTTCTCCTTCCACTGGATATGTTCAAATAATCTGCCTTTGAGTTCACAAATTCTTTTTGTTTGCTTGGTCAAGTCTGCTGCTAATGTTTTCTACTGCATTTTAAATTTCATTCACTGTCTTTTTCAGTTACAGAATTTTCTTTGGTTCTTTTTTATGATATATATCTTTTTACTGAACTTCCAATTTTGTTTACATATTGCTTTTCCATTTTTATTGACTTGCCTATCTGTGTTCTCTTGTAGCTCACTGAGCTTCCATTGAACAATTATTTTGAATTCTCAGGCAATTTGTCTAACTCCATTTCTTTGGAAGTGTTAGTAGAATATTTTTGTGTTCTTTTGGTGGTGTCTTGCTTCTGGAATTTTCTTGATCTGTGAGTCTTGTGTTGCTTTATTCACATTTAAAGAACTCATCTCCTCCAGTTTTTACTGACTGACTACAGGAAAGAAATACCTTCACCAAACATCTCAGGAATTTCAAGGCTCTTTCAGATCTTTTCTATAGATGTGACTGCTCTACATGTCTTGTTTTCTATGAGGGGGAATTCTTAATACCGTATGCCTTCTCTTGAACCTTCAAAGCTGGTGCTGATACCCTCCTGTTGTTTTGGGGGTGGCACCCTAAAGTACTCAAGTTTGTGTACTTTTTCCCAGTCATGCAAAGTTGGGATGTCTGTACAAGCTGCTTGCAGTTGTCATTCACAAGGGTGTTTCTGATGAGCTGTCCTGGGTGAAAGAGTGAGGCACATTGAGCCTTTGAGGAGCCTGCTGGCCAGTTAGAAGGAGTTCACAGGTGACGCTTGCTAAGTGACTGATGGGTGGGCTTCCTGATGGAGTCTGTGGAGGGGTTAGTAGGGTCTGGAGTTTCACTTCTGTGCTCCCAGTCCCTCTCAACCATTCAGACATGTTGATTACTTCAGTATTTTGGGCACGATGAGAAAAATATGGGCCTCTTGAGCAATACTCCAGGTAGCTGAAGGAGTCAGATGCTCTCTCACTATGCTGTAACTTTCCCTTGTGGGAGAAACAGCAAACAAGTAGGGTGTCTCTCGGCACTGAGCGATGCTGTCTCAGGGGTGGAAAACTCCTTTCCTGCCATTTTGCTGACATCACCTCTATAGATACCTTTCAGATGTTTTATTAAAAGCTTAGGCCGAGCGCGGTGGCTCACGCCTGTAATCCCAGCACTTCGGGAGGCTGAGGTGGGCGGATCACGAGGTCAGGAGATCGAGACCATGGTGAAACCCCATCTCTACTAAAATTACAAAAAATTAGCCAGGCACGGTGGCAGGCGCCTGTAGTCCTAGCTACTCGGGAGGCTGAGGCAGGAGAATGGCGTGAACCCGGGAGGCGGAGCTTACAGTGAGCTGAGATCGCGCCACTGCACTCGAGCCTGGGCGACAGAGCGAGACTCCGTCTCAAAAACAAAAACAAAAAAGTTTAATGATGAGTAGGTACAGAAAATAAATGTACAAAATGTATATGAGATTCGTGTTCTGATGACATACATTTAAAAATATGTTATGTATTGCTTCGTGTATTACTTCAACAAATATTAACTGCCAAATTTGTTTCAGGCTTGAATCAACGATGCAGAATGCTGAGAATAAAGTGATAAGTGATGCGTAACCCTTACCCTTGGGGAAACAAAATGTGTTTCTTTTAGCTAGACAGATGAAATTAATAAAACCTGGGGCATAAGATGAGTTATACTAAAGAGTTTAGCCTTTTCCCAAAGACTCTGGAAAGCAGATAGAGAATCTGGTTCATGTAATTACATGTTTATATAGGAAATATCACTCTGGTTTTAGGTAAAAATGAAGGGAGGGGAAAAAGAGTGAGAGTGAAGTATGGAGATCAGAATGGAGTTGATACAGTCACGCTGGGCGCGGTGGCTCACTCCTGTAATCCCAGAACTTTGGGAGGCAGAGGCAGAGGCAGACAGATCACGAGGTCAGGGAATCGAGACTATCCTGGCTAACACAGTGAAACCCTGTCTCTATTAAACATACAAAAAAATTAGTTGGGTGTGGTGGCAGGCGCAGGCGCCTGTAGTCCCAGCTACTCGGGAGGCTGAGGCAGGAGAATGGTGTGAACCTGGGAGGCGGAGCTTGCAGTGAGCCGAGATCGCGCTACTGCGCTCCAGCCTGGGTGACAAGTGAGACTCCGTCTCAAAAAGAAAAAAAAAAAAATGAAGTTGATACAGTCAAAGGTGGGATATGATAGCTCCCAAATTAGGGCTCATGACTATGAATTAAGGAAAGTAGATGCATTTTAGAAATATTTATGATGTGAACTTGCCTAATTTGGTTAGTAGATATTGCAGAGATAAGAAAGAAAAAAGAGATTTTAAAAAAGCTTTATAGCAAATTAATGGGACACCCAAGTTAAACATTTAACCAGTTTTTTATATACAGTCTTGAAACGTCCTAAAGATGGAAGTTTTCACTTGTCAGTTCATATATGTAGTATCATAATTAGTCTACTCATGTTGTGTTAATTTAGTATTTAATACTTTAAATAAGAAATATGAGGCAATAGCTCGTATTATGAAACTTTTTTCAACCTGCACAGAAAAGGTTTTGAAACCTAGTGTATTAGCTATTGCTTAAAACAATACAATTTATTATCTCATGTTTTCTGTGTCATGAGTTGAAGAATAATTTAGTTTGGGTCCCGTTTAGGGTTTAACAAAGCTGCAATCAATATGTTAGCCAGAGTACTAGTCTCATCTAAGGCTCAGTTGAAGAAGGAACTTCCTTTAAGCTCATGTGATTGTTGGCAAAATTCAGTCTTCTTGCAGGTTATCGGAATGAGGGTTATGACTTTTTTACCAGCTGCTGGACAGAGGCCACCCTCAGTTGGTTGTCATGTGGCCCTCTCCATATTCTAACTCACAAGATGCTCCGACCTCCCGCCTGTGCGCCCCAGTGGCGCGAACCGGAGTGCGCCTGCGCGCGGGCCACAAAGCGCTTGCAGCCGGGAGCTGCGCGGCCGCGCTGAGAGTCACGTGGTGCGCCAGGAAGCCGCCTAGCTTCTTGGAGAGCTCACTGCCTCGCTCCGCTCCTTTCCTGGCGGGAGGCTCTGAGCCACCCCCACCTGCGCAGGGCGGCCAGGGGTGAGTGTCCACTAGGAGCGTCGCGCCCACCCGGACTGTCCACGCTGGGGCGCAGGCCGTCAGAATGTCTTGCCCGGACCAGGGGACAAAATGGCGGCAGGGTGCGCCTCTTTAACTTACACAATACTTTATCACTCTTAAAACTTGAAGTTAGTTTCAGACTTGTTTATTTTTCACATTCTGTTTATTTGAAACTGACAAAAAGCAAGAAAACATATTGGAAATACACCAATGGCAGCTGGTTTCTTAAAAGCCAGCAAGGAAAATAGTGTCTTCTAGGAAGACAGCTGTTAAAATCTTACATGTCATAATTACATATAGCATGTCACTTTTGCTGTATTCTACAGGTTAAAACAAAGTCACAAGTCTGACCCACACTCAAAGGGAGAAGATTATGCAAGAGCAAAAGCACGAGATGGAAACCATGGGGCCATCTTATAGTCTGTCTGCCGGAGAAAGATGAACACAAATCCTGTGAGTCTCTAGATTGTGTTTTTTCTATATATGCTCAAAGATTTAAGGATAAAATGATACCTAAACCAAAACAATAGTATATTATACACATACCTTTCTTGTTTTAGCCTTACATGTTTGCTTTTCAGTATATCAAAAGTTGTGTTTGTCAACTTCAAATAAGTAATTATCCAGATATATTGACTCACGGAAAATACAACATTATTTTCCAAAGCAGTGAAAATTGTGCTTTGCAGCTCTGGAGATGCTACTTTGAGCAAAAAAAAATAAGCTTAGAAAAAAATGTGCCTAAGTATCAGGGTGTCTTGTAATTCAATTCAAATTCTTAAAGCTTCTTTCTGTTCTAATATTCTTTGGTATAATCCCTGATGAGTATTCTGTGTATATGGTAACACAAACAGGCTTAAATTTGGGACAATTTTAATACTGACTGGTAAGAAACTTATAGAAGAGATGAAAGAGCTGTTCTTACTGTTGCTTGTTCATCTTTTCTCCTAAGTCTTATTGAGCAGAATGAGAAGAAAATAACTCCTAATACACATCACATAAGCAATGCATATAGACTACGTGTACTGTCATTCATAAAATTTGTCTCTAACAGCAACTATGCCAAAGCTACCAATGTTGCAGCCCATTTAGTCTTCTGTAATGCTTTTCATTCCTTAATTCTCTTGGCCGTGTTCTTGCCTATCTAAGACCAGTTACAAAAGATAGTTTACTTTCATTTTTTCTCCTTTTCCCATAGTTTCACATCATTTAGGTAGAGCAGCAACTCCCAAGTGTTCCTGTAATTATTTAGCATAGAATTCTAAAGTATCCGGAAATGCAAAATTCTGTAATACTGTCCAATTGTTAATTTAATCACACATATACGAAAGAATTAAAAAACCTACAATGCTATTGCTAGCATGAGTGCTCCAAAATAAATTAGGCATGACTCTTGCCATCAAGGGGCATCCAATCTATTTTGAAAAATATATCTATGAAACAAAGCCTCGTGTTCAAAGTGCTGTGAGACTAACAGTAACAGAAGAGCAATGGTAAAACTACTAACAACTTAGTGTCAGGAACGGTATATACTTTTTACATGAATCATCTAGTTTAAAATTAGTCCCAATTCTGTGAGGATGAGTTCACTTTATTAGTTTTTTTTATTGTGACTATTAAAAATTAACACAATTTTAGTGACTTAAAGCAGTATAAATTTATTATTTTACAGTTTTGTAGATCCAGGTCTAGCACAGGTTTTACTGGGCTAAAATTGAGGTGTGGCCAGGGCTGTGTTTCTCTCTGGAGGCCCTAGGAGACAATGTCTTTCTTTGCTCATTTAGATTTTTGGCAGAATTCAGTTATATGTGGTTGTAGGACTGAGGTCTTCATTTCCTTGCTTCTAGGAGCTACCCACATTCTATGATTCATGGCCTCTCTCTCCATCTTTAAAGCCACCTATAGTTGGTCAAGTCTTTGTCTTGCATCTGACATATTCATCTGCCTTGTTCTTGTGCTTTTAGAAACCCATGTGATTAGATTGTACCTACTTTAGTATTCAAAGATAATCTCATCTCAGGAAGATTTACTCTTGTCTACACAGTTCCTTTTGTGGTATAAGGCAGTATATTCACAGAAAATTAGGGTGTGGACATCTTTGGTGTCCACTATCTACCAACACAGCAATCACTGTAGCCATTTAAAAGATGAGAAAAGTCATTTCCAAAGCTAAAAAGGACATTATTTAGACCCAGGGTGTATAATCTGTTTCAAGGCAATAATTAGAATCCATAATGAGTAGAGTAGAGACACAGAGGTGGGGCTCTATGTGGGTGGGGATGCTTATATTCTTCAAAGTTTAGCGATCACCATTTTTTGTTTTTGCAGTAAAAGTACTATAAACTCGACTGAAGGATATTTTATCCTCAACTAAGGGCACAGGTTTATACATGGGTGGATAAACACTAGTCAAATTTCTCTGTTTTTATGTTCTCCAAAATCTGTTCTGTGGTCCATGCTATCATATTAATATATGCGTGCAATGACCTTTTCACATATTCAGACTCATCCATACCTTACTATCATGTTTAAGTATAATAGCAGTTATTTAATCTAACTTCTGTATACAAATGTCCTGAACAAACTGGTCTCTCAGTGTTTTTTTCTGTTATCTGTTGACTTGTGCCTTAGATGATCTTCCTTTTTCCTGCCTTTGTCCTTCCATTTACACCAGCTGAATTATATGTTTGTCAAGAATTGGTTCTGTTCTCTTCAAAACTGCTTATGCTACTTGCAGTGGTTACGTGTTTTAATTAAAAACCAAAAATATGATTAAATGAGTTTAAAGTAGAGGAAGTTTGTGGTTCAATTTAAAATGAAATTAGAAGCTTTAGAGAGACTCTAAAGAGTAGATTTAAAATCTCACGAAATTAGGTGTCGAGGAGATAACTGTAGAAGACCAGAAAAATATTTGGATGAATTTAGCCCTCAGAATGACCCAAAAAATGTCTGATTTTTCACTCGGTTTGAAATGATGTAGAACTGGGACTCTAAAGAGATGCGTTATGCATTATTTGGATCTTGAGAAAATTAGAGAGACGGTATTGGATCACAGTCACAGAAAGGCCTTATATATTTTTCCAAGGACTATTAGGGGATAAATATATACATTTATGAGTTTGAAGTTAAAATATTAAGTCGATATCATTATTATGGTTCAGGTTTTAGTTAAATTTTAAATGACATATAATATACAATTTACATACTATAAAATTACCCTTTAAAGTATACAATTTATTTTTAATATATTTATAAAGCTGTCAACTACTGTTAGAAGAGCCATTCCTTGCTCCTCTCCTCCAGCTACTGGCAACCACTAATCTACTTTGTGTCTCAATGGGATTGTATATTCTGGGCATTTCATATAAATTGAATCAAACAATATGTAGCCTTGTGTGGTTGGTTTCTTTCACTTAGCATGTTTTCAAGGTTCGTGCACGTTCTTACATGAATCAGTAGTGCATTCCTTTTTATGGCTGAATAATATTTAATTTATGGATATAACAAATTTTGTCTATTCATCAGTTGATAGACATGGAATTTTTCACTTTTTGGCAATTATGAACAGTGCTGTGCGGAATATTCATGTATGAGCTTTTGCGTGGACAAATATTTTCAGTTCTCTTGGGGGCATACCTAGGAGTAAAATTGCTGAGTGATATGGCAATTCTATATTTAACTTTCTAGGGCAATATCTGCTTTCCAGAGAATTGCATATTTTACATTCACACAAGCAACATATCAGGGATTTGATTTCTCTACATCCTTGCCAACACTTTTTATTTTCTGCCTTTTAAAATTATAGCCATCTAGGAGAATGTCAAGTGGTATGTCACTGAGGTTTTAACTTGCATTTCACTAACGACTATTGATTTTGAAGATTTTTAAACATTAGTCACATATATGTCTTCTTTGAAGAAATGTCCACTGAAATCCTTTGCTTCTCCTTGTTTTTGTGCCATTTTTGAATGTTCTTTTTTATTTTTTAATTGACAAATAAAACATGTATTTGTTGTGTATCATATGATGTTTTGAAATACATTTACATTGTAGAATGGTTTAAAATGTTCTTAAATGGAATGAGTTGCATTGGGAATAAATGAGTTGTCAGTCAACAAATTAAGCACATGCTGGATGAGCATCTATATGGCCTTTACAAATATATATAGCAAATGATTCATGATTGTCCAACAATGTGTATGTAAGTTGCATGAGCTATGATCTGATGACACTCATGTCTTTGCTACAGTTCTCTTGTCAAACCCTGATTCATTGAAGATATAAATCTCCTTGAAAAAGTCCTTTGCCCATTTTTAATTGTTATCTCATTTTGTGTGTTATCTTTTTACTTTTTTCATAATATCCTTTAAAATACAAAAGTTGTGAAGTTTATAAAGTTTAATTTGTCTGTTTTTCTTTGGTTGCTTGTGCTTTTGCTGTCAAATGTAGGTAAATCATTGCTTAATCTAAGGTCACCAAAATATACAATTATGTTTTTAAGAATTTTACAGTTTTTACTCTTATATTTAGGATTTGGGTTTTCGATTCACTTGAGTTAATTTTTATAGATGATGATGCAGCACAAGCAAGCCCCGACTTTTGGGTTCAGCCCAGAAGGGTTCTTGGCTTTGCACAGGAAAGAATTCAAGGGTGAGTCAGTGCTATTAGCAATCTCTTATAGAACGGTAGGTACTGTTCTTTGTAGAGCATGCCTACCTCATAGGCAGTGGACCCAGAGTCACCAACTTATGGGCTCTTGGCAACTGTATTTATACTCCCTTACATTCACTTTCAATTACATGGATGGGTGAGTCAATGCAAATTGATGGGACAGTTTGTTTATAACTTTCTAGGAAAGGGGTGGTAACTTCTGGGTGGTTGCCATCGTACTTGTAAACTGTCCATGGCGTTGGTGGGAGTATCCCAGGCCAGTGAGCAATGAGGGCAACTAGGGATCGCTTTCATCGCCATCTGCTGGTTCCTGCTAATTTCTTCACTTTATCCTGTTTGGGCCAGATCCTGTTTTGATCAGCAGGGCTATGACCAGAAAACAAGTCGTGCCAGTCTCTTACCTCAGTATATGGTCGAGTTCTGCAATCTTTTTTTTTTTTTTTTCGCATGTTGATATCCAGTTATCCCAGCCCATTTATAGAACAGATTATTCTTCTCTACTTGAAGTTTTGACATCTTTGTTGAAAATTAACTGATCATAAATGTATGTCTTTATTTCAGGATTCTCAATTCTATTCCATGGATCTGTATGTCTGTCCTCATGTTGGTACAAAACAGTCTTGATTACTGTAGCTGTGTATTAAGTTTTGAAATTGGAAAGTGTGAGTCCTCTGACTTTGTTTTTCATTTTCAGTACTATTGTGACTATTCAGGGTCCCTTGCATTTCCATTTAAATTTTAAGTTCACCTTATTTTGCATAAAAGGCAACTGAGATTTTGATAGTGATTCCATTGAATCTGTAGATCATTTTTGGAAATATTTCCATCTTTAAAAGATTGTCTTCCAATCTATAAATGTGAGATGTCTTTACATTTATTTGTATTTTTGTAAATTAATTTCAAAAATTTTTGCAGTTTTTAGTGTACTCATCTTACACTTTTTGGTTATATTTATTCCTAGGTGTGCCATTCATGTTGTGCTAGTGAAAATGGAATTGATTTCTTAAATTCATGTCCAGATTGTTTATTGCTAGTCTGTAGAAATACAACTGATTTTTATGTATTGATTTTGTATCCTTCAAACGTTAGAAACTGAGTTTCTAATAACTCAGTTACTGCCTCTAATTTTTTATAGATTCCTTAGGATTTTCTCTCTGCAAGATCATGTCATTTGCAAATAGAGGTAGTTTCATTCTTCCTTTCAAATATTATTACCTTGTTTCTTTTTCTTTCCTAAATGCCATAACTGGATCCTGTAGTACCATGTTGAATATAATGGATGAAAGCTGACATTCTTGTCTTGTTCCTGATATTAGGAGGAAAACTTTCAGTCACTAATCACTGAGAATGAAGTTAGCATTGAGCTTTTCATAGATGTCCTTTGTCAGGCTCCTTCCTATTGCCAATAGGTTTTTCTTTTTAATTATGAAAGGGTTTGAATTTTGTCATACGTTTATTTTCTGTCTACTGGGATGGTCATGTGGTTTTCATCCTATGGTATTTGTTGGTTTTTATGTGATATACCAACCATGCATTCCTCAGAGAAATCCCACTCATTCATTGTGTTTAATCCTTCATATGTTACTATACCTGTACTAGTATTTTGATGAGAATTTTTGCACCAGTGTTCATGAGGGAAATTGGTGTGGTGTGTGTGTGTGTGTTGGGGGGTGGGGCTCTTTGATTTTGTTTTCAGGATAATACTGGCCTCATAGAATGAGTTGTGAAGTGTCTCTCCCTCTCTCCTCTTCTATTTTTTTGGAGGAGTCTGTAGAAGATTGTTGTTGATTCTTCTTTAAACATTTGGTAGAATTCACCAGTGAAGCCATCTGGTCCTGTGCTTTTTCTTATAGGAAGTTTTTCACTGTTAATTCAGTCTTTTTTCTTGTTATAGGTCTGTTCCAATTTTATAATTTTTTTCTGTTTCTTTTTTTGAGTCTATTGTTTCTGTCATTTTGAGGATTTGACCATTTCATTTAGGTTATCTAATTTGTTGCTATATGATTGTTTATAGTATTCCTTTACAATACTTTTAATTTCTAAGATAAGTAAAATATAAGTAAAAATACCTCCTCTTTTATTTCTGATTTTAGTAACTTGCATCTTCTGTCTTTGTTTCTTTATCGGTCTTATAGGTTGTTAATTTGGTTTGATCTTTTCAAAGAACCTACTTTTGGTTTTGGTTATTTTCCCTACTCTTTTTCATTTACTACCACTGTAATCTTTATTTTTTCCTTTCTTCTGTTTACTTTGGCTTTAGTTTCCTCTTACTCTAGTTACTTAAGAAGGTGCAAAGTTAGGTTATTAGTTTGAAAATGTCTTATTTTTTTAAGAGAAGTTTATAGCTATAAATTTGCCTATAAGTATTGTTTTAGGTGCATTTCATGTATTTTAATATGTTGTGTTTTCCTTCACTTATTTCCAAGTCTTTTCTAATTTACGTGGGATTTCTTCTTGACCTGTTGGCTATTGAATAGTGTATTGTTAATTTCCACATTTTTGTGAGTTTTCCATATTTCATTGTTACTGATATCTAATTTAATTGCATTATAGCCAGAACACATACTTTGTATGATTTGAATATTTTTAAATTTATTGGACTTTGTTTTAAGGACTACCATAGGGCCTAATCTGGAGTCTGTTCTGTTGGGTGGAGTATTTTATAGATGTTAGTTCCAGTTCATTTATAGTGTTGTTCAGATGTTGTATTTCCTTCTTGAATTTCTTTCCAGTTTTTTAATTTATTGTTTAAAGGGGGGTTGATTTTTGCAGCTGTTACGGTTGACATGTCTCTTCTTCAAATCTGCAATTTTTCTTTATGTATATTGAGCTCTATTGTTTATTATATGTTTTTAATAGTTATATTTTCTAGATGAATTAACCTCTTATTATAAAATCACCTTTGTATCTAATAACAATGTTTTGCCTTATAGTCTATATTGTCTGATGTTAGTATAGCCACACCAGTTCTCTTACTATTGTTTGCATAGTATTTCTTTTTCCATCCTTTTAATTTTAACCTGTTTGTGTCTTTGAATACAAAGTGTATCTTTTGTAGACAGGTTATAGTTGACTCATGTTTTTTATCCATTCTTCCAGTCTCTACTTTTAATTTGAGGGCTTACTCCATTATTATGTAATGCAATTACTGATAAGACAGGACTCACATCTGCCATATTTGTGTTTCTTTTATGTACTCCTTACGTATTTTTTAGTTCCATTAAATTACTGTCTTCTTTTGTTAGGTACTTAGAGCATACCATTTAATTCATTTGTCATTTCTTTTAATATGGTTTTGAGTTTTTTTAGTGATTGCTCTGAGGTTCACAATTAACATTTAACTTATAAAAATCTAGTTGAGATAATATCAACCTAATTTCAACAGTATACAAGAACTTTGCTCTCATAAAGCTCATTCCCTACTCTTTCAGTGTACGGTTTTGTCACACAAATTGCATCTTTATATATTGTACGTCCATCAACATAGACTTATAAATACTGTTTTATACAGTTATCTTTTAAATCCCTTATGAGGAAAAAATTAGTTAATAACAAAATACATTTATATTCTCTTTTCTATTTACCTATAAAGTTACTTTTCCCGTGCTTTTAATTTCTTTCTTTGAATTCAAGTTATTCTCTAGCCTCCTTTTATTTCAGCCTTAAAGAATCTCTGTAGAATTTCTTGTAGAGAACTTCTGCTAGTGATTTTTATAGTTTTTTCTTGCCCATTTAAAATAAATGATACATCTTTTCATTGACAGGCTTTCCCCCCACTTCTTTTTATTACCTTGCCACTTATCTGTTCATCAACCCTGGACATTTGTCCTGTAAGGTTTTCCATGGTATGGACTTCACTTGTTATGTACTAATGCTGTGGTTTAACGTGTTTTTTGTCCTTGCTATTTCTTTAAATACTTGGTGATGGATCTCAGGCTTCAACAGGCTCATGTTCCATTGCATTGGAAAGACGGTAGGTGGTATTGTGTTCTTTAATCAGGAGGTACGTGATGTCTAGTTGCCTCACTCTTTGTTATATTAGCGGCAGAATGCCCAATGATTAGATTCATTAATTAGTTATTTTTGAAAAATTACAGCATTTAAATTCTGTCAGATTTTTTCTTTTTAATTTGCTGTGATGTTTTATATGAAGACACTTTTTATGGGCTACTGTTTGATTAATTACCTAATGGTACTTCCTATAGACGAGGCAGGATAAATGCTTGATACTTTCCCTTTGTTTACCATTTTTTATGCTATGATTCAGTTTCCTGTTGTCCTCCAAAGAATATTCTTTTTCTTAAATTTGTTTGCTTGATACTATGTTGTTGTTGTTATTATTTTTGGTACTCTAGAAACCAGAAATATAAAATTGGACAGAATTAGAGTCCATGCCTTTGAAACCCCTGCAACCTATATTCAGATTAAGCCACATTTTGAAGCTATTTAGGGAAAATCACATAAAAAATGAGATCTTCTCTCTGATTGTATGAAAACTTTGACCCTCCTGTACACATCTCTGGGATTCAAAAGTACTGAACAATTCCAATAATCAACAGCATTTGTAAGCACTAGAAAGGAATGAGGTCATAGAATTTAGAATAGAGAAAGGACAGACAATAAGCCAAAAAAAATTCATTTATAAATACACAAATATCCAAATATTGTAGATGTTCTGAATGAGTAAAATGTAGTGCAATGAGTAAATCTAATGAAGAACAACTCATTGAAACAGAATGGTGATTTGAAAAAATCAGTTTTTAAATTGGGTCTGGAAGAATGAGTGGAAGCCAACCAAGCAAAGACAAGGGAAAAACCTTTCAGGCCCTGAGAGCAACACATGTGGAGGGAGCTGAGGCATGAAATATCTTGGTGTAATTTAGGCAAAGACAGGAGGCTTCCCCTGAGAATGTTCCTTAACTTGACCTGGGAACTGCCAGGTACAACTTGAGATGCAATAATAAACATTATTTTTTCCCGGTTTACAAATTAATTTTTTTCTGCACATGAACTTACTACTAATCAGTGAGAGTAAAGAAAATAACTGATGTCAACCTTTTTTGTTTGTTTGTTTGTTTTCAGCGATAGGGTCTCACTCTGTTGCCTAGGCTGGTTTTAAACTCCTGGGCTCAAGCAATCCTCCTGTCTCAGCCTCCCAAAATGTTTGGATTACAGGCGTGAGCCACTTTGCCCAGGCAACACATTCTTTATGTTTCGTCAAGCTGCCCTACCTAATATTAGATTTGCAACAAGTTTCCAAATCTCCAAGTGCAAAAACATTTGTTTCACTATCAGAGAGTCAAAGTTTTCCTCAGATTCTGTTTCTGAAATATTTCCAGTAACTGATAAGTGTGGACAAGTTCATGCACTAAAGGCAGGGTCTCTTTTACTCCTGGAGTTTCTAGGATGGAAGAAAGAATGGTTTACTCCATTCAGTGCCTCAGATACAGTTTCACTACCCTTTCTATTGCAGTTTTTAAACCAAATCAGTTGATTTACATAAAATGAAATTCACCAATTTTAAATATACTGTTAGATGAATTTCGACAAATACATACACCCACGAAGCCGTTATCATGATCAAAATGTAGAACATCTCTGTCATCCCCAAATGTTCCATTATGCCTTTTAAAAGTCACCCCCCTTGACTCCAGGCAAGCACTGATCTTGCTGTCACTATAGGTTAGTTTATCTTATTCTAGACTTTTATATAAATAGAGCTATAAGATAACGTCTTTTAGTGTAGGCTTTCTTTTTTCCAGCAGAATGTTTTTGAGATTGGTTCATGTTCTCTTGTATCCATAGTCCATTCTTCATTGCTAAGTAAAAAAGTGTTCTATTGTTCTGATATACTAGTATTTATTTATTTGCCATTTGGTCAACTTTTGGAGTATTTCTGATTTTGGTCTATTATGCACAAAAGTGCTGTAGACAATTATGTAGAAATACTTGTGTGGACGTAAGTTTTCATTTTTTCCTGGGTAGATTTCTAGAGGTAAAACTGATGAGGTATTTATACATATAGTAAACATATGTATAGGAAACTGCCAATCTGTTTTTCAGAGTAGTTCTCCAATTTTGCATCCTCATAAAACATGTACAAGATTTCCAGTTGGTCTGCATGCTTCTGAACACTCGATATTGCCAGACTTCTAAGTTTCAGGTATCTTAGAGAAATCTCATTATGCTAATATGCATTTTCTTGATGATTACAGATATTGATCATATTCACGTATATTGGTCATTTATAAATCTTCTTTTGTAAATTATTTGATCAAACAAGTTGCACATTTTAAAGTTGGGTAGTTTGCTTTGTTATTGAGTTATGGTTGTCAGGATTATTAATCTATTCTTGATATGCCCAATTATGTAATGCATCATCTATTCTTGATATGAAATCTAATAATATATAAATCTACCTTATAATGTAATTTATAATCTATTCTTGATATGCCAATTATGTAATTTTTACTATCTTGAAGTTTAGACTTACAAAATTTTGTAAAATCTAATTTTTTATTTTGTGATTCATTTACTTATTTATGCTTTTCAAATACCAGATTTTTAAAATGATTTGTGTTGTTCTATTTAGAAGTCATTGCATTCATGAATGTTACAAGGATATTATATAATTTTTTCTAGAAGTTGTTTTTATAATTTACTTTTCAGAGTTTCAACGGTATCTATTTTTATGTAATTTTGTGTACGATATGAGATAAGAAACAAAGTTCTTCTATTTTTCATTTGGACATCCAATTGTTTTCATTGGATTTGTTGAAAAGAAAAGCTTTTCCCTATTGGATTTTCTTGGCAACTTTGTTGAAAATTTTTATATTATACCCATGGGCGTATTTCTAGACACTTTCTTTTCTTTTTTCTTCTTCTGTTTTTTTTCAAGATGGGGTCTCGCTCTGTTGCCCAGTCTGGAGTGCAGTGGTGCAGTCTCGGCTCACTGCAGCCTCCCCATCATGGGTTCAAACGATTCTCCTGCCTCAGCTTTCCGAGTAGCTGGGACTACAGGTGCATGTCACCGCACCCAGCTAATTTATGTATTTTTTGTAGCGACGGGGTTTCGCTGTGTTGATCTGGCTGTTCTCGAACTCCTGACCTCTGGTTATCCACCCTCTTCAGCCTCCCATAGTGCTGGAATTACAGGTGTGAGCCACCATGCCCGGCCTAGACACCCTATTTTCTTTCACCGATCTAATTTTACACTTTTTTGTTCACACCAATGCTGCACCATTTTGATTAATGTAGCTATAAAGTTACGTTTGAAATGAGATAGTGTAAGTCCGTCTGCTTTGTTCTTACTGTACACGGTGTTTTTTGCCTCTTCTGGGTCTTTTGAAAGGCCATATAAATTTTAGAATTCGCTCATCCATTTCTATTAAAAAGTCTGTAGGATCTTTGCATGGAATTGCCTTGAATGTAAAGACTGGTTTAAAGAGTACTGAGGTCTTAATAATACTTAGCCTTCTGATTCTCAAGAACATTGTATCTCTCCATTTACTTTCATCTTTTTTCATTTCTCTGTGCACTATGCTTTTTCCATTTTTCAAAATGCAGTTCTTATATCAATTTTAAATCTGTTCCTATGATTTTAAGTTTTTGGATGCTAACAATAAACCATTCTTTTTAAATTTGAATTTACAATTCTTATAAGAATATATATGTATTTCATTGTGTTACATTATTAGCTTCCCGTATTAGTTCTAGCAGCAGCTTTTAAAATAGCTTCCTTAGCATTTTCTCTATACACAATCATGTCTTCTGTCTTCATTTCTGTCTTACTTTCTAATGATAAAGCCCATAACCTATTTTGCCATGAAATTTTTATTGGAACTTAAAAGTTCTTTCAGAAAAGGCCATTTGAAGACAGGCAACCATCTATAGATAGTTATTTCTTTCTTTCCATTCTCTGTGTTCTTTTTCTTCTTTTTGCCTTATTGTACTGGTTACGCTTCCAGTGCAATGTTTGAATACAGGTTGTAAAAGAGAAATTCTTGCCTTGTTACTGATCTTAAGGAAAATCCAGAGTCTTTCATTGCTGGGAATGCTGTTATCTGTAAATTCTTCACAGTTGCCCTTTAAAATTCTGAAAAGCTTCTTCATTTCTATGTATATGAGGGATTGGCCTGTACTCTATTAATATTGTATTTTTGGCTTGTTTTGGTGTAATGCTGGTATTATAAAATGTGTTGATAAGTGGAAGAGAAAAATACACAACAAAAATGATTGTTAAGTAGAACAATTAGTGTTTAGTGTGTACAAAAAATTGAATATGGAAAGTTTCTGGATGGGGGAAGAAAAAACACAAAGTTTATTTTAATAGTACACATAAAGAAACTAAAGATTCAATACAGACATATATAAATACATATAAATATATTTAATTAAATATACACATTTAATTAAACCAGGAATTGTAAATAATGCTGAAAGCACCAATGCAATTATTATAGCGTGAATTAATCTGAAAGATCTTTCTAAACAGAATTCTCTGGATGAGCTTTGGAATACATAAACTTTGTAATAATTCTCCTAATTGTCATGTTTCCAACACCCTTCCCTGAATTTGAAAGAAGAAAATTACTTACTTGTACTCAGGTTTGTTTTCAGTCGGTAATTTACTATGTGGGCAGTTTCATATTCTATTATCTGTCTTACTTTCTCATGATGAGACCCAAAACCTCTTTGCTTTGAGAACCTTATTACAAATTTTAAATCCCTTGAAAATAGTCAATCCCCAAAACTCCAGTTCCTCCTCTTTTCAATAATTCCTTGAGTTTTGTTGTTATCTTGAAAAGTGTGTAGGGATACTCCAGAAGATTTTATATATTATCTCACGGTCAAATGATGTACAATTATAGATATTACTATTGATAAGGGAAAGGTTCCCTTGTCCCCCTGGCAGGGCATGCGATGAGGGTGTGGCTCGCTTCTTCAGTGCCCTGCTACTCAAACCTCTAGGGTAGCATACAGATGGGTAGGCTGTGGGGCTCCAGACCCGTGGCAGTGTATAGGGGAGGATGTTTACAGCTCCTGAAGCCTCAGTAAGCGCATGTTACAGGGTGCTCTCTTAATTTGCGTCTATAGGCAGCTTGTGTTAACCAGCAATTAGACCCCATTTCTTATCACAAGGACAAAGGGATTTCTGTATCCCGGGGTTTCTTGCTTTGATGTATCGGAAGAATCAGATCCATGGGCTTGGAGTGTGAGTGCAAGGTTTTACTGAGTAGAAGTAGCTTTGAGCAGATGGGGCAGCCAGAAAGGAGATGGTTTTCCCCTGGAGTCGGGCTGCTGAGCATCTCCGACTGCCCCAGCCAGCCAGTTGTGTCTTCTTTCTCCCATGTGTTCCTCACAATGTCCAGTGGCTTCTCCTCATGAGGATCTCAGGTTTTTATAGGCCCAGGATGGGGGTGTGGCAGGCCAGGTTGGTCTTGGGAAATGCAACATTTGGGCAGGAAATGCCTGTCCTCACCTAGGTCCCTGGGGGTGGAGCCCTAGTTAAGGACCCACCCTTCTCTACCCAGCACTTCCCTTCCCCACCTTCCATATCATTTAAAGGGACCATGCTCTTTCCTTCCCGGCACTCCTGTATCACTAAGTTAATTCAAAAATGATCCGAGAATGTTTTACTTTTATGCCAATTATCTTAAAACTTTACTTCGTATTTCCACCAGCCAATTTCTTGAGTCCGTGTGTGTGTGTGTGTGTGTGTGTGTGTGTGTGTGTGTATGTACATTAAACAGAAAATCTGGTCTCATCTGTAAAGCTTGACCCAATGACACTTTTGAAATAGATAATATTTGACAGATCTTTTCTTCAAAATACAACCTCACTTGATTGCACTCTATCTTGGGTTTTAGCTTTTCTTTAGTCAGTCTCTTCCTTCAACTAGGAAACTCCATATTGATTTTTTTTCACCTCAAATGGATTCATTGGTTTCATTAAGAAGTTCTAAATTTCACCATGTATATAACTGAAATGGATGTCTCTTCAAGACAAATGGATGTGTATTTTGCTGATTCTTTCAGTTGATTAAATGACTTTATGTTTATTACATTATTATATACAAATGATCATTGTAAAAGGAAGCACAAAGTATAAAAATTTAGTCTTTTCTTATATTTACCCTGACCCCACTAGTCAGATGTAATAGTAACAACTTGATTTGAGTCCTTCCAGATATATAGTGCTAGAAGATAGATAAATAGAATAAATGAAAAGTCATATGAGATAATTTATTAACTTGTTTTATTCCTAACTGTCTCCCACCATGGAATTTTAATACCACATATATCTATTTATCTGTGTGTGTATTGATGCATATCTATTGTTTTATACATAAAAATAATAAGGTTCTTTTTCTCCAAGAACCATTTTTTCTTCCTTGGGTGAGATATTGCCCCTACAGAGAACCTGCGATTTAGATTATTGTGTTATTAAAGCTCTAATTTATACAATAAGACATGTAAGTGTTTCACAATTCTGAATACGACTTAATATGAAAGAGATTTATGAAAAGGAATCCCAAATAGAAGTTTTTAATAGCTATAATATCAAATAATAAAAACGACCACCTTTGATGTTGATTAATTTTGATATCATGGCTATTTGCTTAAATTAGCCAGTTCTTACCTAACATATTCTATTTCATAGAATAGTTATGATGTGAACATTATAAGATCCTTGTATGATTTAACTAAATAATCCAGGTGGCTTTTGAGAGGGAGAACACTTTTTTAAAAATAACTTTTGACTTTTCTCTTTTGTCAGCGTGCAGAAAAGTGTGACACTAAAAGAACCAACCTGATACTACTATCCTTAGAAAAGCCTGCATACAAGGTTGGCTGTCATCTGGGAATGTAGGTGATCAAGAGTTCTCTCCACTGACATAAACTTTGTTTAAATAATAAGGATGACTCATTGTGACTAGACTATGCAAATAATGGGATGTGTGTTAAACATCTCCTTTCCTTCTGGGAGTCTGGAATTTTGGTGTATGCTAAACAGTGGGTGCCTGCAAGACCAGCCTCAAATAAAAACCCTGGGCACTGAGTCTCTAAAAAGACTCCCAGTAGGCAATATTTCACACGTGTTCTCACAACTTACTGCTGGAGGAATTATGCACGCCTTGCATGACTCTATTGGAAAAGGACTCTAGGAATCTTGCACCTGATTCTTACCGACTTCTCCCCATAATCTTTTTTTTCCTTGTATCCTTTCCATGTAATAAACCTTGGCCATGAGTCTTGCGAGTTCTTCTAATAATCATTAAACTGGGCGCTGGTCTTGAAGACCCTTGACACAGTTAGTCTATTTGGGATTCCTACTAGAGTATCGATATGAGTTGAACTGTGTTTCCCCAAGAAGATGTGTTTAAGTCCTAGCCCCCAGTAACTGTGACTGTGACCTTATTTGGAAATTGGGTCTTTCCAGATGTGATCAAGTTAAGATAGGGTCATACTGAATTAAAGTGATTCTTAATCTAATGTGACTGGAATCCTTATGAGAACAGAGAGAGAGACAGACACAGAGGGAAGAAGTCCACATGAAGATGGAAGCAAAAGTTGGAGATATACTGCCATAAATCAAGAAGCACCTGGGGCAGGTAGAAGCTGGAAGAGGAAAGAAAGAATCCCCTGAGCCCTAGAGGCTGTAGAGGGAGCGTGACCCTTTGAAAACCTTGATTTGGGACTTCTAGTCTCCAGAATAGTGACAGAATAAATTATATTCTGTATATTTTATGTAATTATATTCTGTATGTTTTATATAATTATATAATAATTACATATATATATGTTCTACAATATAATTATATGATAAGGGATTACATTCAGCCTGTTTAATATATATAATATATAATTATATGTATCATTATATAATATAAATAATCTAGGTGGCTTTTTAATATATATAATTATATGTTATGTATTTATATATCATTATATGTTAGATAATTATAATTATATGTTAGATAATTATATATAATTATATGTTATATATATGAAACAGGCTGAATGTAATCCCTTATATATAATATATAATATGTGTTATATAATATATATTAATATAATATATTGCATTACTTAATATATAATATATAACATAATCATATAACAATTATATATAGTTATATAATTATATAATTATGTTATATAATATAATTATATAATTATATATAATATATAATATAATTATATAATTATATATAATATATAATATAATTATATATTATAATGTTATATAACATAATATATAAGATAATTATATTTTATTATATATTATATAATGTATAATTATATATAATATAATATGTTAGATATTACAATATATTAATATTATATATTATATAATACATATTATATATAATTATATAATTATATTGTAGAAAGTCACCCACTTTGTGATACCCTGTAACACCACTCCTTGGGAACTAGTACAACTGTCAATTTAGATTTTTTTTATTAGGGAAGAAAATTACCCATTATATTTAGTTTTTTAAATATGTTCATCATATACAAAATTTTATTTTTGTTCATTTTTGTAACTATAATAAACACTTAAAAACAGAAGTTTTGTCCGATTGTTCACTATGTATCTTAAGTGACAAGAACAGTGCCTGGACTAGTAGGCATTTTGTAAATATATTTAATAAATACATAAATATATTAAATAAATAAATACATTGAATACAGAAATACATTCAAAAGAATAAATGAATGTATATAGAGAGGAGATTTGTTACCAATATGTGAGTTAAAATCAGAGTGATATGTCAATAATTTGTTTTAATTTTCTATTATTATTTAATTTTCTATTATGGTTTAACATTGAAAATATATTATTACTTTCCTTTGTCTTCCCTTTTGATGATTCTGTCAATATTATTCCACAGTGTTTTCCTTTGTGAAGAAAATACAGCTGTTCTGGTTTGCATTCAATTAACATTAACCTGGTTTTCATGATAGGATATTTGTCAAATTTCTCTTTTTCCACTTGTGCTTTTGAAATCTTGTTTCATCTCCTTATTTTTTAAACTAGTTTTGTAAAGTTTCCTAATTATAAATCTCTCTGTCTCTGTCTCTCTGTCTGTCTCGTGTGTGTGTGTGTGTGTGTGTGTGTGTGTGTGTGTGTGTGTGTGTGCGCGTGTGTGATAAATCTGTTCTGGCTGCACATTCACCTTCTACAATTCAGGCCAGCCAAAGCCCATAAATTATAGGGTAACTTGTAATAAGCAATCTAGAAGCATACTGTTCAGGAGAAATATAATGTGTACCACATATATTAATTTTAAATTTTCTAGAAGGATACTAAAAAAGGAAAAAGTAGATACAATTTAATTAATCAATTTTAATAGTACAATTTAAACATATCGAAATAGTATTAAACATATCCAAATAGTATTAATTTAGCATGTCATCAATAGAATATTATTAACAAGGCATTTTACACTTTTTTGGTACTGTCTTTGAAATCCCATATGCATTTTGTGCATATGACAGTTCTCATTTGGACTTGCCACACTTCAAATGCTCAATAGTCATATGTAGCTTGCAGCTACCTTATTGGGCTGCACACTTCTAGTGACATCTTGTCATTAGCACCAGTGTATGTTAAATATATCTGATTTCATTATTATTAAAACGTCCCCTGAGTAAAGGCAGATGCTGTTTCCCAGAGTTGCTGGCAAGCTTGATGTTTGATGAGTCTAGTAATGCATAGGATCTGTTCTCAGGTTGCTTCATCAGCCATAGCCCGTCTCCTGAAAGATGGCTCCCTCTAGTGTCTCTACTTGAGTTAGTGAGTCGATTTCAGGATGATGTAAATGCCCTTTCAGCCTTTTATCTTCTCCCACTAAGGATTTACCATATGTAGGACAGGTAACCACTGAATTTCTGAAACAGCCTCATGAAATCCAGTCAGTACATTTAGCAGCTATTTTGTATGGCCAGGGGAGAATTTAAAGGCTTAGACAATTCAGCAGCTACAGCAGGGAGATCTTTGGGCTGTGGATCAGGATGGGCTGGAAAAGATAGGGAGGGTTACTATTGGGTGCAAATGCAAGGGATAGATCTATTCATAAATGCTGTGAACTTTGGAACCCCCAGCTAAAGTGTACACTTGAGCACCATTTCCATTTAACAGTGTGCTCCATTGGGGTGTTTCCTCAATTTGAATGTTTCACAGACATCACCTAAGTCATGATGGGTGTTTCTGGTTTCAGGATTGCCAGGTCTCTTGATGTAGGAGCAATTCCTGCCAATGCCCAACAACAAGCTCACAATTATGTTTCTAAAGGGCTGAATTGAGCAGCTGCATCAGACCACTTTCAAGTCCAAAATCTCTGCCGTCTCCACTGAGCAGCAATATTGATTTCTGCCAAAAGCTCTAGTCTGTGTGTGTTCCAGTTGTTGACACTTCTACAATCATTTGTGCATTCGGGTCATAAGGCTCAAGAGACACTGCCTGATTGACAGCCCTTTATAAATCTTTTATTTGCTTGTTTCTGTCAGGCCACAATTCAATCTCAGATTTCTTTCTAGTGACTTTGTGGAAAGGACTAACAATATCCCAGAGTGGAAGATGTGATTATGCCATAACTCAAACAGATTCTCCAGTCTCTGGGCTGTTTAGTAACAAGGTCAAGATCAGATTCTAAATTATTTCTTATGATAGGAGGAAAGCCTCTTGTGATCTGGCTCATGTTCTTTTCTAAATTTTCAGGGACTGGGGCAGGTCTTGAATTGTACTGGGGTTTATCTGCCGTGCTTTATTGACAGCTGGGTGACACAGTCTCTAAAGTATACTTTGCTTTTTCCTCTGAGGAGGCAATTAAGATATCATTGATGTTATCAACTTACTCCTGGTTATCAAGATCAAGTGCAGCTACGCTGGATTGTGATAGTATACTGGTTAGCTTAAATGTCTTTTTGTTAATATGTGGAGGCAGTGTTCTTGATTGACTTCTGAAATAGGTGTACAAAAGAAAGCATGAGCTAAGATCTATACTGAATGCTCTCCTTTGATCCATTGCCTGTTGGTGCAATTGTATTGGTTTTGCTTTTTGTTTTTCTGAATTATATCTATAGCACATCCAACGCTATGGTGGATCTACCTAGATGAACTCCCAGTGGTCCACTATCAGTATGTGTAGATAACCTGCTTTGCGTTTTTGGTGTGTAAGGGCTATTAAAAGAGAATTATTGGGTTTACTGATTTTTTAAAGATTGAGTAGTATTCCATTGTGTATACATACTACATATTCTTTATTCATCTGTTGATGGATACTTGGGTTGATTCCGTGTCTTGGCTATGGTGAATTATACTGTAATTAACATGGGAGTGCAGCTATCTCTTTGCCGTATTGACTTTACTTCCTTTGGATATATACCAAAAAGTTGGATTGCTGAAACTACCATATGCTACTTCTAATTAGAGTTTTTTGAGGAACCTCTACATTGTTTTCTATGGTGGCTATACTAACTTACATTCAAACATACATTAAAATTCCACATTGTATACCATAAATATAAATAATTTTCATTTATCAATTAAGGAAAATAATTAATGGAGATCAATATCACTATTTCAATCATTAATGCTAATTAAAGCATTAATGTTCTCTTTTACTTCTGGAACTCTGTATTATTTAGTATTTTCTACAGAGGAGGTCTTAGGCAATTGCAAAGATTGTAATTTATCATTTCAGGTGACACCAGGTGGAGGGTGACTATGGAACATGGAACACACGCAGTGTAATAATGTAGGAGCAGAGTCCTCCATTCTCCTGTGACACCCATTCCCATTATACACTTAGGTAAGGGAGATGAAATGAGAGAATACTTTCTCCAGTCGTATTTTCCAAATTAGAGTTTAACTGGTACGTTGTTATTGTCTACCACAGCATTTCCGCGTTCTCCAAGTTTCACCTTTAGACCTCTTAGACTGTCCTCCTAGCCCCTATGTGGATTTCCATAGACTGATTGCGAAGAGTTAATAATTCCACATATTTTAGTTATTGCCCTCAGGCCATTCCATCCACATCACTTTCTAGTTCTTTGGATTCCCTCACTGAGGGGTGGGTGGGCAGATCCCAAATCCTTACTTAATTTACATAAAAAGGAAATATGGCTTTAACTGAGGGATTACATTCAGCCTGTTTAAGTATTTCCATTCCAAATCATAATCCTTATGATTGGATTTGTACTTATCCATGCTAAGTTATATGTGGAAACTTCGAGGGGGCTTCTTAAGGTATGCATGTCATAGCCAACAATGAAGTTGGATTTTTACCTCTCATGCTTCAAGATTATACCGCCAAAACCCTACCAATAATCCTCTCAATTCCCCCTTTTTCATCCTGTTTTTCAGCAGCAGTGGAACAATTCCAGCAGAGTAGGTCAAGCATCACTGCTTTCCTTCTTCTTTATAATTTCCCTCTTTAGTCTCACCTTTCTTTCGGGAAGCATGAACATTTCTGCTACCAATTAATCCCATACATAATAACTGAGGTTACTGTCTCTTGAGTACTTCTTGACCACTAACTAAAACTATGAAACATGACAAGCACAAATTTAGGGATCCCCATAAATCACAGCATCTATCATGGTTTGGGTCAGTGGTATCAAATAGGTATCCATTGTCTTGATTGTATTTATGATTTCAGGGATGTATACATATGCCAAAACTTAAAGTATATGCAATTTGTTATATGTCAATTATATCTCAATTAAAGCTGTCAAAAACTGTAGCTGTATGACCCCAATTGCCATTTAACCAATCTAAAGTTGCCTCCACCTTTATCATTTCTACTGTTTCAGAACCTCCAAGCTTGTGCATAATTATCAATGGATAAGAGACAGAAGAAGCAATATACACAGCATCTGGGAGGCTCCTAATCCACAGATAAGGCTTCCTAAGCTTCCTTTCCTATGCTAGACATATTTTGGTGATGGAGTATGACAAGCACACGGGACACATTAGCCATGGAGGCTGCTGAGTTCTGGAGTTCCACTAGACACATGGTCTTGCTGTGGTTATATGTATAACTTGCATGCTTCAGCTCAGCTTCCCATGATTTTCAGGATAATTTAATATGAGCAGTCTAAATAGACCAGGACGTAATGCTGAAATGATTTCTAGATCAGTAGTCAGCGCGTAGCCAACCCTTTCAGGACCCTCATTTGTCTTCTATGTTAGTGTATTCCATCAGTCGATATTTGCAAAGAATTCTGTTCAGAGTCAAAACTTCTTCAGAGATCCCTAAGGAGGGAGGAATAAATTACAGGCCCATGGTTACTCTTTCATATAATATCTAAAAGGCCATTATGTGAAAAGATTGTCTCTGAAATCTAATTCTTGCCTCAGCCAGGTCAATTTAGGAAAACTGCACTGGCAGCAGCCAGCTCTGTAATGCTGCCCAAGCAGATAAAAGCTTGTAGATTTGAATAAGGCCCAGACCGCGCTTGCTGCCTCTGTGGAAACAGATGTTTTCCTGTGTGAAAACAGCCACTTGCCTATGGACAAAGCTTTTTATAAGCTGGTCGTGGACACAGATGTCTTCAATTTTTTTTTTCACTGTAATGATACTGCAGTGAACAGCTTCTGAGATGGCCCCTAGCAATCCTGCCTCCACATCCAGGCCTTTGTCCCTTCCCTGTGAATGGGTGCTGGCTGAGTAGTTTGTTTCAAACCAGCAGAATATGGCAAAAGTTGTCACTCCCATGATTAGGTTACATGATATAGTCGAGTAGAATGTATTCCTTTGCTGGCTTTGATGAGGCAAGTTGTTTTATCAGGAAGGTCCACATGGCAAGAAACTGAGGGCAACCTCTGACCAACAGCCAGCTAGAAAACGAACCCTCAACCCAACAGCTCATGGGAACTGGATCCTGCCAATGATCATATAAGTGGGCTTGGCAGTTGATCCTTTCCCAGTCAAAACTTCAGACAAGAACACAACCCTGGCTGACAACTTGATTACAGCCTATGAGAAATTCTAAAGGAGAGAGCCCAGGTAACACTCATAGAAACTGTCTCATTGGCCGGATGCAGTGGTTAACACCTGTAATCCTAGAACTTTGGGAGGCCAAGGCAGAAGGATTGCTTGACACCAGGAGGTTGAGGGGAAGGAGTGGCTTTGGGTATAAGTGCAATTTAGGCTGAATCCTGGAGGAAACCTAACGTTCCTTTGAAAGATTTGAGGTTTATAATTAAAAGCAGAGATTCCATAGACTTGGCAATTTAAAAATACCAGATGTTGCATTGTGAGCAGGAGGATATCAGTTCAGCACCTCTACCCCCCAAAAAGAAAAGAAATTCAGGGAGGGAGCAAAGAAACATTCCTAAAATGAATTGGAGCTGGAGGCCATTATCCTAAGTGAGTTAATGCAAGAAGAGAAAACCAAATACTGCATGCTCTCATTTATAAGTGGGAGCTTAACACTGAGCACACATGGACATAAACATGAGAATTACAGATACTATGGAATTCTAGAGTGGGGAGGGAGGGAGGGAGGGAGCATGGGTTGACAAACTACTTATTGGGTGCTGTGCTCGCTACCTGGGTGCAATATGCCTGTGTAAAAAAACTGCCTATATATGCCCTGTATCTAAAATAAAAGTTGAAATTAAAAAAAATGTGTGTGTGTGTATATATGTATGTGTGCATATATGTACATATATATGTATATACATATATACATACATATACACGTATCATACGTATATACGCACACACATGCACATACATCCAAGAGACAAAGATAAGTGGGAAAAATATAACTATATTTTAGCATACTGGATGTTTCTATATTTTAGCTTTTATCAGTTTTATAAGGAATCATGCAATAGCAATCTCTTGAAAAACAAATCCCTCGGAAGCAAAAGAATGCTGTTTAAATTACTATTCTCATTGCAAAGTATAGAGATAGCAAGACATTCAGATCACTAAATTCACCTTCTAACATTAGATTATTTTTATATTTAAACTTTGAAGTTCACTGAGCTTTTACATTTTAAAGATATTAAAATATGAAATTATGTTTTAGTTTGAATGATTTTCTTTAATTAACTATATACTTTTGTGGAATTTTTTGAAGGCGATCTAGTTAGCAGGAAAACTGATTTTCTCTCTGCTTTTTACTGCTTCCCATATTCTGGTGGAAGTTACCAAAACAATTCAAAATGTGTTCAGGATATATGTAAACTTACCTCGGGGCTAATAAAAAATAAAAGGACATAATTTTGAGGAGGTTCTGCTATATTTAGCAGAGATTGGATTATTTTGAACTAAGATTGTAATGATAATCCAGCAAATCTCCCTTTTTTGATGAAACCATGTCAAGTCATTCTGTTGGATATCATTGGAGACTGTTATCTAAGATATTTAATGAAAAAAATGGAAATCAATAGCTTGGAGGTTAGGGCAAACTGAGCTAAATAATAAAGATTTCATTTGGAATCCTGTTTGTCATTAAATATCAAAAAAATTTGAAAGACTTAGGAATGTCCCAGGAACATAGTAGGTGCTCAACAAATACATTAAATGTGTGTGTGTGTGTGTGTGTGTGTGTATAACACTAAGGGTTTGCCTACTAGTCTTCTATGGGCAGGAAGAAGGCTTTGTACATGGCCTGTGGCTTCTTCAGGGTTTTCCCCTGACAAATAATGCAATTCTGCTTATGTCTAGTTGGTAGAATCTACTTACAAATGTTAAAATAGAACACCTGCACTCCCATAATTACCAGTGGATTTAATTTAATTCATTGAAACTTACTAGATTCTAGTGGTGTGAAAAAGTACATTACATTTGAAATGATTTAATTTGTCTGTTTTTCTGGTTGCCTTAAATTCTATCCATTTATTAATCCGAGGAGGAATTAGTCATGAACCCAGTATTCTGATACAATATGGGATAACCTTTTCTCCAAAACACAATTTTCCATCATTGTCACTGCAATTTTGAGAGGTGTATTACCATACAACAAGATAAACACTGTGTGATTTAGTATAAGGTATTGTTGACAAAGTTAAGTGCTTTACCTGGAATGTGTTTAATGATGCCCATGGGAGGGAAGGTTTTCTGAGCAGATGTAAGGATAATTTTGTTGCCTCTGAGCATCGGCTTAACATCATTAGGACACTACCAAGCAGGAGGGAGAATGTGCTGCCTTCACTGCACAAACTGAAGGAGAAAATGAAATCAATTCAGCCGTCCTTTTTGGTAATTTTGTATGGACCAAGTTTTGTGTTGTATTCTGTATGTTTGTTTTATTTTTACCTGATCTTTACTACTTAAGTTTTATTATTTTAATAAGTAGTAGTTCTTATTCTCATTAAACTCACTATACTCTTATTATACAGTTAATATCATACTCAAAATATTTTTATTGTTTTTCAACTTATACAAATTTATGGAGTAAATGTAAAATTTCGTCACATGTATATAATGTGTAGTGATGAAGTTAAGGTATTTAGTGTGTCCATTACCTGAGTACAATACATTTTTGTTAACTATAGTCACCCTAATCCATATATTTTGAAAGTTGCTGGAAATCATTTTTGGAAGAAACTAGGACAAATTATTCAATATTTAAATAGCAGGGAAAATATATAAAATATGTTCAATACTTCTAAAATATCTGCATTTAGGGCAAAGGACATGAACAGACACTTCTCAGAAGACATACAAGTGGCCAAAAAGCATATGAAAAAGGGCTCAACAACACTAGTCATTAGAGAAACACAAATGTAAATGACAATGAGATGCCATCTTACACCAGTCAGAATGGCAATTATTAAAATGTCAAGAAACAACAAATGTTGGCAAGGTTGTGGAGAAATGGGAACAGTTATACACTGTTGATGGGAATGCAAACTAGTTCAGCCACTGTGTAAAGTAGCTGGAGACTTCTCAAATAACCTAAAACAGAATTACCATTTGACCCAACCTTCCCACTACTAGGTGTATATATCCAAAGGAAAATAACTTACTCTGTCAAAAAGACATATGCACCCGTATGTTGATTGCAGTGCTGTTCCCAATAACAAAGACATGGAATCAACCTAACTGCCCATCAACAATGGGTTGATTAAAGAAAATGTGGTACATATACCTCACTGAATACTGTACAGCCAAAAAATGAATGAAATCATGTCCTTTGCAGCAACATGGATGGAGCTGGAGGTCATTATCCTAAGTAACCTAGCACAACAGCAGAAAACCAAATACCACATATTCTCACATATAAATGGGAGCTAAACATTGAATACACATAAAATAAAGATGCAAACAACAGACAGTGGGTAGCAGTAGATGGGGAAAGGAGGGTGGGGGACATGGGCTGAAGAGCTGCCTGTTGGGCACTGTGCCTACTGCCTGTGTGATAGAATCATTAGGACCTCCAGCCTCAGTGTCGCTCAGTTAACCTATGTAACAAACCTGCACATGTACCCTTTAATCAATAATAGAAGTCTAAATTTAAAAATAAAAATAAAATACTAACAAAAGGATTTAAAATATAAAAATATTTATTTTTATAGATAGTAAAGAATATATGAATGCTTTATAGCGTGACTTATAATACATTAATTTATTGCAAATTATAATGTATTTTTTAAAATTTATATCTATTTTTATAAGCATTGGACCCAACTGTTAAGATATTTATAAAGGGATATTGAAGACAAAGTTATAGAGTTAGGATTATGAAGAGGTTAACAACATAAAACATTACCAGGAAAGGAAGAGGCATTATTTTGTTAGAGAAGTAACAGGTACAGTTTCAGGCAGGGAAAAATAAATGAGGTATTTACAAATGTCTCTTCGGCTTCTACTCCTGTGATTTTTCTGTTAACTCTGAATACACCAAGGATAGATATTATTGAAGATAATTACTTGCCTTGGGAAATATCATGGGTGTTTTTTTCCTCCTCAAATACAAATAACAGCCTGTTCTATTCAGTCACATAATTTCTAAAATCTCGTTCTGACATTTTCCCCAAGTGATTCAAAGTCTTGTGAGGAAACATTCTAGTCTTCAGAAACAAGTTTAGGATGCAGGTCTCTGACAAATTAAGCCTCATGATGCCTGAAAAAAAGGACTCCTGGGAATGGAAAACCGAGAAGGTCAGTATCCTCTGCATATTCCTGTAAGAGAAAAGTCACTCCTGAGGAATGACTTATTTCTTTCGCAACAAGGAAAAAGTGGATCAGGGTGAATATTTTCCTCTCTGATAAATGTATCTCTTGTAGTTATGGTTGTTTCTATGACAACTTCCATCACTTTTGAGAACAAGATACTCCCTAAATGCAAATTTTAAAAGTAAACTACTGTACTTTTTGTGAAAGAAACCAAACTAAACCAAAACAAAAACACTTGTATGTAATGCAAAGGTAAATTATTTTTTTTCCGTGATGCAGAATTACCTTTGCACCTTTCAAGATAGTTGTCATACGAATTGCTTGATCTATGGGTGGCGTGGGTAGATTGAGTGATTCGAGTTATTTGGAACGATCCTTAGATATTCAACTTCTTATAGTGTTATGAACCAAATGTAGTAGTAATATGCAAATGGCATTGCTTTAATATGGTGTGAGCATTTAAGGACACTTGCAAAACCAACAGTGCAAAATTCTTGATATTTTAGATAGCAGTTTATCCCTAAATTTTATTAAAATACATATTTCTTTTAACATATAAAGCATGAAAATAATAAAGGTAATAATTAGTAAATTACAATACATGAGAATTTCTTTTCTTCATAGTTAATACTAGAATAGGATTTTTTTAATTGGGCAGTATTAAGTATTTATGAGGACGTGAAGTAACGAATTCTTATTCACTGCTCATGGGACTTTATATGACCATTTTAGAAAATAATTGGACACCATAAGATTAGGAAAAAAATGTTGGCTAACACTTTAAAATATAGATAAAAGATTGAGCAATGAGATTTATTATTTCTTTAGTTCATTAGTTTGCTTTGAGAAATTGCTTTGAATTATATAGACATGATGAGACTGATGTGATCATTGTAGTTTTATTCATGCCAGGAATAGAGCAAAGTATTAAATGGCACTTTGACACTTTGGATATTATTTTAGTATTTGAGATATGAAGCTTTAGGCAGAAGAGGAAGGAATTAGAAGATAGAACTAGATAGCAACCATTATCAGGAAAGAATTACAGCATAGCCTTTTATAATGTAGAAAAGAGGTCCTTGATTAATAGCAAAAAATAAATCAAGCAATAAAAATCATTTTGAACTGAGAATTTCCTGGTGACAGAAGTCGGAGCCAGAAGATGGGGATGTACAAAAATTAAATTGTTTGGCTAAACTTCTAGTATAATACTTGAATTTCATGAGAAAATGAAAGGTTCTGAGAGCAAAAAGACTTTTAACGAATTGAAATTATGAATACTTATAAGAATGGTCACTTATAGAATTTAGAAAATACTTTTAAAAAGTAAATACATCTAGTGACTGACAAATGATAGTTTTTATTCAAACAAAAAACTCAAATTGATTTTGAAGAAGAATTTGTGGTAGTGTGTGAAGTTTAAACAGGAAATTATATAATACCTTGATCAAGAAAATCAGTTCAATTAATTATTGATGATAAAAGCTAACACCACATAGTATTAGCTGGAAATCTTAGTTATTCACTTGTAAGACAATGTGAAAAAGAAAGAAATAATATTAAGTATCAGAATGAAATACACATTCTGGCCTATTAATTGCTTTTCTGTAAAATAAACCAATTTTATCTGACTTTAAGGAAAGTAAGTACTACGTGAGTGGAATAATACTAAGGATAAAGCTTCTTCAGGCATGTGGTATTTTTAGAAGATCATTTAATCAATCTGATTCCACGCAATTGATCTGAGTCCATAGGTCTGGTTTGATTGGCATCAGTGATTCCAGTAGTTCCCAGAAACAGCCAGGTGATGAGATCTGCTATAGGATGTTATTTTAGGAACATGGAGATAGCACAGCCTCTTTCTCATGCCGGCACTCATGATGAAGACTAAAGTTGGTTCTGGCCTGTGTCCATGCTGTGCCTAGGGATACAAGCTTGATCCATTCACATATAATGTTAATACGTGAAGACATCTTTCATAATCATTTTGGTAACACACTGTAAGGAGTGAAGAAATGTTGAAATTATCTTGTGTGGTGGATAATACCCAAAGATAGGCACCTGTTACTCCTTCCGTGCACCTCCACGTAGCTGCTTCCATCACGAGATGAAGTCTAATCCACTTCCAGACCTCTTGAATCTGGGCTGCTCTTAACGACTGGCTTGATTAGTAGAATGCAACGGAATTGATCTTCCGGGATTTTGGAAGCAAATCATAGGAAGGTGGCAGCTTCCTATGTCTTCCTTAGTCTTGTTTGGGGGAAAACTGGGTCATGTAAGAAGTCTGATAACCATGAGACCATCATGCTATGAAGAAATACAGTCTAGCCTCATGGAAAGCCTGCCTGGGAGAGAAGATTCCTGATCACCCTGTAGCTGTTCCAGCCATCCCAGTGGAGGTACCTGACAAGTGAGTCTCGAGCTCCAGCCACCATCTAATGGCAACGGTATAAGAGACCTCAGGTGCAAACTACCTAGCTAAGCCCAGCCAACTCTTGTTACTATGACTAATAACACTAAATGATTGTGTAAGCCAATACATTGGGAGTGGGAGGTTGTGCTGCAATATGTAACTAAACACCTGACTTCAAATGGGGATATTTAGCATTTTGTCTTCTCCATTCTGCATTTTAATAACCTCCAAAAGTATCTTCTTGGCATGTTTCTTGTTGTTGTTTATCATATTAGCACCCTGATAAATTATATGCCAAGAGTGTCTTTACTTCAGGCTACATTTCTTGTGTAGGTGTGTGCTTTCTGCTGGGCTGTCAACTCAATGATGCTACAAGCCTCTAAATTCCTTTAAGACTGCAGCACACATTATTTTTTGGCATGCTTTGATTATATCCCCTTTGCTGTCTGTCCCTGAACTCTTTATAGTAAAAATTGATGTTGTGAAGGAAGCCCCAAAAAAAGATCCTGCAAATAATATCAAAGCAGAATATGTATTTATCTCTCTTGTCATATTAGTCATTAACAACACAATATGTTGGTCCCTTCTTAAGATCAATTTCCTCAAAATATACTACTGTTTCTCCTGTGTGAGACTGAAATATTGACTTTAATTTGCATTTTTCCTGATTACCAGTGAGCTTGAACATTTTCTTTCCACGTGTTTATTGCTTTTCAGGTGACTGCTCATACATATTTTGTGCCTTATTGAGTTTTAGGATTTCTTTATACTGGCTGCCTGAATAAGCTATAAAGATACTCCTTGCCTGTGTCTTGTGTTTTGAATCTGTTTATGATTTATTTTATTGCATAGATGTAGCAGTATTTCATGTATGATTGTGCAGCTTTAAGAAAGTCTTCTTTACCCTGATATCCCAAGAATAATTACCTATATATTTTCTAGACATTTTAGATAAGCTTTACTCATTGGGATGTTTAGTATATTTGAGCTTGACTTTGGTATGTGATGTGAGCATGGGATATATTTTTCCTATGGATGTTCAATTTTCCCATTAGCATTTAGTAAAAAGCCATCATTTCTCAGTGATTTGTAATGCCTCCCTTTTTCACAAGCCAGGTTTCCAGGCACACCTGAGTGTGTGTCTGTGCTCAATATTCTCTCATCTTGTCTCTTTGACTGTGTCATATTAATACCATGCTCCATTAAAATGTAGGTAACAGTTTAAACTTTTGTTTCTAGTTACCTCACAGTATGTTTCTTTTGCTATTATAAAGGAGAGTGGTTTTTAAAATTACATTTTGTAATTAATCATTGCTTTTGAGTGTAGCGTGCAAAGGAAGTGAATGTATAACCAGAAGCATTGATGCTGCTACACTGCCTAATTTTTAACCCCAGCATTACCAGCTGGTAGTGACTTGTAATTCTGCTGATTTTTGCCTTCTGCAGTCTGCAGCTCAGTTAATAAAATCAATTATGTTTAGAGTTATACCGCTAAATGACTCTAAAATCCTTTTAAGTATATTATTTGCTAATTCTCTGTGTGTCAGGCATAGCAAACTTGAGGTAGCAGGCACTTCAGTTACATGAAAGGAAAATGTTATAATTAATCTTAACACTTGAAAGAAAATGTTGCTAAATGATTTAAGGTATGGTTATAGTGTGATCTGTCCAGCAGAGGGACTAGCAGAAATAATACATTGAAATTGAAATAGAAATATATTTGTTCCCCCATATTGTGTCACTTAGGTTGCACTCTATTTTCGGCATATTTTGTATAGCATTTTTCTCATGCCATGGACATCTGCATACATTTTTGCCCAATACGCTTTGCTTTTATAGAAAAAATGTTTTCCATTTTAATCATCATTTCTGAAATCCTGGTGACTGTTTTTGTGATAATCACTAATACTGTTCACAAAATATTCCTGGCTTTTTGCTTTCAAGGCACCAAAATGATTGCATTTCCTGAAGCTCGCAGTTTATTGAAGTCCTGTGACTTATGATGACCTGTAAGCAGAAGTGACCAGTGACTCTTTGGTCAGAGCATTTAATGGCTAGTTTGAGATCCTCCAGAGATCTTTTCCCCTTTGCGAATGTTTTCAATGATGGTTGTCCCGTCAGCCTGTATCCCTGGGTCACTATGAAGTGCAGAGCCACCTGCTGCCTGTGTTAGGGGAAAGTATAACTCTGTTGTTCTAAGCACTGAGACTTGGGGTTGTTTATTACCACACCTGGCCTATCCTAACTGTTATAAGTAATGATACCTAGAAAAAGGGCCTGCTGTAGTGAAAACGAATATATGTAACAGTGTAATAGTTGATTGTCAGACTGAAAGTAAACTGATATTGAAGGCTCTAAGAGTGGTTATTCATTTTATTCTGTGATGAAAATGTTTGGTCCAACTATGGCCTGAAATAGCAGTAAAAGAGCATAGAGGCTGTATGGGACACATAGGGTTATAAGAGGCAACTGCCGTTTATCATTAATTAGTGAAAGACAAAACTCAGAAGGCTTTTGTTCAATGAAAGAAATCGGACTCATATTGCAATAGTATGACTTTTACCCATTGTTCCAACTTCTAAATGGATTAAAAAGCCAGCTTTTAATTTTTCTAGGTTGTGAGTGTGTGTTTATTTGCACAATTAAGTGCATACTTGGACAAATTCTTTTCATAAGGCCATGCTTATTTATTTATTTATTTTAGAGACAGTCTTGCTTTGTCACTCAGGCTGGAGTGGAATGGCGCAATTAATCTCATTGCGACCATGTCCTCCTGGGCTCAAGGCATCCTCCCACCTCAGCCTGTTGGGTAGCTGGGACTACAGGCGAGCACCAAGTCCAGCTGATTTAAAAAAAAATAAATAAAGATAAGGTCTCACTATGTATGTTGCCCAGGATGGTCTTGAACTCCTGGCTCAAGTGATTCTTCTGTCTCAACCTCCCAGTGTTGAGATTACAGTCATGAGCCACCACGCCTGCCCAGGTCATGTTTTTTTGATGAATTATTTCTTTTAGATCCAAAACTGATTTAGCGTATATATGGCACATCCCTTTAACAAATTTTCTCAGATTAAGTGGATTTCTAAAAAGCCTCAGTTTTTTGCATGCTTAATTTATTGAGTTTCCTTACTCCTAAACAAGCTGTTCATTGTTGTTAATAATTCTGCTCATTTTTCTTCTATATTTGTGATTCCTTCTGGCAACATATTGATTTCGTTCAGTAGTTACCCAGAATTTTTCACACCGGAGACACTAATTTTCAGACATTTGCATCATCTTCATAACAAAATCCATATTTAAACATTTTGCTACATCCTAAGCTTAGGGCTACTCATATTGGATATTGCAATTTCCTATAGTCCCCTGGGTGAATGTATTTTTTCACCTTCTTTGCCCAAAAATTCATAGCAGGAAGAGTCAAGAACAATAGTGCATTTGATATGACACTCAATTTCTGTTTTTCTGTATTCTCTGTAGTAGTCGGGCCTTGACACTTAGGAGCTTGTGCCGCCTACTGTTCATGACCTATATAATTCCCACTCCTTCAGCATAGGCAGGACCTGTGATTTGATTCTAGCCAATGGAAAATGGCAAAGATAAAGGGACTTTTCACATGTAATTAAGGCCCCACATCAGTTGATTATGAGTTATTCAAAATGAAGATGAGGCCGGGCACAGTGGCTCATGCCTGTAATCCCAACACTTTGGGCGGCCAAGGCAGGTGGATCATTTGAGGTCAGGAGTTTGAGACCAGCCCGGATAACATGGTGAAACCCTGTCTCTACTGAAAATACAAAAATTGGCCAGGCGTGGTGGCACATGCCTGTAATCCTAGCTACTCAGGAGGCTGAGGCAGGAGAATCGTTTGAACCTAGGAGACAAAGGTTGCAGTGAGCCGAGATCGTGCCACTGCCCTCCAGCCTGGGCGACAGAGTGAGACTCCATCTCAAAAAATAAATAAATAAATAAATAAAAACAAACAAAAGGAAGATGACACTGGGTGGGCCAGACTTAATCAGAGGAAAATCTTAAAAGCGATTCTCCTGGCAGCCTTCAAAATTTTGTGGTCATGCTGTGAAAGGGGCTATGTGACAAAGGACTGTGGCCAGCCTCTAGAGGGTAGCACAGCCCTGGCTGACAGCCAAAAAAGGAAGACCTCGGTCTTCTAAGCACAGGGAAGTGAATTCAGCCACCAAACAGGACACTCATCCCAGTCTGTGTCTGGATTACAATCTTCTGAGACCCTGTGCAGAGGACCCGCTAAGTTGTGCCCAGACTCCTGACCCATGGAAACTGTGAGATAATAAACTTCTGTTGTTTTATTAAAAATTTAATTGTATTTTAAACCGACAAGTAATAATGTATATATTTATGAAATGTTATGACCATAAAGTCATAATAAGTATGTGAGGTGATGGATATGTTAGTTCTACTTAATTTTTCCACAGTGTGCACATATATCATCACATCAGATGTGTGTTGTTTTAAGCCAATAAATTTGTGATATTTTGCTAAGCAATATAAAAAAATTTATTATTTTTAATGTTAAACCTCTTTATTGATCTTAACATAGAATAAAATTTTCCTCTTTAAAGTATTCAATTTAATGACTATTAGTATATTCACAGAGTTAGGGAATTATTATCACCAAAATCTAAGTTTAGAATGTGTTAATCACCCCTAGGTAACCATTTTGCCATTAACAGTCATTTCCCCATCCCACCCCCAGCCTGGGCACACAATAATCTGCTTTCTGACTCTATAGATCTATTTTGAATGTCTCATGTAAATACAATTTTCTAATATGTAGGCTATTGTGACTGGCTTCCTTCACTTAGTATGGCGTTTTAAAGGTTCATTCATGTTGTAACATGTATCACTATTTCATACCATTTTATAACCAAATATATTCTTTGCATGGATCTGTGACCTTTTATTTACACACTCATCAGTTTACAGATATTTGGATTGTTGCAGCTTTTTCAGTATTGTAAGTAATGCTTACATGAACATTTGCATGTACGTTTTTGCGAGGCCATATGTTTTATTTCCCTTGAATGTATACCTAGGAGTTGAATTGCTGAGTCATGTGATATTCCTGTGTTTAGCATTGAGGAACTTTCAAGTTATTTTTCAAAGAGGCTGCACCGTTTTATATTCCTACCAAAAATGAATGAGAGTTTTCATTTCTCCATGACCTGTCCAACATTGTTTTTGTCTTTCTTTTTTATTATAGTCATACCTGTGAGTATGAAGTCATATTTTGGTTTTGATTTGCAGTTCTCTAATGTCTGATGATGTTGAGTGTTGAGAATTTTAATATGCTTATTGAGGATTTGTGTATTCTTTTGGAGAAACGTCCATTTAGGTACATCATTTATTGCTTTTAAAATTGAGTTGTCTTTTTATTATTCATTTATAAGTGTGATTTATATTCATACATTTTCGCATGTGTGTACTAAAAATATTTGCAATTCATATATCTGATAAGGGACTTAAATATATACAGGTACATACGTGTGTGTATTTGTGCATATTTGTGTGTATATACACACTTTTTTATCAGAAATACAATTTGCAAATACTTTTTCCTATTCTATGGACTATATGTTCACTTTTTTGATGGTATCATTTGTAGCACATGTTTTTAATTTTGATGTGGTCATTTATCTATCTCTTCTTTTGTCACTTGTGGTTTTTGTGTCATATCTGAGGAACTGTACCGTAACCCAAGGTCACAAAGATTTACTCCTATATTTTCTTCTGAGTTTTTAACACTTATAACTCGTGTGCTTGTTTCATAATTTATCTTGAGTTAATTTTGTTTAAGGTATGAGTTAAGGGCCCAACTTCATTACTTTGTATGTGGATAGACAGATGTCTCTGCACCATGTCCAGTGCTGTGTAGACATTACCCTGAGTCAGCATAAGCCACATTTTGGTCAAATGTTGTGCTTAAGCCCTCTTAGCTCACTAGAGTTTGGCCTTTACCATTTGATGAGATCATGGCTTGGAGGCTGTGATTACGGTTTAAAAAGTTTAGGTTCCTGCCCCCATCTTCAGCCAGGGACTCATAGCTTGGCATTCCCCCTGCAATCCCTCCTACAGGGATATAGCTTTGGGCATGCACACAGTATTTCAGACTGCCAGAGATTGTTGTGATTTTATTTTAAAGCCCAGCTTCCTTAGAGTTTCATCTGAGTCAGAGTTGCTAATTGTTTGCCCAGTGTTTGGGTCAGAACTTGTGCTTAATCTCCTAGTGACAGTGAGACTTCTGCCCTTTGTGGCTGGATCTGCACGTGACTTGTTGAATGATTTTAAGTCTGTGTCACCCTGTGTTATGATTACTCCTAAGTGGGTGCATCCTAGCACTGTATACAGCTTTCCCGATCCCATCACCCCAGGGATGATTGAGGACCCAGGATGGCTCTGCTCTTACTGGCTTTCTCTTTCCTTGGTTCTCTCTGCTAAACATCCAGGTGCTCTGCCCTTTTATTTGTTATTACAATTATCATGGAGCTATGCACTCCCCCTTAATCATTCTCCACCAGAATCTGTGTTGTTTTGACAGTGTCCTTAGGCATGGACTTTTCCATATTCTTCTGCGAAGTCCATCCTATCAGGAAAGAGCTCCTCATGGATTACAGAATGAATGGATGTGTGAATGCTGCTTCCAGTGTGACACCTTGCTCTGAAAGCAGGTGCTGGGAGGTTGGCAGCATCTAGGCTTCCTGGCTTTCTTCTCTAGCACACAACTTCTGTCTCTCTCAAGAGCCAGCCAGGGCTAGGACAATTAGTGCCAAGCATTCTTGGTCTCCTGTGCTTGGAGTAGAGCTCCTATTCTGTGCAGGAGAAGGGGGGCTGCCCTGTCAACCAAGCCTTCACGAGTAGAGCTTGGGCAACAGAGACCTGAAGGAAATGACAAGTGTTAATTACGTACCTCTTTAGGGTTGACCTGCAGTCTTAGCTTGTGAGCTGAGGAAAGAAGAGACTGTATTTCCAGCTACAGGACACAGAGTAAAACTTCCATCACACTGAGCTTAGGGATAGGGGAGGGAGTAGGTTGTGGCTCAAATGCCATAGGTTTTCACTGTTGTTACCACTGCTTAGTAGATTTTTCTTGAATAGATCTTTCTCCATTATCTGTATAACTTTAGGACAATTTCCAGATACCTTAGGGGGTTTTTAATAATTTCCTCCAGTTAAATGATTGTTTTGTTGGAGAGTCTGGTGGGCCCTACCATTCTGAAAGCAAATTTCTTTTATTATGTTTTGTGTTCATAATAATTTCACCTTTATGCTGCAAACTTCCTATTATTAATCTGTGATTCAGTTTCCAGTAAAACATATAAATCTTTTTACACATTAAAAATATAAAGGCATATATTAAAAAAAGGGTGATTTTTAAATACTGTCATATTAAAGAGGAATTTGTCATGCTCAGAAATAGATATAAATATTGTAACAAGTTGTAAAGAAACTTATTAAATAAAATATGACGGGAAGGTACCCTGGAGTTTTGGAAACAGGTATTTTCTGGGTGTGTAATGATTTTGTATAATGAAAAATAAATACAGATTAAGTAATCAATTACTTAGAGTGTGCCAACAATGGATAGAAATTATAATTTAATTCTTAGTAAGTGGAAAGAAAACATTATAACCAGTCATGTTGAAATTAAAATGTGAGAAATTGGTATGGACTCGTGCCTTTTAATATATGGATGATAGATCAATATATTCACTACTTATATTTATATTCGTGTTCATAGTTCTTGGATTCTACTGATAAGAGCTAGAAGCATCGACATCCTGGGATGAGCATACCTAGTGCCGGGACCTTGGTTTCTATAAACCATGACCCATTAAAGGAATCGGAGATTCTTGGAGAAATGGCTGATTTCCATGTTGGGGTAGGAAAAGTGGAAGCTAAGCCTGGAACGTCTTGTGCCCAAAACTACAGTAGTACTTAAAATATTATGAGAGCATGTCAGATGTCAGCTTGAACGGGCTCCCTCTGGCAAAATCTGTGACAATCTGAGCATCAGAATAATAAGAGTAACAGAATATTTATGGAATAAAATACGCAAATATGAACCTGTACTGATATAAATACATTAATGGTGGAAAAGAGATAGCTGTTATGTGTGGCAGAGGACCAACTAGTAAGTGCAGAACTAATGATTCCTTATAAAATCACCTTCCTGCAACCATCATATAATGATTGATTCAGGCAAGGATCATTAATAGCTGTTATCATAGGGGGTAAAATTTTAATGAGGAACAAAATATTTACATAACTTCAAAGTGTCTCCTTCAAATACTTATTAATCACACACAAAAAAATAGTGACTTCATAGGGAAGCAACCTGGTATACAATAACTAATGAATAGATCAACTTCACATCATTAGTAAAGAAACAAACTGACATTTTGTGTCTCCTAAAATAATGCTGTCCAGTGAGCACAGCATCACGTATACAGTTTTCCTAGTAAAAATGCATAACCTGCATCTAGCCATGAGGAAACACAAGGCAAATACAAGTTGAAGGAAATTTTACAAAATAATTGGCTTGTGCTCTTCAAAAGTCTTGAGGTCATGGAAAACAAAAAACGGTCTGAAAATTGTTTTCTGTTAAAGGAGAATAAAGATACATGACAATTAAATGTGATTCTGGTTTGGACTGTGACTAAAAAAGTTATTATGATAGACATTGTTAAGACAATGGGTAAAGTTTGAGTATAGACTATAGAATAGCTAATACTATTGTATTGTTGTTATGTATTCTAATTTTGATAATTATACTGCAATTACATAAGAGAAAATACAAATTCTTAGAAAATAGTTACTGAATTTATTGTGGAAAAAGGGATGTGATGTCTATGACTTATATTCAAATCATTCAGAAGTACATAGTTGTATATTATGTAAAGAAAAAAATATATATACACATATATATGCATACACACACGATTAACAAAAGTCATTTAAAAAGCATACAGCATTTGACCCAGAAATGCCACTACATATTATAAAATGTATTTGTTCTAAAAAAATGACAATGGAGAAAAATCTATTTGCCTAACTATTGAACTGCAGGTTAATTTTAATCATTTAAGTAGTAACGATTTTAATTTCCCATAATAAAAGATTGATTAAGAAAACTAAATCAGGTTTATATAATATTGGATATCCACAAAATATGTTTATAAAATATATATGGTAATTGCAGAAATGCTTATGCTAACATACCCATATCAAAAGTGTTAATGATAGTGGTATAAAATTAACATGTGAAGGTGGAGTGGCAAGAAACGTGAAAATAAGTTGTAATGGAATTCTGAACAACTTTCTTTACTTCTTTTTATTCCTATGTAAATGTTCTCTAATAAAATATGAATACAAAAAATGTGGAGAGATCAGTCTTACAGCCCAGCAAAATTACATTGCAAATATTCTGAGCTTGTAGCCTTTGAATTCAAGTGAATTCATTTTTATGGGCAGTAAATGAAATGGAAACAATGATGGTTGTAGTGTTCAACCAATTTGGATAGAGGCTGGATTACCAGAAAGAAAATTTCAATTAAATCCTTGGTTTATTTACCACATTGTCACACAGTCCTCAGCAAGCCCACAGTAAGTCATAAAAAAAAATTCCAATTTCTTTTCTTTCTTTCTTTCTTTTTTTTTTTTTTTGAGTGGGGCAGGTAGAAAAGAAAGTACTTCCCAAGTTCTAGAGGCTATGTTTCATGTAATCAAGCTCGGCTGGATACATTCAGGATACGTACACTATGCAGTGGAGGATGAAACAAAGGTTTTGTCAAAGGATTTTCTAAAAGCTCAAACAACAACAGCAAAACACAAAACAAGCCTTGTCTGAAGAGTACAGATATTATAGTCATGAGCACAAAAAGTAAAAGGAAGATAAATAAAGGGAAAAATCCTGTTTCTGAATTTGTTATGACATAAAAATATCAAAGATGAGACAGTTATTCTAAGAAATTGTGAAAGATGATGATAACAATTTTGTAATCAGAGGTGTTAATATTTGATAAAACATTAGGCTTAAGTTTATGTCAGCTTTATTCTGATTAGTTTATTTTCAGGTCTAAATGGATAAGGAATTAAATTAGTATCCTAAACACAGATTTCAAAGATACCAGGAAAGCAACTGAAGCTGGTATAAAACAAAACTTTTTTTCTTAAGTCTGGGTTCATTTTTATGCCACCCTTAAGAATATACCCATGAAGAATTTCACTGAGTAGTTAGAGGAGAGGGAAAGTCATGGGTTTCAACCGTTAAAAAAGGCATTTCATGATGGGCATTCGGATTCAGGACTGAAAGCTAGCTCTCAGGATAGGAAGGATGCAGCCATAGTTCTGTGTTTGATTAGTTATAAGAAATGACATTTTTTCTTGGTGAGAAAAGAGTCTTCATTTAGGTTCAATGGCAGTCTAGCGCACGGTGGGGGAGGGGGAGTGTATAGTAGGAGAAGACAAGCCTTTTTCACCTGCTGTGTTCTCAACACACAACACAGGACACTTCTGTGACTGGATGTATGTGTGTACGTTTCTTCCGCACTAACCAGTTCCCCCACACTAGCTCGGTGTCCTATAATTCAATTCAGTTGTGACACTGCTTACCTGGAGTTTGTGCCAGATCCCATAGGCTAAGGTTTTAGTCCCACAAGACTTTACTTCAGATGCCAGTTGCAAGTCCAGGCTTCCAGTACATCTGACCTACCAGCTATAAATTGGAGGTTCTTGTAACCCCCTTGGGTTCAGTCATTTGCTAGAATGACTGAACTCGGGGAAACATTTTATTTACTATTGCCAATTTATTACAAACGATATTTGAAAATATATAAATGAACATCCAGATGAAGAGATGTTTATAAGGGGAGGTTCAGAAGGATCCTGAGAGCAGGAGCTTCTGTGCTCGTGAAGTTGGGGTGGGCCACCCTCCTGGCAGTGGTCATGTTCAGCAGCCTAGAAGCTCTACCAACCCCATCCTTTGGATTTTTATGGAGGCTTCATTGCATAGACATGATAAATTACATCACTAACCATTGATGATCAGTTCAACCTTCAGTGAAAGTTACAGCCCTCTAGTCACATTCCCCTGGCAGCCAACTGTCATCCAAAGGCTATCTAGCAGGCTCAGTCATCTCACTTCCAGATAAAAAGACACTAATCGCTGCAGAGATTCCAAGGGGCCTTTGTGCCAGGAAATGGGGGCAGAGACTAAATTTATATTCTTACTGTTTTACAGGAAGTCACTCAAAGCCTGATTCTTTAACAAAGCTAGTTGGTTAGAATAATGTTAATGATAGTGCTTTCATTTAATATATCCTGGGCAAATGCTGTTGTAAGGGAATACTTTCGTTTTATATAATTATAATTTAAAGGAAGATTTCTAGCAGATTGATCTTGCAGAAGTAATATCATGTAATATTGTCAAATGTGTTTATTTCCAACAAAATTTAGTAGGAGAATGTGTATTTCAAAAGCAGTTCAATCCAAGAGTTACATAAACAACAGCTAAAGAAAGTAATCTTAAGGGGTTGGTAATAGCTTATGCTACATATAAATCAGCCATCACAAATTGATGTATTTACAAATTATGTATATGTGTGTATATATACACCCATACACATCATATGCATATACACATATATGTGTAAATATACAGAACATAATATTACATATATATAATAAAGATATTTGCAAAGCATAAAGGTCATAGCATGAACCTAGGAATATAACAGTCCAATGAGTTCATCTTTTCAGAAAGCTACTGCCCAGAAAAGGCCAATGTACTGAGAATAGCAGGTATTGCAGCAAAGAAAGAGTTTAATTATCACAGGGCCAGTCAAGGGGAAGGACAGCAGACATTTCTCAAGTCTGCCTTCCTGAAAGCTCTTGGAGTGGTAGGGTTATTAAGGATAATTTGGTGGGCAGGGGGCTAGGGAATGGGTGCTGCTACTTAGTTGGGGATGAAATTATACGACTGCCTAATCTGTCTTTGTGCACTGAGTCAGCTTCTGGGTGAGAGTCACAGAACTGGTTGAGCCAGTTCCTTGGTGTGAGTTAGGAATCTGAGTGAGTCAGTTGGTCACCAGAATGCAAAAGTCTGAAAAATATCTCAAAGACAAGTCTTAGATGTTGACAATAGTGATGTTGTCTATAGGAGCAGTTGAGGAAGTTGCAAATCCTGTGACTCCCCAGCTACATGATTCTTGAGCAATAAGCAATTATAGAAAGGCAAGCTAGAGGACAATGGCTTGAGCCTGTTTGCCCACAGCTCTGGCAACCAAGTGAATGGGTAGTACTAAGAATTGCCTCCTTGGGAATTCCATGTAGTTCATGGCTTTTATGATTGAAATAGCATTCATACAGGTCTGACCTTGTGGAAAGAAACAGATGTTCATGGACTTGGTTATGCCTGACCTTGCACCACTCATGATGATGTGCAATTTCCTGATTTTCACTGTAAGCTATACATTCCAAAACAAATTCTCTGGATTTTATGACTTTAAAGTCAGGTTTAAACCTACAATTTTATTTTTATGTGATAGTTTATTTTTTCGGGACTGTCATTAAGTCAGTGAAGTGACATACCATTGATAAGATCTTAGCAATATGAAAAACTAGGCATTTTTTGTAAAAGTTATTAATATCAAAATGGAGTCACTTATGTGAAGCCCTAAAGAAATGGAGCTGGGAGATCATGAAGAAGGAAACTTCATGCTCATATGCCTATAATTGGAGTTATAAGAGCTTTCTGCCTATATGCCTATGATGGGAATTATGCAAGGAACTCCTTAAAAATGTGGTATTCCAGTTAAGCCACTTGCACGAGGATGCTTGCCTATCAATGGCTGTCTCTGCCAATGAGCTAATGTCAACTCTTGCAAGAACGAATGGTCTTTGTTTCAAAGAAGCTTGCATGGATTTCTCCTTTTTGTCTTTAAATCTTCCCTGTATCCCAGCCACTTTAGATGTGCCTGTGGTTCACCATAGCGTGTACATCCCAGATTGCAATTGTCTGCTATTCCTGAATAAACTCTCCCTTTGGAAATCTTGTCTCTCTGTTATTATTTTCATAATATAATAAACTCAAAAAACTAAATAGTATTCTTAGTAGAGAATGAAAAAGGAATGCAGAATTTGTGAAAACAAGATGTAGTATTAAATACAAGTTAAAAAATAGGAAGAAGTGGAATATGAAAAAGAAAACTAGGGTTTAGGCTCTGACAACTAAGGTAATTATTCAGTGCTATTACGCAGATTGTTGATTTTTGAGAAATGATTAAATAGCTAAAAAATATTTCCATAAATCTGTGTCCTACATTAGCTAATTTCCTCAATTTGGAGGCTGACATTATATTAGTAGATTCTTTAGAGCTGAATAGTACAGAATAATAAAGTCTTCAAAAAAAGGAGGAACCTGTGGGAATGGATTAAAATAACTTTACCTGTAGAGGACTTAGGAAGTTGGCAAACGGGGCCCTAGGTGTACAGCCGAAAGTATCTTCAGTTACTGAATAGAGAGAGAGAAAAAAAGCCAATATCTAGAAAGAAGCAATTTGCATTTTAAGGTGTATATCACATGATCTGAGAGATGGCAACACATCAGGTGAATAATAACTTCATCTGCTGCAAGCTTTCTTAACATCTCTATTTAGTGCTTGAATGCATCTTTCTATTTTATTCTCCTATCTCCTACTCTCTCAAAGTACTAAGCACTACACAATATCTAAAGTTATCATTTCTAAGGCTAACTACATCTAATTTTTATCATGGGTTGTAGTTTTCCAACGTAGACTAACTCTAAGAAAAGCTATATGTCCACCTTTCATTTTTGCTATATCTCAGTGCAAATGTAAATTGCAAATCTCTTTACCTCTGAGATCGTGTTGTGGGTCCCCTGCAGTTACAGAAATAATGAAGTTATCATCAGAAGGTCAGAATCTGCCTACCTGTATGGCCGTGGAAAGCAGTTTCCTGCTTCCAAATTGGATCCTTTTTTTAAAAGCAGCATCTTGTTTGCCTCTTCTGATATTCACATATTTCAAAACAAATTTTATTATACAGAGAAGAAAAAATTATGATTGTTTCCATTTCTCTGAAACTATAAAAATTTACAAGAACATTTATGTCAAGTTTCTGATTTTCCCCTATTAGGTAACTAGATTACTCAATAACAGTAGTATAGGAATGTTTCTCAGAGATAGTCACTCTCCTGAAATACATTATTGGAATTTCATAAAGTCGTTTACCGGATTCTTTTGTGTCCCAGGCTCACTGCCTATCACGGTCAATTTCATGTGTCAACTTGGGTAGGCCATGGTATGCAGCTGTCTATTCAAACAGCAGTCTAGATGTTGCTGGGAAGTTATTTTTTAGATAAAATTAACCCTAAATTCAGAAATTTTGAGTAAAGCAGTGTGCTCTCCATATGTGGGGGGGCCTTATCAAATTAGTTGAAGGTCTTAAGACTGAGGACCTTTGAGGAAGAGGGAATTGTGCCAGCAGACTCCCTTCAGATTCCAGCTGCAATGTCAACTCTTCCCTGGGTTTCCAGCCTGCCAGCCTTCCTTGCAAATTTCAGACTTGCCAGCTCACACACCTTTATGCACCAGTTCCATTAAATAAATCTCCCTCTCCCTCTAGTTTTACCCAAATCTCTATAAATCTGTATCTAGACCTATATATGTTGTTATCATATATTGGTATATAGATCTATATATAGATATATATCAACAAGATTGATATAGAATCCTATTGATTATGTTTTTCTGAAGAACTCTTCTTTCTTTATGATTGCTTCAGTATGTTTTAAGAGACTTAAATACATTGGCCAAGAGACTTAAATATATTACAATTACCCTCAGCTTGACTACACTTTACATAGGTTTCTTCCTGACTCTAGGGCCCTGGTCTCCATTTTTGTACAGCATTTACTTTGGAAAACATAATTGTAAATTTTTCTCTGCCCCTTTGAGATGTGAATTTTTTTTAAAAAAACCTCTTAGTAGTTTTACAACGTAACTCTTTGAATGTAAATATCAAGGGAGATAACACCCCTATCTCCTGGTTTCTATGGAAGGGTAGGAGCCTAACTTTGGTGGCTGCCTTGTTCCTATTGTAAAACTACCCTTTTGTCACAAAGAGAGTGGAAAATTTATGTTTCAATGGGTAAAGTCAGCTAGAAAACACATATAACCTATGCTTTCTCTCTCATCCCAGAACTTAAAATTTCTCTCACTCTTTGTTTCAGTGGAGTCGAGCTCAGACCGAATTCTGGCCTCTCTCCTTTATTGCAATAGACTTGAAAAAATTCTTTCTTCCCTGTTCAGCTTTTCCTGATGCAAATTACAATATAAAGAGGCTCCTGTTGTGCAAAGGCATAAAAATGATACAATGGACTTTGGGGACTTTGTGGGGGAGAGGGTGGGAAGCGGGTGAGGGATAAAAGACAGCAAATTGGATTCAGTGTACACTGCTTGGGTGATGGGTGCACCAAAATCTCACAAATCACCACTAAAGAACTTACTCATGCAACCAAATACCACCTGTTCCCCAAAAACCTATGGAAATATAAAACAAAGAGGCTTCTCTTTTTCGAGTTTAATATTGAAGTTGTTGAAAGTTGGCCACAATCTTCAAACAATGAGATTTATATGAAATATTTAAATTTCTTTAATTGTTCAGAAACAACATAGCTGCCTGCTAATGAAAAGAACTTAAATTTGCTTATTAAAATTACGATGTTAAGCCACACTGTATACAGAAGTAAATAGTGTAATTCCAGAAGTTAAAAAGTTTACAGTAAAACAATGAATGATCTAGGAAAGTTTAGTAGCTATATGTGATGAATATCAGTTATCTCTCTTTGTTCTACATCTCTCAATTCATCTGGTTATTGTTAAATTAATTTCCCTGTAGCACTACTTTGTCCTCTGCATTTCATTGGTCAGAACTTCTCAAGTCTCCCTCTGTGAACAAGGATTAAAACCACATGTTTTAGCCAAATATCCCAAGTCCAACAGAGTTCTATCTGAATTCTAGTTTTCCAAAATTATATAAATCTAGGAAATGAAGGCTAAAGTGTCATTCTGATATTGCAAGATACTACTTTGTATGTGAATACTTACTGGTGAATGCCTAATATCAGTTTCTTTAGATTTTTTTTTTCTTCTTGAGTTAATCTAATTCCCCCGAGATGAAATATTTATATATTTTTCTCTGTTCGATTTAAGCCTCACAAGTTAAGTAAACCCTTATGAATTACAGACTGGAACCCTCCTCATGTTGTGAAATAATGAAATGCAAATCACAATTCAAGTTGCTGCTCTACTTACTCTCCTCCTTTTTATTCCTATTAATTAATCCTACTGGAGGAGCCAATGTCCACTGTGCGGACCACCAGCTGGATGATCAATTTGCCTTGACTTACTTTAAAACAGAAAATTACTGTGCTAGCAGATGTCATTTTCTATGGTAATATATAGCCCTCCTATACACAACAAGATTCCCACTGTTTAGTCAGGACTTTCTAGAATCTGTCCAGGTGAACAGAAAATGTCAAAGCCCACCATGATTGGCCCATGCTCATAGAATTTATGCTTCCAGGTTGATTTACTCAAGGGCTAGATGGAGTGCATTAGAACGAGTGCATTTACTTGTTCATCAAATAAATTTAACATACTTGGTAAATTGCAAGCTTTGTTCTACGTGTTGAAAATGGAGAGGCAGGAAGACAGTTTCCCGGCTCTGAAAGAAGTTAAAAGCGTTGAGAAAAGACATTAGATTGTATGTTAATTTTTTGTTAACAGTACTTTTTAAAGCAAAGTTTTTGCTAAATATTTGTTTAATTTCAGGCATTTTAAGTTCTATATGTATGTTTTACAATAAGATATGATATGTCAAGCATTTCATGATTAGGAGTATAATAAGGCTTCATTTGATAGCAGTATTTTCCAATGGGAACAAAAAACAATAGACTTTACTGCTTGGCCAGTATGACACTGGCTTATGATCAGATCAGACAATGCTTGTCATGTCCAAAAAAGGCAGGAGAAATTGCCAAGCGGGAGGAGAAATTGCCACGGAGCAGGATACATTCTTTTGGCTCTGAATTTGTAGAAAAAAATCAAGACACAGTGACCATATCACATCTTAAAAACGTATTTTGTGTATTTGACACATTGCTGCTAACTTTTCAGCTATTTTTTTTTGCTTCCTTCGTACTTCATTTGTGTATTTTGTGTATTTGACATATTGCTGCTAACTTTTCAGCTATTTTTTTGCCTCCTTCGTACTTCATTTGTTTCTTCATTTGCTTTTTATGTTCTTATGAATAAAAATTATTCATTATTCTGAAATTTGTTTGTTCATTCATTGTTTATTTACATCTGCTTACACCCAAGGAGGTTCTAAGAGGCTTTCTAATAAGAAACTTGAATATGATTTTGATATTAAAAGCAATATCAAAATAAGAGACTGCTAGTAAAAAGGTAGAAAATATTTTATAAGAAAATTTACACTAAGTTGAAAACTTAATTTACCTCAGAGATTTCTCTCAGTGACTTAGAAGAACACGCATAAATAAGATACATTCTCTTACTCTAATTCCTAGCAATAAACGTCTTAACATTAATTTTTACAAAGTTTTGGGAGCCAGTGAACAATGTTATATTCCACAATTGCCTAATTTTCTTTTCTCTGTGTGTGTGTGCCCATGAGTTTCTGTTTATATTATTTATCTTTTAGTAATTATTTTTATTATCTGTAGATTAATTTTGGTGATAGTAATGTTGTAAAATGATAAAAATGGAATGTTCTAGACTAGTAATCTACAATGATTAATGAACAGAATTTAATATAATATGAATTTAGTAATTTCTGACTTGTAGTATATGTGACACTTTTTGCTTAATTTGGTTTCTCTTTAATAATTCATTACTCCTTCAGCTTGTCAGTTGAGAGCTATTTTTGTATCCTTTTTCTGAATAACAGTTAAATTTATTTAAATCTGCCATAAATTCACAAAAAAAAGGCACAAAGATGTTTGTCTTCCTCTTTATGACTCTGTGAGGCCCCTCCTGACTTTGGTCTCCCCAGTGCTTTTGCCATGATTACATCGACTTCTTTGCATGGAAGCCCAGATGATTTAATTTATATCTCTCTTCCTTATCTTTAGCTTTCCAGCTTCATATTTCTGTGTATTAAAATTCCAGATTAATAGTAGAATTTACTCTTCATGTCATTAGTGTTTTGTTTCAATCTCACCTGGTAAAACACCACCAGGGTGTGCTGAAATTTAAGGCTGACACTAACTACTTAGAGTTAGTATCAGACTCCACAGGTTTAAGAGCCCAGGCTTCCATAAGACTTCTCTTACTTCAGATACCAGCCACAAGTGGTGTCCTCAGACAGCCCATTCTTCTGACCAACTGACTACCAATTTATAGGTTCCTATGACCACCCCTCAGGTTCAGTAACTTGCTAGAATGACTTAGGGAACTCATAGAAAATGCTATGTTTAAGATTACAGTTTTATTATAAAGGATACGTACAGAACATGGGCTGGGAGTGAAAAAGACATACCTTCCATGTTTTTTCCCCATAGATTTAGGGTGTGCTGCCCTCCTGGCACATCAGTGTGTTTACCCATCAGGAAGCTCTACTGAGCTTTGAGTCCAGAGATTTTATTGGGGTTGTGTTATGGAGGCTTGCTTATTGTATCGTTGGCCATGTGATAGAACTCAACCCCTAGCCCTAATCCCCTCCTTGGAGGTCAGGCTAGCCCAAAGACCAGCCCCCATCCTGATGCTATTTACAGGTCTCCCGTGAGTCACCTCATTTGTATAAAAAAGAAACTCCAGTCACTCAATCAATTATAAGGGTTTAGAAGCTCTGTGCCTGGAACCGGATACAAAGACCGGAGATATTCTTTATTACCTCACAGATAATAGCTCCAAAGACTTAAGATGTGTGAAAACTGTAAAGGGGATGTTACAAAGATTAACTCTTGGTAGATCTAAATTGAGGCTCAGGATTTCCTAATTTTTACAAGTATAAAAAGAACTTTACATGGTTTATGAATGTGTAAATTGGCACAATCACTTGGGGGAAATATCTGCTAATATCGATTAAATTAGAATATATGAATATTCTTGATCCAGCAAATCCACTTCTAGGTAAATGCCTGACAAAATTGTCCACTGTCAGGAAAAACTGTATGACGTTTAAAAATGCGTATACACCCACACAAAAGATTACTGTGTTTTCTGTCTAGCTCATCCTTCTGGGTTTTCTAATTTATTGGTTTTGGGCTATTTTATAACTCTAGAGGGTGTAGGAAATGTTATGCTGTACATTATTATTTTTTTCCTAGACAGGCTAATGGATTTAATCTTGTGGAATGCAACTTACTATTGTCCTGCTGATGCTGACCAGTTTAACATTTACTTATTAATTTGTTTCAGCCTTTCTGTTTTCCTATATATGGTGTATTTGAATTCTCCTTTGAGCCAAACAAACATTTTGCTTGTTTGTTAATTCATTAATGAGTTATATATGCCTTTGGCATGTGTTATTTTTATATTTGTATGGAATTCATGATTTTGCCTTTTAAAGAATATATCATTTACCACCATCATAAATGCTGCAATATTTATGGAAGCACTATTTGTAGGGGGAGAATAGGGTTAGTAGGGGGCTTGCAACTCTGTTTTATCCTCCTTAGGGACATCTCAGGCAGCTTTGACCTCTCTTAAACATACTGACGGAATTTACTAGCTGGAAGATAAACGAGGGCCTTCTGGGGTTGCTATATACCGATTTCTTACCTAAGAAAACCTTTTAGTATGCTATACCTGGTGTGTCTGGGTTGTATATTGTAAATAAACCTCCAGTGAGGATGTGCAGGGGATTGGAGTTATCACTTCATTCCTCTGAACCCAAAAAAACATACTCAGGTGGAAAACAAGGTGACCTATGGAGCTGCATCTAGAAAGAGATAAAATAATGATTGCTTTTGATATATGTCAGAGCATTTTATAAAAATTCTGTTTGACTCTCATCTAATACTCTTGGAGGTGTAACTTTGTGGTCACAGCAGATTTGACTAACAACCCGCAACTGATAAATGTGCAAGTAGTTTATGGCTCTTTAAAGTTGGAGGTTAACCAGCAAATATTGATAACATAATTTACTGTACTTCTGAGAGTCCGTCTTATGCATAATTTAGCCATTTTATTTAGACATACTTAGACATTTCTTTCTTGACTAGCTGGACAAATTCCCTTCTTTCTCAGTTCTTCCATAAGTGAACTTTGTTGTGTTCTTGATGGTTCCCTCATGGATGAGTTACATATAATTTTGAGAGTTCTGTTTTATCTCCTATTGTCCTCAAGGGCTAGGAAGAAAAGGCATTCCAATATACTCATGCAAATGAAGGTTCTATATTTCATTACATACTCTTAAATATTGTTTAAGTTTTACTATTTTAAATACTTCATTCAATAGTTTCTTAATTGAAAAACGTAACAAGTCAAGAAATACTCTTACAAGAAGACAAGTACAACATTTATCCCAATGAAACATATTCAAAAGTTAGACTTTTATGTTATTTGTAGTTAGGACCAGCATGGATTTTTTTTGTTTTTTCTTTTTGGTTAGAGTGGGAAGACAAATTTGCTTTTTAAAAGGCTACCTATATTGATTTCCTCATACTAACATTAATATTTCCCTTAACAGAACTCTGTGCCCTTGTAGGGATCAACATCTTAATGGGATTTTTGTTTATGAAAGAAAAGACTTATATGAGAACTAAGTTGCTCTCCAAATTTAATATAAAGTGGAATTTTGGAGAAAAGGTATATTTTCGTTTTCCTTTTTAATCTGACAGATTGTTAAAAACATGTCTCTGCTAGTTATAGTAGGAGTCCTGTAATTTTTATTCTGTATGAATGGACTTTGATTTTTTTAATGCCCTGTAAAAAAAAGTAGTCAGTGGAGGTCCAGTGTTCAATATGGCATGTAAGGAGCTTGAAAGTCATCACTTCATCCTAACAAAAAGTAAAATTTGAGCGATCTGAAAAACCAGCCACTCATCTCAGATCTGTCAGAGAGGTGATGTCACAAGGCAGATTTCTGCCTCAAAGTCAGAAAAAGACTGTTGAACACAAAGAATCACAACTTATTAGAGCAGAGGCTTACAGGCAGAAACCTCCACTGTAACAAGAATCAGGTTCCTTTTACCTAGTTCATCACATCTGGCTATCAAGAAAAAAATTACAAGGCATACTAAAAGGTATAAACCACAGTTTGAACAGACAGAACAAGCATGAGAACCAAATTCAGATATGACAGAGATGTTGGAATTATTAGCTCAGGAATTTAATACAACTACAATTAATAGGATAAGCGTTCTAATCAATAAAGTGCACAGCATGCCAGAACAGGTGGGCAATATAAAGGAAAGGAGGAATGCCTTTGATGGGCTCATTAGTAGACTGAACATGCTGAGAAAATAATCTTTGAACTTGAAGACATCTCAATAAAATCTCCTAAAACTAAAAAAAAAAAAGGGGAAAAAAAACCTGAAAAAACCCAGAATAGATTATCCAAGAAGTGTGGGACAACTACAAAAGGTACAATTTAAGTATAATGGGAATTTTGGAAGGAGAAAAATGAGCAAAATAAAGACATATTTGAAACAATGATGACTGTTAATTTTCCCAAATTAATGTCATCTAACAAACCATACCCCCAGGAAGCTTAGAGAACACCAAACAGAATAAATATGAAAACATGTATACTAAGGCGTATCATATTGAAACTTCAGAAAATCAAGGGCAAAGAAGAATTGTGAAAGGGATCAGAGAGAAAAATAGCTTACCTGTAGAGGAGCAAAGATAAAAATTCTATCTGACTTCTCCTCAGAAATCATATAAGCAAAAAGAGAGCACAGCAAAATATTTACAGTATTGGGAGAAAAACAACATAAAATTTTACACTCTGTGTAATTATCCTTCAAAAATGAAGGATAAATACTGTATCCAAAAATCAAAAATTGAAAAAAATTGTTGCCAGTAAACCTGCCTTGTAAGTAATATTACAAGAAATTTTTCAGAAGAAAGGAAAATTATATAAGATCAAAAACTCAAATCTACATAAAGAAAGGAAGAGCATAGGAGAAGGAATAAGTGAAAGCAAAATAAAAACATTTATTATTATTATTCTTAACTGATGTAACATATAAGAAGTTTTTCAAAATTACAGTAGCAAAAATGTATTTTATGCTTAATCAATGTATTAGATAATGTATGAAATTTTAAAATATATATGTTTATGTATAAATGAATGACAGCAATGATACAAAGGGCTGGAAGAAAGAATTATTTTGTTATTGTGAGGTACTTGCACTGTCTATGAAGTGCTATAGTTTTATTTGAATGTGGGGATGGATTCGTTGTAAGTGTATATTGCAGGGAAACCACCAAAAAAAGTTTTCTAAAATACCAGAAATATAACTGATATGCTAAGGACAGAAACCAAATCATACAAAATTCAATTAAAACCACAAAAAGCAGTAAGAGAGTAGAAGACAAAAATGGGAACAAAGAACAAAGGCAAAAATATAAGAGAGTAACAAATATATATTAATCCAGCTATATCAATAATCACTTTAAATAGCAATGGTCTAAATTTAACAACAATTAAAAAATAGAGATTGTCAGATTAGATTAAAAAACAAGACCTAAATGTATGTTGTCTACCAGAAACCTGCTGAAATTTAAACAGACACGTATAAATTAGAAGTAAATGGATGGAAGGCTGGGCACGGTGGCTCACATCTGTAATACTAACACTTTGGGAGGCCAAGGAATTTGAGACCAGCCTGGCCAACATGGTGAATTCCCATCTCTACTAAATATACAAAAAGAAAAAAAATAGCTGGGCGTGGTGGTGCACACCTAGATTAATGTAATTTGTTAGTGTCTTGTTAAGCTTTTATTAAGATAAAAAGAGAGGACACAAATTACTAACACTAGAAATAAAGGAGATACCACTGCAAATCTTAGGAACATTAAAATGATAATCAAAGGAAACTATGAAGAACTAACTCTATGTCCAAAAATTTGATAACCCAGATGAAACAAATCAATTCTTTGAAAGACACAATCTGCCAAAACTCACACAAGAAGAGATAGAGAAACTGAATAGGCCTATATCTACTAAAGAAATTGAATCAATAATTAATAAACTTCCAAAACAGAAAGCACCAGGCCTAAATTTGTCCACTGGTGATTTTTATCGAACACTTAAGAAATAATTTATATCAATTCACATGTAACAAAAAAGGAGCCCGAATAGCCAAGGCAATCCTGAGCAAGAAGAACAACCAGACAAAGAATTATAATACCAACCAGACAAAGAATTATAATACCAACCAGACAAAGAATTATAATAAAGGAAAACTAAAGACCAATATCACACGAGAGCATAGCTTCAGAAATTCTCATCAAAATATTAGCAAATCAAATCCAACCATGTGTAAAAGAACTCTACATCAAGACCAAGTGGGATTTAGCCCAAGTATTCAAGCCTGTTTCAACACTTGGAAATCAATTAATGTAATCTATCACAACACCAAGATACGATCCATGAAAGAATTAAACCTGAGCTCCTTTAAAATTAAAAATTTCTGTTCCACAGAAGACACTGTTAAAGAGAATGAGAAGACAAGCCAGAGAGAGGGAGAAAGGATTTGCAAAACACATACCTGATAAATGACTGTTATCCAAAATGTACAAATAACTTCAACAGCTTTATTGAGGTATCATTGACATAAAAATTATATGTGTTTAAGGTGTAACACTGGATGTTTTGATATACATGTGTATCATGAAATGATCACCACAATTAAGCTAATTAACACATCCACCATTCTTACATAGTTACCACATGTGTGCGTGTATGAGTGGTGAGAAGATTTAACTTAAGATCCACTACTGTCACCACCACAACAGAAACAAAGGCATCCAAATTATTGTGCACTTTCTTTGTGGCATGCATAGTGCTTAATGTGCATTTATTTAGTCCTCACAGCAACCTTATGTTTTCTTTAAAGATAAGAAAACTGGGGCTCAGAGAGTTTCAGTCATTTTCTGAAGGAAACACGGTAAAGTGTAGAGTTATGTTGTTAAACATTAATTTTAGCTGTTACAGAGAAGACACCGGCAGAAAAATTGAGCAGAGCTTAGGAAAAAAAAACAAACAAACTAAATAAAACTCAATCCTTCGCCATTTCAGGTCAGTCTTTAGTGGCTCTGATCAGTCTTTGGATACTCACCTAGGAATTGTAACCAAGTCTAACTCTTATGTGTTTTGCTGAGCATTCGCTTCCTGATTGCAGGTTTAAGAGCATCTGAAAAGTCAGTTGTCACTGTGGCTAGTTTGTAAGTCAAGGTACTACTGGGTGTGGCCTGGTTTGCCTTTAGGAAGACCACTCCTTCCTCTTCCTAGAAGCCAGCTCCTCCAGCTCAGAGCAGCCTATATCTGGAGTCAGGGTGAGTGCACCTTTAGAAAGGATACAATTTTTTTATTGTTTGTTTTGTTTTGTTTTTCTAGCTTTATTGAGGTATAATTGAGAAATAAAAATTATACATATATTTATGGTGTGCATGTCGTGTTTTGATATATGTATACATCGTGAAATGATCACTCTAATCAAACTAATTGACATATCCCTCACCTCCATGGTTACGTGTGTATGATAAGAACATTTACAATCAATTCTCTTAGCAAATTTGAAGTATACAATACTGTGTTGCTAACTATTGTTGCCATGTTGTACATTATATCTCCAGAAGTTATTCATCCTGCATAATTGAAATTTGCATTTTTTCATCAGCATTACTTGGTTTCCCCCTTCCCTTGGCTGCTGGCAACCATCATTCTACTCTGTGCTTCTGTGAATTTGACTATTTTAGATTCCACATATAAGTGAGCTAATGCAGTATTTCTCTGCATCTTTTTTTTTTTTTTGAAACAGGGTCTCACTCTGTTGCCCAGGCTAGAGTGCAATGGTGTGATCTCAGTTCACGCAGCTTCCAGCTTCTGGGTTCAAGCGATTCTCGTGCCCTAGCCTCACAAGTAACTGGGACTACAGGCATGCACCACCATGCCTGGGTAATTTTTATTTTTGTATTTGTAGTGGAGGCAGAGTTTCACCACGTTGGCCAGGCTGGTCTTGAACTCCTGGCCTCAAGTGACCTCAGCCTCCTGAAGTGCTGGGATAATAGGTGTGAGCCACTGTACCCGGCCTTGTATCTTTCTCATTTAGCTTAGCATAATGTCCTCTAGTTCCCTCCATGTTGTCACAAATGGCAGTATGTTAAGGCAGAATAATATTCCATTGCATGTATATGGCACATTTTCTTTTTTTTTTTTTTTTGAGATGGAGTCTTGCTCTGTCACCCAGGCTGGAGTGCAGTGGCACGATCTCAGCTCACTGCAACCTCCACCTGCTAGGTTCCAGCGATTCTCCTGCCTCAGTCTCCTGAGTAGCTCCGACTACAGGCACACGCCACCACACCCAGCTAATTTTTGTATTTTTTAGTAGAGATGGGGTTTCACCATATTAACCAGGTTGGTCTTGAACTCCTAACCTTGTGATCCACCCGCCTCAGCCTCCCAAAGTGCTGGGATTACAGGCGTGAGCCACCGCACCTGGCTTATGGCACACTTTGTTTATTCATCCATCCACTGAAGGACATTTAGGTGTTTTTTGTAACTTGGCTATTGTGAATAATGCTGCAGTGAACACTGGGTTGAAGATATCTCTTTGTGATCCTGATTTCCATTTCTTTGGATATGTATACCCAGAAGTGGAATTGCTGGGTCATACAGTATTTCCACTTTAATTTTTTTTAGAAATTCCATACTGGTTCCCATGTCGTTACTAATTTACATTTCTATCAACAGTGTATAAAGTTCCTCTTTCTCCATGTCCTTGCCAACACTTGTTATCTTTTGTCTTGTTGACAATAACCATTCTAACAGATGTCAGGTGATAGCTCATTATGGTTTTAATTTACATTTGTAGGATAATTAGATGTGTTGAGCACCTTTTCATATACCTGTTGGCCATATTAATTTTGCTTATTTGAGAAGTGTCTGTTTAGGTACTTTGCCCATTTTTAAATTGGGATATTTGTATTTTTAGTATTAAGTTGTATGTTTTCCTTATGTATTTTGGATATTAACCCTGTATGAGATATATGGTTTGCAAATAAATTTCCATTCTGCAGGTTGCCATTTCATTTTGTTGACTTTTTCCTTTCCTGTGCAGTATGGTACAGGCATAAAAACAGACACATAGGCAGACACAATTAAACCACATAGAGAGCCCAGAAATAAATCCACACATATATAGTCAACTAACATCTTCAGCAAGGACACCAAGCATACAGTTGGGGGAAGAATAATCTCTTCAGTAAATGGTGTTTAAAAAACTCTATGTCAACCTGCAAAAGAATGAAATTGGACCCTTATCTTACACCATACACAAAAATCAACTCAAAATGAATCAAAGCTTTAGATGTAAGACCTGAAACTCTAAAACTCCTAGAAGAAAACATAAGGTAAATACTCCTTGACATAGTCTTGGCAATGAATTTTTTTGGATGTGAAACCAAAGCACAAACAACAAAAGAAAAAATAAGTGGAAGGATATTAAATTAAAATTCTTTGGCACAGTGAAAGAAACAATCTACAAAGAACTCATTAAAACTCAACAATAAGAAAATGAACATCCCGATTAAAAATTGGCAAAAGACCTGAACAGATATCTCACCAAGGAAGATATACAAATGGCAAATAAGCATTTGAAAAGATGCTCAACATCATAAGTCATTGGAGAATTGCAAATTAAAACAACAATAAGATACCATGAAACACCAATTAGAATGGACAAAATTAAAAAACAACATGAATAACATCAAATGCTCTTGGGGATGTTGGGCAACAGAAACTCTCTTTCTTTGCTGATAGGAATGCAAAATGATACAGCCACTTTGGAAGACATTTTGCTAGTGTCTTACAAATCTAAACATATTCTTAATATGTGATCCAGTAGTCATGCTCTTTAGTATTTACCCAAAAGAGCTAAGAGCTAAAAACTTATATCCACACCAAAACCTTCACATGGATGTTTATAGACCCTTTATTTATTATTTCCAAAACTTGAAAGCAACCAAGATGTACTTCAGTAGGTTAATAAAGTATAGTACATCCAGACAATGAAATATTATTCAGCACCAAAAAGAAATGAGCTATCAAGCCATGAAAATACACGGAGGAATCCTAAATGCACATTACTAAGTGAAAGAAACCAATCTGAAAAGGCTGTGTACTTTAGGATTCCAACTATGTAAGATTCTGGAAAAGGTAAACTATGGAGACAGAAAAAACATTAGTGGTTTCCAGATCCTGGGGGGAGAAAGGGATGAATAGGCAGAGCACAGAGGATTTTTAAGGCAGTGAACTTACTCTTTATGATATTATAATGGTGGACACATGTCATTATGCATTTGCCAAAACCCACAGAATGTACATCACCAAGAGAAAACCATAATGAAAACTATAAACTTTGGATGATAATAATATGTCAGTGTGGGTTATTTGATTGTGACAATGTATCATTTTGGTGCCGGATTTTGACAGCGTGTAAGACTGTTTGTATGTATGATGACAGAGAGTACATGATAAATCTCTGTATCTTCCACTTAATTTTGTTGTGAATCTAAAACTTCTCTTAAAAGATCTCTTTTAAAACATTGGCCATTGGTCTATATATCTGTTTTGGTACCAGTACCATGCTGTTTTGGTTACTGTAGCCTTGTGGTATAGTTTGAAGTCAGGTAGCATGATGCCTCCAGCTTTGTTCTTTTGGCTTAGGATTGTCTTGGCTATATGGGCTCTTTTTTGGTTCCATATGAAATTTAGTGTTTTCTAATTCTGTAAAGAAAGTCAGTGGTAGCTTGATGGGGATAGCATTGAATCTATAAATTACTTTGGGCAGTATGGCCGTTTTCAATATATTGATTCTTCCTATCCATGAGCATGGAATGTTTTTCCATTTGTTTGTGTCCTCTCTTATTTCCTTGAACAGTGGTTTGTAGTTCTAATTGAAGAGGTCCTACACATCCCTTGTAAGTTGTATTCATAGGTATTTTATTCTCTTTTTAGCAATAGTGAATGAGAGTTCACTCATGATTTGGCTCTCTGTTTGTCTATTATTGGTGTGTAGGAATGCTTGTGATTTTGGCACATTGATTTTGTATCCTGAGACTTTGCTGAAGTTGCTTATCAGCATAAGGAGTTTTTGGGCTGAGACAATGGGGTTTTCTAAATATACAATCATGTTATCTGCAAACAGAGGCAATTTCACTTCCTCTCTTCTTATTTCAATACTATTTCTTTCTCTTGCCTAATTGCCCTGGCCAGTACTTCCAATACCATGTTGAATAGGAGTGATGAGAGAGGACATCCTTGTCTTGTGCCGGTTTTCAAAGGGAACGCTTCCAGTTTTTGCCCATTCAGTATAATATTGGCTGTGGGTTTGTCATAAATAGCTCTTATTATTTTGAGATATATTCCATCAATACCTTGTTTATTGAGAGTTTTTAGCATGAATGGGTGCTGAATTTTATCGAAGGCCTTTTCTGCATCTATTGAGATAACCAGGTGGTTTTCGTCATTGGTTCTGTTTATGTGATAGATTATGTTTATTGATTTGCATATGTTGAACCAGTGTTGCATCCCAGGGATGAAGCCAACTTGATTGTGATGGATAAGCTTTCTGACGTGCTGCTGGATTTGGTTTGCCAGTATTTTATTGAGGATTTTTGCATTGATGTTCATCAGGGATAATGGCTTGAAATTTTCTTTTTTTGTTGTGTCTCTGCCAGGTTTTGGTATCACGATGATGCTGGCCCCATAAAATGAGTTAGGGAGGATTCCCTCTTTTTCTATTGTTTGGAATAGTTTCCGAAGGAATGGTACCAGCTCCTCTTTGTACCTCTGGTAGAATTCGGTGGTGAATCCATCTGGTCCTGGGCTTTTTTTGTTTGGTAGATTATTAATTACTGCCTCAATTTCAAAACTTGTTATTGTTCTATTCAGGGATTTGACTTCTTCCTGGTTTAGATTTGGGAGGGTGTATGTGTCCAGGAATTTATCCATTTCTTCTAGATTTTCTAGTTTATTTGCATAGAGGTTTTTATAGTATTCTCTGATGGTAGTTTGTATTTCTGTGGGATCGGCTGGGAGATTCCCTTTATCATTTTTTATTGTGTCTATTTGATTCTTCTCTCTTTTCTTCTTTATTAGTCTGGCTAGTGGTCTATATATTTTGTTGATCTTTTCAAAAAACCGACTCCTGGATTCACTGATTTTTTGAAGGGTTTTTTGTGTCTCTGTCTCCTTCAGTTCTGCTCTGATCTTAGTTATTTTTTGCCTTCTGCTAGCTTTTGAATGTGTTTGCTCTTGCTTCTCTAGTTCTTTTAATTCTGATGTTAGGGTGTCAATTTTAGATCTTTCGTACTTTCTGTTGTGGGCATTTAGAGGCCTCAGAAATAACACCATACATCTACAACCATATGATCTTTGACAAACCTGACAAAAACAAGCAATGGGGGAAGGGATTCCCTATTTAATAAATGGTGCTGGGAAAACTGGCTAGCCATATGCAGAAAACTGAAACTGGATCTCTTCCTTACACTTTATACAAAAATTAACTCAAGATGGATTAAAGACTTAAGCATAAGACCTAAAACCATAAAAACCCTAAAAGAAAACCTAGGAAATACCATTCAGGACACAGGCATGGGCAAAGACTTCATGACTAACACACCAAAAGCAATGGCAACAAAAGCCAAAATTGACAAATGGGATCTAATTAAACTAAAGAGCTTCCACACAGCAAAAGAAACTATGATCAGAGTGAACAGGCAGCCTACAGAATGGGGGAAAATTTTTGCAATCTATCCATCTGACAAAGGACTAATATTCAGAATCTACAAAGAGCTTAAACAAATTTACAAGAAAAAAACCAACCCCATCAAAAAGTGGGCAAAGGACATGAACAGACACTTCTCAAAAGAAGACATTTATGCAGCCAACAAAATGAAAAAAAGCTCATCATCACTGGTAATTAGAGAAATGCAAATCAAAACCACAATGAGATACCATCTCACACCAGTTAGAATGGCAGTCATTAAAATGTCAGGAAATAACAGATGCTGGAGAGGATGTGGAGAAATACGAACACTTTTACATTGTTGGTAGGAGTGTAAATTAGTTCAACCATTGTGGAAGACAGTGTGGCAATTCCTCAGGGATCTAGAACGAAAAATACCATTTGACCCAAAAATCCTATTACTATTCTACTATAAAGACACATGCACACGTATGTTTACTGTGGCACTGTTCACAGTAGCAAAGACTTGGAACCAACCCAAATGCTCATCAATGATAGACTGGATAAAGAAAATGTAGCACGTATACACCATGGAATACTATGTAGCCATAAAAAGATGAGTTCATGTCCTTTGCAAGGACATGGATGAAGCTGGAAACCATCATTCTCAGCAAACTAATACAAGAGTAGAAAACCAAACACTACGTGTTCTCACTCATAGGTGGGAGTTGAACAATGAGAACACATGGACATGGGGAGGCGAACATCACACACCAGGGCCTTTCAGGGGTTAGGGGGCTCGGGGAGGGATAACATTAGGAGAAATATCCAATATAGATGATGGGTTGATGGTGCAGCAAACCACCGTGGCACGTGTATACCTATGTAACAAACCTGCACGTTTTGCGTATGTATCCCAGAACTTGAAGTATAATAAATTAAAAAAAATCGTGGAATAAATTTACTAGAATTCTAAAAACAAAACAAAACAAAACAGTGACCAATGCACTTTAGGAAGAAACATTTTCTGATATAACTTTAAGATTGCTTTTTTCCATTCCATGTTCTAAACTCCCTCCATTATTTGAAAAACTTACAATAAAGTTAGAAAACTCATAAGAGATTGACTCATGTCTGTTGTGCTTGGGAAATAAACCACAGGATCCATGTGTATGTTAGATGCATGGTGGTGCAAAGAGAGAAAAGTGGTTGCAGGAATTTGGGGAAAAATCTAATCAAAGATAAATCTCTACTATAATTTGATAAAATACAAAATAGACTATAACTGGGAAGATAATGAGTTTCTCTAACCATAGCCTGGGTGTATAAGACTGTCTTGCAGCTAATTGAGATTAGATCTTAGGCTATTAGAGATCTAGAGGTAAAAAGCCTTAATATTATAAGAGTGTACTGAGCCTACCACATGGAGCTAAAATCTCACATACACAGCATAAGGAAGGTTGAATAGAAACATCAAAAAGTCTCGATTTTCATATATTTAAAAAATTTTATTTTTCACTTAATCTTCAATGAATTGTTTTTAAAATCATGATATGGAATTTTAAGCTGCCTTTTCACAATGTTTTATTGATGCATATCATGTACAGAAAAAAATGCACACTTCATAATGGTGCAGGTTGATGTACAGTCACAGACCAAATCCATTTATATTGCCAGCATCCACATCAAGAAACAAACATTACCAACATTCTGGAAGGCCCCACTATGACTCCTCATAGGCACTAAACCTCAGTGACAACTAACCACTATTTAGTTTCTAAGAGCAGAGATTCATTTTGCCAGTTTTTGTCCTTTGTATAACTGGAAACATAGGGTATATGTTGTTTTGTGTCTGCCTTCTTTTGCTCAACGTTACATTTATGATATTTATCTATTTATTTATCTGTGTTAATGTATTATTGCCTTGTGGTGTTTTACCTGTTAAATGGCACAGTTTACAAATCCATTAGCATTTAGATAGTTCATAATTTAGGAGTACTATGAAAAGTGATAACAAATATTCTAGCGCATGTCTTCTGGTGAACAAATATACACATTTCTGTGATATTATACATAGGAGTGGACTTGATACGTAATTTAGGTTTGCTTATGTTCACTGTTAGTCCGTATCACCAGCAGTCATTGATGGCATCAGTTTATCCTCTCAGAGCTGTGTATGGCAGTTTAAGTTTCTTCATAATCTTGCCAACACTTTTTTTCCTTACCGAAGTAAATTTGGTAGACATGTAGATGTAATATATTGCGATCTTAATTTGCATTTACCTGATGACTGATGAAGTTGAAGATTTCCGTGTTTACTGGCCATTTAAAACTGTACAGCCATGTCATTTTGTCTATTTTTTTGTCTTTTATTGTTTTTAGGAATTCTGCATATATTTTTATGAAGCAGGTTATGCACTGGTTAACAACTTGTTGGAAGCTGGTGAGAGAGAACACCCACACACATAAGTTATATAAAAAGTGATTATTATTTACAGATAGCAAGAAACAAAAGAAGCCTAGGTTTCATTGCAGGTCAGTCCCTGAAGGCTCTGGAAAGCTGCACATGGCAGATAGAGTCTCACTGCACATGCCCCATCTGTACCACAGCTGAAAGACCCTGAAAAGCAGCCTGCCCGGGGTTTTACACCTCAGGAGAAACTGGGCACAGTGGGCGAAAGTGTTAGAGAACATCCTATTCTAGGGGGAAGCTGGAACAAAGCCTGGGTTGTTCCAGCCAGTTCCCTCTTATCTCAGGATATTGCATTCCCAGCAAAAACTGTACAGTTAATTTTGAGATCTGCAAATGAGAAAGTGGGGAGAACCAGGTCAGTCCAAGGCCACCCAAATAATTTTCCAGCAATTCTAAACACATCTTTTCTCAGATGGGTTTATAGTAAATATTTTATCACACTCTTTGACTTGCCTTTTCATTCTCTTAATGGTGTCTTTATATGAATGGCTCTTAATTTAGACATTGCCCAATTAATACATTTTTTCTTAAATGGTTTTTGACTTAGTTAAGAAGTATTTACTTCTTCTTGGTCATAGAAGTATTCTTCCAGGTATCCCTGTAAAAGCTTTTTTTGATTACCTTTCATATTTTGCTTTGCAAACTACCAGAAGTTGATTTTTGTGTATACGATACACAATAAGATATAGGTAAATATAAATTGTTTATTTTCAACACAGTGATCCACTAAACCCAGAGGTATTTGTTGAAAACCTCCTCCTTTTGCTTATAGAGTTTTGATTACTTTCAATGTTCAGTTGTCTAGTCTTGCCTAAATGCTACATCAAAATTACTGTAGCTTTTTACTAGGTTTTTATTATGGCATCACAATATGGTATGGATTTATCATCATGTGTTTAACCATTCATTCACCCATTGAAGGATATGTGAGTAAGCTGTTTCAATTTTTGGGCTAGTACAAATAAAATTACTACCAATAGTCATGTACACAGTTTTGTGTGAACATAAGGTTTCATTTCTGTGGGTTAAATGCCCAGAAGTAAACTCACTGGGTCATATTGTAGTCCCATATTTAGTTTTTGAAAAAAATTCCAAATTGTTTTACCAAGTGGCTGTCACATTTTACATCCAACTGACAATAAATGAGTGAGCCGCTTTCTTTAAATCCCCGTAATATATAGCATTATCACTATTTTCATTTTAGATATTATGAAAGGTATTTAGTGATACCTCATTGTTATTTAATTGGTGTCGAACATCTTTTCAGGTATTGCTCTTTGTATATTCTCTTTGGTTAAATGTTTCTTTGTGGGATTTTTTTTTTTTTGCTCATTTTCTAATTAGAGTTTTTTTTATTACTGTTGAGTTTTGAGAGTTCTTTATATATTTTAGAAAATAGTCTTCTGTTGTATATATGGTTTACAAATTTTTCCTCCAGCTTTGTCGTTTGCCTCATAATCTACTTAACAGAGACTTCCTTAGAGCAAAGTTTTGAATTTTGATAAAGTCAAAGGTATTTTTTCTATTCATGAATAGGGCTTTTGGAGTCAAATATGAGAACTCTTTGCCTTGCCATAGATACTGAAGATTTTATCCTGTTTATTTCTAAAATATTATAGTTCACATTTTACATTAGAGTCTGTGATCCATTTTTCTTATGATGTGTGAGACTTAGGTCAGTGTTCATTTTTTTTGCCTAATGATAGTCAATTGTTCTAGTACCATTTGTTGAAAGACTGTCTTTCCTTTATCAAATTGCATTTGCACTTATGTGAAATATCATTTGAAATTTTGTGTGGGTCTGTTTCTGGATTCTGGATTCTGTCTCACTGATCCATGTATCTACCCTCCCACGAATACCACACACTCTTGATTGCTGTAGCTGTATGATAATCCTTGATTGTGGATAGACTGATTCCTTCTACCTTAGTTTTACTTTTAAAAATTGTTTTCATTATTCTAATTCTTTTGAATTAATATATACATTTTAGAATAATCTTGCCTATATCTACAAAAGTATCTTGCTAGAATCTTGATAGAAATTGGATTAAACCTATGTATCATTTAGGGGATAATCGATGTATTTACTATATTGAATCTTCCAATCCAGGGACTTAATATGTCTCTCCATTTATTGATTTTATTTTTTATTTCTTTCATTAGCATTTTTTTTAGTTTTCAGCATTCAAGTGTTGTACATGTTTTGTTAGATTTGCGCTTAAATATTTCATCTTTGAGCTAACGTAAATAGTATTGTATTTTTAATTTTGGTGTCTACATGTTCATTACTAGGATATGGAAAAGCAATTTTCATCTTGTAGACTGCTACCTTGATGAACTTACTAGCTTTGAGAGACTGTTTTATATTTCCTGCAAAAAAGTGGACACTTCAAAAGGTCTTCCTATAAAGACCCTTCAAAAGTAAACAAAACTCCTGAATGGCTCTCCAACAAGTAAAAAAAATAAATTTGTAATTAAAAGCCTCCACATACAAAAAAAAACTCTGGATGAGGAGGGTTTATTAGATAATTCATTTAAGAAAGAAACGTTTAAGGAAGAAAGACTAGCAACTCTTTACTCCAACTACTTCAGAAAATAGAGAAAGCAGTAATAATTTCAATCTGATTTTATGAAGCCAGAAATACCTGATAAAGACATTAAAGAAAAATAAAACTCTTGAACAGTGTCTTTCAGGGGCGGGTGAATAAATGTCCTTAACAAACTATGAACAAAACAAATTCATCCATGTATTAAAAGGGAATACACAATGACTAAGTGCAGAATATTCCATAAATGCAAAGCTGATTTAACATCCAAACATATTTTAATGTAGTTCATTATATAACTGGAACAAAGATAAAGATTCATATCATGATCTCAACAGATGCAGAAAATTCATTTGAAATAATTCAACACCTGTACATAATAAAATGTCTGAGCAAATTAGAAATGGAAGGTATGGTAGCTTTGTAATATGTCACTTTGACTAGAGACCAATAATTTTTCCCCGCATTCTCTTTCCTCTATTTTTCCAGTAACATTGGGCCCAGAAGAGATATAATGTGCGTAAAGTTTGGAGGTCGGGGTGAATAAGTCATCATGTTTCACTTGTGCTAGGAAGGTAGGAGCAGGCACTTTCACAGCTGATACAACTCGTTGCTCTATTGACTCACATCATCTAAGTAGGACAGCAGCAAGACCAGCAATGGCAGTACCTTCTGCTGACTCTTCCTTCAAGTTCATTGACTTTTGGGCCAGGTGTGTGTTTAGCTTTGCAATTGCTATTGCTTTGCTATTGTATGAAAGATATTGAATGAAGGACATCAGCTTCTCCTGCAAGACACCCACATCATTAAGATTGAGAAAAATGAAAACCAACATAGGTTTCTTCCTTCCTCATAGGTTCCAGCTCGTGTTTATGGGTTACAGCTTATCCATGATAACTCTATTCACCTTTCCTCTTTCACTGCCTATTCCTTTGAGTTCAATCTCAACCATCACATACAAAGACAGAGACTCTTAGTCATCCTCCACAATTGCGTAAGGTCAGGTACCTGAGATAGACAGATGATAGATATACAGATAGATAACTTACAGCTAACTTCATGCTTAATGCTGAAAGACTGCTATTTCCCTCTAAATTCAAGAATAAGACAAAATGCTTACTCTTATAACTTCTATTCAGTATTGTTCTAGAAATTCTAGGCAAATAAATAAGACTAAAGAAATAAAAGGAATACTGATTGGAAATGAAGATATAAAAGTATTTATAATCATAAATGCCATGATCAGCTATGTAGAAATTCCTAAAAAATCTAAATAAAAAGCTACCAGAACAAATAAATGAGTTTAACAAATGTATAGGATTTAAACAAAACAAGAAAGAGTACATTAAATATATATGACTCTTGAATTCTAGAAAATACAAATCTAATCCATCTTGGCAGAGCACATTTGTGGTTGCATGAGGCTGGACCTTGTATAAGTTTGATTGGCAAGGATCACAACAGTATATATACTCACACAGTTACACACAGAGCTGGATTTCTTTAAATTGAGTTTTTTTACGTGATATGAGGTTGAATAGGTCATTTGATGTCTTTGGACAAAGGTTTAAATTTGAAAAAGAAGAATTTTATTGATGTAATTTCCATATAGCTTGGGATCTCATTTAGGGACAGCAAGATCTATAGGGCTGTCCAACAGGACCTTCTGTGAAAATGTAAATGTCTATACCTGCACTGTTCAATACGGTAGCCACAAGGGACATGTGACAATTTTACCCTTGTAAGGTGGTCTCTACAACTGAACAATTATATTTAGCATTATTTACTTGGAATTAGTTTAAATTTAAATAGCTATATGCAACTGGTGGCTAATATATTGGACAGTCTAGAACTTTAGTTCCTTGCATCTGAATCTTCCGTTCTATGAGTTTACAGCTGTACCCAGAAATAAAGTCAACTCCTAAAATAAGTACCTCAAAATTTTATGTGCAACTTGAGTTAACAGTCTGTGATACAGTGTGAATTATAGAAGACACAATGCAATGGTAGGGATAGAATGCAAAATGTGTTTACCAGAAATACGCTGTTCTAATGGGTATGTGTTTAATTTCTGACTCTGGTATATGTCAGCACACATACAACTGGCTAGTAAGATAAATGTTACCAAGTGTATTCTGTGAAGGAGTAAAAACTACTTCGATGCAATTTAAATGGTGATCAGTGCAAGTAAACAAGAACAATGGTATTAAATTGTTTTCAGAGAACCAAAATACAGCTTGCATTTGGAGAACACCACTAATTTAGCTTAATGCCAGTTTTTCTTTTTTTAGTGATTTCAATATTTATTTTAGATACGGAGGTACATTGACAGGTTTGTTGCATGGGTATATTACATGATGCTGAGGTTTAGGGTACAGATCTTGTTACTCAGGTACTGAGTATAGTACCCAATAGGTGGTTTTTCAGCCCATGCCCCACTCCCTCCCACCTGCTTCTAGTCCACAGTGTTTATTGCTGTCATCTTGATGTCCATGAGTACCCACCGTTTAGCTCCCATTTATAAGTGAGAACATGAGGTATTTGGTTTGCTGTTTCTGTGTTAATTAACTTAGGATTATGGCCCCCAGATTCATCCATGTTGCTGCAAGGGACACGATTTCATGAAATTACTTGTTTCTGAAAGTTGGTTTGTTAATAATTTTTCCCCACAAATTTGCTCATTTTATACAATGTTTAAAGATGTACACAGTATTCTTAAAAGTGATTGTAAATTTTCAAATAGATATTCCTACAAGAAACAATGTTGGAAAATAATATTCTGCTTTTTCTCAAAGTGTGAAATCAAGACCTGAGTACAAGTAATTAATTGATTTAACTTTAACATGCCTATAAATATTCAGCTTTTAAGTAGAGGGAACAATGATAACACAGGAGTCCCTGGAATAACTTGCAGTGTTTTACTACCATTTTTTATCTGATTCATCCTTAAGAAATGTCTATCATGTACAGAGGTCAAGTCAAAATTACACTTTTACTGTGAAGGTAAGTCTTGACTCAAGGGATTTGTTACTTTGGAGAAAAATAAAGGTTCTATCTAAAAACCGTATTTAAATATATAGCTGTAGCTATCTAACCATCAATATCTTTATTCTCTATATTGCATATTTCACATCTTTCAAAGTTCTTTGGGCACCCCTCTTGTGAAAGTAAATGTACACATCACATATGACATGTAATAAATGAGTGATAGGTGTGGATAATATAATGTAAAACAGCATTTTGAACAGATTTTCCAAGGAACACAACTCTTTTGAGATTGTTACAGAACAGTCTCATGTTCAAACAGAATGGGGAAAACCTGTCTACCTTCCCTTTGGAAGATGCATTGGTCCTATCTGCACACTAACACACCTGAACTCATATATGACAGTGGGACTTGGATAATGTTGTCTAACCAAGTAGTTTACACATGTATTTGAACAAAGTACCCCTTTCCATTGAAACACTCATCAGCCTCCTTCAAAACCAATGGTCCCAGGAAGACAACTGGGGGCAAGCTATCATGGAAAAGCTCCACCTGTTTTCAAGTGGGATTATAACATTCATCTTAGTACTTATTTAAATTTAATCGATATAACTTCTGTTGCTAACACGATTTTCCTTAGTTTACAGCAGCCTGACATTAGATGTTTCTTCCTATATTTAATCAAAATGGACTTCAATATAATACTCACTTATGTATTTTTCCTGTGAAATTTTCTCATATCATTTCTATGTATATAGACTTATGCATGTATAACATGACATATTATGTGTTAAAACATAGTATTTTGTATTATTTATGGCTTTATTTTATAGATGAAAAGTTTCTATGCATTGTTAATTGGCTGAAGTTTCCTATCGACTGACAACAATGACAACAAACAAATGACAAACTCTTCGAAAAGCCCCATCTTCAGGGACCTCTAATTTCTGACTGTCTGGTTAAAGTGCTTGGCTAAGCAAGATGAGCTCTCTAAGCTTCATTTTAACATGCAATAGAGTGAAAGAGGACAAATTAATTTATATCCTATCCTGTTTTAAAAAGAATCTTAGATATTTTCCAGAAATATATATTCATATTCTGTTATGTAATATATAATGAGAAATAATATGTATTTCTTGTAAATAAGAAAAAAATTAAATTGATAAAGGGAAAATAATAGTGAGAGATTTAACAAATAAAGGCAAGGCTGAGGAGGATTGCATAAGCGAGTTCTTAAAAATGTTGTTCCCTCCAATAGTCTTAGATTCTGTAGCTGGAAATGGGTGTGCAATTTACTTTATTTGAGTTAAGTGGCTCCGTTTTCTTGCTTTTCCAGTATAACATCTAGCAACTAGATAAATATGCTGTTAAAATGCATCTTTAAAGAAAATTATATCTGAATTTATTTAAATCAGAAGGTATTTTAGAAGAATTGTTTACAGAACTCGAAGACTATTAAACACAACCGTAATATTTAGGAATTTACGTGTTTGAATATTAAATGTTTATTCCATACTGGTTATAAATTTATATGCACATTCAAATCTGTATATTATTAATATGTATTTTACTGAGTCTTCACTGCTTCATAATTATTCTGTTTTGCCAAAATTATTCTTTTGAAACACAAATTTAAATAATTTCAGTATCTCTTATTTATAGCCTTATTCCTTCATTATATTGACTATTCATTTTAGAAATATTCTACTAAAGACGTTTTAGTCACATGAAGTTTTTCATGTTACTTGTTGCTTTTAAGCTTTATTATGTTTACTTAGAGGAAATATACTTCTTGACATTCTTTGTGTATTTTTGAGCATCTCTTCATAATATTATATTAGAGCAAGAGTGGTAAATAAGACTCATCCTGTATGCATTTCTGGTTGGTATGGTAGTGGCTGCCTGGAGTGTGTGCTGGAATAGTAGGACATTTAGCATATTTGAAATGAGGAGTGTTATTAATTTTCAATGTCTACTATGGCTGCTGAATAGGGAAGTGTTCGCTCTTATACTAGCCTGTATTTCCTCCCTCTCCTCTAGTGTTCTAAAAATACTGTATTATCTACTCCATAGTGTTTTCTGTGTTTTGTTATTTTGTTTGGATTATATATTCCATGATTAAACAATGAGAACAATCATGCACTTTCATGAATTTTTAACATTTCATTAAACAATATAGAAAGTAGGAATACCTAAGTAGTTATTCCAAGTTATCCTTTTTCAATAACAATAATAAAATGTATAAGATATATATATATATATATATATATATATATATATATATATATACACACAAATACATATATTATTTTGAACTGTATGGTAAGTGTTTATTTTCTTGAGATGACACACAGAAAGCATACAATTCAATATTATCCAGCTGGGCGCAGTGACTCACGCCTGTGATCCCAGTACTTTGGGAGGCTGAGGCAGGTGGATCACCTGAGATCAGGGGTTTGAGACCAGCCTGGCCAACATGGTGAAACCCCATCTCTACTAAAAATGCAAAAATTAGCCAGGCATCATAGCAGGTGCCTGTAATCTTAGCTACTTTGGAGGCTGAGTCAGGAGAATCGCTTGAACCCGGGAGGCAGAGGTTGCAGTGAGGTGAGATCGTGCCACTGCACTCCAGCCTGGGCAACAGAGCAAAACTCCATCTCAAAAACAACCAACCAACCAACCAACCAACCAACCACACAATTCAATATTATCAGCCAATTGCAGTTTACTGTATAGTAGGCACTGTGTCAAGTGAATAACGTATAAACGATAACATTTATCTCTCATAAAAACCTTTTTTGAGATTCCAATAAAAGTGATATGTAGAGATTGCTTAATTTACCCAAAGCACCATAGTTGCAGCAGGGCAAGGAACAGACACACAGACACACACACACACACACACACACACACACGGCCAGAGAATCCCACTACTTGTACTCTTGGTAATTATTCTATCTGTAATTTTTTCCCCGCACCATCCCTAGTCTAACACAACTAAAATTAATTACAAAGTAAGTATAGAAATTTACCTCTGGTGGTTTGGGGCCAGTAGATTTCCATGACTGGGAAAAATTAATCTTACTTGGGAAAGTAGAATGGGTTAGAAAATCGCTGATAGGAAAGAGAACATGGAGTTCCCAAACCAGGTACAAATTTTTACAATGATGACAATGTGTTCCAGTTTTAAAATGTTTTCGCAAAGATTTGCTTTTTGATAATACAAATATCAGATTAAAAGTAGTTGAATCTACTAAAATGCAGAGAAGCAAATATATTTTTTTTCGTGTTTTTGTAATCAAAGTGAGCAGAAATTCGGACTTGGCTGAATCAATTTTAGGTAAGTTCCACAGATATCTTGTGTCTAGTCAATAAACATGAGATTTCTATAATATCTTCTCAAAGATGTTGATGAGTTGTTTAGAATTAGAGTGAATCATACTAGATGTTAGTCTAGTGGTTTTCAGTAAGTTTGTTTAATATTCTGTTATAGGACAAACAAAAAAAATTTTATTTTCACCTGTAAAATATGAGCAAACTGAATTAGGCAATCTTCTTTTGGTCTCTTTTCCCCACCCCAGCTTCCACCCCAGGGCTACCCCACAGTATGTCAGGGATCCTATGTGGTTTCAGAACCACCAGTCTGTTCTGCTGGTCCTCTTTATAGATGTGAAAACAGTAACCCACAGAGGTTAATTATTTATCAAAGGTTGTAAAAGTAGGTAATAGCTGAGCCAGCACTAGAATTCCTGAGGTGTCCCTGTGAGGATGACCTTGTGGTACATGAGAAGAAACTTAGAAATTATACAAATTACCAAGCATAAAACATCAATGGACTTTCCTGAAAGCATGAGAAATTTAATCACAATGTTGTTAAAACTATGTAGAAGACAATAATAAGGAATCCAGATGTAGATGATGGGTGTCACTGAGGCAGAATGCAGGACCAGAGGACAACCTACTCAAGGATGTTACATGGGAACACTTCCCAAAGGGAGGAATGTCGTAGGTCATGGCTTGTAGTTCGGGGCTTCACTCTTCTTCGAGATCATTAATTTTAAAAAAAGGAAACAAAAATACAATGCATTAAGAATAAGTCTAACAAAAAAAAGTCTGGTTCTTCTGTAGAAATCTCTGAGTTCTAAGTTCTTTAGTGAATTAACTAAAGTATATAAAACATCCTAAAATAGTGGAAAGACATCTCTTCTTCCTGGATATGTATATTAAATATCATAAAGATATAAGCATGTCCTAATTAAACTATGTCATATTAAACTAGCAATAAGGCTAATACACATACCATGCTGCAGAATAATATATATAAGTATAAATATGTATTATATATTTATGTAAACACATATATAAGTATATATATAAACACACAAACTTATACACACACATATCTCCTGATTTCTTAATGTGTGCATGTGCATACATAAAAACATCTGAAAAGCTACACACCAAATATTAATCACAATTATCCTTAAAAGAGTTTGCTAAGTGAAATAAGCCAGGCACAGAAAGACAGACATCACATTTTCTCACTTACTTGTGGGATCTAAAAATCAAAACAATTGAACTCATGGACATAGAGAGGAGAAGCCTCTTTACCAGAGACTAGGAAGGGAAGTGAGGGGTTGAGGGGGAGGTGGGGATGGTTATGGGTACCAAAAATTGTTAGAAAGAATACATAAGACCTATGACTTGATAGCACAACAGAGTCACTATAGTCAATAATAACTTAACTGTACATTTAAAACTAACTAAAATAGTATAATTGGATTGTTTGTAACTTGAAGGATAAATGCTTGAAGGGATAGATACCCTATTCTCTATGACGTGATTATTGAGCTTTGCATACCTGTATCTAAACATCCCATCTGCGGGTGGATCATCTGCGGTCAGAAGTTCGAGACCAGCCTGGCCAACATGGTGAAACCCTGTCTCTACTAAAAATACAAAATTAACCAGGCGTGGTGGCACACACCTGTAATCTGAGCTACTTGGGAGGCTGGGGCAGGAGAATCACTTGAACCCAGGAGGTGGAAGTTGTAGTAAGCCAAGACTGTGCCATTGCACTCCAGCCTGGGCAAAAGGAACAAAACTCCATCTCAAAAAAAAAAAAAAAAATCTCATATACCCCATAAATATATACACTCGTTATGTGCCCACAAAAATAAAAAATTCAGAAAATTAAAAAAACTAGGACTGGAATTGGGAATCTTAGAGAATTTGTGAACTATTAATTAACACACCCTATGTCCTGGTTGACTTAAAAAATAATTATGTACTGTTTTTACCTTATAATTCCATATTAAGGTGAAATTAGTGGAGAAGCATAAATATAACCAATACCACTTGTCCCCCTTGTTCTCGCTCTCTCTTTATTCCTGTTTAGATTGACTTTATTGGTAATGTAAAAGCTCAATTTATTTTTTCTGGTAAGAATTCATGGGCAGTGAAAAAGGATGTGAAACATGCAGATGAATGCCAATAGCATGTGAACAAAATCTACGCGAGCAAAGGTGAAATTATTCCTCAGTTTCCCTCTTTTATTTTGCAAAAAATCATAGGATCAGGTGAATTTATTACACCCTGTGACTCTCACAGAAATAAAAAAGAAAGCATTTCAGTCATACAGTTTATTTGGGAAAATTGAAGCAACTGACCTGGTAAATCCTTGTTACGTAGAATTTCCTCTGTGTGTGTGGTATCTCCTTCTTTTGTATCATTGTGAATTAAAACACATTTTCAATCCTCAGTGTTGCATTTTTTACTTTCTCTTCCATTTTGTTCTTTGGATTAACATTTAGCCTTCAGTGGTAGGCAGAACGAAGACCGCCCCAAATATGGCCATCTACTATTCCCCAGAACCTGTGAATATGCCACCTTTCATGACAAAAGGGCAATTTAGGTTGCAGATAACATTAATGTTGGTAATGAACTGACTTGATAATATGGAGATTATCTTGGACTGCTCAGGTAAGTCCAATGTAATAACAAGGGAAGATAAATAAAATAAAATGGAAAGATAGAGACTGAAGGTTGGTCAGAATAATGCAATGTGATGTGAGAACTCTATCTACCTATCTTAGCTGACGTTGAAGATGGAGGAAGGAGCTGTGAGCCAAGAACTGTAGGTATCTCTAATGTGGAAAAGACAAGGAAATGCATTACTCCCTAGAGTCCACAGAAGGAGCACAACCTGCAGACATCTCGATTTTAGTCCATTGACTCCATTTCAGATTTCTGACTTCCACAGCTCTAAGACAATAGTTTCATACTGTTTTAAGCCAGTAAGTTTGTAGAAATTTGTTGTGTTAGTGTTAGAAAACTAAATTCTAACCTAGAAAACATAGCCCAGAAATTGCCTCTTCATTCAGCGTTCCTCTGAATACCCTAGACTGCCAGACTGGTTTGTGGGCTCTCCTTTGAGCTCTCAGACCTTCACCCCTACCCTGTGTTGATTTGTGTAGTGGTTAGAGAGGAGATAGAGGAGAAATCTGCACTTGCCTGAGACTTCACCTTTAATTTTTGAATCTCTGTGATCACTCTTCTTGTTCAGAGGTGCTATAAAACGCATTGAGTATGACTATTGGTTATTATGTGCAAATAAAGTTATTTTAGAATATAATTAAACAATACACACATGCATATATATGTGTGTGTATATATATAAAATATGTACATATATACATATAAATGTCTACATATATATATATATATACATGTAAAAAATATCTACCTAGAGAATTATAGTAGTTAATGTATCTTATACAGACTGATTTTATATAGGTACTGTTATTGTTGCTATCATCATCAACAACATTATCATCATTCTGTTTTATTGTTTGGAAACTAAACTGAAGCACAGAAAAGTTGGTAAATCGTTGAACAAACTCCAGTGTGGTATGCTTTACTGCCTTGTTTTCAACTTTGGCAGTGTGCCTCCAAAGCCTGAATACTTAATCAACACAATCTGACAGCTCTTCAATATGTCCGTATAAAAAAAAGTCTATCCTCATAAATCACCTGTGATGCTGAAAGAGGAGGCTTTAGCTAAAAATATTAAGGCTATCATACTGAAAATGACAGATCCAGCCAGGGGAGTGGATGAAAGCTGAAATCAAGTCACTGCAAGGTAGACAACTTCAGGATGGCTTCCAGCCCAGGATTTTGTGGGACAGTTTCCTCCTGCAAGAGATACATAGTTCTGTAATGAAGACAAACCATCTCACTTATACTCCTGTTTTCATTTAGCAGGAGTCTAAAAGTTTATTTTCTGTGGCCTGAGGAAAACATCTAAATGCCTCTAGAGATATGTTGACTTGGTCTTGTTTATAACATGCTCCAGAGTCTCCGAAATGGAAGGAATCCCATAGTTTCATGGTTATGATGGATACTGCAGTGCTCCAATCAGATGCTCACTTCAGGGCCAAGGCAGTTATCCGTCAGCTGCTGGATATATTAATTGTTGGCGGTTCACAGCAGCACCCCTCAATCTGTCTCCTCAGATCCTGGTGCACTGCCTGTGGACAATGACTGGCTGAAGTGGGGAAACAAAGACCCTGAATTTTGCCTCCTGCATGGAACTCTCTGTCTTTGGAGTCTGTTTCCAGGGAATCCAGGCTAAGATTGTATATTATAATTTTATTATTTTTCTTTTCGTTTTATTGTAGTAAAAACATTTAACATGAATTCTACTCTCTTAACAAAATTTTAAGTGCTCATCACATTATTTTAAGCACACATCACATTGTTGTCTAGAGGTGCAGTGCTGCACAGCAGATCTCTAGAGCTTATTCATTTTGCTTAACTGAAACTTCATGCCCTTTGATCAGTAACTCCCAATTTCCTCCACCCTCTAACCCCTGGCAACCACTGTTCTACCCTTTGGTTCTATGAACTTGACTATTTTGGGTACCTCAAATGAGTGGAATCATTCAGCATTTGTTTTTCTTGTTACTGAAGAAGAATCTGAGTCCTGAGAGGCATCATGACGTTTTCAAGTTTAACAGAACCATAACCCAGAACTCCTGGTTCCAGTCTAGTGATCTTTTGTGTAAGTATAATGACTCCTTCAAAAAAGACTTGTAGGTGCTCACAGTATTGAAATAACAGAGAATACAACTCAGTTTTATTTTTTTAAATCACTAAATGATATACAGTGTTAAATGACCTTATAGAGAGGTATCTATTTAATGATTATGGATGTGGAAATTATCTAAGTGCTATAAAGCTAAAATGTAGCATATTTTTAAAATTATAAGTAACAACATTCAATTCTAACAATTTACGTTATGCATCTTCCTGGGGAAAGTAAATTCTTTTCAAATCATGATGTGTGATAAATTTTTAGAGACAATAAAATCTTTAATACAAATTTAAAACTTAAGAATGATAATTTAATTAATAAAGTAAAATACATGACTCAGTAAACGTGGTACTTTTTTGTGTCTTGCACAAAATAACCATTCAATAAATGTTCTATATTATCATGAGTGAGTGCCAAACATGTATTAGACATTGTTGTGTGGTTTGTCTAATTTAAATGTGAAGTCAACCCTATGCTACATATATAATTATCACAGTTTTAGATATGAGGAAGCTGAACTTTCGGGAGGTTAAATAACTTGACCAATGGTACCTAGAAAAGCTACCCAAATCTATCTGGGTTCAAACAATGTACTTTTTCCATTGCATAAGATGGAGTCTTCCCCATAGGTTACATTGTTATCAAAATATAAATCATTTGAATTCCATTTTGCTCTGGATCCTCCGTGCAACAAATGAAGGATCATAATGCTGATAAAACAACTCAAAAATTCTAAATACTTTAAAGTAGACAAACTTCTCCAGATGTGCTCATGTAGGTATTGCCCTACCTTTCTTAGTCGGAAAGTTTCTAAACTCTCAGTGAGCAAATATTTTGGCAGGACATAAAAGAATGAATTGAAAAAGAAGATTGTGTTTATTTCTAACTTTTAATTCTGAAAATTTCAAACAAATGTAAAAATAGAGAAATTAGTCTCTGTACATTATTTGGAATTCTTCTAAAAGAAAGACTTGCCTCCTCTTCCTAATTTATTTATTTGTTTATCTATTTATTTATTCAGACATTTCTTTAAGTCCATTTAAATTCATGGATATATTTTGGGTTATAATCTAATACTATACTATTTATTTTGTTCCTCAAATAATTTCAGCTTTGGCCACTGGAAACTCTTTGATGTTGGCTTCTATATCCCTTTGACACAGCTCATTCTTTTATTTTTTGAGTATATCTCTATATTTTAGTAGTACAAGATGTTCTAGTCTCATCTTACATATTTCCTGCTCCAGCCCTAGAATCAACTATTTCTCTAAGGAGCCTTGGTTCCTTTAATTAGTGAATGGTATTTAAAAGCCATGATTTGGCAGGTGGGAGCTCTCATTTCTATGGCGATGTCATTGATTCTAAGCCCTCTCAACAAATGATGGTAGGTTATATATATCTCAACAAATAATAGTGGGCTATATATATATTTTATATATATATGTATATATATGAAACACTATTCACACATATCTACAATAATTTCTATATATATCCATCTGTGTATGTATGTGCATATGTATATTTGCGTGTGTGTGTCTGTGTATTCTATATATATCCATCTGTGTATGTATGTGCATATGTATATTTGCGTGTGTGTGTCTGTGTATTACCACTGGGTTCTAGTTTTTTGTGCTTCCTTTTCTAACTTTCTGAGAGGAAATAGTTTCTATTGTAAAATCTTCTGTTTTCTAATGTTCTTGTTTTTCTGTATGAAATATATTCTTCCTTTCTAATTTTAAATGTTCTCTTTGACATTTTTCAGCAATGTATTTATTATGTGTTTTGGTGTGGTTTTCATTATAGTTGTCCTCTTTGATTTTCATTGACATTCTTAGAATTCTGAGTTTATAGTTTTATTAAATTTGGAAAAAAAATCATCTTTATTTTTGTGACAGCTGGAAGACAATATTTGAAGAAATAGAGCTTTTTAAAATAGTTTCTGAGTCTGTGTTGGTTTTCAATGTTTCATCTTTCTGTGATTCGCTTTAAATAGATTTCATTGTTAAGCCCTAAGTTCACTGATCTTTTCTTCTGCAATCTCTAGCGGTTCCAGTTTTTAAAAAATGTCTTTCATTTTTTATCCTTATATTCGTGTTTTCCTTTAAATATCTAAACATTGTTATAATAGCCGTTTTAAAATATACATCTGCTGGTGTCATAGTTTCTTTCATTTTTGTGTCTATTTATATTGGCTGATTTTTCTCTTGGATTTGGAGCATAGTAGCCTGCTTCTTCCTATGTTTAATAATTTTTAATGGATGTCATACATTGTGAAGGCTATCTTGTTATCTGAATTTTGTTATCTTTATCTGAAGAATATTGACAGGCATTTAAGTTACTTTTGGATCATGTGATCCACCTGAGGCCTATTCTTATGCCAAGCTAGGGCAGTTCTAGTTTATACATGAATCCAGAGATAGTTCACTCTTACATTAGGCTTACTGAATATCTCCAGTAGTCACCACATTCTCTCTAATCTGACTGCTTGGACATTACTATCTTCCCACACTATGTGGGCTCTCACAATTATTCTGCTTACTGTTCCCCATGAGCCCAACATTATGGACTTTCCCTTTATACATGCAAGGCCTGGATCTTAGCAAGACTCAAGAACAACCTTATATATTTTTTGGAGCTTTTGTTCTTCATAACTCTCTCTTTCCTGGATCCCTGCCTCATAATATCCAGCAACCTACCCCTTCCCAAGCTCTGGTCTTGATCTCTTCATTCAAGGGAGGATACTCAGCCTTGTTTGGGTTCTGACTTGGAAAATGACTTCCAACAGAAGTTTAATATAATTACACAACTCATCTTACTTGTTGCTTTTTGTTAAGATATTACAGTCTTTTATGGCTTGATATAATGCCTGTAAATGTTTTGTTTATTTTACATTTGTATAGTTTACAGTGGGGACATATTTTTTTCCCTGCTATTACATCATTGTTGAAATTGGAATTACAAGTCGTTTTTCTCAGGATTTTTGTCTAGCTATTCTTACTCACTTGTGTTTACAAATAAACTTTTTAATTATCTCATCTGTTTCCATAGAAAGCCTGAGGTTTGTGTTGTTACTGTTATTTAAACTTTGTAAATTTAAGTTGTCCTTTCCATTTTAACTCATATCTTCTCTAAGAACATAGTATGTTTTCCATTTTTTATATTTAATTTGTGTCTTTTGGAAGTGAGCAATAATATTCCACATCTATGTTTTGAACATTTTAGTTAAAGTTCCAATTAGGGATCTTATTGGGTTTTTTGGCTTTTGTAAATTTAGTCATTTCTTCCACTATATTTTCTAAACTTATTCTTGTTTGCATATAGAAAGGGTTTAGTTTGTATATATAATTTAAAGTTAATTTTTTAAACTCTATTTTTAGTAAATTGTGTCATTAATTATGTTAGTGTTTCTATTTATTCTTCTGGGGTTTCCAGATACATTACCATATCAATTGCATATAGATACAATTTACTTCCTTACTTTCAATTTTTATGTGACTAATTGCCTTATCTTGGCTAATATCTTGGGCTAAAATTCCATTCAATATACAGTGTTAAGTAGTGATAATTATATTGGGGATCACTTTACTGATCCTGATTTTGGTGAACAAGTGTTTATTGTTTTCCTATTGAGTAAGAGTTGTGCTTTTGAAGTATCCACTAATTCCTATTTTATTGAGGGTTTCCATTATTTATTTATTTAGACCACAGATGGCTGTTGAATTTTATCCAGTATATTTTCTGGTCTTGTGGACATGAATGTTTTTTCTATCTGGCTGTATAGATATGTTAGGTTACAACAATAAAACTTCTGGTATTGAGTAGCTCTTGAATCCTGGTTAAACTCAAATCAGTCATGATATTTTAATTTTTAATGAAACGTGTACTCATTTTGCTAATTTTCTTTAGAAATTTTCTATCAATATTCATAAATATTAGTCTGTCATTTTCTTTTACATACAATAATTATCACATTTTGGCATCAGTGTTAACACTTGAATGATAAACAACATCTAAATGGCATTACAATTAGGTGATCTTTAAAAATAGTATATAATTAGTGAAAATGTTGGGGATGGGTGCTTTTAGAGAAAGCTTTTTTTTAAATGGTGTTTTAATACTAACTCTATCCTTATTATATTTTTTACTTGTTTTTATATACTAGCAATATTTTGACCCATAAAAGTTTGCTAATTAGCTATCAGCAACTTTTTTTTTACTTTGTACTTAGCAGTAATATACAGTACTATCAAATGCAGTAAGAGATAAGAAAGTATTTCTCCAAGCATAATAAAAGTTCGTATGCAGTTTGACCCTAGATTTAAAAATACTGTCTAATATTTGAATATTTTCTGATTTACAGCGTCTAAATTCCGATGTTTAATTTAACACAATAATATTATTTTCATTCAGTGATTTAAAAGAAAACCTAATGTTTTCTAGATAAAAGATTGAATGATTCAGAAGGCAAATACTTACATTGACAAACTGGCAATAATATTTAGAATGGGCTGTTAATTGAGGAAGATAATTATTATGTATTTAATATACTAAAATAAAGCTTTTCTGGTGAGGAAAATAATAGTAGCATTATATATTCTGATTATGAAGTCTAAATAACCTTTCTTTGAAAAGTGAACCCATGAAAATTTTGGCATGAGATATACTAAAAACGAGAAACAAAACCCAAAGTGCCCATAAAGGTCATGAGCTTTGCATATTGCTTTTTATTCTGAGACCTTCAGCCATTGAATATGCATTGTCATAAGACAAATTCATGGAAGAAGTCTCCAAATACTAGATTGAAGGTTGTCTCAGCTCACTGAATGTGAACAGAAGAACTGTTATAATATTCATAAGCCAAAGTTAGTCTGAAAAGAAGTTTTTTCAAAAAAGCAGAGCACATTTTATAATACATCAAACTACAATATTTATTCATATTCAATAAGCCTAGTTGTGTTTTATGATTAAAGATAATATAAGGTCTTGTATGAATGACATTCTTGATGTACTTGAAGAAAATAAATGTTTAATGATATAAAAGCTTACAGTTTAAGGGCAGGTTTTTAAAAAGCAGCTTTTAAAAAAGAGTTCAAATTTACTGTTACAAAAAATAATACTATTTATGCAAGTCAAGAGTTCCACATTTTTCCTTTAATTTGACAATTTAGTTTTAGTTGTCTGTTTCCTCTAGTATTCCCACCTCTTCCAAGAGATTGAAGAAAGTGGTACATCTGTAATCAGATTATAGTCATTAATTTATCCTGAAGGGAAATAGAGAAACACATCCTGAATTTTTGTAGAGACTTGACTTTTTAGACAGTAGAGAGAGGAATTAAAGTTACCACAGATAAGGTAACTTTCAGCTGTAGAAACTTAACAGTTTTAGCTAAAGCAATGACTCAAATGCTCAATTAATTATATACGTACATGAATGCCTATCTATCTCTATACCTATGTCTGTGTCTGTCTATATCTATTTAAGGAAGTAGGAGTTTTTGCCAAGCAAAAAGGAAATTAATTCCTATAGCAGTTATCTTATTTTACCTGAAATTTGGGTCTCTTAATGAAAATAGAATAACAAAGAGTATTTATTACAAGAGTGGAAGTGAGGGGATCATAGCGAATGGGAGGCAGGACTAGATTGCAGCTCTGGACAGAGCAGCATGCGAAGCTTGCATTGTGAATTTTACCTCCGAATTGACTGCAAGAGCAAATCGTCAATCCCAGGAAGACCCACAGGCCCTCTGAAGGAAGTGGACTGCTCCTGCAGGACCCAGGAGACACCCCAAATACTCTGGGAGGTAGGTAGTCTTGGGCAAGTTTTCAAGCCCAGCTGACCCTCCACCTAGAAACAGGCTCAGGGCTGCTGTGGAGGGCACAGTGGGAGTGAGAGTAGCCCTTCGGTTTGCGTAGGAGCTAGGTGAGGCCTGTGACTGCCAACTTTCTCCCACTTCCCTGACAACCTGCATGACTCAGCAGAGGCAGTCATAATCCTCCTAGGTACACAACTCCAGTGACCTGGGAATCTCACCCTCATCCCCTACAGCAGTCGCAGCAAGATCCGCCCAAGGAGAGTCTGAGCTCAGACATGCCTAGCCTTACCCTCACCTGATGGTCCTTCCGTATCCACCCTGGTAGCAGAAGACAAAGGGCATATAATCTTGGGAGTTCTAGGGCCCCACACACTGCCAGGCCATCTCCACACTGCTATAGCTGATGCTGTCTGGAAAGCGCCACCTCCTAGTAGGAGGCCAACTAGCACAAAAACAGACCATTAAACCACCAAAGCTAAGGACCCTCACTGAGCCCAGTGTGCCCTCCACCATCTCCACCAGAACAGGCACTGGTATCCACAGGTGAGAGACCCATAGACGGCTCACATCACAGGACTCTGTGCAGACAACCCCCAGTACCTTCCCAGAGCCAGGTAGACTTGCTGGGTAGCTAGACCCAGAAGTGAGACAACAATCTCTGCAGTTCAGCTCACAGGAAGCCACATCCATAGGAAAAGGGGTAGAATACAACATCAAGGGAACACCCCATGGGACAAAAGAATCTGAACAACAGCCTTCAGCTCTAGACCTTCCCTCTGACAGAGCCTACCCAAATGTGAAGGAACAAGAAAACCAACCCTGGTAATACAGACAAAACAAGACTCTTCATCACCCCCGAAAAAATCACACTAGCTCACCAGCAGCGGATCCAAACAAAGAAGAAATCCCTGATTTACCTGAAAAAGAATTCAGGTCAGTTAATAAGCTAATCAAGGAGAAACCAGAGAAAGGTGAAGCCCAGTGCAAGGAAATCCAAAAAATGATACAAGAAGTGAAGGGAGAAATATTCAAGGAAATAGATAGCTTAAAGAAAAAACAGTCAAACATTCAGGAAACTTTGGACACACTTTTAGAAATGTGAAATGCTCTGGAAAGTCTCAGCAATAGAATTGATCAAGTAGAAGAAAGAAATTCAGAGCTCAAAGACAAGGTCTTCGAATTAACTGAATCCAACAAAGACAAGAAAAAAGAATCAGAAAATATGAACAAAGCCTCCAAGAATTCTGAGATTATATTAAGTGACCAAACCTAAGAATAATCGGTGTTCTTGAGGAAGAAGAGACTTCTAAAAGCCTGGAAACCATTTTTGCGGGAATAATCGAGGAAAACTCCCCTGGCCTTGCAAGAGACCTGGACAAAGAACACTTGGCAAATTCATCGCATAAAGATCTTTGCCTGTGCACATTGTCATCAGGTTATCCAAAGTTAAGAAAAGTGAGAGGGAGTAGCTATTCTTTTATCACACAAAACAAACTTTAAAGCAACAGCGGTTAAATCAGGAAGAATTAGATACCCTGAACAGACCAGTAACAAGCAGCGCAATTGAAATGGTGATTTAAAAATTACCAACAAAAAAAGTCCAGGACCAGATGATTCACAGCAGAATTCTACCAGACATTCAAAGAAGAATTGGTATCAATCCTTTTGACACTATTCCACAAGATAGATAAAGAAGGAACCCTCCTTAATTCGTTCTATGAATCCAGCATCACCCTAATACCAAAACCGGGAAAGGACATAAGCAATAAAGAAAACTACATAACCGATGTTTTTGATGAACATAGATGCTAAAATCCTTAACAAAATACTAGCGAGCCAAATCCAACAACATATCAAAAAGGTAATCCACCATGATCAAGTAAGTTTCATACCAGGGATGCAGGGGTGGTTTAACATACACAAGTCAATAAATGTGATACACCACATAAACAGAATTAAAAGCAAAAATCACATGATCATCTCAATAGATGCAGAAAAGCATTAGACAAACTCCAGCATCCCTTTATAATTAAAACTCTCAGCAAAATTGGCATACAAGGGACATACCTTAATGTAATAAAAGCCATCTATGACAGACCCAAAGACAACATATTACTGAATGGGGAGAAGTTGAAAGTGTTCCCTCTGAGAACTGGAAAAAGACAAGGATGCCCACTCTCACCACTCCTCTTCAACATAGTACTGAAAGTCCTAGCCAGAGCAGTCAGAGAAGAGAAAGAAAGAAAGAAAGAAAGGGCATCCAAATCGGTAAAGAGGAAGTCAAACTGTCATTGTTTGCTGACGATATGATCGTTTACCTTGAAAACCCTAAGGACTCCTCCAGAAAGCTCCTTGAACTGATAAAAGAACTCGGCAAAGCTTCCGGATACAAGATTGATGTACACACTCAGTAGCTCTTCTGTACACCAACAGTGACCAAGCAGAGGATCAAATTAAGAACTCAACCCCTTTTACGATAGCTGCAAAAAAAAAAAAAATTGAATATACCTAACGAAGGAGTCAAAAGACCCTTATAAGGAAAACTACAAAACACTGCTGAAAGAAATAATAGATGACACAAACAGATGGAAACACATCCCATGCTCACGGATGGATGGAATTAACATTGTGAAAATAACCATACTGCCAAAAGCAATCTAAAAATTCAATGCAATCTTCATCAGAACACCTCCATCATTTTTCACAGAATTAGAAAAAACAATTCTAAAATTCATATGGAACCAAAAAAGAGCCCACACAGCCAAAGCAAACTAAGCAAAAAGAACAAATCTAAAGGCCTCACACTACCTGATATCAAACTATACAATAAGGCCATAGTCTCCAAAACACTGTGGTACTGGTATAAAGATAGGCACAATGGAACAGAAAGAGAATCCAGAAATGAACCCAAATACTTACAGCCAACTTACCTTCAACAAAGCAAACAAAAATACAAAGTGGGGAAAGAACACCTTTTCAACAAATGGTGCTGGGATAATTGGCTAGCCACATGTAGGAGAATAAAACTGGATCCTCATCTCTCACCTTATACAAAAATCAACTCAAGATGGATTAAGGACTTAAACTTAAGACCTGAAACTATAAAAATTCTAGAAGATAACGTTGGAAAAACCTTTGTAGACATTGGCTTAGGTAAGCATTTCATGACCAAGAACCCAAAAACAAATGTAATAAAAACAAAGATAAATAGCTGGGACCTAATTAAACTAAAGAGCTTTTGCACAGCAAAAGAAACACTCAGCAGAGTAAACAGACAACCCACAGAGTGGGAGAAAATCTTCACAATCTACACATCTGACAAAGGACTGATATCCAGAATCTACAATGAACTCAAATCGGTAAGAACAAAACAATCCCATCAAAAAGTGGGCTAAGGACATGAATAGACAATTCTCAAATGGCCAACAAACATATGAAAAAATGCTCAACATCACTAACAATCAGGGAAGTGTAAATCAAAACCTGCAAGAATGGCCATAATAATAAAATCAAAAAACAGTAGATGTTGGTGTGGATGTGGTGAACAGGGAACATAACTATACTGCTGGTGGGAATGTAAACTAGTAAAGCCACTATGGAAAACAGTGCAGAGATTCCTTAAAGAGCTAAAAGTGGGGCCGGACATGGTGGCTCACGCCTGTAATCCCAGCACTTTGGGAGGCCGAGGTGGGTGGATCACCTAAGGTCAGAAGTTTGAGACCAGCCTGACCAATATGGTGAAACCCCATCTCTACTAAAAATATGAAAATTAGCCAGGCGTGGTGGCAGACGCCTGTAGTCCCAGCTACTCAGGAGGCTGAGACAGGAGAATTGCTTAAACCCAGGAGGTGGAGGTTGCAGTGAGCTGAGATCATGCCACTGCACTCCAGCCTGGGAGACAGAGAGAGACTGTGTCTCAAAAACAAAACTAAACTAAAAGTAGAACCACCATTTGATCCAGCAATCCCACTACCCAGTAGTGTGGGATTGCTGGATCAAATGGTGGTTCTACTTTTAGTTCTACTTTTACTGGGTAGTGAGATTGCTGGATCAAATGGTGGTTCTATAGAAAAAGAAGTCATTATTCGAAAAAGATACTTTCACATGCATGTTTATAGCAGCACAATTCACAATTGCAAAATCATGGAACCAACCCAAATGCCCATCAATCGACGAGTGGCTAAAGAAACAGCTGTGTATATGTATATATATAATATATACATATATAATAATATATAATATATACATATATAATAATATATATAGTATACGTACATATATGTATATATGTATACTATAATATGTAAAATAATATACAATAACATAATATATAATATATAATAATATATACATATATTTTATATGATGGAATGCTGTGCAGCCATAAAAAGGAATGAATTAACAGCATTTGCAGGGACCTGGGTAAGAGTGGAGACTATTATTCTAAGCGAAGTAACTCAGGAATGGAAAACCAAACATCGTATGTTCTCACTGATATGTGGGAGCTAAGCTGTGAGAACGCAAAGGCATAAAAATGTTATAATGGGCTTGGGGGACTTTGCGGGAAGAGTGGGAAGGGGGCGAGGAATAAAAGGCTGCAAATATGGTGCAGTGTATACTGCTTGGGTGATAGGTACACCAAAATCTCACAAATCACCACTAGAGAACTATGTAACCAAATACTACCTGTACCCCAAAACCTTATGGAAAAATGATAAATTGTCAATAAATAAAAAAAATAGTGGAAGTGTTCAGAAAAAGGTAGAGAAAGTTCCTTTAAATTGACTTAACATTGATATTATCACTGAATATGCACAATGTATTAATTATACATAGAATAAGAATGTACTGGGAAGTCTAAACAGCAGAGATCTGAATTAATAGGTAGGATGTAGTCAGATTCCATGCTAACTCACATTTAAAAGGTTTTTCATTATCTCAAAATAGAATAAAACATAGTTTGTTATTATCCATGGTAATCAAAAATATAGCTAGCGTAATGGATAAGTAATCCCTGAACCTCACCATAGGTCATGGTTTAGCTACCATCACAAAAACTTATCCAGAGCTGAAACTAAGGCACTAAACAGTCTCAGGTAACTTCTACTCTCCTTTCTTCTCATCATCCTTTGATTGGAAAGACAGAGTTCAAGTGGCTTATAGGAAATTTGCGGATAAGCAAGTATGCTTGTATAATGACAACACGAAAATACAAGTGTCTGGAGAAGCCAACTTGATATTTTTCACAATTAATGTAGAATACGCTGTCAGAAGGAGACCACCTATTTAAAACTTTTCTTACTTATAAGTTGATTCATAACATTTAGAATTTGAAGCAGCGTGTAGGCAACGATTTGTAAACCACCACCTATGGATGGAGACATTGGAAGTCATCATTTGGGGTGCTGTTCATGTGATCTATAAAATTGACTGGAGAATATTTACAGGATCAACACATTTCATTTCATCCAAAGGTGACAGTAGGCCCTGACTTTATGTATCAGTTTCTACTAACTTTGAAAATCAATCCATCAGGCCACTCCATTTCCCGTAGCAAATATTTAACCAACGTCATCAATGTCTCAAAGCACATAGTGTATGTTCAAGCACGGTGGTATTTAATACAATATTACTGAGGAACATTTTGGGTCTCAGTAAATAATGAATACAAAGATAACTATGCTCAAAGAAATTTACAAATAGTTCCTCTCTCAGAGATGGTACAATTTTTGTGCTTGTCAAATGAAAACAGTAATACTGGTTCAATTCTTTTTACTCTTTGTGAAACAGTAGCTACCAAAGGTTTATTTTTTTTTCTTTGGGTGATATTTCTAGATGAAGTGAAGTGCCTGAAAATTTCTTTTAATTTATTTGCAAAGCCGAATTCAGCACCATGATTCATTGTAACTGCTTCAGAACACCATGTGAGAATAAAAAATAAAAACTCAGTAGAAAGGAAAATTCAAAGCAAGCTGTTTGTTAGAATCAATTTTTTTTTTTTTTGCAAGCATAGCACTTCAATCTCAATAGTGTTTCAAAGCCTCCAAAGCTTATAATGGTGTTGATACATATATTTGTTCCTCTCTGAAAATAACAGTCCAAGAGATAATGAAACCATAATTTCAAAATATTGCAACCAATATAAAATGGCTACATGTGTGATTCTGAAACACTCTATATGAGCACTGTCTGTAAAATAATCATGTATTAAACACAAGGAGTAAGGAAAAATAATTTTTTTAAAGGGAAGGCAAAGCAAGGAAATACTCAATATTGTGAAATAGCACTCTATTCAAATCAACGTTTCATTAATCCAACTTGAATAAACTTAATTCCCTCCCACATCTTAATCAAGACAGCCTTGAAAGGATAGAAACTTGGAGATGGAGTTAAAAGTCAGTGAATTTAGCAAAGCCAATTTGTTCCTTTATGTAAGAAATTACATCAATATCAAATGCCTTTTCTTTTCTTTTCTTTTTTTTGAGATGGAGTTTTGCTTTGTCACCCCAGCTGGAGTGCAGTGGTGCGATCTCAGCTCACTGCAACCTCCACCTCCCGGGTTCAAGTGATTCTCCTGCCTCAGCCTCCCAAGTAGCTGGGATTACAGGCACCCGCCACCACGCCTGGCTAATTTTTGTATTTTTGTAGAGACAGGGTTTCGCCATGTTGGCCAGGCCAGTCTTGAACTCCTGACCTCAGTTGATCCGCCCAACTCGGCTTCCCAAAGGCTGGGATTACAGGCATGAGGAACCACACCGGCATATCAAAGGCCTTTTCTATCACACAGGAGTGCAATTTTAAACCCTTTTAGTATAGTCTTTAGATGATTGTGGAAAAATTGTATCTGTCGGTTTGTACATGCATACTCATAAGCGCATTACACAGTATATTTACTTGCAGCTGGCGTACATTGGGTGAAAAGGGGAGAGCTAACACTTATTTTTAAGTTTGGTTTTCTTTCTCATTTATCAAAGGGTTAAAATGAGGTTCCAGTTGTAGGTATGGTTGAATACAAAGTTTTGTTTGTATGTTTGTTATTTATGGATTCTCTCCAATATTTTTTGAAGTTCTTGGGAGTCTTCCAAAACATCGGTTGGAAATCAGTATGACAGTCCTAAGTTTCTTGTTTTATTAGTGGGAAGACTGGAGGTTAAATGACTTACCAAATACTATGTAATTGGCAGATGAACTTCTGAGACCAGCATCAGGGTCCTACTTTACCACACTGAAGAAACTTATTTTGACCTTTATTCTTGTGCCAGCAAGGCTTTCACTAGTTTTATTTCCCTTTAGTTTAAAAATATGTAACTGCCATTTTAAGATTTGAATTTAATTCTTCATGCAACACACTCTGTGATATAAAACAAAAATGAACATGTATCTTTTAAAAATTAGTATCATTTTGGACCTGGTGCTTTTGTTTCTTCTCCCCTTCAATACCTTCAGTAAACATTTCACAGTGAAATATTTCAAACTGTTTTCCAAAACCCTTTATTATGACATAATTGGTTTATAAATTTAGACTTGTTTGAAATTCTAATACCATAAGGAATGTATTAAAAGCCACACTCAGAAGAAAATCAATAAATGCATACAAAATATTTTTAATAATCTAAATCTACATATACTTTTTGTTTTCTGTACACACACGTGTATATGTATATGTATATATGTGTATATATAAGTGTGTGTGTACAGAGAACAAATATATATAGACAAATTACAGACTAAAAAATGTAAGTTAAATGATAAATAATAAACTGGAAAAATTTGCAACACATATGAAGATTTATTTTCTTGATTTGCAAAGAGCTTACACAAAACTGACAAAGTAAAATAACATACATATACACACATATCCGTATGCATACACACATATTTATGCAGATTCCAGAAAAGTAAGTATTAAAGAGAATACCATAAAGAAAAGATGTGGTAGTACACAAAACAGATTCTCTAAGAAGATGAAAAAATGATTTTATACCACTTGGTATCAAAGTGTTCACAATCTCTACTACATAATGATGTATGTAAAATTAAAAATCCTGCCAGTGATCAGGATTGGGAATGATCCAGCAGATTCAACAGGGAGACAACTATAAGTAGGTTTGGAAAGAGTAGATTTATGATATAAAATACTTCACATAGAAATCACTTTACATAAAAATGTAATGATATGCAAAGTTTTTTCCTAGAAACTGCTTTAAAATGTTTAAAGCATTTAAAAGAGAAAACTGGAATTGAGATGTCTAAAGATTATATATATTTAGAAAAATATTTTACTGATTCTAAAAATAGAGGGCGTTTACTAGCTAGTTCAATATGTGTATGTGTACACATCCATACACAGAAGCTAGTACACATACATATATTGCATCTGTAAATTTATTTGTATAAATGCATATTACTCTAACGTAGATATTTATATTGGTGTAATTATATGCGAGATTGACGTTCACAGAATAAAACATGGAATCTTATAACAACACTTGGGAATTTTTAATTTCTGAGATACCCCATTGCCCATGGTTAGAAACCACTTCATGTGGATCTGCAATTAATTTTGTAAACAAAGCTTTTTAATTTGCTTTAAAATTTTTGATATACATTTAAATTGTTGCTCAAAGCAAATTTACATAAAACCTTTGAACTTCTCTGAATTAAATCACATACCCTTGGAAGTAAATTAGGACCTGTGAGAGCTCTTATTGACTGACTTTCAGAGTAGGTGTGTTCATTTATATTTCTTTGAGTGTTTTGTCATTTCCAAGTTAAAAAATTTTTAGATTAGAATTTTACATTTCAGGAGTTTTAATGAGCAACTTTTAGTCATAAAAATCACAGCCAATAATTTTTAGGTAGACATGGTTTTCTTGGAGTTGTTTTAATAAACTATACTCATTTTTAGCGAACACCTTTCTATGTAGTATCCAACTCACTGATTTTGCAAGCTCCTGAGTCAAGTAATCATGTGAAAATACTCGCATTGTTTAATTATTGAAGGGGTAAAATAATAATTTTATTGATGGCATTTGAAATTTAATAAGATTTCTGCAATGTATTTTGGAAGCCTTAAAATATATACTATATCATTGTTTTCAGAGGGTGGAAATTTTAGGAGTTGCTGCTTTTGAATGTCTTCATTGCTTCACATATTATTTTCTATTATATGTTTTAACAATGAAGACATTTAAATGATTCTTTATAAATGCATGTCACTTATATTTCATATTTAAAATGTTCAAGGAAACAGTCCAACACAAAGATGTCTTTTATTACTTCCTCACTACCTGTTACTGCTATGCAACAATTTACATCCTTTTTTAAATTTTTCCTGATTTAAGGCAACTCCATCCTTCCAATAGCTCAGGTCAAAATCCTTGTGGTCGTCCTTGATGCCTGTTTCTCTCTCATACTCTCCATTCAATTTGTCTGCATAATCTGTCAGCGATGTGTCATAATACCCCAGAAACCAGCCACTCTCAGAAACCAGCGTTCCCTGCTGCCCGCAGTGTCTGAGTAGCCTTCTCTTTGCCTGCGTCACTGTAGTAGACTCCTAACATCCAGCCTTTGGCTTTTGTCTTGCTCCCGTCAGTTTCTTCTCAGCACGACCACTAGAGTGGTTCTGCAAATATAAAAACTAGCTCTTCACACTCTCCTGTGTCTGCCCATTTCATTCAGGGTCTTGCATGGCTCATGAAGCTCTCAGGGTGCCCCCAACACCATCTCCCACCTCATCTTGACTCTCCCACCTGCTCTCTGTAGTCCAGCCACAACTGGCCTCACTACTGTTCTTTGGACACTCCAAACATGTTCTCACTTGAGGCCATTGGACCTGGCTCTTTCATCTGATATGAATGCCTTTTCCCAGAAAGAATCAAGTTTGCAATACATCCTAGTATGTCCACAAGATTTAGAATTTTACCACCACCTCCAAGAATCCCACACTGTATTTTTTAAACACCTGACTCTGCTTTGCTGTTCTCATTATTCATATAGTATTTATCAATGTCTAATATCTTATGTGATATATTTATTTGCTTTTTTTTTTGTAATCTATCTTGCTTTTTAATGATACATGCTACCGTGAGGTTAAAAAGTCACCAATACTCCCAAAGCACAGTACCACGGATATAGTATGTGCTGAATAGATATTTGAATAAATACATTTCAGTGTCTTTATCTTAATATTCACCCGAAATTCTATTTAGTAATAACACTCTAGATATCATCATGATAAGATAGTAAACCTAAATGACTTTGGATGTTAGATATAAAAATACTAATTTTTTTCTCAGTAGAACTTTGACAGAGTAATTATTAAATACCAACTGGAATATTAAGGGCAGCTTACAGCTTAAGGTCCCTTACACAATAGCTAGCCTTGTTTTATATACTGCAGGGGCTTGTCTATTCAATAGAAGAGATAGAAAGGCTCACCAACATGAAATATGAATAGTCCATGAAGTTCTCACAAAGACATAGACATGGCCAGAAGAGGATTCTTGTAACTTTGGATCAAGCTGTAAATTAATTAGGAAATTAATTTAACATTTCTAGAATGGGAGAATGGATGTGATTTATAAAACAATGAAGGCATTTATTTCAGGCTGAGGCTAGACATTATGGAAAGGTACAAAAATGGTAAATCTGGGGATCTTCATGAACTAGAGGACATGAATTGGTGAGGAATGAAAAGTGAGTGTCCTTAGACAAGAAATGGTCAGTTTGTGATACACTTTTTCAGCCATGACAAGATTTTCTCTGATGTGTTTAAAAATCATGAATGTTGCAATGTTAAGACTAAGTAAAGTAACTGAAAAAATTGCTAATTCTTATATGTAATTACACTATAAGTTTTTAGTACCTGTTTCTGAGCCAAATTGATATTAATAATTTTAAAATACCGTAATTGTAAGAGTAATTTGTTACACTAAATCTTTTGATACATGAATTAAAAAATTGTATTTTCAATATAATTAATTTATATAACATGTATTATATAAAGTTACAATTATGTATATATCTTAATAAATATTAAGACTTAAATCATTCATGTGATTTATATGAGACTAAATAATTTGTACATCATCATATATATCTGATGGGTCTAATCCCTAGGTAGTGTAATTTTAGATAAAATTATCATTCTACTTGAAATTCTAAATTTAAGTTAAACTTAGAAAAAAAGCAGAGGTCACTTTGAATTGGTTTTGGGTACGTGGTTTTGGGTAAGTAAAACTATCTAGGGGATCATACATTTCTTGTACACAAGAGAAAAGTTAATGCATTTACTATTCATATGGCATAAAAATAACTATTCATATTGCAATGAAGTATTTTTCTTTAGAATATTAGAATAGTCAAGCATTACATCTCTTTCTGTAAATAAGGTATAAATATTTTCAGTCAATGAAAGTCATCACTTCTATTTGGATCAAAATTCCCAAGGATAAACTTTATATTAAATTTTCATCATTAAAAATGGCCTATTTCTATAGAGATTATCAAACATTAAGATGGCATAATTCAGAATAAACAACTTGCCTAATTGAAACCTGACTACAGTACTAGGTGTTATCTCTATTTATATTTTATGGTTTGCTTCTTTTAATTTTCTCTTTTGCTTCTGAGGGAATTTAAAAAGCATTTAAAATTAGCTTCTAGCTTTCAATAGCAGCTAGAAGGACATGTGTGCGGATAGCATTGGTATCAATTAAAATTCTGATCATTCCTTTTTTGCCCCTAAGAGTAAGATCAGCATTTTTAGAATGGGAATAAAAAGGCAAAGCTAAACAATATTCTAGTTATTTCCTCAAAATTGAAATTGCAAGAAATTAAACAGGAGTTTAATTAACACACTGTTTTGAGCCTTTTTAGGTAAGTTCTGAGAGGAATGCTCTTGAAAAGTAGTGGTTCAGGTTTGCTTTCTGTGAATGAGGTTTGGTTTTCAGAACTTCATTCAATAGTAATTTAATTACTAAGATAGACTAATTTTAGCCTTGGGAGATAGTATTTGTGCAAAGTATTTATTTACTCTTCTCCTGAAACTTACTTGAAAACAAAACCTTGCTATACCTCTTCTCACAAGCCTCTCATCCTAGATTGTTCCTGTATTTGTGGCTAAAAGCTCTATGAAAATTTACTGTAAAAGTTCATTTTTCTGCAGTTACCAAGGAGGAATTTCAATTGCACATGATACCCAAAGCCAGTTCATCTCAAGAAAGGGTTGAGGAGAATGAGAGGAAAGGCAGTTAGGTCACTAAAAATTGATTCTATTACTCTTGCCATGTGTTTATGACAGCATGTCCTAAAGTTGTTCTGTACTTTTCTTCAGATATAAAGATTAATTTTAATGGAATAGAATATCAATCTATTAATTATAAATTTATAATTTAATTTATTTATGTCTGTCTCTTTTTTGTCTCTCAGTGGTTGATTAATTCATGTTAATATACTGTGGGCCATAAAGTATGCATTTAAAAGTTGGATACCGTTCACTGCATAAGTTGGATAGAGAAAATTGAACAATATATAAATTTAGCTAGTGGAAATTGATGACAGAACAGTATTTAAAAAAAACACTTGCAGCCTTAATAAACTACCCGTCAACAATGATGATGACTTCTCACTCATGCTAGAGGTGATAAACGTGCAGATGTATAAATGAGAGATGAGCTGACAATGAACAGACTTAGAAATTAACAGCATTCTAGGTTATTACAGAGAATGGTTATCAAGCCCAGTGGACACTCCACATGTTTCAATTAAGATCAAGCTATTAGAAATGACTCACTGGAAGGTAGTAACTCAACTTCTAAAAAAAGTAGTATCTCTAGGAAATCTCCTTTAAAGAAAGCCAGAGGCAGAAGGAAGGCATTAATATATTAATGATTCATATTACAGATTCAGATGACTCAAAAATGTCATTCATGGCTCAATTTTTTAAAGCATGACTTAAGTATTGAAATCTAGAATAAGCTGCTGTTAGTCCAAATATCGGTTAAATGTGTCTTAAGCAGGAAAAAAAGTGACACATTAAGAATCGGCTGAAGAGTGATTAACGAAAACATACTTGCCAAGACACTAGTAGGTTTAAGGTAATCCTACAAAGGATGCTAATGTATTTTGGGAAGCAAGAAACCTTAATTCAGTTGGATGCTGGTTCGTGTTTATCAACTGGCTCTGGTGACAGGGAGTGGGGCTCTGATTTATAACATGTGCCAATTTCTGCCATGTAAATATTCCCGCTGTGGCTGATTTTAGACTGTGTTTAACAATCACCTCATAAAATTCCTGACAATTTGACAATTGCATCTTATAAGCCACTGGAGTCAGCTCTTGCACAGCACTGGCCAGAAGGGGCAGAGGGAGGGAGCTCTGCTAGTGACTGATGACTCACATTTTGCAGTTTAGAAAGTGAGGTTTTAATCCTGACTTTGCTAGTTATTTGCCTGGCAACTTTGAACAAGTTATGCATATTTACTGAGCTGAAGTTTTGTCACCAGTAAAATGGTACTAATGGCTTTACTAACATCATAAAGTTAGTGTAATGATTAAATAAGGTGATGCATGTAAAACATTTTGAAGAATATCTGACAAAGAGTAATTTTTTAACAAGTAGTATTTATTGCCTATTTATTGCCCATACATGCAAGCCTCCATTTATTATGAGAATTACAGCTATTACATTTTTAATGCTTTTGCTTGAGGTGTGCCTATAATTTTATTTCTGTTAATCACAGACCGCTCTTAAAAATAAATTCTCACTGACTTGAAAGTCAAATACATATCAATTTTAGTTTCCCAAAGCTCATGTAGTTTAATGTTGTTATTTTTAATTGTCATCCTGTAGATGAAAGCAAACAATAACACTCTAATGAATATTTAAGTATGGCCGATTCTCCTGCCTCGGCCTTCAGAGTAGCTGGGACTACAGCTGCGTGCCACCATGCCCAGCTAATTTTTGTATTTTTAGTAGAGACGGGGTTTCATCGTGTTGATCAGGATGGTCTCGATCTCTTGACCTTGTGATCAGCCTGCCTCAGCCTCCCAAAGTGCTGTGATTACAGACATGAGCCACCAAGCCTGGCCAAGTTTCCTTTTTAAACATTTCTTTCCTCTTGGAATAAATGCAGAGAATACGATGTGTTATTGTTTGAAGAATACGATGATGAGTGACAGACTATGGTATACCCCATTGTTTTTCACTTTTATTCTGTCAGTTGTTTTCTTTTTGTTTCAATGTAACATTTCTCCACAACTTTGCACCTCTGTCTTCTCAAGTTTGGAATTATCTTACAGCCTCTCCAATCACATATCCTTATAAAGTGTCAACAAATAACTTTCACTCACAATATCTATTCTAATTCTCAACATCGTCCTTCTGAAGTAAGCACTACATTTGGATGTGGATATTGTGGTTCATGGAAGTTAAGTATTTTGCCCCAAATGATACATGTAATAGCGACAGATCTGGAATCTGAATTCAGGCCAGTTGGATACCAAGTTAGTGATGTATTCAAGAGGCAGAATGACACAACCGAGCAGGAGAAGAGAGGACTTTTGTTGGGAACCATTAGCTCAGGAAGCATGGGTTGAGGCAGAAGAGATGTTAAAACTACAGTCCGGTGGAAAATCAGTTAAAGTCATTTGTATTAAGAAAAACTAAAACTAAGAGTAAGTCTTTGGACTGATAAACTACTAATCACAGGGAGTTGAAGGATGACTTTGCTTTTTGTCAAGCAGAACTTCCAGAGCAGATGAGAACATATACAAAGGTCATGACCCTGTTGAAATGGTCTTAGGAGAAGAGTTTCCTTTTTATTGTTATTATTTTTTATTTATTTATTTATTTATTTTTTTGAGACGGAGTCTCCCTCTGTTGCCAGGCTGGAGTGTAGTGGCGCAATCTCGGCTCACTGCAACCTCTGCCTCCCAGGTTCAAACGATTCTCCTGCCTCGGCCTCCAGAGTAGCTGGGACTACAGGTGAGCGCCACCATGCCCAGCTAATTTTTGTATTTTTAGTAGAGACGGGGTTTCATCATGTTGATCAGGATGGTCTCCATCTCTTGACCTTGTGATCAGCCCGCCTCGGCCTCCCAAAGTGCTGTGATTACAGACATGAGCCACCAAGCCTGGCCAAGTTTCCTTTTTAAACATTTCTTTCCTCTTGGAATAAATGCAGAGACCAGCTGTATTAGGGAATTCTGGTAAGAGTCTTCTACTGGGGACCTGTGATAGGGGAAGACAAATTGGATTGGATCAGGAAAGGGTTCAGGTTTAGTTCACAATATTTGATAGAGAAACAATTTGATGTTTCCCAGTAATGGGCCAGTCCTAATTTTTGAGGTCTAATCAGTTACTTTGCTCCATTTTATATAAACATTATTGTCCCCTGTGGAGAATGTTCATAGAAATGACTTTAGTCTGTGTGAGATGACATTTAATTTGTACTTGTAAAACTGCTTTAAAGTGTAAATTTGACATGTGCTCCTCAGGAGAGTAATTTGGGTATGGCATGCAGAGATTTAATAAAAATAAATCAAAACACATACTTTCTTACAAATATGTTTTTAAAAATCCAATGACTGTGTTCAGTGATGCTTAGAAAATAATATGTGAACTGTACTACAATGATGTACCTTAAAATTTAGTGAAACCTCAAAGATAAGATGGATCCAATTAAATAAAATCAGAACCAAACTTAATACCACACTATTTTTATAGTCAATGTTAGAATGTATGAACGGTAATTGTTTTAATATTTAACACAGACAAGTTTTGGTATAGACTCTTGTTCTTTACTAAGAGGTGTATCTGGCTACAGTTACCACTCAATTGATGATATTGATACACAGTCATTAAAAAGTTTAACCAAAAGATTTTTGCAGCCTGTATCAGTGCAGTGTGTGAAACAGTATGCCTCTACATAGTAAAGAAGCTCAGTGTAATAACACAATGTGGAAAAGCAAAAATAATAAATCCCATTGAATACACCAATAAAAACTCTGATTATTCTTAGGAATCATGCAGTGTAACAACTTGACCTTATTGTAAGTCATTGTATAATATGTTATTGTAGAGCTTACAATAAATTAATTTTAAATTGTTACCTTATTGTAACAAATAATGATATATAAAATCTTGCATAGGGAAGTGGTGTTGAGGTGGTGGCAGAGAGTATACGCTCTAGCGTGAGAGTTGACCTCTCTTTCTTTAAGTTTACTTTCCTTTAAAAGAGTGACAACAATAATACTTCCCTGGTAGGGCTAAGAAAAGGATTAAATGAGACAACAGGTAAACAGTACTTAGAACAGTGCAAGCAAGGTACAGCCTGAGTTCAATAAATATCACCATCATTATTCAATTCTCTTAAGAAGTAATTACTTTTAGGGGTACTTCCCAAGACACATGCTAGCTATTTGTGGAAATTTGGTACAAATAATGATTTAAATATGGTAAAGTTTATGTGATATTTTCCTTTTCCTCCACTTGCTTGTACAGCATTTATTAATTGTATTCACAGGATGTAGCTAATTTTTAAAACCCAAGGGGTATATTATTAGTTATACTACTGAATGGAGTTGCAAAGGAGTCCATAAATACACACAGAAGAATTGCTCTCTAACACTAATCATTATATATAAAATACTGTAGGAGATGCTCTCATACTTTGAGGTCATAATTTATCCTGTAGTATATCTTGGACCTGTTTCACAGTTGCTGACCTTCTAGCTCATTATAGCCTACTATATAGCTGCTTATGATTATTATGTGATTAGACTGATGATGTGATTAGAAGGAGCCAGACAGCCTCAGAGATGCTGTAGTAGCAATGATTAAAAGTAATTTTCTTGATGATAGGGAAAAAAAGTCATGTCTGATTTCTAATGTAATTGGAAAGCATGAGATGGCAATTTATGTGAATTATTATATCATACTAATGAGAAAATATATATTTACATATTTTTTAAAGATACTATCTTATTTTCTCTAATCATAGAGAAAAATACTTTCAGTCTTCACACATATGTTTGCTCATAGTTCACACAAAACCCAATAATTGTGAAGATAATCACAGAAAGATCACATCTCTGGGAACTGTCAAAATGCAGAGTCTTGGGGTCTGCTTTCTTTCTGGGAGCCCTGTTATTTGCACAGGTCACAGGCAAACTCACCAGCACATCTGAGATACTTTATCCTCTGTATTCAACAACCACTCATTTTTTCTGTGTGTGACTAAATTTTGTCATGTCTCTGACTATTCAAAAAATCATATGAAATTAAAGAAAGATAAGTACAAGAAAGCAAGTCTGAAAAATATTCCCCAGTTAGATAATGTTTGCAATAGAACCCTGCCAACCAAATAATGATAAACTCAATCCATTAGCAATTAAGAGACCCAAGATTACCCAATGACCTGCATTCATCAGACCATACATTATCTGATCTGGTTGGTACACCTTGACTCCTTTATAGAGTAATAATTCTCACTCCAGTGCTGTCAGCCTCCATGTCATTGAAGTTGCACAGGAACTGTAATCTTTGTCTCATTTTTCTGACCAAACTCCCAATCTCTCAACTCAAAACCAATCCAGCTATCCATCTTTTTTGTTCTGCATTCTGACTCCTGCAAACTGTTAGATTAAATCATGCATTTGAGCAGATTGGTGTCATCACACTTTCTAGGAACCCAGTGGCACCTGGGCCCCAATGCAGCTCAGCAATATTGCTATGCCCGTTGGTCATTACCTGTGCTGCTCATCGTAGCACCTATTTCAATTCTTTACTTTTCCCCTCACAAAAATCTACTCTACCAACAGTAACTTTTCTCTACGGATAGTTTCTCCTGCTTCTTCACAGAGAAAATTGGGTCCTTTAACCTACAATTAAAACGTTTCCCTTTCTACTCACTCCCACACAGCCTGTGTGTATATTCTAGTATGTCCCATTAAACATAGATCCTTCTTCTGACCTAATGTTTCTCTTTAGCTACTGCTTTATCTTTTTCCTTCATTTTATAGCCAAGCTGTTTACTATATGGCTTAAATTAACTAACATAGTTAGTGTCTCATTTAAAATTTTAATCTGTAGTAAACAGACTTCTACCCCCATCAGCTTCACTGGAAATATTCCTGTTAAGTTCTCCACTTACTTTCTAAATGTCTTAGCCAAGGAATTCTGTCCAATCCTTATTTTACTTGAAGTCTCTATAGCCCTTATATTTATTCTTAGAGGTATAAGTTATTTGTGTCTCTACTTTGAGGATTATAGTTTCCATCGTAGAAACTTTTCCCTTTATAACAAGGGAAAAATATATGCATATCCCCACCTCCCATGATAAAGCAATGTTTTAACATTTTCATAGATGTCTTTCAATGATTTTTTTCTATACATATATATGTATTTTATACATGTGAACATTGTGCTATTTTTGTTTAACATGTCATAAATATTTTCTCACATTATTAAATAATCTTTAAAGATGAGATTTTTAAGGCTGTACAATATTCATTATATGAACAAAACATTATTTAATTCTTTTGTAGTTACTAGAAATTTCAGTTTTACATTATTTTACCTTTATTGTGGTATAACACTTTGCTTTTTTAACAACTATATATTTTTCCCTTACTTTTTAGTTCCTGTGGCCAAAAGGAAACAAAAAAGTTGTCCTTTGTAGCATTTGTTAGTTTCTCTGGTGTAAATAATTCCACCATGGTCAATTTCACATTACCAACAGCATGCCACTAAATGAAGAGATGGAATGATCTCTCAATCTGCCAATCAAAACTGGGGCCAGCGAACCACTGCCAGTGGTCCTTCTGCTCCTATTCAGGCACCAGAGTTTTCTGTGTTTACTGTCTCAAAATTAGAACCATCCGCCCAACAAAAAACAAGAAATTTTGGCTTCGAGATCCAGTTTGGACCGTAAAAAATAATCAAGTCTCTTTGATGGTACGGGGGTTGAGTTGTGTGTATACTGTCAGGACGTTATAGGGCTTTATAGATTTTCTAGCAGCTCAGCACGATACATACCAAAAATAATTTCCAATTTGCCCTAGAGGGCAAAGATAGGGAGATGGACACACTGAAATGATCCTTTGGGGACTTAAGAAAATGACACTGCTCTAGACGAATAACTATAGACTGGTATGGAATATGGGCATCTCAGAAGATGCTGGCAGGAATAGCTAGCGGTGATCCCTTATACATAGCTTCTCTTTTCAACATCTTGACACTTAAAACTTAGATAAGTCACTTAGGGAAGTTATAGGAGTGGGAGTTAGGGGGAGATGAGATTAAATCAAATCAACTTTGCAATGCCTGGAAGAATAGAAGCTCAAAAAAGAAATAAAGTTCAATTTCAGAAAAAAATAAAGTTGGAATTACCTGTGCACTTGAATTTAGAAAATGAGCTTTCTATTCACCATTTTCTATAAATAATGCTTCTATGTGTACTCTGATAAATAAACTTTCTTCTGCATCTCTAATTAATTAAAAAAATGAACTCCTAGCAAAGCAACTGTAGGGTCAAAGGAAATAAACAATTTTAAGGTTCTAGAAATTATCAAAGATTGCCTCACAGAAATCTCATAGCAATTTACAGGGTAAACAACCTTGAATGGATCCAGCAATCTTCCAACATCATACCCCACCAACTCCCACCTGCCCAAAAGCAGCTAGAGAATGCTGGTACTGAGACAGATAACCTAGGGTATCCAACCATGTTCTGAAAGGTTTGCATTTAAAAGTATTTATGCATATGCAGTCAGAAATATATATTACATTCTTGAGAAAACTAAAAATTCTCTTTGCTAGACCTGTCTGTTACATATCTCCTCTAATGATGACTGTTGCTTTTTACTTTGTAGTCAAAGATTTCCTGAAACTCATGAAGTATGTGGTCAGTGGTATCTTCTGAGGCAGGGTTGATGACGGGGCCACTTTTGCAGGGGAGGGATTAATGATGTTCTCATCCTTCCTCACAGGCCTAGCTTCATCAATGTCCAGCCTCCAGAGGGCCTTCCCAGGAGGGTAGGCATTAATGCAAGCAAGTGGTGGTCTGCATAGCTGAGCAGAGTCTGCTGTGTTTCTGATAAATTGTGAAGAGCCATAGACCTTTGCCTAATGAAGGGCCTCAAGCTCCTGCTGGTAAGAATTTGACCTTTTATTCAAATTAAAATGGGGAACCTCTGCAAGGTTTGAAAATTGGTAATGAGATTATCGGATTTGTGGGTTTAATTTTATTTTAATTTTTTAATTTTTTTTTTTTTTTTGAGACAAGGTCTCACTCTGTTGCCCAGACTGGAGTGCAGTGGCATGATCATTTCTCACTGCAGCCTCGACCTCTTGAGCCTAAGCAATCCTCCCACCTCAGCCTCTGGAGTAGCTGGGACGATAGGCACATGCCACGATGCCTGGCTAAGTTTTTAAATTTTTTTTGTATTGACAAGGTCTCACTGTGTTGCCCAGGCTGGTCTTGAACTCCTGAGCTCAAGCAGTCTTCCTACCTCGGCCTCCCAAAGTTCTGGGATTACAGGCATACCACCACATGACCAGCAGGGGCTTGTGTTTTAAAATATAACTCCAGCTGCTCTTCAGAGAATAGGATGAAACACTGTCAAAAGCAGAAGAAAAGAGACCAGTAGAGAGGTTCTTGCCTATGAGAGATGATGGTAGATTGGTAGAGTGCTGCTCGTAATATGGAAACTGCGTTGGGAAATTTTCAGTGTCTTTTAACATTTTTGACTGATGAAAGGTCCATTAAATAATCCTAGAGAATTGTGTTCAAATGTGGTTACAATTTCATGATTCAAAACTTGACAAGTACAAGCTATCAGTTTTAATTGCAGGGTTTATTTTTGGTCCTTCATTTGTTTCAAATGATTGTTTCAGCTAGAATCAAATGTGTATTATGCCACTGATAGAGAACTAGAAGAGTGTCCCTTTAAAAAAAATTTCACCAACAGTATAACTTTTAGTCACAATTGAGCAGGAATTGGGGTATCTAAGAATACCAGGATGGGAAAAGTATCAATTTTTCTTAGAGACAAAACTGGTTCAGAGGGACCATTGGTGTTCTTAAATTTTTTAAATTGTGGTTAAATACATACAACGTAAAACTTGCCATTTTCGCTATTTTTAAGTATGCAATTTAGTGGCATTAGTTATATTCACAGTGTTGGACAGCCATTGCCATTATCTATTTCCCAAATTTTTCGTCAGCGCAAAAGAAACTCTGTTTCCATTAAGCAACATTCTCCATTCCTTCCTTCCCTAACCCCAGATAATCTCTAATCTACTTTTTGTTTTTATGAATTTGTATATTCTGGATCTTGAACAAGAGTGGAATCATACAATATATGACCTTTGGTGTTTGGCTTATTTCGGTTAAATAATGTTTTCAAGGTCGTAGCATACAACAGAACTTCATTTCCTTTTATGGCTGAATAATATGCCATTGTATGCATATGCTCCATCTTGTTTATCCATTCATCTGTTGGTGGCTACTTGGGTTGATTCCACCTTTTGGCTATCATGAATAATGCTGCAGTAAACATTCATGTACAAGTATCTGAATCCCTGTTTACAGTTATTTAGGGCATATACCTAGAAGTAGAATATCTGGGTTATATGGTAACTCTATGTTTAACTTTTTGAGGGACTGTACCAGTGGCTCCACTATTTTACATTCCTACCAGGAATGTAAAAGTATCCTACTTTCTCCACATTTTTGGCAACAATTATTTTCAGTTATTATTATTATTACAGCCAATTTAGTGAGTGTAAAGTGAAATCTCGTTGTGGCTTTGATTTGCATTTCCATAATGAGTAATGATTTTTGAGCATATTCATATGCTTATAGGCCATTTTTATATTTTCTTTAGAAATATCTATTCAAGTCCTTTGTCTGTGTTTAAATTTGTGTGTTTGTCTTTTTGTTGTAGAGTTTTACGAGTTCTTTATATATTATCAATATTAAACTTTTGTCAGATATATGGCTTGTAAATAATTTATCCCATGTGTAAGCTTTCTTTTCACTTTCTTGATAATTGTTTTTTATATGAAAGCTTTTAACACTGATGAATTCTAATTTGTCTATTTTATTTATTTTGTTGCTCATACTTTCAGTGTAATGTGTGAGAATCTGTCACCAAATCCAAGATCATACAAAATTTACCCCTGTGTTTTCTACGAAGAGTTTTGTGGTTTTAGCTCTTATATTTAGATTGTTAGTCTATTTTGATTTAAGTTTTGTAAATGGTGTGAGGTTGAGATAAAAGTTTATATTTTGCATTTGGAAATCCAAGAGTTACAGGATTATCTATTGAGAAGTTATTATTTCTTCATTGAGTGGAATTGGCTCCCTTATTGACAATTAATTTACTATAAATATATGGGTTTCATTGCTGGAGTCTAAATTCTGTTCAGTCACTCTATTTGTCTGTCCTTATGACAGTACCACACTGTAGCTCTGTAAAAAGTTTTAAAATTGTAAAGTGTGAGTTCTCCATCTTTGTTCTTCCATGTTAAGATTATTTGGCTATGCAGGACCCCTTCAAATTCCACATGAGTGTGACAATCAGATTTTACATTCTTGAAAAAAATGGTGTCAGAATTTTGATAGAGATCGTTTTAAATCTGTAGATTTCTTTGGGTAGAATTGACATCTTAACAATATTACATCCTCCAGGCCCATGAACATAAGACGCCTTTCCATACATTTCATCTTTGGCTTCTTTCAAATTTTTTTTTAATTTGCAGTTTACAAGTTTTTCACATCCTTGATTAAACATATTTCCAAGTATTTTATTGTTTCGGATGGTATGAAATGGGTTTAATTTCTTTTTCAAATTTTTCATTGCATTTTGTATAGAAACACAAATTATTTCTGTGCATTGACTTTATACCCTGCAAGTTTGCTGAAATCATTTATTAGCTCTAGTCGCTCTCTTGTGGAATTTTAAAAATTTTTTGTATGCACGGGATCAGGCTATCTCTGAATGTAGATAGCTTTTCTTCTTTACTTCCAATTTGAATGACTTTTATTTCTTCTTTTTATCTAATCGCTATAGATAGAACTTCCAGTACAATGCTGAATAGAAGTGGTAAAAATGGGCATCCTGTCTTGTTTATACTTTAAAGGAAAACTTTCAGGTTTTCGGCATTGTATATATTAGCTATGAGGTTGATAAATTCTTTTTATCGTGGTAAGGAAGTGTTTCTAGTTTTCTTAGCGTTTTTATCATAACAGAGTGTTGGTTTTTGTCTAACGCCTTTTCTTCATTAATAGAGTTGTCACGTGTTTTGGTGTTCTGCTTTTTGGCACATATGTGACTATAATTGTTACATTTTTCTCAATACATTTATCATTTTATCAGTGATATGATAAAATGTTCTGCTTTGTCTTTGGAACAGTATCAATTTAAAGTCATTTTTTCCTTGATATTAGTGTAGCCTCCCCAGATCTCTTTTTGGTTGATTGTCTTAAATGTTTTTTTTCATCCTTTCATTTTCAATCTGTCTGCACGTTTTAGATCTTGGGTGAGTCTCTAATAGAGAACATATAGTTGGATAATTTTATACATTTCTCTAATGCCTGCGTTTTAATTGAAGAGTGTAATTCATATACACTTAAAGCAATTGCTGATAGAAAGAACATCTGCTCTTTTGCTATTTGTTTGCTGTATATTTATCCATTTCTTTTCTTTTTGTGCCTTCTTACCTTCCCTGTCTTGTTTTTAGTCCAATATTTCATGTGAGCTGTTTTGAGTCTATTCTCATTTTTTGGTGTATATAATGTGTGTGTGTGTGTGTGTGTGTGTGTGTGTGTGTGTGATAATAATGGGTATTACAATTATAATTTAAATTAATAAAAAATCTAGTTTGAATTTATACTTCTATAGCATATAAAAAACTTTGCTCCTATATAGCTATTCCCCCTTTATATTGTTGTCAAAAATTATATTTTTATACATTGTATGTTAAATAGTGTAAACCTATAGACTGTTATGCATTCGTCTTTTAAATACTGTAGAAAATATAGAGTTGCACATATAAAATACAATAATACTGGTTTTTATATTTGCCCATATAGTTATCTTTACTAGAGATCTTTATTTCTTTACATGGCTTCAAATTACCATTTAGTATCTTTATATTTTCACCTGAAGGATTTTATTTTTGCGTGTATGTCCCCCGCCCACCTGCCAGAGAGATTCACCTGTGGCCCCCTGCTATTCCTTTGGAGCACTTTCACTTGTGGCCCACCCCCTGCTCTACCAGAGTTCATTTGCCAGTGGCCCCTGACAGTGCTATTGTCAGCAGAACCTTGGTTCCCCCAGTGCAGGTAGTGTTTGACCTTGAGGGGCCAGAGAAGAAAACCATGGCCTGGTACCAGCCCCTCAGAGTTAGAGCATGCAGCCCAGGAGTACTGAGCTCAGTCTTAGCCCTCTGAAAACATCCAGAAATAAAGCCAATCAACTAAACCCAATTTACACCACAGTCAAACCCTCAAGGGCATTACAGAGAATAAAAGCTAAAAGCATCATCAAGAGGATAGGAACTTCAAAGATTAAAGAAACATCAGCCTACACAAATGAAAAAGAACAAGTGTAAGAATTCTGGCAACTCAAAAAGCCAGAGGGCCCCTTTACCTCCATATGAGCCCACTAGCTCTCCAGCAATGGTTCGAAGTGAAATGACCAAAATGACAACACAGAATTCTGATTGTGAATGGCAAAAAAGCACATTGAGATTCAGGAGAAAGATGAAACCCAATCCAAGGAATTCAAGAAATCCAATAAAACAATACAAGAGCTGAAAGACAACTAGCCATTTTAAGAAAGAATCAAACTGAACTTCTGGAATTGAAAAGTCCACTACAATAATTTTATAATTTAGTCAGAAGCATTAACAGCAAAATTGACCAAGCTGAGGAAAGAATCTCAGAGCTTGAAGACTGATTCTTTGAATCAACTCAGACAAAAATAAAGAAGGATTTTTAAAAATGAACAAAACCTCCAAGAAATAAGGGATTATGTAAAGAGACCAAGTTTGTGACTCATTGTTTTTCCTGAGAGAGGAGAGAAAGCAAACAACCTGGAAAACGTATTTGAGGACACAGTCCAAGAAAATTTCCCCAATTTCACTATAGAGGTTGACATGCAAATTCCAGAAATACAGAGAACTCCTGTGAGATAATATCCAAGATGGTCATCCCCAAGGCACATAGTCATCAGATTCACCAAGATCAGTGCAGAAGGAAAAATGTTGAAGACAGCTAGGGAGAAGGGTCAGGTAATATACTAAGGAATCCCCATCAAGCTAGCCGCAGACCTCTCAGCAGAAACCTTACAAGCCAGAAGAGACTGGGGCCTGTTTTCAGCTTTATTAAAAAAGAATTTTCAACCAAAAATTTTATATTCTACCAAATAAGCTTCATATGTAAAGGAGAAAGTAAAATTATTCTCAGGCTAGCAAATGCTAAGGGAATTTGTTACAACTAGACCAGCTTGACAAAATGTTCTTAAAGCAGTGCTAAACATGGAAATAAAAGAATGACAATTGCTACCACAAAAACACACGTAAGCGCATAGTCCACAGACATTATAAAGCCACTGTATGATAAAGTCTACAAAACATTCAGCTAACAATACGATGACAAGATTAAAATCCCACATGTTAATGCTTACCCTAAATGTAAATTATCCAAATACCCCATTGAAGAGGTATAGAGTGGCAAGCTGGATTAAAAAAAAAAAAAAGAGGTCTAACTGTGTGCTGTCTTCAAGAGACCAATGTCACATGTAATAACACCTACAGGCTCAAAGTAAAGGGTTGAAGAAAAATCTACCATGCAAGTGGAAAACAAAAAAGAGCAAGAGTCACTATTCTTATATCAGATAAAACAGACTTTGGTATTTCTTACAGAATAGTTCTAGTGGTAATAAATTCTCTCAACTTTTGTTTATGTGAAAATGTCTTAATTTTGTCATCATTTTTGAAGAACAGTTTTACCAGGTGTAGAATTGTTTGTTGACTTTCTTTGTCCTTTCAGTACTTTAAATATGTCACTCAATCATTTTCTGCCCTCCATAGTTTTAGATAAGAAATCAATTATTAATCATATTGAGAATCATTTATACATAATGAGTTGCTTTTTGTTTACTTCTTTCAAGATTTTCCCTTTGTGTTTTGGTAATTTGATTGTAGTGTGTCTTGAGGTGAAGCTCTTTAAGTTTGTTCTAAATGGAACTTGTTGTTCTTCTTGAATATATAAATTCATGTATTTCACCAAATTTTGGAAGTACATGCCTATGACTTATGGAAACATTCTTTTGTCTATTTTCTCCTTCTGAGACTCTTATAATGTATATGTTGGTCCACTGGATGGTATTCCATGGGTCCCTTAGTCTCTGTTTACTTAATTAATTTTTCTTTCTGCTTTTCAGACTGGATAATTTCAATTTCCCTGTCTTCATGTTTGCTGATTCTTTCTTCTGCCTATTTAAATCTACTGCTGACCCCTCTCAAATGAATTTTTCTATTTCCGTTTTTAACTTTTCATTTCCAGATTGTGTGTAGTTCCTTTTCATAATTTCTGTCTCTTTATTGGCATTTTTGTTTTGTTCCTTTCTCATTTTTCTGATTTTCTTTATTTGCCCCTATTTTTCTTTACCTCTTTGAAACTATTTAGGACAGTTATTATAGAGTCTTTTCTAGTTATTCCAATGCCTGGGCTTACTCAGGTATGGTTTTTGTCCATTTATTTTGTTGCTTTGAATGGACCACACTTTTCTATTTCTTTGCATAACTTGTGATTTTAAGTTTTGAAATTGGACACATTTGAATATTATAATGTAATTTTCTAAATAAGATTCTCCACTTCCTCCAGGATTTACTTTTTTTAGTTGTTGAAGGTTGTAGTAGTACATTTACTTAGTGCCTTTTTCAAGCTAGTTTTGCATTGACCATCCCTTTAGCTCATATTCAAGAAGTATTTTGATAGGGATTTCTTTGAATTCCAGGAGTTAAAAAACAAACCAAGAAAAAAACTCTTTCATTCTGCTGTTTGGATCTGTGCTGGGCTTTCTTTCACAGCATAGCCAGTTTTGCTCTAAGCCTAGGGCTCAGCCTGAGGGGAATATTTTATGTCTTCGAAAGGCTTTTCTGAGCATGTGTCTTTCCCTGGTGTGTGTATGACTTTCTAAATTATCCCATATATATAAGTGATTTTCAGTGCTTTTCAAAATACCACTCCATAGCATTTCCTAATGGACTTTTAGATACTTTACGTTCTGTCTCACCGTAATTTTTTGTCCCAGGTATCTGTAGGTTGTTTGTTTGCTTTACAGTGTTTTCAAGCAACTCCCTTCACTTTTCCAACCTCAGTGGGTTTCAAGCTCAGAAAGACAGAGGTGGGAACCTTGTGTCATCCCCAGACAGGTTAGAATAGACATACATAACAATTTGCAAATAGGACCTGCTTTGTTCTGTCCAGAAGCAGGGACCATCACCCCACACTGAGAATGCTGCCTGCCTTCTTTTATAGTGTCACCAGGCTGGGGAGATGTTGAGGCAAGGACAAGTAAAAAATGGCAGAAAATTTTTCTATCATCTTTAAGTTATCTTTTTCCTGATTGAGCAATCATCTCTGTGTTGCAAATCTTTTACTGTTTTCCAGAGTTCTTATAAGGTGTTTTGTTTTGTTTTGTTTTGTTTTTCTGAGAGGTTGTGCGTGTGTTTCAATGTTTCTTTTGAGGAACAGAAGCTTGGAACTGCCTGCTCTATCAATTCATTGATGTCAGTCCAGTAAATATTTTACTCTATATTTATTATTCATTCTATACAAAGAAAAATAGATGTGTGTGTGTGAAGATGTGATGAAGTGTCAGTATATAAGCCAGCAAGGGAAATGATAGTTCTTAAAGAAGAGGAGGAATGAGGACAGTTCTCCATTAAGAATGACTCTCCAATAAGAATGAATGCTCAAGTATAGGTTGGCTGGTTAAATGGTGCATAGGTAGATACATTTCAAATTTTTTTGCTAAGGCTTTGTTAAAACACTGCTAATGCCTTAAAAGGAATACTTTGGATAATTTCACTTAATTAATTAGTTAAGCATGTAAACACTGAGATAAATTCCTGTATTATTAAATATGCTTGAATAATGTGATGTGAGTGGTGGCAGGGAGTTTTCTTCTATGAGTATACAATAATTTAGTTAACTAATTAGACTTTTAGGCTGCTATTAATTTTTTGCTATTATAAGTAGTACAGCAATGAGTGCCACAGTACCCAAGTTCATCTTGAATCTTGTATTTAGGTATTTGCTACCTTTTCAGACTTAGAATATAGATCTTCCCACTTAAGGTCCTTGGAATTACCAAGGAAGTAATCAGTTTACATAAAGCCCATGTAATACATAATAGAAATATTTAGAATACATAATATTCTAAAGTGTATTTTACTCCGGGAAAACATTTTTTAAAAGGAAACAAACTAGTTAGGAAAGTTTTTTTGCAGATGAGAAGATATGGAGAGATAGCAAATAAGAAAGATTGCTGACACAGTTTCATCAAGGAGGTATTATCCTTTTATTTGTCTAGTTGTTTGGGGGCTACAGAGATATTTTATCTTATAAGCCGAGCTTATGCATTTGAGATCAGGTGTGTTCAGGGTGGTATGGCCGTAGACGAGCTTATGCATTTGAATTATTGTTATTTATTCAGCATTTTCTTGTTTTTCCTCAATTATAATAAATAAACCAACCTTTACTGGTTTACATTATTACAGACAAAACTGGCTCTTTAACTTCATCTTTTATAGATTTACAAAAGGCTGGAAATGACTTTTTTGTGCAGTGCTGTTTTTAACTTTTACTAGTTAAATCTACTTTTTCTACTAAGCATGAACGCAGTGTGGAGAAAACTGGCTGTTAAGAATATGTAGAGATTTCAGATAATTTAGTTTCAATCTTGCTCTCAATCTTATCCAAATAAGTAGGAGTCTCCATAGTTGGAACAGAGCATCAGAAGGAGGAAGAGTCCCTGTTGGTGTGTGTGGAAAGAGAAAATGAGGAAGAGAGAGATGGCAAGAAGAAAATTTTATTTAAACATAAGTTAAAATTTATACCTGACTTAGTTTCTGTAATTTTTATAACTTAAGCCATAAAAAGGTATGACAAAGAACAAGTTTTCATTTTTACTTATGTTTATAAGGTACTATTCTAGAAAGAAAAGGTCTGATTGATTGAAAACAATATCACAATTATGTTTTCAAATTCAATAATTGTTGCAAGTTCAGTTTTGACCTACTAAGGTCTACATTTTGGGCAAATATTTTCCAGTCATATTGAAATAATCTTCAAGCCAATTATATGTATATATAATGGATTATATACATATATGATTATGTAGACTTTCCAAATCTATTATTTTAAGGTCATCCAGAAGTAAATAGCATCATATTGAAAGTTTTTATTGAGACGCTCAGATATTCACGAAATTCCATAATAAAGTGTGTTGTGAGTCAGATCAAAATGTAGATATCAAAAAGAAATTCCAATAGCTAATTCTCACTCACTTTGAGGGTAGAAAATTGTAAATAATTTTATGAAGATAAATTTTTCAGGGAAATTTGTTCTATTTGTTCCACCCACCAACATGCAAGAGGTAAAAGCATGTGAAGTGTGTGAGATAGTGGAAGTATGTGTCTGTGTGTATATGTGGGGGTGAGGGTTTATCTACCTCCATTACCTTAGGTGAGGCTTCCGTGGAACCACATGGAAAGTTTGCTTCAAACTCCCTGAAATGGGGAAAAAAGGTGGAATGAGATCTGACTTCTACTTTTTTTTTCTTTTTCTTCTTCTTTTTTTTTTTTTTTTTTTTTTTTTGCGACCAAGTTTCGCTCTTGTTGCTCAGGCTTGTGCAGCGGTGCAATCTTGGCTCACTGCAACCTCCGCCTCCCGGGTTCAAGTGATTCTCCTGCCTCAGCCTCCTGAGTAGCTGGGATTACAGGTGCCTGCCGCCATGAATGGCTAATTTTTGTGTATTTAGTAGAGATGGGTTTCACCATGTTGACCAGGCTGGTCTTGAACTTCTGACCTCAGGTGATCCACCCACCTCGGCCTCCCAAAGTGCTGGGATTACAGGCGTGAGCCACCACGCCTGGCCCCTGACTTCTGGTTTTAAAACTTAGAGGTCTACCAAACAAAACAAAACAAACTAAAGCAGAGAGAGAGAGAACACTGTTGTGAAGACAGTCCCAAAGGAGCGGAAAAGAAGTTGCTACATAGTAATTACCCTGCACTTTTACTGAGGAGGTACAAAAGACATAGGAGTATTGTTCATGAGCCAGACGTGGTCCTTGAGATAGTGAGAGTCAGCCTGGATCCTCTATGACATCTGAGCAAGTAAACTACCTGGAAGAGCATGAAACTCTAATAGAGAGTCTCTGTGGCTTGAACTCTCAGAAAACTAGGGGTGGAGAGAGGAGTGGCAAGGGATATCACAGAAAACATCACCCAGATTGCAGTTGGGCACAACCAGCCAATTGACAGAAAGGGGAGCTCTGAAGGAGTCACAGAAGCACCCATGAAAGAGAGAGTCTGCTGGGCCGGGTGCGGTGGCTCATGCCTATAATCCCAGCACTTTGGGAGGCCGAAGAGGGTGGATCTCCTGAGGTTAGGAGTTCCAGACCAGCCTGGCCAACATGGCGAAAACCTGTCTCTACTAAAAATACAAAAAATTAGCTAGGCGTGATTGGTGCCTGTAATCCCAGCTATTCGGGAGGCTGAGGCAGGAGAATCGCTTGAGCCTGGGAGGCAGAGGTTGCAGTGAGCCAAGATGGCGCCATTGCACTCTAGCCTGGATGACACAGTGAAACTCTGTCTCAAAAAAAAAAAAAAAAAAAAAAAAAAAAAAAGAAAAAAAGAAAAGAAGAGAGAGAGAGTCTGCTTTAAATATTTTCTGGGTCTAGAGACAGTGAAGCCAATTCACAACAGTGCTGGTTAAGTAAGAGCTTTCCTACTGCTTGTTTCTGTACTGGCTCTCTTTCATTAGTTCTACTGGCATCAGAAGTAGTGGCTTGCATGGAGTGGAGAGATGAGTGACATTGAGAAAAACCTACTCGATGCTTTCCAGATAGATTCTCATTTCTATCAGCCCACCTGGAGAAAAAGGATCGGTAAAGGTGGAAGGGTTGATTAATGTTTTTGACTAGACTCTTTTTACTACTGACTATTCTTTATACCTTAAGGAGGCCACAGGAATTTCTGTTATCTAAGAGTGAGAAGAAAAGTCTGGGGCTCAAGGTTTAAATGTACCTAAGTTTCTAGATGCCTTAGTTGCAAAGACAGCTTTTAAGGCTCTGGAAATGGTCTGAACTAATCATATGTTTCCATAAAATTTATAGAAGTAAGATACTTTAATCACAATTACTTAAGACTGGTTTCTGTCTCCTGCTTAACTTCTCTTCTCACTCTGACCCTACTTGACGACATTGTAGGCATTTTGAGATATTCTTAACTTTCAGATGACTATTGGTATTTTTTCATCACTATCAATCATATCAAAATTCAAAAAGGATAGTTAAAAGTAAACTGTAGGAAAGATAAGATCAATACTATTACTTAAAAAACTGCTTTTTTTGGAAATAATATACCCAGTAATATTTACAGACTAACAAAGAGAACATGTAATGGATCAAAGAGGTATTTTTCAGATCTTTTGTGAAGAATATTTTTTAAAAGCTACACCCTTATGAGATTCTAAATAGCCTATTTCATGACTAACAGATTTAAGTAATGTTTTATTGGTAAACTATTTACAGAAAGACAGAAATCATTCACATCAGTTGGGTTCTAAGACTGGATGCATATGATGACAGCACTCAAAAATCTTGAAGATTTCATAGACCAGAAGAAGCTAGGTTTATTTGATTTACACATAAATAAGTAAACATGCACAGGTTGGATCAGTGTTTTGAAGTAAAGACTGGAGGGAACATTCAGCATTATTTTGAGATGCTAAAAGATTAATTGCAGCCATTCAATTCTCAGGGAAAGATGTTTCCCCTTTAGCAGTGACAGTGACGAGAGGCATCCCTGAAATAATAGAAATGCCATGAGAATCGTGGAACTAATTGCGAAATAAGGTTCATTTTTGCACTAGCACTTGGAAAAAAAATGAAAGCAAGAATAGACCAGTTAGATTTATTTATCAAAAGCCTTGTGTGAACACTTATTACAAAAAAGAGAAAACCTGCACAAATTGAGACAGTGTGTCCATTTAAAAAATATAGAAGACAAATTATACTCTATTGTTAATAGATCTTCCATCAAATGTGACAGTGTTGAACAGCTGGAGATTATTGTGTGCTACTGTTAAAGGGAAAACACTATGGATTTTTTTTTAGCTTTTTTTTTTTTTAACAAACAAAGCCATCTGTCACTTTATTCAACAAAGTGGAATCGTGTGGGTAATTATAACCTCTGGTTGAACATCAAATAATGGTAAGAAAAGTAAAGAAAAAGGCTGCAATCATGCTTTAAAAAACACTGGTATATGACCTGAGGTGACATCAGCAGGCATAGTGGCATAAGAACATTCAAACATCCTCTTATCAGTGAAACAATAAGAACACTGGCCACAATTGACAATCACCAAGTTTTTCAGAACTCTGGAAATTTACCAAAAATGTTAACATGGGGAATATTTATTTGAGAAAAAACAGCTGAATCTCAGCAAGAACAGTCAGCTTTGTCACATTTTAACTTTCCCTATTCCCATCCTCCTCTCCCAAATTCCATGGCAACCTTGAAAACCAACAGTCCTGCAATTGCAATGAGAAGCAGCAGCATAGCAGACACCAAAGGGGGCAGAATAAGTTTAGAACTGCCCTCAAGCACCATTCTCAGAGAACTGTCATTATTTGACCTGCCTAGTAGTTCTGCAGAAACCCCCACTAACAGGGCTCTTCTTCATTTGACCTGACTTGGCTCATTTAGTTTGAACAGCGTTTTACATGAGAACGTTTGTCAAAAGTAAGCAAACAAACAAAACCTAGCAGCAATTTTTTTTAAGATTTTGAGTGACTGAGATAGTGATAACAGTTATGTACATAAGTGGCTTTGGAAAGTTTTGCCATATTGCTGGGAATCTAGAATGCCACACATATGCCTAGGATTGTGAGTATGCTAGAGAAGGCTTGAGAAGGCACCAAGTAGCCACCTCTGGATGACTTTGAGGTTCTATGCAAGCAGTTATTTTATCTTTTTCCTGATTGAGCAGTCATCTCTGTGTTGCACATCTTTTACTGTTTTCCAGAGTTCTTATAAGGTGTTTTGTTTTGTTTTGTTTTGTTTTTCTGAGAGGTTGTGCATATTTTTCAGTGTTTCTCTTGGGGAACAGAAGTGAAGACTAAAGCAGAATTATAAACTGCTTGCCCGAGTGTTGAAACATTTCTTAACTTATAAGGTATACAGAGCCCCTCAACAAAGGCTGGGGTACTTAGTAGTTCTTGGCATTTAAGAAAATTGTGAAATCATTTACTTACCACTAAGCTAACTCAATAGGGACTTCAGCGGTCACACATGATGAAGAATACAAACTGTACAGGAAAGTCACTAAACAAACAAATCGCAAAACAATGTCTACCAACAATCACCACAAATCATCTAGACAGGAAAGACTGAGTTTTAGAATTGCCATATTGTACTATTCAAAATGTCCAGTAGGTTGAAAAATTATGAGACATGTAAAGAAATAAGAAATTACCTATGACATAGCTAAAGGAATGAAACTCTTGTCTCTGCGGTTGTGCTGTTTATGACATGAAATTGCATGAACCACAAACAGTCTCATAATCACCAGAGTGAATGATGGGTTTGCTGGCTTGTGCACAGGGGAAGGGAGAAAAGGCTGGGGTTGATTTGGGTGTTAGGATTGGACTTCTGCACTGAGTAGGCTTGTTTTTCATTTGTTGTTGTTAATAATTTTTTGTTGAATTGTAGCACATATTCAGAAAAGGACACAATTTTTAAGTATGCAATTTGATGATATTCAACCTAGATTAGGAAATAAACTATCTTCATTTCAGAATCTCCTCTCATGTTCCCTTCCAGTTTCCAACTCCTGGTGCTGGTTTTTTGCAACATAAATTAGAGATCTCATTTTTTCTCAGCTCAAAACAATTGGATTATAGAGTATATGTTCTTTTGTATCTGGCTTCTTTTGTTAAATATTATGTCTGAGAAATTTATCCACGTTTTGCATTTATTTATAGCTTGTTTATTCTCACTGCTGAATAGCATATGTTATGTAAGCATACCATTATTTATTTATTCTTTCTACTCTTGATAAAAATTTTGGATTGTTTCCAGTTTTTGACAATTAGACTGCTGCTAATAACCTTATTTATTAAAACAAATAATCAAACAAACAAATATTACTCCCTGAAGCAAGCTCATAGAAAAAAAAAACAGTTGTTTAAAAAAAGAGTTATCAGTAGAGATAACCCATAAGATAGCTACGTTCTTGATTCAGTGCTGCTATTTCTTGCAGTGTGGGCTACAGTTTAGATTTGCATGTGTCTCGCGGGCCTGAAACTCCATGAACAGACACAAAAATGACTAGCCAACTCTATTTAAATCATTTAAGTGTTTATTTTAGAAGATCCCTGAACACTTAAGTCAATTGACTATCCAGGCATTCTGAGCTTGTGTCAGTTTCCTGCTCATTCCACCTGGGTGAGCTATTTGTCTTATAAAGCCTCTTTTTAATCAGTCAAGTAAAGCATATCCCCTAAAATCTATTGGCTAGTCAGATGTCAGGGCACTAGAAATTGTTTTCAGCAGTCACTTTGCAAAGCAACTCAGGAAATTTCTTGGCAGATGCCTGTACCTTGTCGTGATACTGTTCTTGTTAATAGTAATCACAAATGAAAAAAATTTCCTTCCTAAGAGGAGGGAAGCTTTGTTCTGAAGAAGTCCATGCAGCAGGAGTCCAAATTCTTCCATCTAGGCAGCCAAGTATTACTGAGATGGAGGTAGGTGAGGTCACCTGGAGACAGTACCTCCTAGATGTCCGGAGTGGCCAGTGAACTGCAGAAGGAGAAGGGGCAGGAGGGTTCCCTAACCGCTAAGCGAAGGAGCATCCGAGGGTGAGAGATAGACCCTCCCAAGGCATGTGGATAGAGAAGTTGGTCATGGCTCTCAGACCCTGCTCTCCTTGGATCTGAAGGAATCTTTGTGGAATTAGGGATGTAAAGCCTCAGACCATCAGAGCACAGCAGCCTCACACACTTCCATGTCTAAGAAGTTTTGACTGATGATTCTGCCAAACAGGAAGCTACTCACTTATCCATCCAGGCTACTGCATCAGGGTTCCTGATGTTCTACAACAGTGAGTCCTTATTTAAGCCTTCAACCCCCATGGCGTGGTCAGAGCATAACGCTGCTATCCCTATCTCACATGCACAGGTAATTTAATGAAGGGATGCTGGCTAGGATCAGTGGCCTAGACCCCGGCTTTCCCTGTGATGTCTGAGTGTGTGAAATTATGCCATAGTGCATGCATATCCCTTTCTGGGCAAGCTATCTTGAGGGTCTTACACAAGGAGAAACATTTCAGAACTTGCCTTCCAGAACTAGAGTCCGCCAGCCCCAACTCCACTGCAAGATTTAAATCTATGGGCTACCAAGCCTCTCCCATAGGCCACCTTACAGAATAAAGCCAAGTTCATTGTGGAGAGACACAGTCTGCACACACGTGACATTTGGTCTTCCTTTAACATGATTGCAATAGTATACAGAGCACATAATAGCAAATAAGTCTCTACAACTAGGAGAATAATGACATTTTAAGGGCAACTAGAACAATTTGAAATGGTGTGTTTCTAGACTACATACATATCTAGCATATACTATTTATTCCTCCATTTATTATTAATTTGTGTCTTATACAAATGTGTGTATACACTTGCTTAGGAATAACAAATGTTTTCTAAAGAATTTCTGCTTCTGCTGCTTATTTCCTATTTGAAAACACAACTCTCTGTGTGTAAAAAAAAATAATCATTTTTCACAGCAATGAGTGTTGAAAATATTACCCTCCCACAAACCAAGACATAAAGTATAAGAGGGGAATACAGTAATGGCGGCTTCCTGGATCAAGCTGAAAACATCATTGCTATGTGGGTTCTCAAGGACAGCTGCTATTCTCTTACACTACTTTCAGCATCTTTATGCTCTTTATACTTGCAAGGAGATTACCGTCACTAGTCCTCCTGTATCTCTTATGCAAACCTTCTTTAGGCTTACAAAGTAACATTCCATCATCACCCACATCTAACAAAGGGAAAAGTCTGGCTTAGTGGAATTTGCTCAAGGTTATAGAATATGTAATTGGAATATTTGGGGATAAAATTCCCCTATCTTATTCTATCACGTGTTGCAGATATAGATCACTGTTCACAATAGAAAGTGAATGACCAAGACACTGGAATGATGCCCTCCTCCATACCCTAAGAGGAAATTAATTAGAATCAGTTTAACTTGAAATATAAATGGCACAGATATCATCTCAGTGCAAACAAAACAGAAAACTTACCATTCAAGTTATTTATGGGGGTAGGGGGGTGATATCATTATCTGACAAATATGGGAGACAAAGACGAGGTTCCCCACCAGGATCCTTCTAAGTCCTATGTCTTGAGACTAGAAACATGCAATGTCAGAGAGGCAGCCCTTAGTAGAGCTCCTGATCTAGGAGAGTCCTATGTGTACATACCATCTTTCACTAGAAATCATAGATGGTTTTCTCCATTTGTTTTATATCACCCTATAGAAGAAACACGTTTGCAAATCTACGTTCTATGTTTAAGCCAAACATTTATATTTCATTATATTATATTAATTGGCACTGATTTGAAAGATGACTACATTGAAGAAATCATGCTATCCCTCATAAGTAGCACCTGAGGACATATTTTAATATGTTTCTACAATATCTTGATCTCTAAATTTGGTATCTCTCTTTAATGACTTTCATAATGACTGGCTTAGGCCATCTATACTCAAGTGAGTTCCAAAGAATTTCAGGGAACTGGCCAATCAAAATTGACCAATTTAAGAGATGTGAAGGGGCACTACTGATTTTTTTAAATGCTGTTTTCAAGGATTTTCTGACAGTTTTAGTGGTAGTTGGAAGAATGTCAAATTTACCCTTTAATAGAAGTAGATTAGTTACAAGAGGGCAGAATAATGTCGCTTTCTCTGTTGCCAAACTCATCCTGAACTGTGGTTTATGCTTCATTCTCTTAACTGAATTGGAAAGGAGTTTAAGTATTTAAAAAGGGAAAAAATGAATATGCATCACATCCTCCTCTAGATTTTTTTACACTGTGTGCATATAAGATAAAATAGAATATAATTCATACTGTTCTAAACCAAGTGGTTTCTGTAATAATTAGCAGACTATATTAAGTAATTAAATACAAGGCTTTGACTTTTGTTACTGAGGCTTCTTGATTCAATACTCCAGCTGTTCTACTTTCAATTTTAGGCTTCCATTAATGAGATGCAATTCATGCCAAATACTAGAAAATTGTTATGAGAAAGAAAGAAAATTAAAATGCAAGTTCTTATTTTCCAAGTGGAATATGATTATTATAAAATTTAAGAAATTCATATGATTGTCTATTTTCATCACAGATTTTAATACATAGTATTGATAACATCAAAAGTAGGTATTCTGTCATTCAGAACTATGTATTACTTATTAGATGCTAAAAATACAAAGAAATTAATTGCATTTTTCTTATAATAGAAATCATACTTTTATATAGTTTAGTACACTGTATCATGTTTTCTGTGCATCTACATTGATGTAATACATATTTTTAAATATTACTTAGAGACATAATACAACATATCAATATGAACTAAGTATAAAGTGGGAGATTAGACATTGTGTGATTGTTACTCTTGCTGTATTCTCTCTATGAGTAATTCAAAATTGGAAACACATTCTGTAGCTTTCTTGGACTGTGTTTATTTTAAGCTTTAATGTCTTCAAGAGTAAGCCACCAATCATGGCAAAAATAACTCACATTTTATCCAGTATGATTGGGGAAACCACCAATATTTAACAAGCTTAATACATTTTAAGCTTTTGTGTTCTTTTTTTCTTTCAGTTAAATTCAAAAACAGCCTTGCTCACAAAATCTAGAATTTCAGGAAAGAAATATGGAATACCATCTGCTCTAAATAAAAGAAATTCTGCTTGATATCTTGGTTCACATAAAAATAATGAGATCTTGAATCTTTTTATGATTTCCTCAGGTTTGAAGGTCAGAAATATTTCTCTACTTTTGATTTACACTGTTCATTAATAGAAATATGGTCATTCCAGTTAGTCCACATTTGTTTGATTATCACTGGCTGAATATATATCCTCCTTAAGAGACTATTTATTTGAAATTTCTAAACACCAATTTCTTTTTTAAAAAATAAACTTCTTATACTGCAATACTATTAGATGCACAGAACGGTGGCAAAGATAGTATAGACAATTCTCATATACTGTCCAGTTTCCCTCATTGTTATTAACACCTTATGTTGCCATGGTACATTTGTCAAAACTAAGAGGCTGACACTGGAACATTACTATTAACTGAAGTCTTGACTTCATTCGGATTCCATCAGTTTTTCCATTACTGCCCGTTTTCTATTCCAGGATCCAATCTAGGATATTGCATTATATTTAGTCATCATAGCTCACAGTGTCCTCTGATCTGTGGCAGTTTTTTAGCCTTTCTCTGTTTCTCACGGCCTTCATGGACTTTAGACGTACTACCAGGTATCCTGTAGAATGTTCCCCATCTGGGATCATCTGAAGTTTTTCTCATGATTAGATTGAGTTCATGGGTTTGGGGGAAAACAAGCACAGATATAAAGTGCACTTCTCATCACCTCACATCAGGGAGTACATATTAACGATATGACCTCACTATGACACTAACCTTCATCGTTTGATAAAGGTAGGGCTTGGCAGGTCTCCACTTTAAAATTATTCCATTTATCTTTCCCTATTGGATTCTTTGGCAGAAAGGAACTAAATCTACATTCAATAGATTTGGGGTGGGAAGGATAAGTTTCCCTGAAAAAAAAAAAGGTGGGGATTATCTACATATATAGTTAGAATATTTCAGTAAGGAAGTTTCTTCTTGCACATTTATTCATCCATTCAACTATTCATTGGTATCAGTATGACACATGCATACTTATACTTGGGGTTACAGTCCAATAAAATGTTATTTTCTTTCCGAAGTTATTTTAGTTCTGGCTTTATTTCAGTTTCACATTGGCTCCTGTATCCCCTTGACATACTCCGATGTTTTTGTTTTTCTAACATACCCTCATTTCCTGTTACTACAAGATCCTCCAGATTCATCTTGTATTTCCTCTGCACCATCTCTAAAATCAGTTATTTCTCTAAGCAACTTGATTTCCTTGTAATGGAAATCGTATTTTGAGGCCAATATTGGAGCACTTGCTGTGCTCATTGGTACTTTGAGTCCTTGCTTCTAGGCCATCATAGAAGGCCGGTGGCGTATATGGATACTAACCCGTGCATATACACATATTTATAATTATTTCGGTAAGTATTCATCTACATATATGGTAAGCTGCTAGGATGGTGCAAAAGTAATCATGGTTTTAGCCATGGAAAGTAAGGGCAAAAACTGCAGTTACTTTTGCACCAACCTAATAAAATGAGTCCATATTGATATCTCTGACTCTTATCCCATACCATGGTGTTCAGTCTAGCTTTTCATACTTATTAATCTATAATTTCACTCTCTAGCAGAAAAACCTGTCCCCTACCATCCACTACCTATTTGCATATTTGTCCAAACCCAGTACATGTAAATATTTTCAAAATTAAAGTACAGCCTTATGGGAAACAAATTTACCAGCTGGAATGCAGTGTTTATGTATATAGTTCCTTTGGTCTTTAGCCTTATAATTTCTAGTCAAACCATTCTTTTTCAAAATTATGTTTTTCTATGTTAGATCTTAATTTTCTTTACATCAATTTCACTGAGATTATTTCATACATTTTTATTACTAGGAGAGTCATTTGCCACAGTCTGCATTCCATTCTAGGGTTCCACATCTCCTGATTGATTTATTTTTGTTTGCATACATTAAAGGTCACTCTTTATGATTTGCAGTTTATGGACTTGACAAATACATAGCATCATGTATCCACCTCTACAAAGTCATAAAGGTTAGTTCTACCACTGTAAAAATTCTTTTGTGCTTTCTCTAGTCAATCACTGTCCCCTGTCCAAACCTCTGACAACCCTTGGTCAGTTTTCTGTCTGATAGGTTTTCCTTTTCCAGAATGTCATATAAATGTAGTCATAGAATTTGCAGCCTTTTAATTCTAGCTTCTTTCACTTAGCAAAATGCATTTGAAATTCATCAATGGTTTTGCATGAATTAATAACTCATTCATTTTCACTGCTGAATCATATTCCACTGTATGGATATACTGCAATTCATTTACTATTCACCTATTGATAGACATCCAAGTTACTTTCAGTTTTTGGCAATTATGGACAAAGTTGCTACATACAATCACAGGGAGATTTTTGTGTGAAAGTTAAGTTTTTCAGTTAGTTGAGTTAATACCTAGGAGCATGACTGCTATGTCAGATGATAAATCTATGTTTAACTTCATAAGAGCCAAACTGTCAAGATGCTTTATCATTTTGCATTCCTACCACCAGTGAAAGAAGGAACTGCTTTTTCTGCATTCATGCCAGCATTTGTCAATGTTTTTGGATATTAGTCATTATAAAAAGTGGGTAGTTGCACTACACTGTGGTTTTAATTTGCAATACCCTGTTGACATGTGAGATTGAGGATTTTTCTAAATGTATTTATTTTCCATCCACATATTCTTTGGTAAAGTGTCTTTTCTGATCTTTTTTTTTCTTATTTATTTATTTTTTTTTATTATACTTTAAGTTTTAGGGTACATGTGCACATTGTGCAGGTTAGTTACATATGTATACATGTGCCATGCTGGTGCACTGCACCCACTAACTCGTCATCTAGCATTAGGTATATCTCCCAATGCTATCCCTCCCCCCTCCCCCCACCCCACCACAGTCCCCAAAGTGTGATATTCCCCTTCCTGTGTCCATGTGATCTCATTGTTCAATTCCCACCTATGAGTGAGAATATGCGGTGTTTGGTTTTTTGTTCTTGCGATCGTTTACTGAGAATGATGATTTCCAATTTCATCCATGTCCCTACAAAGGACATGAACTCATCATTTTTTATGGCTGCATAGTATTCCATGGTGTATATGTGCCACATTTTCTTAATCCAGTCTATCATTGTTGGACATTTGGGTTGGTTCCAAGTCTTTGCTATTGTGAATAATGCTGCAATAAACATACGTGTGCATGTGTCTTTATAGCAGCATGATTTATAGTCCTTTGGGTATATACCCAGTAATGGGATGGCTGGGTCAAATGGTATTTCTAGTTCTAGATCCCTGAGGAATCGCCACACTGACTTCCACAATGGTTGAACTAGTTTACAGTCCCACCAACAGTGTAAAAGTGTTCCTATTTCTCCACATCCTCTCCAGCACCTGTTGTTTCCTGACTTTTTAATGATCACCATTCTAACTGGTGTGAGATGGTATCTCATAGTGGTTTTGATTTGCATTTCTCTGATGGCCAGTGATGATGAGCATTTTTTCATGTGTTTTTTGGCTGCATAAATGTCTTCTTTTGAGAAGTGTCTGTTCATATCCTTCACCCACTTTTTGATGGGGTTGTTTGTTTTTTTCTTGTAAATTTGTTTGAGTTCATTGTAGATTCTGGATATTAGCCCTTTGTCAGATGAGTAGGTTGCGAAAATTTTCTCCCATTTTGTAGGTTGCCTGTTCACTCTGATGGTAGTTTCTTTTGCTGTGCAGAAGCTCTTTAGTTTAATTAGATCCCATTTGTCAATTTTGTCTTTTGTTGCCATTGCTTTTGGTGTTTTAGACATGAAGTCCTTGCCCAAATCAATGTACAAAAATCACAAGCATTCTTATACACCAACAACAGACAAACAGGGAGCCAAATCATGAGTGAACTCCCATTCACAATTGCTTCAAAGAGAATAAAATACCTAGGAATCCAACTTACAAGGGATGTGAAGGACCTCTTCAAGGAGAACTACAAACCACTGCTCAAGGAAATAAAAGAGGATATAAACAAATGGAAGAACATTCCATGCTCATGGGTAGGAAGAATCGATATCGTGAAAATGGCCATACTGCCCAAGGTAATTTACAGATTCAATGCCATCCCCATCAAGCTACCAATGACTTTCTTCACAGAATTGGAAAAAACTACTTTAAAGTTCATATGGAACCAAAAAAGAGCCCGCATTGCCAAGTCAATCCTAAGCCAAAAGAACAAAGTTGGAGGAATCACACTACCTGACTTCAAACTATACTACAAGGCTACAGTAACCAAAATAGCATGGTACTGGTACCAAAACAGAGATATAGATCAATGGAACAGAACAGAGCCCTCAGAAATAACGCTGCATAACTACAACTATCTGATATTTGACAAACTTGAGAAAAACAAGCAATGGGGAAAGGATTCCCTATTTAATAAATGGTGCTGGGGAAACTGGCTAGCCATATGTAGGAAGCTGAAACTGGATCCCTCCCTTACACCTTATACAAAAATCAATTCAAGATGGATTAAAGATTTAAACGTTAGACCTAAAACCATAAAAATCCTAGAAGAAAACCTAGGCATTACCATTCAGGACATAGACATGGTCTTTTCTGATCTTTCGCCCATGTTATAACTAGGTTGTTTCTTAGTGTTGAGGTTTAAGAATTCTTCGTATATCAGATACAGATATTTTATTAGGTATGACTGTCGCAAATGTGTTCCCAGTCTGTGGCTTGTATTTCCATTTTCTGAAGAATGTTTTTAGAGACTTAAAAGATTTTGGGCCAGGCACGGTGGCTCACGCCTGTAATACCAGCACTTTGGGAGGCGGAGGCGGGCGGATCACCTGGTCAGGATAGGGAGACCATCTTGGCTAACACGCTGAAACCCCATCTCTACTAAAAATACAAAAACAAAAAATTAGCCAGGCGTGGTGGTGGGTGCCTGTAGTCCCAGCCACTTGGGAGGCTGAGGCAGGAGAATAGTGTGAACCTGGGAGGCAGAGCTTGCAGTGAGCCGAGATTGTGCCACTGTACTCCAGCCTGGGCGACAGAGCGAGATTCCATCTCAAAAAAAAAAAAAAAAAAAAAAAAAGATTTTGGTAAAGTCCAACTTGTCACTATTCTTTCATAGATTGTGATTTTGGTAAAGTATCTAAAAATTCATCACCAAACACAAGTCATCCAACTTTTCTCCTGTATGTTATACTAGGAGTTTTATAGTTAATGTTTTACATTTTGATCTATAATCCTTTTCCAAGTAATTTTCACAAAAGATGTGAGGTAGTTGACTAGATTAATTTTTATTGTATATGGATGCCCAGTCATTCCTGTACAATTTTCTGAAAATACCCTTCACCACTAAATTATCTTTGCCTCTTTATCAAAAACCAGTTGCCCACTGTATGGCCCTATTTCTTAGTTTTCTATTCTGTTCCGATAATCTAAATGTCTATTTTTTCATTAATGCCACACAATTTTGTTAAGTTTAACTGTATAGTAGGTCTTAAAATCAGGTCATATGAGTCCTCATTTTTCTTTTTCAGAGTTATTTTAGTTATTCTAGAGATACACTCATTTTTAAATTAATGTTTTTGGAAAGAAAAAAGATCTGCATAGTTGTACGATTCTAATAAGAAATGTTTTTAATTTCAAAGATTTTCTTATCTTTTAATACTTAATATTTAGTATTGTTTTTCTGCTGTTAATAGTAATAGTGGAGGAGCTATGTTAATTTCAGACCAAGCAGACTTCAGTACAAGGAAAAATATGAGGAACAAAAAGACACATTACACAATAATAAATGAGTTGATTTTTCAAGAAGACATGATTGCGCACCTAGCAACAGAGCATCAAAATATATGAAGGAGAAACTTACAGAACTACAAGGAAAAATAGACAAATCCAACAAATAGTTGAATACTTTAATGCCTCTCTTTCAGTAATTGATAGATCGAGAAGGCAGAAAGTCATTAAGGATATAGTTAACCCGATAGCACTATCAGTCACTTTGATGTAATTGGCATTTATCAACTAATCCAAAACAGCAGAATTCACATTCATATAGCAGCCACATCGAACATTCACCAACATTGACCACATCCTAGATAATAAAACACACCATAACCAATTTAAAAATTTAGAAATCCTGTAAAGTATATTCTAGAACACAATGAGAATAAACAAGGAAAAAAATCAAATTATAAATTCTCCAAATATTTGGATATTAAGCAACATGATTCTACATAACACATGAGTCAAAGAAATCTCAAATGACTTTAAAACTATTTTGAACTTTTAGTGATGGTAAAGATATAACTGACTATTTGTGTGGTGCATCGAAAGCACAGCTTAAGGATAAATGCATAGCATTAAACACACACGTCAGAAAAGAAAGAGATCTAAAATCAATAATACAAATTTTCTCATAGAACGCCAGGGAAAGTTATTTAAGCCTAAAACAAGCCGTATATATATATATCTGTATGGACTAGCTTTTATATATATAGGGACCAGCTTATACATATGGTCCCTAAAAAGTATCAGTGAAATTTATAAACCTCTAGGCTGGCTAATCAAAAGAAAAAAACACAAGCAAAAGAAAAAGAGGCAAACAGCTGGAAAGAGAAGGAGGGAGGAAAGGAGGGAGAGATGATAACAGGAAGGAAGGAAGAAAGGAAGGAAGGAAGAAAGGAAACAAGAATTACCAACATCACACATGAAAGAGAAATTATCGTTACTGAACTTATGGATATTAAAAGGATAAAAATACTATGAAGAATTCTATGGCACACATGCTGTAATTTAGATAAAATAAACCAATCCCTTGAAAGCAACTATTAAAATTTACCAAATAAGAACTAGATTATCTGAATAGAACTAGATTATCTATATTTTTTAACTTGAATCAATAATTAGTTATACATTAAAAAAAGAAAGCACCAGGTTCAGATGGCTTCAGTGTGGATTCTTCCAAACATTTAAGGAAGAAATGAAGCCAATTCTTCTAAGATTTTCTTTAGAAAATAGAAGCATCTGTTTTCTATTCCTTAAGAAAACAGAAGCATCTATTTCTCACAATAGAAGTGAGACATCACTTTCTAATTTATTCTATAAACCCAACATTACCTTAATTTTAAAAAAAAAGAAATATTGTAAGAGAGGAAAACTACAAACCAATATGCCTCATGAATATACATGCAACAATCCTCAGCAAAATATGAGCAACTCTAATCCAACAATATATAAAAAATAATTATACACCACAACCAAGTGAGATTTGTTCTAGGTAAGCAAGACTTTCTGATAGTCAAAAATCAACCATTGTAACTGACAGCATCAAGTGGCTAAAAAAGAAAAATTATTTGATATCAATTGATGCAGAAAGAAAAAAACCATTGGAAAAAACCTAACATATGTTCATAATAAAAATTCTCAGTAAAATAGAAACAAAGGCAATGATATGGTTTGGATATTTGCCCCCCTCCGAATCTCATGTTGAAATGTGATCTCCAGTGTTCAAGGTGGGGCCTAGTGGGAAGTGTTTAGATCATAGAACGCAGACAGCTCATAAATGGTTTGGTGCCATCCCCATGGCAATGAGTGCATTCTTGCTTTGATAGTTTAGGTGAGATTTGCTTGTTTAAAAGAGTCTGGTACCTCTTCCTCCTCTGGCTTACTCTCCCTCACCATGTGATATGTCAGCTTCCCCTTTACCTTCTGAGTTTTCTGAGGTTCTCACCAGAAGCAAATGCCAAAACTATGCTTTCTGTACATAAACCCTGCAGAACCATGAGCCTAATAAACCGTTTTTTCTTTATAAATTACCCAGTCTCGGATATCTCTTTATAGCAACACAAAATGGACTACAACCAAAATTTGGTACTGAAGGGTGGGGCATTGCTATTATCTCAAATGTGGAAGCAGTTTTGAAATTGGGTAACGGAAGAGGTTGAAAGAGTTTGGAGGGCTCAGAAGACAGGAAGATGTAGGAAAGTTCAGAACTTCTTAAAGATTGTTAAGTGGTTGTGATACAAATGCTGATAGAAATATGGACATTGAAGGCCAGGCTGAGGAGGTCTGATATGAAAATGGGAAATTTATTAGAAACTGGAACAAAGGTCACCCTTATTATGCTTTAGCAAACAACTAGGTTGCATTGTGTCCATGTCCTAGGGCTTTGTGGAAGGCTGAACTTAAGAACAACAACCTAGGGTATCTGGCAGAAGAAATTTCTAAGTATAAAAAAAGGTGGTATGACTGCTTCTAATAGCCTACAATGAGATACAGGAGCAAAGGAATGACATAGTTGGAATTTATAATTAAAAGGAAAGCAGAGCATACAAATTTGGAAAATTTGCAATCTATCCATGTAGTAGAGAAGTAAAAAACATCTTCAGGAGAGGAATTCAAGAGGCCTGTGGAGAAACCACTTGCTAGAGACATTTGTAAGACTAAAAGGGAGCCAGGTGCCATCCAAGACAATGGGAAAAAGGCCCATTATTATTTCAGAAATATTCAAGGTAGCCCCACCCACCACAGTCCCAGAGGCCTAAGAGAAAAAAACAGTTTTATAGGCTAGGCCTGGGGCACCACTTCCTTGCTCAGCCTTGGGACAGTGCTCCCCACATCCCTGCCACTCCAGCTTCATCTAGGACTCAAAGAGCCTCAGATACAGCATGGTCCACCACTCCAGAGAGTGCAAGCCATAAACCTTAGTGGTTTCCACAAAGTGTTAAGCCTGTAGGCACACAGAATGCAGGAGTGAAGGAAGTTTGATGGCTGCCACCTAGATTTCAGAAGATGTACGGGAAAGCCTGGGTGCCCATGCAGAACCCTACTCTACCCTATTAGGGCAATGCTGACCGGAAATGTGGGGTTGAAGATCCCACAGAGTCCCCATCAGGGCACTGCCTAGTGAGCTGTGGGAACGGGGCTACCATGTTCTAGATCCTGGAATGATAGATTTACCAGTAGCTTGCATACTGAGCCTGGAAAAGCTGCAGGCACTCAACTCCAACTCCTGAGAACAAGCATTGCATCCTGCAAGGCCAAAGGGGCAGAGCTTCCCAAATAGAGTAGAAGCTTCCTGAGACCTTCATTAGAAGTAAATGCCAGCACTATGCTTCCTATACAGTCTACAGAACCATGAGCAAAATAAACCTCTTTTCTTTACAAATTATCCAGCCTCAGGTATTCCCTTACAGCAGTGCAAAATGGAATGACAGAGAAAACTTTCTCAATTTGATTAACAGAATCCATTAATAAAAGACACCCTACAGCTAACGTCATACTTAATCATGACAAAAATCAATGCTTTTTTTTCCTGTGAATGAGAACAAGTATATCCTCTCTCTCCACTCTTATTCAATATTGTACTAGAAATTCCAGCTAGTTCAATAATACAAGAAAAGGAAATAAAATCTATACAGATTGGGAAGAAAAAAATAAAATTTTCTTTTTTTCACAAAATATTGTCTTTCTTTTGTTTGTTTGTTTTTGACATGGTGTTTCACTGTTGTCGCCCAGACTAGAGTGCAATGGCACGATCTTGGCTCACTGTAACCTCCATCTCCTGAGTAGCTGGGATTACAGGTGCCCATCACCACATCTGGCTAATTTTTTTATTTTTAGTAGAGATGGGGTTTCAACATGTTCACCAGGCTGGTCTCAAACTCCTGACCTCAGGTGATCCACCTGCCTCAGCCTCCCAAAATGCTGGGATTACAGACATCGAGCCACCGCACTTGGCTAGATTATCAATGTTACACATAAACTAGAAAACTCCTAGAACTAATAAGCAGTTATAGCAAGGTAGCAGGATAAAATGATAATATATAATATTAATTGTTTTCTTATTGATATGTTTTAGATGTATGTCCCCTCCAAATCTTATGTGGAAATGTGATGTCCAATGTTTGAGATTGGCCCAAGAGGGAGGTATTGAATCATGGAAGTGGTTCCCTCATTAATGGCTTGGTGAAATCCCCACAGTAATGAGTCAATTTTCACTCTGGTAGTTCACGAGAGATCTGGTTCTTTAAAAAGAATGTGGCATCTCCCCTCTCTTTCTTGTTCCCTTTCTTACTATGTGACATGCCTGCTCCTGCTTTATCGTCTGCTGTGAGTAAAAGCTTCCTGAGGCTTCACCAGAAGCCAAGCAGATACTGGCACCATGCTTCCTACACAGCCTGCTGATCCATGACACAATTATACCTCTTTTATTCATAAATTACCCAGACTCAGGTACTTCTTTGTCACAATGCAAATACAAAAAAAAGACTAATGCACATATAGACTAGAAATAAACACTTGGAACTTAAAATTAGAAAAAAGAATACAACCTCCAATAGCACTAAAAAATAAAATCGTTAGTCATAAATATTACAAAATATGTACAGGATCTCTATACAAATCACAAAACTCTGATGAAATAAATTATAGCAAATAAAAATAAATGGATAGTCTATGTTCATGGATTAGAAGGTTTAGGATTTGTCAGAAGCCAATTGTTCTCTACTAGATTCAGAGACTCAATGCAATGCCAATCAAAATCCTGGCAAGATATTTTGTAGACATAAACAAACTCTTTCTAAAGTTTATACAGAAAGGCAAAAGATCATGAATAGCCAACAAAATACTGAAGACAAACAAACTTGGATTACTCCTAATACTTGACTTTGAGATGTACATAAAACCACAGTAATCAAGGCAATGTCATAGTGACAATGAAGAGACACACAGACCAGTGGAAGAGAACAGAAGCCAGAAAAGACCCCCACACATATAACCAATTACTCATTAACAAAAGACCAAAGGAGATTGTGTGGAGAAAGGATAGTCTTTCAACAGATACTGCTGAAGCAAGTGGTTGTGTATATCCTAAAATAAATTGAACTTAGACTTAGACTTTACACTTTTCACAAAAACTAACTCAAAATGGATCATGGGCCTAAATGGAGAATGCAAAACTATGAAAACCCTAAAAGAAAACATAGAAAATCTAGGTGACCTTGTGTTTGGTGATGAGTTTCAGATGTAATACCAAAAGAAAAAAAAAAACCCGTGAAGGAAAATATTGGTAAGTTATATGTTGTTAAAACTAAAAATTTCTACTCTGCAAAAGAGCATTGTTTAAAAAATTAAAGAAAAGCTATAGACTGAGAGAACACATTTTGAAAATGCATGTGTAATAAAGGCTTGTATCCAAAATATCCAAATAAGCTAAAAAATAAAACTCAAAAATAAGGAAATAAACAACCCAGTTAATAAATGGGCAAAAGATCTGAACAGACACCTCACCAAATAGATACCCAGATGGCAAATAAACATATGAAAATATTCTCAATATCATTTGCCCTCGGGGAATTGCAAATTAAAACAAAATGTTCTAATATCACACACATATTAAAATGGCTAAAGTCCAAAAAGAACCAAAAAAACCCACAAAAACACCCTGACAATACCAATTTTTGGCAAGAAGGAGGAACAGGCACTCTCATTCATTGCTAGTGGGAATACAAAGTACACAGTCATTTTGGGAGACAAATTGGGCAGCTTCTTACAAAGCTAAACATAGTCTTACCATATGATCCAGCGATCACACTCATAGGTATTTACAAAACAGATTTAAGAACTTAGGCCCACACAAAACCTGCACACAACTGTTTGTAGCAGCTTTGTTCATAACCTCCCCAAATTGAAAGCAACAAGCTGTTCTTCACTGAGTGAGTAGGCAAACTGTGGTATATCCATATAATAGAAAGTTATTCAGCAATAAAAAAGAGCTGTATGAAGTCATGAAAAATATGGATGAATTTCAAATGTATATTACTCAGTGAAGGAAGGCAGTCTGAAAAGGCTACATACTGTATGGCTCAGGTTGAGTAGGTAAAGCACAGAAAAATTTAATGTGGTGACACTTTTCTGTATAATACTGTAATTTTTAATTAATGACACTATGCATTTATCAAAACCTATTCAGCCTTACACTACAAAATGTGAGCTTTAATATATATAAATAATTTAGGACATCAGGAGAATCCTAAGATTGAATTCAAATGTAACAAAACAACCTAAATCTGTTACAAATGTTATGATAGGACAATCTCACCCAAAGGGAGTGTGGGAAAATATTGCTGATGTAAGCAACCTTGGATATGAAAGAAGTCTATAAAATTAAATGCAAAAGAAACTCTGCATAAGAATTTTACTCTAGTTAATAAAGTTGTTTCCCATGAGGACACAGGTTAAGAATTCTGATACTGACATCCATGTATACTGGAATTGAACAATTAAGTAAATAGATGGCAAATAGTGAAATTCAGGTTTCTCATTATTGGAATGGGAGTTTATAGAAAAGCAAGAAGAAGCCAGAAAGTCCCATGTGGTAATGGGTTAGCATTGGATACATTGGTGTGAACTCAGGCTTAGCTTTATATAGATATGATGGTTACATATAGAAATGTGTGTAGATATGTGTATATACATGAATTAGTGTACACTCATCTATTTCCTTATCCTGTCAGCTCAGAGCATCCAGAAGAAACATTCAGTAGCCACAAGCACACAGATATTGGTTTCTAATATCATTCTTCCTTAAAGAAACCAAGGCTCCTTGGAGAAATGCCTGATTCTAGCCTTGGGGTAAACAAATTTATAAGACAGGCTTGTAACATCTTGTAGTGCCAGAAAGTAATAAAGTGCTCAAACACACACACACACACACACACACACACACAGAGAGAGAGAGAGTTGGGGGTATGTCAGATGAATGTAGAAACCAACTACCCTGAAAGAGCTCGTAATCGCCAAAGCTGGAACAATTTGAGCAACACAAAAAATGAAGTAATATTGTAGAATAACCCAGAATATAAAATAAATATCCATGATACCATACTAATATAAATACATGATTGAATAAATAAACAGATGAGAAGAGACAAAAATTCTGTGCAGAAGAATTACAAATAATGTATGTAGATATGCCATGCCACAGGAGGTGGAGAATAGCTCAAGAACTTAAATGTGTGGTCTGTGCATAATGGCTTCCTACAAAGTACGGTATGGAAAGGAGACAGGGGAAGAGTCACTTTAAGTGATGAAAGCTGTCAAACACTTTCTTAGGCAGATGATCCCCATCAACCTCAACAGCGATAATCATATTGATAGGATGCACCCTTGATATGAGGTAATGACAATGGCATCTTCTCTATGGTTTTCCTCTCCAAAACATATAACCCCTGTCTAATCATAGGAAAAACGCTAGATAAAACCCAATTGAGGAACATTCTATAAAATACTTGACGAGTACCCCTAAAAACTGTTGTCAATGTCATAAAAAAAAAAAGGAAACTTCGAGAAACCATCACAGCCAAGAGTAGCCTAAGCAGGCAGTTTCCTGGAACAGAAAAAGGACATTAGGTAATAACTAAGGGAATATTAAAAAGTATGGATTTTACTTAATAAAAATGTATCAATACTGGTTCACTGGCTGTAAAAAATGTACCATACTAATATGTTGTGTTAATATTCAGGGAAACTGAGTATAGGCTATATAGAGACCCTCTGTACTATCTTCAGTTTTCATGTATATCAAAAATCGTCCTGAAAATATATTTTTTAAAAAATTGATATATGATGAATATGATTAACCAAAGAGTAAAAACTGAAGAACCCTGTGACATTTTAGGCTTTGGATTGATCAGCCTTGAATACATTAATCAGCAGATAAATGAATCTGTCATGAATGAGTTACACATGAAAACACTATTGAAGGTTTCTTTCCAAATTTGAATTGTTTAAAAGTTTATCCAAAGGACATTTACAATTCTCTTCTTAAGAGTATAATCAATTCCACCCATTTATTTTTCAGTTTTTATAATGAGTGATATTCAAGTGTCCATTAGGTTGGTGCAAAAGTAATTGCGGTTTTTGCCATTAGAAACCTTTAATTGCATTTTTTTAAATTGCGAAAACTGCTATTACTTTTGTACCAACACGATACTATAGGCATAGATACTTACTGGGCAAGAGTGAAATGCAACAGTGGTGGACTCCTCATTCCCAAGAAGTATGTGTTCTGAGAAAAGGAGGAGACAAATATTTCCAGGAGTTGGGTGAGGGCCAGACTCACGCTCCTGTCCCATAGCTCAGGGGTGTGTGCCTAGGAACGGACTGAGATCTGGCAATTCAGAAAATGCTGCAAAGTAAAATTGTATTTCTAAGTGGGCACCACAATTCACAGCAGGAATAATTACAACAATACTTTACTCTTATGAGCTATTTCAACTAACTGTGGTGAGAAGACTTTATGCTGGACATTAAACAGAGACAGGATGGCTGTTTCCAAGAAGCCAGGTTGGTGAAAGCTCATTAATTATGGAGAGGCAGGATTCCATTTGTATCAATATGTTTAACTACTCTGAAAGTTGTAAGAAACATGGTGACTTTCAAAGCGCTGCATATTTTAACTGTCCATGCACTTGGAAAGGGGCTCACTGCCAGTTCGACACAGCAGGCGGGCGGGTCATGTGCATCACAGAGCCTGCTTTGCTGTCACTCGCGCTCTGAGGGCTGTGCCTCCCTAGGCTGGGCCATCCCTCTCATCCGAAGGCCCTGCTCTCTCCAGAGGCCTGATTTCACTGCTCAAAGCAGTTTCCCTGGTGTTCAGAGTGATGTGGGACTGGGTAAAGAGACCGGAGTCTGGGAAGAGGGTGCAGCCCAAGAGAGTGAACAGGTGTCAGCTGGGTGGAGTCTGGATCTCTGGTTCAGAGGATAGCTCTGGAAAGGTGTGGAGGTTGGAGGTTGACTGACTATGCCCTGAGAGTTGTTTTTCTTTTTTTTTTCTTCCTGACTTCTTCACCAGGAAGGAGGCTCTGCAACCAGGTGGCATCCACTGCCCTGTGGACTCTCTCACCAGTTTATGCCTTGAAGCTTCCTCACTGAACCCCAGTGAGAATCCACACACTTCAGAAACTGCACTTTTAACTCTTTATACTCTCCTTCCCTTTTCCATCCCCTGCATATGGTAAACAATACACTCCTTTAGGGTTGCCTGGGTCCTGGACCCAGGTTTCTCCCCTCTGCCTTTCCTATTGGTAACAGAGATGACCATGTCTGATAACAGGTCTTTGAATCTTGTGAACTCCACAGGGTTGCTGGAGTAGGGACACCAGGTGTATTGCCCAGCATGGAGGCATGGCTTGAAAAGGGGATGGAGCAGCACGAAAAGACCCAGCTTCCCCAGCCAGCAACCTCTGCACCCTTCATTGATGCTGCCTGGTGCTCAAAGGACCTCTGGGTGGATCCCAGGGCCTGGGACAGGCTCCAAACCACTTATCACGCCAATTCCTTGAACCAGAGACGTGTCGTGGATGGGCCTTTCAATGCCAGGAGCAGGGGAGAAAATTCTAGGACTGGCACATCTTACTGTATGTCCAACTATTATTAGGTTGGTTCAAAAGTAACTGCATTTTATTGCCATTACTCTTAATGGTAAAAACTGCAATTACTTTTGCACCAACCTGTAGAACACATTCCTAGCAGGTGGAGGTATGACCACAGACTTCATCAGTCCACAGGTCCAGGAGCCAGTTGGAATGTTCTACAATTCTTGCTTATTTGCCTCCTTCTATCTAAGAGAGACAAAAAAAACAGCCCCTGTTCTCCCAAGAGAGCAGGGGCTGCTCTGGTGCGAGAAAAAGGCTGTTTCTGCCTCTCTCTTGATACAGGATATCACTCTGTTGCCCAGGCTATAGTGCAGTTGCACAATTATAGTTGACGGCCGCTTCTACCTCTTGGGTTCAAGCAATTCTCTCACCTCAGCCTCCCTAGTAGCTGGGACCACAGGCACATGCTAATACACCTGGCTAATTCTTAAAATTTGTTTTCTAGAGATAGAGTCTCTTCCCACCTCAGCCTCCCACAAGTGCTGGGATTACAGGTGTGAGCCACCACACCTGGTTGCAGGGCTCTGTTATGTAGGGCGCTAAGGAATAATTATTCTGACATTTGTTAAAATGGTGAGAAAGACTTTACTTAAGGTCATTGCAAAAGAGGTATTGCAATAGGGAAGAGAGATTATGTTCAACTCCAAATACAATAAGAAGAAGTGGAGATTTATAGCCAACGAGAAGTGGAAGGGAGTCAGTGGATTACTAAGAAGAAACAGCAAGAATAGGGGGATTCTTGCTAAGACAGTCCAAGGAGCTACATATCAAAGCTGAGAGATGAGGGACTTGGTTAGATGTCAGCAATGATCAAATATCAACATTGATCAAGGGGAGGGCAGATTATTGCTTAACTGACTTAATAGGGTTCTTGCTAAGTCTAGGCCCTGTAAGTCCGGCAAGAACAAAACAGACACTGAAGACCAAGGTCAAGGGCTTCTCGAAAAGGGTGCACAGAGAAATATAACCAATGTTTGGTCAAGTAGAGAGTTTTTTTCAAGGGTCACGGTTGACCTTGACCTTATGCCATGAAGTTGGTCCCATTGCCCACTGCATACTTCATTGTCCTTTCAACTATCTTTTACCTTCAAGGATGGTCAAGCTGTGCAAGCTTTGGGACTGGAGGGGAACATGACAATAGCAGGCGTGGGCAGGAGAGGGAGGTGTCTTGCAAAGCACTAAAAGTGACAGCAGACAAGAAGTGAGTGACAAGGCACACAGCTCATGGAGCAGCCCCATCTTTCCCTGTCAACCCCCTTCCTCTTCCCCCAACCTCCAGTCATCTCCTGGCAGGTGACTGAGTTCCTCCCTGCTTCTTGGCTGCCAATCCCCTAGCACTGGCTTCTACTCAAATCCCTTCTGTTCTAAAATCTGGGCTGCTAGTAACCACACGGTCTCATTTTAATTTTGATGACTCCATTTTATCATGTAAACCACTCTTCTGTTAACCACCTCCTCTGTAATCTAAATGTCAGCTGATTCATTCCTGCCAGAAAAACTGGCTTAAAATACAAAACCCTATGTTTTCATATGTTCAAAATGCTTTCCAAAATATGTGCTACTTCCTGAGTAGCAGTAAGTGTCTTGGCCAGCCTCTCCAGTCATCCTTTATAGGTTCAGATCATCTCTTGGGCCCGGGTGTACTGGTTTCTGGTCCGCATGGTATCAACTCAGAAAAATTCCTCAACTTCTACATAATCACTGAAACACAACAAAGCCTTACTTACAGCAGTTATGTATTCAGTCATCCACTTGAAGAATTAGGATTTCGGAGAGACAATGGGGTGCATATAGGAACAACAAATGTCACATCAAATTGAACATCAGGCGCCTACATTCCATTTGTTTTTGTTCTTTTGGGTTTTTAAACTTTTTTTTAAAAAATTTATGGGTACATAGTAGGTGTATATATTTATGGGGTACGTGAGATGTTTTGATACAGGCATACATGCGTAATAATCACATCATGGAGAATAGGGTATCCGTCCCTTCAAACATTTATCCTTTGTGTTACACACAATTCAATTATGCTCTTAGTTATTTTAAAATGTACAATTCTTATTGACTGTAGTCACCTCATTGTGCTATCAAATCATAGGTCTTATTCATTCTTTCTAACTAGTTTTTTGTACCCATTAACCATCTCCACCTCCCCCGAAACCCTCCACTACGCTTCCCAGGTTCTGGCAACCATCCTTCTCCTCTCTATGTCCCTAAGTTTAATAGTTTTGATTTTTAGATCCCACAGGTGAGAACATGCATGTTTGTCTTTCTGAGACACTTACATTCTTAAAATACTCTTCAATGACTATCATGAGGGATTTTTTCCTGTTTCACCCCTATTTAGTTCCTCAGCCTTTAAGAACTAAAGTCATCTGGGTGGCTACTACCAATTCATGTGTCTTCCCTTACTTCCTCTCACCTCTGAATTGCCCCTTATGATTTCAAATTATTCATTGGCTTAAGGGCTGTCATTTTGTGTTCCCAAATACCGCAGCCAAACTGTGTTACAAACTGGTGTAGACATGCCCAGAACTTTTATGATCACTTTGTGAAAGAAAGCAGGGCTCCCTGCCTTTAAAAAGATTGGCCACTGTAAATAGCCACTCTCTCTATCCATTTCACTTTCAGACACTGCATTAGGGTGGAATACCTTTCAGGGCCTAAGACAAGAAGAAACAATAGGAAGGTTTGGAGACAACAGGTGCAGTTGCAGGACTGGAGAGCAGAGTGGTCTTGATGGGGTTTGGATCCTTTTGCTCTCACCACAAAGATGGCACAGTCTTTATGTCTTTGAAGACTCCTTAAAATTATTTTATGTCTGACTCCCCTGATGAAAGTTGGATGCTTCTATTGTCACCACAAAGATATTAAAGGCTTTATAAGTCTTTATAGACTCCTTGAAGTTCTTTTATGTCTAACTCCTTTTAAAATTTTAGATACATACTTGTTGAGGATCTTTTACTCAGGCAGCTGAAGGTAAAATTTAAGTCTTCACACAGAGAGGAAATATTATGTGCGAAAGAGCATTTAATATGCATCAAGTAAAATCTTACCTTTCTGGCATGGTCACGCACACACACACACACACATGCATACTTGGTACATAATGTTTTATTTACTCCCTACATCATCCCAAAGTTGTCCCCCTTTTCCAGCTGAGTAAATCTCAATACCACATCTCAATCCTACCTTCCTAAAATTATGTTCCAATCACAATTCACTTTTATTTTGTCTTTTCCCAGCTCTACTTCAGATATATGTGTCAGACAAAGAACAGTGATCATTAGTCAAGAAAATTGAAAACAAAGAGATAATATGGCAATAAAAGAGTTTAAGCCATAAAATAAGCTAATTACAGATTTTATTGTTTTAAAAAGAGCTCACCATTGCATTTAAATAACTTAATATTGGCCGGAAGAGGTGGGTCACACCTGTAATCCCAGCACTTTGGGAGGCCAAGGTGGGCAGATCACCTGAGTTTGGGAGTTCAAGACTAGCCCAATCAACATGGAGAAACCCTGTGTCTACTAAAAATTAAAAATAGCCGGGTGTGGTTGCACATGCCTGTAATCCCAGCTACTGGGGAGGCTGAGGCAGGAGAATTGCTTGAAGCTGGGAGGTGGAGGTTGCCGTGAGCCGAGATCGTACCATTGCACTCCGGACTGGGCAACAAGAGTGAAACTCCATCTCAAAAAAAAAAAAAAAAAATTGTGGATCAAGCACTGTATACGTGAGGAAACTAATTCAAAATAAGTAGAATAGAAAGAGAACTATGTGCTATGGAACAAATGTACAAGTTGCATGCAAAGGTAAAAACGAAGCCTTGGTTTGGACATTAATTACTGGGGGAGCCCCACTCAACTAGATAGGAGGCCACAATGCCAGGATGACCATGTGGCTTTTGGGGTATATAGATTCTGGGGTGGCTTGCACTGATTCCTAACAATTCATCCGAACTATTGAGCTGATTATATCTGTTTCTTGCCATCTAAAAAAAATAAAATCTATCCAATAACAATCAGTTCTCCATTTCTGTACTCCTTCCCCAATTGCCCAAATAAAGGTGATTCCCCTTCTTGCTGTTCCTGGAGAACTGTTGTCGCTTTAGATTCATATCCACTTGAACATGTCTTAGGTAAAGAAATTCATGACCTGGCATAGTGGCTCACACTTGTAATCCCAGTACTTTAGGAGGCCAAGGTGGGCAGATCACTTGAGGCCAGGAGTTTGAGACCAGCCTGGCCAATATGGTGAAACCCCATCTCTACTAAAAATACAAAAATTAGCCGGCCATGGTGGCACACTCCTGTAATCTCAGTTACTCAGGAGGCTGAGGCATGAGAATTGCTTAAACCCTGGAGACAGAGTTTGCGGTGAGCTGAGATCATGCCACTGCACTCCAGCTTGGGTGACAGAGTGAGACTCCATCTCACAAAAAAAAAAAGAGAGAGAGAGAGAAAGAAAAGAGAAAGAAGGAAAGAAAGAAAAAAAGAAAGAAATAAAGAGAAAGAAAAAGAAAGAGAAAAAGAGAAAGGAAAGAAATTGAAAGAATGTCAAGATTTGCAAAACATCCTCCATCTTTCTGAAATGTAAACAGTTGGTAGTTAATCCTCCTCATAGTTGTATAGAGTGATGAGAATTTATTTATAAAAATAATGTATGACATAGACCAAATCATAGTATGAGTTTTCACTTATTCAAAAAGAATTGGGAGAAAATGGATGGATGAAAGAATAAACACAGTGACCACATATTGACTCATAATTGGTTGTTAGAGCAGCATAAAAATCAAAGAAATAATTATTGCATTTAAATTAAAATGAAAAGTATACAATTTTCTATTCTCTCTGAAAATAATTGTATTTTATTGGTAGGAAATATGCCTCCATTTACGTTCATTATCAGGCAGACCATGTTAAAAATATTTCAATATTTTAAGAAGCTAATATAAATTTTGTGGAAAATCAAAACTTTACCAATTCTTCATTGTAAAAGTGTATTTGAATATTTCTAACACAAAAAAAGTCTGCTAAAATATGTCAGTTTATCCACAATATATGACTTATTTTACCTAATATTGGCATTCTGTGTAAAAGATTTTAGAACACATGTTGCTTCTTCAAATAACCAAAGAGTTGGCTTCCTTTTTTTTTTTCTTGCTCTCAGAAGCTCCTAGAATTGTAACATCAGCTAGGCTGACTGTTTTAGGCCAGATTTCATTGGAATGACTCTGATTTAAAACTAAATTATTTTTTATGTCACAAAATGCTGTTTACTTTCCTTTTTCTGATTCTAGTTCATCACTCACATTCTACATAATAGACTTACCATGTTTATTGGAAGGGATGAAGTCAGAAAAATCTCTAGTGAAGGTGATTACCACATAATTGTTGTGCATAGACAGCTAACTTGAAAGGGACAATTTCTAATATGTTGAGAAGTACTTTCCTCTTTTATGACTGTAACTTTGGTATTGTATAAAAATGCCATTTTTTTGATTACTGTGAATAAGACTTTAACTGATTCCAGCAATTTTAAGGGCTTTTTAAAATGGATTTTCACGTTAACTTTTAAACATTTTTTACTTCAATAAGCGTATTTCTATACTTCTGAATTTTCATGCCTCATTTTATATTTTTACTCACACTTTAGTTTTCTATCAATACTTATTTAGAGTCAAATTTAAAATGAAGTTGAAGAGAAGGAGGACCTAATTTTAAATATATTCATAAAAATGTCAAGGTCAACGAGTAAATGTTTAAAATATCACATAATTCAGAGTAGTACTCTCTATAATCTTTGTGTCTAAAATTATATGGTCCATGTAGTAGCTACTGATTGAGAGTCTTGAAAAACAGGTGGAGAGGTCAACAGGTGGGACTGGTTGATAAATCAGTCACCTGATTATAAAGGGACTACAGTTCTCTACCAAAGGGTTGCAAAGCTAAATATTCACATTTGGAACGAAAAGTTCCTAGCATAAATCCCAGCCTATCTTCATTCAACAGAGATAGCTAGTAATAAGTGTTTGGTGAATGAATAAACTCATTCAATCACAAAAATATTATCTTTTTATTTCTCTGTCAAAAATTTGGCTTTTTCCCTTTCTTACCTGTTCTTCTCCAACATTGTTGCTTTCCATAAAATAAAAGCAGTGGAATTAACTCAATTCTCAATGAGAAAAAGAAAACATACTAAGGGGGTGGTTGCCACTGCAGGCATAGGATAGGTAAAAGAGGTACACAGCTTACGATAAATTTAAGTGTAGGCTGGTTGTTGTAGTGTGAAATGGGAAAAAATAAAAACAATATGAACGACGTACATTTCTAGCCTAACAGACTGAATGAATAACAATGTAGACATTGAATACAAAGATACCACAGTTTTAGCATTATTCTACTGATCATTTTCTCAGTCTGAGCCTTACACCTAGTCACAGGACTGTAGATGACCACATTAGAATCCCCTGATAAAATTTACCTTCACTGTGACCCATGTCTCTGAGACGACCTGAAGAAACTACGCTCATTGTAGTAGTGCGATATAGACAGGATATGCATTGGACACAGGTTACGTATCCAGACTTGGAAGATTTTGGATAGATTTTCCTCTCCAGTATGAAAATCCCCACTGAATGTCAGAGAACTTCCCTACTTAAAGTTAATACTATTTGATGTCCTAGATCTTCAAATGTCATTTGAAGTGACATCTAAATGATGACCAAACGGATGATACAAAGGTAGTGCTGTATACAGGAGAGAGGGAAATGCCTTTGCAATGGAGGAAACAGCCTGAGACAAAGCCTTGAGGCATGGAAGAACTTGGTGTGTTCAAAGAACTGAACTGCAGCAGTATGGACGGACAGTACTGGTTTCAAAGAAAGTGTGACAACTCACGTTGGTCATCTTGGTCTAAGAATTTCATGACTTAGAACCAAGATAAAAATAAATGTTTCACCTGTGCTGTTATAAGATGTAATTTTTAAAATGCAAAAATAAAAACATGGGGTGTCTGAGGTAACTAACAAAAATTGAAAGACTTTGGTGTCATTAAAATGAGTGACCAATTTTTAATTTTTAAATAACCACCCCAGGGCTATGTGTGTTATACATTTCTAAGTTGGGCTGTTGATACTAGACTTAATTAGGATGTGTACTTCTCTATACTAGTTATTTCCAACATGTGTTCTATAGAACATTTATTTTAAATGTTAATTGTAGATTTTGGAAACAATTCTCAGGCCAAATTTTACTCAATATATGCTGAGTATAAACTAAAAAATGTTCGGGTCTTCAAACATGGAAATATGCATTGTACATAAGAAATTATACATTTGATATGGTCACTGCTTTTTTTTTTTTGATCTTAAACTACCTTGGAGTATTAGAGTTTCAGCGAAGAAAATGTGGTCATTGTTGTGCCAGGAAACTGTACAACAATAAATCTCCCTTGATTCTTGTTAGCTTATTATGAAATCATTTATTTTAATGTATTTTCCATTGAAATAATTTTGAAAGCCTTAATCTTAAAGAACATTAAATGGGCTCTTCCCTTAGGCAAAGGAAACTAATTGGATGACCTTATTTTGGACTATATTTCAAGCTGAAGTTTTATACCTAGATGTTGAAAGACCATAATCTGGTCAAAAGGAAATTAGGAATATAAACAGTCAAAAAAAAAATGTTCTCCGGCTCTTAGAAGTGCTACTGTGATTTGAGTCATCAATTAATTTTGGATTGGTTAACCTAGTATTGACTGTAACTATATCAAATGCCTTAACTCATGGAACCAATTATTGTCTAAAATAATCACCGTAACCATAAAAGAAAAAGTAGACAATTCAAGTCCTGTCTTGCCCTTCTGAAATAAAAGGGTGCATTTTAAGTAACAGTTTGTTTTGAAATGGTGTAACACTCGTAAGAAGTTGCAAAAGTTATTAGCTTCACTCAGTTCTCCCCAGTGATAATATATAACCGTAATACATTGTCAAAACCGGAATCTGATGGTGCTACAATATTATTTGCTCAGATAAAGACTGCATTTGGATTTTACCAACTTTTACATACAACTTTTATATGTTCGTGGTGGTGCTAGGAATATCTTTTAAGGAAAGATTTTACTGAGGCAGTTTTCAAAGAAAAGAGCTGCAGTAAGCAAGCTAATTAGACATCCACTGCTAACAATCTTGACCTCAATTAGGTGAAGGATTCCTAATTAAATCGTTACAGGCTTTTGTGTTAAATGGTAATTGATTGCCTGGAAGTTCTTCACAATTATATGATATTAACAAGAATGTATTTGCATTTTTAATGCTTTCTTGATTTCCAATTCATTACAGGGCTGTTAGTGTTCTTTTACCATGTCATTGGAAGCTTTGCAAATTGTTCTTTAAGGTTCAGAAGCTTAGGGAACAGGTTAAAAAAACAACGAAGTTGGGACCCACTGAAGTGTTTTGCAAACTGCTGCATTTTAGCTACTCCGTCCCGTAACTATTACCACCTCTTTAAACAGACAACTGCAGGTAGGAAAACAGAAGACTTAGAGAAAATGGAGATATGTAGTCTAGACCACTCTCCATTTCGTTCTTTAAAATGTTATCATTTACATGCCTGGTTTCTTTGATTCAAGCCTATTTGTCAAGGGCCACTGTGAGTCATCTTGGCTAATTTTGTGGCACCCACAGAATCTTTAGACTTCAATATGGTTGATATTTGTTTATTTAATATGAATTTATGGTCAATAATGATTACCTTTGCTCATAGGAAACATATGGGAGGTGGCCCCAATTATCATTTCATTCATTAGTTTTTTTGAAATATTTAACCAGGTCTGTTAACAATAGTTATTTTCTCCTCTACTGGGGTTTCCCAAGCCACTGAAAAAAAACTGTTACAGTGTGGTAAAATCTCGGTGTTTCTTCTACTCATGTCTGCTTACTTAGAATTCATCATGAGCTGGCATTAATTTTTTGAACTTCAGATTTAACTGGTAATTTTATTTATTAATTTAACTTAAAGTTCTGGGATACCTGTGCAGGAAGTGCAGGTTTGTTACATAGGTAAACGTGTGCCATGATGGTTTGCTGCACCTATCAACCCATCACCTAGGTATTAAGCCCCACGTGCATTAGCTATTTATCTTTAAATGATGGAATTAACTTTAGAAAATCTAGATGAATTTCAGTACATTGGAAAGAAAATATGTATGATTCACTGTCTCAAATTCAGACTATGTTCTCTGGCAGTAGTCAGTAGTATATTTTCATTTTTTAATATAAAAAGCCATCTCAAAAAATATTTTATCAAAAGTATCTCCTCCAAAAAATAATCCACCATACCCCAGAGTCTACCATCTTATCTCCTGTTGTGTTACACACTACTTCCAGATTCAGGGTTTCTTCAACTTGATTTTAGGAAGGTTGTTTTCACAGATCATGCATTCAAGTGATATCTTGAGCATTACTTGAAGTACATGACCCATCCATATACTAGGTTCATCCTTTAAGTCTATAGAGCTCACTAATATAGATCAGATACCTATACACTAGAATCCATGAACAGATGTAAATAAAACAGTTTTTTAAATATTTTTCTATTAATGCCTCCTAAGCATTTTCTGGATAATGAAGTCTATAATAAAAACAATCATTAGAAATTTATTTAAAAGAATATCTTTATAAATATGGCAGGAGGAAGATATTTATTTGAAGTCAGCAATCATTCTTACCAAACATTTCATTTAATTGAACACACTTTAAGAGCCAAACACAGAGATAAATACTAATTTTTCTTCTCAGCTATAAAATATTAAGACAGAAATGATGTAAAAGCTAACTTAAAAGTTTGCTGCAGATTATGTAGTTCAGGTCTCTAGTATTATTTTGGAGAATACATTTTTTCAGATATAATTAAAAATGCACAATGATTGAGATATAATTAGAAGTGATAATAAAACAAACCAGCAAATGTCATTTCTCCAGAAGCATATCATGGTAACGTGATCTAGAGAGTTCAGCTGATGGATAGATAGGCTGGTCTTAGTTTTTTTCTTCTATGGAAGAACAGAGAAGACTGTGCCTGGCTAAAGAAATATTGTTTAAATTTTTACATATTTTCTTTCTCTCTTTCATAGTACTGGATTCCCTAATATTCTTGTACCAGTTCAAATCCTTACAAAGCACTTTAAAATATTTGATATTCATAGTATAGCATTAATCTACAAAAATACATCAACGTGCCCATTGATACATTCATGTTTTTCTTGTTTGCTCTTTGTGATCACTTATAAATAGAACTTCATCATAAAATTATTGCCATACTATGCGTTCATCTATGTTAGAAATAGTTCATTTCAGTCACCCCATGTTCTTGGTCATAAAATGGAAGGATGGAAATATTGCCGATATAATACAGCTGAACCCATAATGGAGTCATGATGAAGATGTTAGTTACTTTACTATAATAACATGAGTTTATATGTATTTTCTAATTATTCTACACTTTTCCATTTTTACCAGATATATGATTGTATAGTTAATACTATATAATTTTTGATTGAGTGATTTTATCATCAAAGTATGCAAGGCTTTATTTATGGGCCTACTCAGATCTGTTCAGCTGGCCTGGCCTTGTCTTTTTATTTGTTTTGCAGCCAGAAGGGCCCAGGAACTATTTGTACAATTCTTGTGTTCTTAAATATGATCACATCCTAAACCACAGGTTGTGTAACCTTCCCCAGAGGCAAAGCCTGGACCCTGCCACAGCCTGCATTCTGTCCAACATCTCTCTCATGTTTTTCAACTTTCCAGACCTCTATGCTATATCTTCAGAATATCTTCAAATATTTTAACCTGTGTCAAATCTTTTTTTCTTTTTTCAACTCATCCATTTAGTTTCTAATTTCTGTGATATATTTCAAATACATTGTTCACTTCTAAGAAGTTCAATTTTTACCAAATATGCCTTATTTTAAGAAAACCATGATTTCCTAGAACTTATAATATACATTTATAACTAATCTAAGTACACCTTCAAATAACACTATACTGCTTCATGGGTAGTGGAGATAACATACAAAAGATGATTCTCAATTCTGCCCTCCCATCCCCTTTAACGTTGTTGTCATTCATTTCACTTATCCATATTAATCTATGAGATCAGTTAAGAATAAGATAAAATTTTATACTGCCTTCATGAATTCTTTCTCTATTGCTCTTCTTTTATTCACGTAGGCCTGAGTTTCTTCCTCCCCTGAAAAATTTCTTTTAATGTTATTTTGCATGGTAGTTCTGCTGGCAATGCATTCTCTTGATTTTAGTTTGTCTGAGAAAGTCTTTATTTCTCATTCACTCTTAAAGGATAATTTTGTTGGATATAAAATTCTAGGTTGGTGTATTTTGTTGTTTTTCCTTTGAACACTAAACATACTCAACTCTACTTTCTTCTTGCTTGCATGGTTTCTGATGAAAAGTCCACTCTAATTATTGTCCTTGTTCCACTGGAAGTAAGGCAATTTCTTCCTGACCATAGCTGCTTTTAGGATTTAATTTTTGTTTTGTGGTTTGCTGCAGTATGAATGTAGTATACCTAGGTTTAGATTTTTGGTATGTATCCGGCTCAGTCTTCTTGAGCTTCCTGGATCTTGGTTCAGTGTCTTAATTCCATTTGGAAATGTCTCAGCTATTATTACATCAAGTATTTCTTCTGTTCTAGTCTCTATTTCTGCTTCTGATGTTCCAGTCACTCATATATTACCCTCTTTGAAACTGTCCCACAGTTCTTGGATATTCTATTATAAGCATTTTTCCCATTTTTTCCTCCTTTTGCTTATTAGTTTAATATGTTTATATTGACAAATCTTCAAGCTCATTGATTCTTTTCTTGGCCATGCCTAGTCAAGTGAGGAGCCCATCAAAGTCATTTTTTATTTCCCTTACAGTGCTTTTATATTCTAGTATTTCCCTTTGATTCCTTCTTAGAGTTTCCATCTCTCTGTTTACATTATTCATCTATTCTTGCATATTGTATATTTTTCCATTAGTGTCCCATTTATAGTTCTAGAGATATCTCTTCCAGGTAACCTGGTCTTGTTGTAATTCTCTGTATTTGCTTTTATCTTGAGATTTTGAGGTGACTTTATCCTGCCACCTCAGTTCTCTCAAGTGTGCAACTCAGTTTTTTCATGTGTTTTCTTGTTGTAAAGACACAAGTAACAATTTCTGAGCTTCTTACGTTAGATTTATAAACATAACCTACTCTGCTGTATTTTTCTGATGTTTTGTTCTTCTGTCATGTTTTGATACACCTTTTAACATTCATAAATATTTTACTTCCAATAATTCCGTAATCTATAGTTCTTAGGTTCTAATGCTGTTGGTAGGTTTTCTGGAAACTTTTGCTAATGTGTCTTTTTTCCTTATGTGTCTTATAATTCTGAACTATAAGCCCATCCTTGGTGGGTCTATCTCGGAAAATCAACATCTTGGATTGATGAAGTATCTCTTCTTTTGCAAATATGTTATTACCTTTGCAAGGCAGCAGGTGCAGTATCAACCGTAGACAACTTTAAATTTATTTATCAGTCTGCGTTTTTCCTAATTATAATAGTAGTGTGAATTCAAACCCGTAAAGCATATGAGGGCATGCCTGTGCTTATAAATATTTAGGAGATTTCTTTTTCTAGCTTTAGCACAACCTGAACTATGCAGATTCCCTTGTTTGCTCCTAAAATGCAAGGGTAATATTAGAAATATCTACTAGGATGTCTCCAAGCATTTCAAATTCAACATGGCTAAATGTGAACTCTGTAACTTTTCCCTAAAGCCAACTTTTATTATAGCATTTCAGGTGTCAGGGATTATCAGTGCTACAACATTTCAGAGAAGAAAGACGCAATTTTAGGAAAAAATTTATGGAGGTTATGGGACTAAAGTTTTAAGGTAAGGGCATGTCTATGGGGATCTAAATGAGAACTGATATACTATAGAGCAGACCGATGGATACCACTGAAACCTCCAGGGTGGAATCACACATGGTGTGTTGAGGCCAGGGTGAGCTCAACTCTAAAAGAGAACAGTAAAGAGGAACAGTGCAAGACACATTTTTAAAAATAGGCAGAAGCCCATTGTGTGGGGACATAAATGACTTAGAAGTATGGGCTTTATTTTATAGGTAAACCTATTAATCAAGTAACCTACACAAATCAGGGTTTAAGGAAATATGGATTATTTCATTAAATTTGATTAGAAAGGGCAATTAACTGAAGTGTAGAATAGAGGCCAGTGTGGACTTACTCTAATAATTTAGTAAAGTATAATATAGTGGGAACCTCAACAAACATCATCTAGTTACAATAAATTAACATAGTGAAGAGTTAGTTAATTAAACAGTGTGTTTGCTACAGTCATTTAAGACTGTAGATTTTAAGCCATCTAAGGGGATTCTTAGCAGGCCCTGTGTTGGCCTTATAAGCCACTTCTGGAAAAAAAGGACTTAAAAATTAATTACCACCATACATATTTTTTAAATTTCTTCATGGCACAATGTCAGGATTTCATTGCAGAATCCTTTGAGTGTAATTTCTGGGTCATGAGTTTCTAATGTTGTTAGTTATTTGTTATGTTGAAATGTCTTCAACAATGGAGAAAACTGAGTTTTTAAAAAAATAATGACTCACCCTTGATTCCCTCTCCTAATCCGCCCATCCCAAACCTGCACCTCTCCCTGGCCCTCTTCTTGGAGTATCTCAGACTGAAATTCTGGAGCTCATCTTGATACCCTTCTCTTTCACAAATCCCATTGCTTCATCCCGCAAATTCTGAAACCTCTCCCTTCAAAACACATCTGTAATCCAAACATCTGTCTCCTGCATGTTTGTGGGAACCCGCTAACTAATGTACATGCTTCCACCTCTTCCATAAAAAAGTCTGTATTCCATGGAGCATCCAGAGCGAGTTTTTATTATTTATTCGGAACACATCATTTTATTTACTGAGTCAGACCACATCACCCCCTGCTCTTAAGTCTCTGATGATTTCTCATCTCACTCAGAATAAAATTCAAAGTTCTAAAGCAACATGCCTGCAGGATCCTATGTGATGCGGCCAGAAAGCAGAATGTCTTGCTCCCTTAGGTCATTTAAGTCTCTTGAGTGTCACTTCCTCAGAGAGACTGTCTCTTACCAGAGGATATAAAATCATACCACACCCTGCTGTCGCTCTGTTCCCAACTCTGTTTTAATGTGCTTTATTTTTATCGATCACACTAATCATAATAGTATTTCTACACATTTCTGGCATTTGATAGTTATCTATTATCAGTCTGTCTCCATAGAGCTTGCTGTTATATCTAAAGCAGCCAGATCACTGCCAGGAACAAAGTAGGTGCTTTCTTAGTATTTTTTTGTTCATTAACAAATATTTATTTCACAGTGTTTGAGGCTCAGGATACAATGCTGAGCCAAATTTACATGTGTCCAATGCATTATTAAACGTAGAACAATAAAATGTGCATTGATTTTATTAAGAAGACGCATATAAACAGGGTCTCTGAGCTCCTCTGGGGAACTGTGAGTCACTTCTCTGAAGATTTGACATCTGTAGAGATGTGGGTGTGTGAAAGGTGTTTTGGGCGACAGGGGGATTTCAGGTTGAGGATCAGCTTGTGCTGAGGGCCTCTGGCAGGAGCGAGAAAGGCCCAGTCATACAGCTAAGAGAAGCCCAATGTGTCTGTTGAGTATAAGAAGGCAGCAGACCATGAGAGCAAGCCTGAAACTGTGGCTAAAACATGAAAGGCTGTCCATACCTCCATTAAAAGTGTTCTTTATCCCTTCAGCAATTGAGCAGTTAGTGCAGTGTTAAATTAGGCGATCAGGTTTCTATCATAAGAGGATAATTATGCTTCCAGTATGGGAAAGTCAGAGACTTTGAAGTAATTCAGAAGGTGGTAACATGAACTAGGTGACTAATTACAGCTATAGAGCTGTGGATAGTTTCCTAGAGATGTTTGGAGGTCAAATTTGGCATGGCTTGGTGACTGATTACACTTGGGGCAAATAGAAGATGTCGAGAACATATCCTAGAGTAATGGCTTGCTCACATGTAAGGAAAATTGTGTTATTCCCTGATTTGGGAGGAAAAGGAGGATGAGAATATAGGAATTTGGACGCACGCATTTTTCTCTTGCATTGGCACTGATGTTTAGACGCCGTATGATTGCTCCTGAGGAAACCCTGACCTCCAAATTATGAAAACTACATTGGTAAAAATAAGCTATGCATTTGAAGACTGTTCTCATATGCGTGAAGGCACGAAGGCACCTTAGCTGGGGCATAGTCCAGAACTGTTCTAGCAAATAACTTTATGTCCCTTTGCCCTTTACTTTGCCTTCGTTATGCTGCTAAGGCATAATTTACTGTCTCCTTGTTTTCAGGACAAGGTGGAAGAATTTGAACCTAAAGAATATTTTAAAATGTATTTCTTGTCTCCAAACAATTTAAAGTTTGAAATATGCAATAAATAATACATAAATAATAAAGCAATATATCTTCTAGGAAAGTTCTGTATAAGAAACAAGTCCCAGCGATTATCTTCATTGCCAATAACTAGAATCTTAAATCAGAGACAAAATATTCCTCACTGAAATATTAATGTCAGCAAAAAAATTTAGAGATGATTCTTCTTTTAATTTTAGTAGAGGCTACCTCTATGTTTTTAAGTAAATGAGAAAAACTCAGCAGAACATTTTATTGAATTAAAAATTGGTAGTTAAGTGTGTTTGACTCTAATAATTCTGTTTTACTTTTACTCAACCATAAAAATATATGACTGTAAGGCAACAGCTGAGGTTTGAAATATAAAATATTAAATCATTGCTTAGATGCTTTAAGAAAACCAAAATATCTGAATTATTGCATGTATTTTCACTTTTTATATAAATGGCTGCTACTGTATAAAAATAGCCACAATTACAAATATTATAAGAAACTAAATTCAGTGCATTAATTTTGCATTTTTGTTCAGAATGTAATATGGAAGGAAACAAAGTTTGAACACATTCAGTAGGAGATAAATAAAAATAATATAGAACCATGCATGTAGCCATTTTCCATTAGTGCAAAGTATTTTCTGACTTAGAAAACCATTCAAATTCCCACATGAAAGAAAAATCACAAGCAGCTTCCTCTGAAGTAGATCTGACTTGAACTATAATACCTAGAGCTGTAAAGCACATTGAAAAGGAATCTTACTTTTTGTGATTTGAAGGAAGTCACCTCACTGTTATTGAGCATGATCGGGTAATTAGAATGAAGTGGAATTCTAGAAGGAGGAATTATTTAAAAATAGATTGGTTACCCTTGAACAGATATGAATAAATGATAATAAGCTTAAATAAAACATGAGATTATCATCTTCGTGTTTGTATAACATTTATCTTGATATTCTGGAGACAATAAGTAAAGCAAGATTATTAGAAAAATATGGAGTAATCATTTCATTACTGAACACAATTTGTTTATAAGAAACTTCTTACTAATTTCCAGAGTTGGGCTCTTATGAATAAAGATTCTGTGAACACTTTATATACATCTTTGTGTAGACATATGTTTTCATTTTCCATGAGTAAACATCTAGGAGTCGAATTTCTGGATTATAGAAAAGTTGCATGCTTAACTCTTTAAGAAAATTTCAAACTGTTTTTCTAAATGGCTTTACAGTTTTACCTCCTGTCCAGCAGTGCAGGGGAGTTCGAATTTCAGCATCTACTCACCATTTTTGGTATTATCATGTGCAGTAGTATTTTACTGTAGTATTAATTTGCATATCCCTCATGACTAATGAGGTGAAGCATATTTTCGTATGCTTCATAGCAATTTATATATTCAATTTTGTAAATTGTGTATTCAAATGTTTTGTTAATTTCTTTCTTTTAAATAAACATTTTTTAAGAAGAGTTTCGGATGGCCAAAACCTGCGAACAGGGTAGAGCATCTTCCCATAATCCCTGCACCCACCTTCGTCTACTATTAATAGTTTCTATTAGTATGGTACATTTGTAAAGTTTACTTAAAACCCGTATTTATTTCAATTTTCTTACTTTATTGCCTTTTGTACTTATTCTGTCACAGGATCCCATTCATGATACCATATTATATTTAGTAGTTGTGTCTCCTTATGCTACTCTGGACCATGAAGCTTTCTCAGACTTTCCTTGTTATAGATGACCTTGACAGTTCTGACTAGTAGCAGCCAGGGGTTTCTTTCAATGACAGTCTACTGGAATTTTACTAATATGTTTCTTATAATTAGCCTAGAATGATAGGTTTTGGGGAGGAAGAACACAGGGTTAAAGTGTCCTTTCTAATCACATCATATCAAGGGTACACAAATCGATGTGACTTATCACTACTGATGTTAAACTTCACCACCTGACTTAGGTAGTCTTTGTTAGGTTTCTCCACTGCAAAGTTACTCAAGATTTGTTCTCTTTCTGTACTGTGGTTTTTGAAACGAAGTTACTACGTGTAGCCCACACTTAGGGAAAGGAGATATTGCTTCACTTCCTTGGGGGCAGAGTATCTACATAAAATGTTTGGAATTCTTCTGCAGGGCGGATCTGTCTCTTCTCTCCCATTCATCTACTCAGTGATTTATTAGTATCAGTATTAACTGATGCATACTTATTCTATACCTTATTGGATATGTTATAATCCAGTGCTACTTTATTTTGTTGTTGCAATTATCTCATTTTTGGCCATTAGGAACACTTTTATTCAGTTCACTCCTGTGTCCCTTTGACATATTTTCTCAACATAGGTTTTATTTATTTATTTATTTATTTATTATTTATTATTTATTATTTTTCCTAGCACTTCTTTATTTTCTGACATTACAAGATGCACCAGGCTTAACTTGTAAGTTTTCTACCCAGTTTTATAATTAGTATTTCTCCAAAGATCATTGAACCCTTTGATGGATGAATGGTGTTAGAAACCAGGATATGGATACTAGGTACAACACTTGGTACTACGGTGTCTTTGCATTTAGACCCTCTAACAGAGCGAGAGAATATGTATATGTATACTGAACCATGTATATATACATATCTATACATATTTCTCAATGTATCTGATATAGTTTGGGTATTTGTCCCTGCCCAAATATCATGTTGAAATGTAATCCCCACTGTTGGAGGTGGGGACTGGCAGGAGGAGTTTGGGTCATGAGGGCGGATCTGTCATGCCTTGGTGTTATCCTCATGGTAGTGCATGAGCTCTCAAGATTGGGTTGTTTAAGTGTGGGGCACCCCCTCCCCCACACTCTCTCTCTCTTGCTCCTGCGTTTGCCATGTGATGTGCGAGCTCCCTCTTTGCCTTTCATCATGAATGAAAGCCTCCTGAGGCCTCCCTAGAAACAGATGCTAGCACTATGCTTCCTGTACACCCTGCGGAACCATGAGCCAATTAAATCTCTTTTCTTATAAATTACCCAGTCTTAGGTATTTCTTTATAGAAATGCAAGAACAGCCTAACACAGTATCCACCTGTATTGATATTAAACTTAACAGGAGTCCATACTCATGTCTCCTATTCTAATCCACTACCACACAGATCATTCTAGCATCTTCCTCTTGATTTCTGAAACCTGTCATTCAGACGGTGAGTAAACTGGTTCCAATCATCTGTCATCCATTTACTTAATTATTCTATTCCAGTATACATGTATGATGGCTTCAGAACCCTTAACCCATACTTCCTTGAGAAGCAATTTTAACAACCAGAGTACACTGTTTGTATACAGTTTCTTTTGCCTTTAATTTTCAGGGACTCCAATTACATATATCTTGGACCTCTTATGATATGATATTCTATATGTCTGTTATGGCATGTTTTGCATTTTTTATCACCTTCCATTCTGTGATTCTGTCTATTCTGTTTCTGATACTTGATGTTATAATCTCTTCTTTCTGTCATGCATAATCTATTAATTTATTGAATTCATAATTTAATTCAATTTTATTTCGTTCTTCAGTTCCATAATTTTTATTTAATTTACTTCTTTTCCAGTTCCCTCCTAATGTTTTATTAACTTATTTATTTGTTTGTTTATGTATTTTTGAGATGGAGTCCTGCACCGTCACCCAGGCTGGAGTGCAATGGCACCATCTCAGCTCACTGCAATCTCTGCCTCCTGGGTTCAAGCAATTCTTTTGCCTCAACTTCCCGAGTAGCTGGGATTACAGGCGTGCACCACCATGCCTGGCTGATTTTTTTGTATTTTGAGTAGAGATAGGGTTTCGCCATGTTGGCCATACTGGTCTCGAACTCCTGACCTCAGGTGATCCGCCCGCCTTGGCCTCCCAAAGTGCTGGAATTATAGGCATAAGCCACCATGCCCGGCCTATAATGTTTTATTTTTTTTTCCTGTCTGTTCTTGTATATATTACCATAGATATTTTTTAGTTTCTTCTTTTACAAGTCCAATATTTAAATTACTTGAGAAGTTGTTTCCCTTTTATTTTTTGCTTATGGCCATGTTGTTCTTTTTGACAAACCTATTACATTTTATTGAATATTATGCATTTTTTATAAAAATAAATGTGTATGGTTTGTGGGTGCTTTATTTTCTTCCAGAGTGATATATATATATATATATATATATTTTTTTTTTTTTCTGGCAGGCAGATATGGTGCAGGCACATCCCCTTGATGCAAGCTTTCTTAGTGATAGTTTGTAATCTGGTTTGCTCTTTGTCCTAGGGGCCACAGTCTTTGGGATCTTAGGTAAAATCTGTGCTGATTACAAGGTTCTTTTTCCCCTGGAGTCCCCAAAAGTTTATACTTCTTCCTCATCATCCCTTCTAGTTTCTGCTTAGCCCTTCAGACTCTCGGTTGCAGCATTTTAGGTTTTTCTCTTGATATCTAATGTGATACCCGCACAGCTTAGTATGAGCAAAAGTCTTCTGCGGAAATTATATCCAGATCAGATGGTTCCTCATCTCTAGGCCTTGTTCCTTTAAGTTCTGATCACAAAGCAGTTCAGAATTACTTTTTTCTCTGCACCCCATGACAGTACAGCAAGTCTTAGGCCCTTGGTTTATGCTGGACCACATACCCTGGCCTAAGAATTAGAAAATAACACAAGGTGAAATCCTGAGGTCAATGCAACATTCACCTCAGCGTACTTCCTTTCTCACAAGTTCTTGACCACTAGTATTCTGGCCGCCTTCCCTCTTCTCCAATGCCTTAAACAGTCATTTTACTTATTATTTCCATCTTAGACAGATATTCTCAGGAAAAAGTTTAGTCTGATACAAGCTTCCCGGTCATAGAAGTGAAAGTCGGCCTTATTAATTTCAGAGTTCAGATGGAAATGTTTTATCCTTTCTTATGAGAGGTTCCCAAGTGAAGGAAAGGGTTAATTTTAGAAGCAGTCATTATTAGAGTTAACTGATAGGAAAAAACTAACATTTTATGAAATAGTTTCAAAAAATATATAAATCTGAAATTTGCTTTAATCCCTATCACAATGGCAAAAAAACCCTACATTTTTAATTAGCATCTAAATGTATAATTAATCAACAAGCAAAGCCTATGATTTCTAACACCTATATTTCTTCTGGTTGGAAAAGGCTCAAGTCTATACTCTGTATGCAACAAATTAAAAAAGAGAGAGAGAGATTTATATATGTGGAAAAAGAATTTCCAGGTATAATTTCATTCAAAGAGGAGCATTAGAAACATAGATGCCTAGGAGAAATAATTTTCCATTTTCAGTGAACAGAGGTTTTTCACAATAATTTGGTAAGGTAGGATAATCCAAATAATCTGTGTTTATCAAATTATTGCTTTATATTTGACAATAGATTTTGAAATCTATGTGATTATGTCAAACCTTACAACAATGACCACACTTTCCAGATATCTTAAATATTAAAAAAATCTGTCACAACAGGATTTATGTCACTGATAAAGTTCACAGAAGTGACTTTTTCTAACCGTTGCCTCTAACTTTAACATACTTTTGGACAAAGCAGAATTAGATCAAAGCACATATTAAATACCTGCTTTATGCATAGTTTTTTTCTAGGTACACAAGGACTTTACAACTTGGCTGGGGAGATGAGAGTATCACCTTTTAAAAGATGGCAGATTTGTACCATTAATAAACTTTGAGTATAGTTTCAATGCTGCTCTATGTTGGCTGCATGATAGTGTAATAATCACCATTTCTGGGTTACTTTCTGTTAGATAAGGAGGTTAGGTTAGAAGATTAGCAAGATTCCTGCAAGTGCTGACATTCTGTTGTGCAATGGCAATGCGGCAAAAATTAAAAGCTAAAGTACTGAACTTGAACTTAAACTAGGAATTCAGAGAGTAGAAAGAATGATGTCTGCTTAAACAGCAGGGGAGGAAATGATTAAAGGTGTGTGACCAAGGATTTCAGGTGACTGCAAAATATTTAGTGCTTGGATTTATAACCAAGCCCAACTTTTATCCGGTAAGCCCCTTTTAGCTGGTAATCACCTTTCTTTTTTTATTTTATGTGACAACTGTGATGCTAATCTGAGCCACTTTCAGTCAAATTGATTGATGCTTCCATTAATTGGCTTACTGTTTATTATTAGGCTCAGGTATCATAGAAATGTAAAATATGTGTTTCATTGCAGAATAAAACAAAGGTGTTTTAACCCACAATTATTTTCGAGAGTAAAATTTCTAATATTTTCATGATATTTGATATTTTATAAATATCGAGTATTTTCCTGACTAATGAACGGTTTCTAGCACCAATATCGATCACTGCTAGCTGGAAAGTATGATGCTTTTTTTTCAATGATTCACAGATGTGGAAGAGTTCTGGTTAAGCATTCTACTTGATTTACTGTGGCTGGACTCAACAATTGTGTGACTCTCCACTTGCAATCAGGTAGCAGCATGTGGAAGGAGCTACCAAGTGTGGCAAATAATGTTTGCTACCAACAGCTGCTCATCATTTTCTTTGACAGATTCGGTTCATGATTAGAGACTATAGCAACATTCCCCATCGTGTTGAGCTACGAATTCATAAAAATAGCTGCCATTGGTAAAAATTTTAAGTGTCAAATAGCTATTTACTTTCAGACCTGGGGAAAAATGCACAAACTGTAGTGATATTAATAAAAGAAACAGATACATTTCGTGGGTTTTGATCACATATTTCTATAGAACAGAGGAATTCATGTGGTTGAAGAAAGATGTGAGATTTTATTTTTGTCCCTTCACTTTCCTACAAGTAAAATGTCCCAGTAATCGAATAATATGTTTTGTCTATGCTAAGACCATTTCAGTATCACGTGGATAGTAGTTGAACTCAGACACTAAAAATTTTTTTTGTGTCCAACTTTTTGTATCTAACTTGTTCCCTCCAAAATTTTTTTTGTAAACAGAATCTTCTCTTGGTTATTGTTGAATTATTTTAAAAGAAATTTTCACCAATTATAACCATATTACAGTCCTAGTATGTATTTTTTTACTCTTACTGCTAGGTTGGTCATTGTTGATTGACGGGTACAATATTGGCCAGGTAGTGGGGAAAAAAGCAAGTGACAGAAAGAAGAAAGCACGATGTTAATTAAATCTTAAATAAAAAAACTTGGTTTCTGTTGACAAAAGGAGTAGAATGAGCTCTCTCTCTTTGTGGCAAATCATAAAACCAAGAATCATGGCTTTTCTATCAATCCAATGTGAAAACTTCAACAATTCGTGTTGTTTCAGAGTTTCAGACTGTAGGTAAAATGAGTAAATGGAAAGGAACATCTACAAGATTTCTTGCAAACATTAATAGCTGATACTGATGTTAGCAAGAACACTATTGTCAGGGCAGAATCTTCAGAAAAAAAAGACTCCTACACGAAATATGGTAAATGCACCTGATAGCAATAACTTAAGTATACCCTGAGAATGACCCTGCAGGGCAGATGTACCTAAATATGTGCTCTGAGCTAGGGAATCCAGGAGAGGCCAGCCCCGAGATTCGTTCCTTGTCTATGAGGAACACCTGATCCCCTGGGCCTTGCGTTAGAACACAGGGCCATACAGGGGATGGAAGTGCTGAGTTTTGGGTTAAAATGAAGGTTGCCAGGTGGAGGCTGTTATGGGGGCGTGGGATGGGGGAACTAAGTGAAAAAGCTATATAAACCGCATGCCGTTTGTAAGCATTTGCGGGTTTCTCTGCTCTGCCCGCCTCCATTGGGTTCTTCTCTTTTGTTAAGCTTTCACGTAAAACTGGGTCTTGTTTGTTAGCTTTGGGTCTCTTTTTTCGGTCTCTTAAACTTGGTGTTATCCCTGGTGGAGGTGATAGGGGTTTAGTAGACCACACTAGTAAAAGAAGTATATATAGAAAAAGGAAGTAAAACTCTAAGAAGATTGCTAGATGTTGGAATCCTAAAAAGAATTAGGTTTGTCAGAAGTTATATACTAGAAACAATACAATACTTGAACGTTAAATTTTGACTTTCATAATACAAATGAAATTTGAAGATCAGATGAGTAAACTGACCAGCGTTAAAACAGGGAGTGTGAAGATTGCCAGAGTAAAATCGAGAATCGCCACCCCCTAGGGAAGACACAGCTTCCAATGCATTACGTATCTAACCTCCAGAGCGTCATTCTCCAGTTGTCAGTGTTAATGTTACAGGTTATTGTTCTTCCTAGTATGGGAGATTAGAAGTTTCTCTCTAACCTCTAATTCAAATATTCATGGAGCACATAAGTACTATTCTAGACAAGGGACGATATTAGGGATGATGAAACACCTTAAGAAGCACCCTAAACAAATACTACATCCAAACACAATCTGTAGATAAAATCCCAGATTTCTATTGTACTGAGGCAGGAAAATAAGGTCCGGAGGCAGGGAACTAAAGGCCAATTAGTGCTGAATTTCCAAAGCTGGATCAAAAGGAAAACACCTGGGTCTCTAGGCAGGGGACTTAGCACCAATTAACACCAAAGCTAAATCAAAAGAAACTTCTCTCTCCCCCTGGCCTGTTGAAAAAGCAAAAAACCAAAGTTATTCTCTCTATAACTCTCCCGTTTCAACTATGTCTCAGATGGAAAGTGACTTGGATTGGCCACGGACCACACATAGGCTATTGCTTTATCATTATAGGGCACCGGTTCATCTCAGCCTCTTAGGAGCCACAAAACAAATCGCTCGTCCACATAAGTGGTAGTCGATAGGGACCTTTAAAGGAGTATTTAAAATCTGGAGAACTTTGTACCCAGGTTCTTGGGCGGCTTGCTTGGGTCCACTCCTGCCCTGTGGAGTGCTTTCCTTCTTAAATCCTTGCTTCGGCCGCTTCCTCCGATGTCATTCCTTGTTACTTTGTTTTTTTTTTTCTTTGAGATGGAGTTTCACTCTGGCTCAGGCCGGAGTGCAGCAGAACGATCTGAACTGACTGCAACCTCTGTCTCCCTGGTTCAAGCGATTTTCCTACCTCAGGACCCTCAAATAGCTGGGTCTGTAGGCATATACCACTACATTCTTTGTTCCAAACGCCAAGAACGCAGACAACTCGCTGAAGGCCTTCCTTCCCGTAACAGTATGAGGAAAGCATCTTAATAGCTTACTTATCTATCTTATATCAGCAAACAAATGTGGACAACACTAACGCTTTTACATGATTTAAACAATTTTGCAAATAGGTGTTTGAAACAGGGCATATCTGCTCTGCTTAAATACTGAGAAGTTATTTATCTTAACTCTATAGTGAGTTCATACAGAATTGAATTCGTCTGCTTAATCATTCTAAGAAACATTGACTTATCAGTACAATACTTAACTTTGTCAAGTTTCAAAGATACCCATTTATATGCCTTTAGTTTTTATAGAGACAAGATGGCACCAAAGAAATCAATTGTTTAATATGCTGCTGTATAACATAGAAAACCTGTGGGTAACAGATAAAGGTAGTGAAAATACTAAGTTTTGAAGCTTTATATTCAGTGCTTCCCCCTGCCCCGCCGCCCCAATTCTTACATTAAATGAATACTTTACCCAACTTCGGGAGATGTCAACTTTTGTAATTCTCGTAATGGCTGACTGAATAAGAAATAAAAAATGGAGTGCATTTTTAAAAAAAACTTTTCCAGCAGTAGACAAGCATTATGGGTCACCTTAGGACTTAATAACTGTACAAAACCAAATGAAGGATTGCTTGGGAAAAAGGTATTTAGATGCTAAAACAATTGAAGTCACTTGATAAATACAAACAAAACATACTTTGTAAACAACACACTAAATTAAATAAGTTGATTGTTGAGCCTTAAGGCTAATGTCTACGGAACTCCAAATACGTATGAAATTAAAAGCGTGTCAAATTTGATCATTCCATCTCCCTCAAAGCCTGTCAGCTGTGATTGACCAGTATCAGAATGTATGACTTGAATTCACATTCAGATGTGCTGAATTTACCTTCAGCGTCTCTTAATCTTGCCGAAGCTTCTCAAATTGAGAAAAAAGTTCAAGTGACATTTTTCTTCGTGTTTTGGGCTTTTTTTTCTAATAACTTAAGTTCAGGGGGTATATGTTAGGTACAGGTCTTGCTACATGGATGAATAGTGCGTCACTGGGGTTTGGGGTACAAATTATTCTATCATCCAGGTAATAAGCGTAGTATCTGATAAGTAGCTTTTAAATCCTCACCCACCCTCCACTCACAACCTAACCCCCAGTGATCATTGTTCCCTTCCTTGTGTTCACGTATACTCAGTGTTTAGCTCCCACTTATAACTGAGAACATACAGTATTTGGTTTTCTGTTCCTGCATTAATTTTCTAATAACTCACCAACGCTATTTTTCCATTCACAAGTGACAGCTTTGGCAATTGTTTTTTTCACTCAACCACAGGCCACTTTTCCGGAATCTGATAAAATTATGCTAACCCCTTTTTCCAGGTTTTGTTAACCAAGTCTCTTAACAGTTTTCCCCACCCCCCCAACCCCCCACCGCCCCCGGTTCTGGCTAACACTGACCTTACCAACTTTTCACCTACTTCTCAATACCACATATCTTGGGTTTTTACTATGGTAGCATCCCACATCCCCATCAAAAGTTAGCATTTTGAAGCAATGCCTTGTTGGTGTGCTAAATCTGTGAGCCAGTTGGGTGGTTCTGTGGTCTCTGCTGGATTACTCTCATCTGTTGACAGGGACTCCAAGTGAAGTAGTCAGCGTGCTCCTTCTCGGCTTTGTTTAGCTACAGGCTGTATACTGCTCCTTTGAATTCTTCCTGCAACAGGCTAGCTAAGGCTCTTAAGGGGACAGAGGGGTTCTGAGTGAGTCTTTTTTTTTTTTTTTTTTCTCAAATTTCCTGTGACTTCTATTTGTTACAGCAAGTCATAAGACCAGCCCAGATTCGAGCAATGGGTAAATAATTGAACTTCACAAGAGGGGGAAGAGCTGCAAAAACGCACTGAAAAAGGATGTGTAGACTAAAGGAAAGGGAATGTTTATAGCTGCTTTCTCACTCTACTACGGCAGGAGTGTCTTATTTACCCAGCAAATTATATATAAACGACTGTATATATGAAGTCTTAGAATTCAACTGTGAGCGTGACAGACAAAACCTGTTTTCTTGGAGACCACGTTCTAGTAGGCGGAGCTAGAGCATAAACAAGGATAAACCAATAGGATCATCAGAATAACTGCTATGGAAAAAATTAATGTAATAAGATAGGATGCCCTTTTAGAGCTTGTTTCTGAGCTGAGAGCTGAAATAACGTGAACTAGCCAGAGACAAGCTAGCAGATTCAAAAGCCTTTTATCGGTGCAAAGCTTGCCATCATAGTACTGCAGGAAGGCTAATAGACTGGGCTGTACAACATAACCAAAAGAAAAGAGTTCAGGTAAACTATTTTTCCCCACGATTTCCAACAGTCTGTGACCTATTTGCTGCTGTAATTAACTCAAAGAGCCTGTATCGACCCTATACTGTGAAAGATGGGTCTTGAATAATCAAATGCACAATGTTGGCAAGTGTTTTATATAATTGCTAAGTGTGAATTATACTAAACATATCTAGTTCACTCTATGTAGTTTGGCTGTATAGAATGTATATGGATTCCTTTTCATACTTTGTAAAAGAATGAGTGAAAACATGACTAACTTTAATTCCATCTGCAGGAGGTGACTAACTGCTGTTATTCAAGTTTTTTTAGCATTACTCTAAAGTATGCCTCCTATAATATTCTCACAAATAATCCTAAATCATAAAATTAGTTTCCCATGTCTATCTTTACAGTTCATTATAATAAAATTAACACAAAAAATAGCAAACTTTCTGAGATTTTTAACCTGCAGTAAGCAAACCAGCATCCAAATCTCTTCAGCCAGGTGTGGGTAGCATGTGGCTGCCTTTAATAAATCTGCTTTCTGTTAAATAATTCTCATTTCTATTCCCTGAGGTCCCTTTGGTAAGCTCTCACCCTGTTTTCTGAGCTGAAATCATACCAATGTTAGGGAAATAGCACTTCTGCCTTTTTGCTGAACAATGAAAGATTTCCCGTGAAAAACGATATCAAATAAGCTGGAGGCTTGTATTTTAAATATCCACAAATGACAAATGTTTGTCTTTCGGGTTTAAAACTTGGGAATGTACACATAGATTGTCACGAGTGCTCTACTTAAATCAGTTTGCCAGGAAACTTTAAAAGCTCATCTCTTCAAAGAGTTAGCAAAAGTTTTAAAACTTATGTTTGGGTACAAGCAGTCAACTTACAATTAAGCCAGCAAACACAAGTGCTTGTCTCCCTTGACACCTAACACCATGGGCATAATTTCGTTTACTACGGAAACTTGATCACAGTATATATTTTAGATTTGGGTACCTTTTTTCTGCATTCCTGAAAACCCTATTTATATGAACTTTAGCTCGTTAGTTCTCAACCTTGGCTGATACTAAAATCACCTGGGCAGCTCAGACATAGCTATGCAGAAATTTTCCCTCATTTGATTTAATTGGTATAAGCTGAGGCCATTGATAAGTTTTAAAATGCCTGGATCTGTTGTTCAGACCAACTGGAGAACTAGTCATTCAATAAATTCTACTTTAAATTGCATTTAATATCGTAGTGACATTAACATTTCTGGATGTACTGACACATTTTGAATCAACATTGATTGTGTGCCCACATCTTTAATAATGGGTTATTAACAAGTTGGGGTATGTGAGCTAAGTAACCACATGAGAAAAATGTAAAGGCATTGTATGCTAGGATGTGCTTTGCATAGAAATTGCTTCAACTAATCATATTTTAAGAGTGTAATTAGCAGCCTGGGGAAAAACAAAGATAGCTCCAGGTTCTGTTGTAGCATCTTCAGGCCTTAATTTCTTTAGTTTGGAAAATCTGAATAAATGTGTGCCCCTTTGGGATTGGCCAAATCAGATAGTGACATTTTATTATTCAGCACCTTTGAGTTGTAAATACTAAATGTTCCAACTAAAGGACATGGTATGCAAATTAGGATAAGTTTGTTTTTTAAATCTTCCATCTAGATCATGAGAAGTCATCTTTGTTGGTTTTTATGTAGGCTAATTAGATTTTTCATCAGTTAGCAGAAGGTGTGTACCTATTACATACGTGTGCATGTACACAAGTGATAGCTCAATTTATACTGAGCTCCTGTATTGTTGGGTACCCCTAAGATGTGTCCACTGAAAAGCTCATACTACAGTGCCTCCAGTCCATGACGGCATTGATTGCAAGGTGAACAATTCTTATATGTGCTGCAAAGAAAAAGAAGCTTCTGATTTACAGTACTGTGATCCCTATTAAAAAGGGCTTAGAATTAGGGGAAACCTTAAAATGTATCAAACACTTAGTATGCAACAGGCATCGTCAAATCCTAAAACTCACAATATCACACATATTATTCCTAATCTACGTATGGGGAGAATTAGGTTTAGGGAAGTTTGATTCACTTCCCCAAGGTCACAAAACAGTGAGATACTAAGATTCAGGATCTCCTCTCTTAACGACCCAGCACGCTACTACTTAAGATCTACTCTAAAAATAACTATTTTCAAAACAACATGCACAAAATTTTGTATAGTGTTTCACAGTACCCCAAAAGAATACTTAGACTGAGTTCTTAGAAAACATTGTGGAGCAGATAAGATTTTAGGTACCTAAAGATAGAGCATTGGTCTGAACATCATGCAAATGTATACTGTTTGCCAATTTGTGTGGGTAACTGAATTACATAAAGAATCTGAGGGTTTTTAGAGTGTAAAATCCTCTAGATTGTTACTCACCTGGCCCACAGCATAGTTAGAAGACATTGAGTACTGAGCTTATCCAATATACTATTAAGAGGAGTTGGGTGATGGAAACATGTGCAGTGATGGGAACACATGGATGGTGAGCCTTCTACACCAAGCTTATATTCTGTTGTGGAGGAAGGCATTAAACTTTCCATTAATGACACTTGATCTATGTATAACGAAAGATTCTGCCTACCACGTATGGTACCACAACAGCAAATAATGGCGTTGCACGTAACTTTGTCGTTTGTCATTTCCATTGAGGAAGTAACATTTAAGATGTAATTTTAAGACAAATAAGGAAGTGTCCTCTAATTTGATGGAATATCACATGGTAAAACAGTTGAGAAGTAGGAGGGAAGAAAAGGATTGTAACCAGAACATAGAGAAAGTTGTGGATGAGAAAGAGGGAGATGATGTTGGTATGGGCAGGGTCTTTCAGGGATTTCAGACCATTTATTAATCCCGCCATGCAAATACTTCCCCTGGAAGTACTGGTCCATAATAGAACAGTATCTATGGATCCTAGTGAAATCGCTCATGAAATAAAAATGAAAGCAACGTTAAATGCAGCTCTGCTTTCTGAATGTTACAGGGATATGATTAGAGTTTGGGATTCATTCACCTTCTCTTGGGTAAAATACCCCATCCCCTGCCTCGCATATTTGGGTATATTATTTATTTCTCAACACCTTTTTACAGACTAAGTGCAGTGGCTGTGCGTTTACTTGCTACTATGTTCACTATCCGGGTGACAGGATCATTCATATGTCAAACCTCAGCATTACACGACATACCCATGCACATTTACTCCCTGGCTCTAGAAAGATGAAATTAAAAATGAACAATATCTTCATGATGACAAAACACACAAAAAGGAGAATCCCAGAGTTGTTCAGGCTGCTTTCCAAGAAGTAATGGACACTCACTCCACTCGCTACTGCCGAAACATAGAGAAACTTAAGTTCTCTGTCAGTGTTCCTAAGTCAGCTGTACCTCCTGACCTGCTGCTTTCCTTGCTCCTCAGGGCTTCTCGAAAGAGAAAGCAGAAGGGAGCTCCACCCTCCAGAGACAGAGTCGCTGTCCTAAACTACCAGTGTATGTGGCCACATTAATGCCCTGGAGCCCCATGTCTTAGAAATTCTAAAACAATGAACTTCTGAAAGTCATCAAAAGAAAAAAAAACCCTGAATGTGGCATTTCGATGAATTGTGGCCTTTTTCAAAAGACATCGTAAATTGCAAATAAAGATTTGTAGCTTTTTTAGAGATACCAACTGAAAGATCAGTGTGGGTTTTTTTTTTTTCCCTTTGGCCAATCTTAATGAAAACTTGTTTTGCAGAGCAATGGTGTTCCTCTGATTTCATGGTATTTATATGAAAGATCATGCCTTTCCCAGGGGTAGTAATTAAATGGCTGGAAAAAATTATAAGGAATTAGTGTTACACAAAGAATATAGCTATGTCTTTCTTTCAAAATAAACTTGCAACATTTAATACAGCCACTATATGACAAAAACGGGTGAATCAGTGTAGTGGTTAAAATACTTAACGCACAACTTACCTGTGACATGATTAAACAGTGAATTAACAATTTGTATGTAGCAGCAAAATGGCTAAAAGGAACAACCACAGATACTGAAATCTAAACAACCTGGTTTTGAATCGAGTCAGCCTCTCTTGCCCTTTGCCCAGGTAAGTTTGTGGGAAAGTTGGCTTTAATTGCTGTAGTATCGACCTAGTTGTTACTTGAACACTGAATATTGTTGGAGAAATGATGTATTAAAAAGTAGAAATCAATACACCATATGATAATTGTCAAGTAGATAGTGCCATTAGAGGGACATTGTTTTCTCAAAGAATGGTGTTCCTATTTTGGGTAACTCTTGATAGCAATTAAGGTCCAAACATCTCATGTATTTTAACTTTTTATTTACCTTGATAATGTTCTTTCAAATCCAGTGCAAGTGAAAAGGCAGACCTAAATATTAGGATGTAGAAAACTTGAACACAACTTCACATGGAAATTATTTCTTGCCTGTAGCATTTTGAGGATTTGAAGTCATTTGAATTCTGAATTGACATATTTAAAATAACATTGTGGTTAAGAGTGTTTTTTTTTTTTAAACAGCACTTAACTCACATACTTCTATAATGACAACTAAGTGCGACAAAAACAAGTGTTTGCATTTTAGTTTTAAGGGAGCTGTACTTCGTGATATGAGTTTAGTGAATGTCTCCAGACTCCCCAGAGGAACTAAAAATAGTAGCTCGTCATATCAGTTGACATTTTAATGATACAAAAACATTGGCACCTGATGACTTTATTTTCAAATAAAACTATATTGGGAAATACGGAAAACTTGAATTTTCTAGGTTATAAATTTGCTTTGAGTTTCCTTATATACCTGGGATATGTATTTTAAGGTAACTAAATTTCCCCTATCAAATGGAACCATTTTGGTTCCTGGTTTACAATGGAAGTAGAGTTGACTTATTTAAAACTTAAAAAACAAAGTGTCAAGCTGCCAAAGGCATCTTTAACACACTGGAAAAGAGTAACTGAAATCGGGCAGAACAAGCAATTCCATGGTTCATCAAATCACTAAACTCTCCTACTTTAAGATTTGTAAACAAAATCTATGATGATCAAGATCTCCTTCTTGTAGATGATGCATCGAAGACCACATCTGTTTCTTCAGGATAATTACTGTATTGACACTTAAATCATCTGTTAAAAGCATAAGCTAGTGCCATGAGTTAATTCAAGAAAGTACAAGTTGAGTGCTTACTATATGGCTCAAAGTGTACCAAGTGCTGGGGGGTATATTTAGGGACCAAGACACAGTCATTGCCCTCACAGAGCATGCGGTCTTCTAATGTGTTGGGAGCCAACACTTTTGATTCTAACGTCAGGTTTATCGGGAAGTGACTGTGGGTCGGAGATGGACACATAAAGCTGTCAGGGGGCTAAACAGTTCATAGCTCAAGGGAAAAGGGGGTTTAGACTGTGGTGAACAGAGAAAAACACATACTGCTGCAAAACAGCAAACCAAGACAACACAACAGTTAAACAATGTGCCCTTGGAACAAAGTCAGTGTTTGTTTCTACTTGGTACTCTCTGCTTCAAAAGATCCCTGCAGGCCTCCAAAAGTGGAGGGAGATGGAGAGGCAAGTGGAATGAAATTAGAGTTAGAACCCACTAAAATGTGCACTACCAGGACCCCATCAACTCAAACTGAACTGGATGCTCTATGATCCTGCTCAGTGCAGGCAATCTGGTTTTGACATACGCTCAGGAGGTATTTCGATAATGTGGAGGCCACCCACAGGGAGGGGTTACTCAAACTGAATTCTGAAAAGAATTAAGCTCAGCAGAGTGGCTTTGGAGGAGGTAAACTGGACCTGTCTGTATCCTAAACTCATAGACATCCGCAGACACCCCCTCACCCTTTCCCTCTTCAACCTGAGTAGCTCCTCTTTGGCTTATGATACAAGAGATGAATGAAGGTGCCCTTTCTGCTTTAAAAGTGTGAAGCCCAAAGGATGAGAATAATTAGCTAATTTAATCACTTAGTATATAGTAAACTACATATGGGAAACAAATGAAGTCATTCTGGCTCTTGGGTGGCTGCTGCCATTGTCCTCTTTGCTGAAGACACTAGCTCTATCACTTGATGACTGCCCTTAAGCTGTCTAACCCATTTAAGCCTCAGTCACTTCTACAGAATGGGTGTAATAATGGTACCTGTCTCCTAGGATGCTTGAAAGAATTAACTGAGTAAATACATAAATTGCTTTAAAACAAAGCCTAGCACCCAGTAAGCACCCCATCAGTATCACGTTTTCCCTGTCACCAAAGGCATCTGCTGCATAAAGGAAACCTGTGATTGTTAAAAGATGAGGAAGAATCAGCATTAGTATTCTGCTTTTGTTTTTGAACTAAAATTTTTAAGTTCAGTGATGAAATAGCTTTGACAGATGAATAGACTCTGGCAATAAAAGGATATGCTAAATTCCAAACCTTGCTTTTGCATTTCAAGACCTCCTAAGCCAGGATGATTCAGAGTATGGGATTTCACCGTAAGTGATACTATAGGATGGGCAGGTTGTAGATGGTTCTATCATCCAGAAAGAGAAAGCAAAGTTTCCTGTTGAAAAGGAAGTTAGGGAATACAAGGAGAGTGGTAATGGCCTATCTGGGTTCAGTGCCTGGAGCGCTGGACCTAGAGAGAGGACCCAGTGCACGCCATACCCATGAGAGTTTAGTTTGTTGTTCACATTCATCTTTGAGTGTAAGAACCCTCCCAATGAGGGCACCACCTTCATATCGTTTTCTGGATGGCATGAAAGCCATATAAAGCACAGGGGGAAGATGGTCTCTTAGGAAAGGCTTTTGAAATAATGCGCTGAGTACAGGCCCCCCGATAGGGTGCGTTTGGCTGTGTGTCCCCACCCAAATATCACGTCAAATCATAATCCCCGCATGTCAGGGGAGGGGACTCGTGGGAGGTGATTGGATCATGGGGGGTAGATTTCCCCCTTGCTGTTCTCGTGATAGTTCTCAAAAGATCTAGTTTAAACGTGGTAGTTTCCCCCTTCACTGTCTCTTGCCTGCCACCATGTATGTGTCTTGCTTCTCCTTCGCCTTCTGCCATGATTGTAAGCCGCCTGAGTCCTCCCCAGCTGTGTTGAGTCAATTAAACCTCCTTTCTTTATAAATTACCCAGTCTCAGGCAGAAAACAGACTAATAAACCCCCACAGATGGCATTGTCAATTATAATACCTGGAGTTTCCATGTGTTTTGAGCAGGAGAATACCCAGCTGTACGCACAGCTCATGACCTGCGGAGGCCTCAGAAGGACAGGGGACTGCAGAGTGGGGAACTTCGCACTGGAGGCAAATGAGTAGAAACAGAAGTAGAAGTGAGTGCCAGACTGTTAATAGGAAGCATGATCAGCCACTCTAAGGCTGACCCCATAGTAGAGTACCCCCAAAATTTCACCAGATCATTGACATTATTTATACAGACAAGTTCTGGCTCTGTCGCTCAGGGTGAATGAAGTATAGTGGTGTGATTGTAGCTCAGTGCAGCCTTGAACTGTGCTCAAGGGTTCTTCACACTTCAGCCTCCCAAAGCTCTGGGATAACAGGCCAGATCACTCACTTTAGAGAGGAGACTAGAGGGACCAGTGAATGACTTCACACACATCATTAAGATTTGCCAGTCTGTCTTCATCCAGCAGCCTTCTTGAGAGGAAGGGGAAAGAAAAACAGAGTATAGAGACACAGCCAGGAAAGGAGGGTTTAAAGTTTGACGGCGCTTTCTCCCAAAGAACCAGAGTTAAAACAGGAGAGAGAACTTTGACCTGGAAGAAACGGTTGCCTTGAAATGGTTCATATTTAGTCATGTTGTGGGCTCCCAACAACTCATGGCATGGAGAATACTATTGGTCTCCAGAGCAAGTTGTAGAAAACATTTTTCAAAACATTTTTAAAAACTGCTTTTGTTGACCATTTCAGTTAAAGCAGGATTGAAATCTGAACCCTCTATAAAACATGCACACAGGCGGCTGAGGCAGGAGAATGGTTGGAACCCAGCAGGCAGAGGTTGCGGTAAGCCGAGATCGCGCCACTGCACTCCAGCCTGGGTGACAGAGGGGGGAGACCCTGTCTCAAAAAACAGGTGGGGCAGGATGGGGGAGGGGGGGGACAACGAACAACTCGCAGTTTTGCATTGTTTAGCTCTTACTTAATGGAGTCACCACCATCTGCCTTCCCTTGCAGGTCCCTCTGTCTGTGGAGTCCCTGCGTGTACAGCTCACTTTTCAATTGGAAGTTTCTACAAACCTAACACTCAAAGTCCCTCATAAAGCCAAATTATCCTTGAAAGACAATTCTGGTTTTCTCATTTTGCCTCCTACAGGGTGACTAATAGTAAAACCTGATGGTGAGTCAGGAGCCATTCCTTTCATTTTCTCTGAGTCATTAGTCATTTATGACAAACGTATTGCTCCCCTTGAATTAACTTCTCCTTGAGGGCTAGGGTTGAGTGTCATAGAACATTTAAAATTAGAAAGAACCTTAGGGAGCTTCTAGTCTAATCTTATACATAAACTAAGGCCTGGGGAAACTATTGACTTGAGAGAGGTCAGATTGTAAATAGCACAGCAGAGCCTCAAAGTTCTCCTGGTTGTAGCCCAGAGCCCTAAGATACACACTTTAAGGCACATCATTGGAAGTGGCCTAAAAATGCACAAGCTTTCAAAACCACACATTGGGTCGAGAATTCCGTTTATAAACATCCATTATGGAGTCATTACCTGAGAATATCATGCACAGGTCAACTTCTACAGGAAAAAGAACATTTTGACCAGAGTCAGTCACATCTTCTGCGTGCTTGCTTTCCTGAGGGAACAACCACTAGCTATCAAGAAATTGAGTAAAGAGTTTACTAAGTTTGGGGCCCTGATGAAAATGAAACCATCTGGTTTAGGTTTTGTTCTGAACAGGGAAAGAGATTAGATTCATAGGTTCACAAAAGCAAACTTCATTGCAGAAGGAAAAATACTTCCACTTGAGAATTTCTAGCTTTACAGAAGTTCGGTGAAAGTAGATGCTATTGATGTAAGAGGCTAATGTCTGTCACAGTCTAGGTATTTTGCAATGACTTTCTTCACAGCATGTTCATTTTAAGATTAAGGAGGTCTTTACGGTTCATGGAAGTTTAATGAGAATTACAATAGCCCCCCAGATACCTAAACACAGAGGTTAGGGTTATTTAAATGACTGTTTTATCATGAGAGGGAACTTGCCCATTTCGGGTATTAACATTCTTTGAAAAACTTGAGTTTCCACAGGCTTTTTCAATTCTCTCCTACATACTGTAATTTATAAATCGCAGAGTATATGTTGCTATGGAAATGGCCTCCGGTCTGTTACTGAGACACATAAAAGATAATCCTTGGGCTCTGTTTTATGTATCTATACATACATACACATATATTCCACATGTAAATAAGATTATGTGATATTTTTCTGTTGGTGTCTGGCTTATTTCACTTGGCATAATGTCCTCCAAGTCTATTCATGTTGCAACAGATGGCAGGGTTTCCTCCGTTTTTAAGGCTGAATAATATTCCATTATATATATATATATATATCACAATTTTATTCATTTGTCAGTTGATGGACATTTAGGTTGTTTCTGTGTCTTGGCTGTTGTGAATAGTGCTGTAATGAACGTGAGTGCAGGTATCTTTGAGGGTGTGACTTTTATCTCCTTTGGGTATTCAGGAGATGGATTGTTGGGTTACATGGCAGTTACATTTTTAAATTTCTTTAGGTATCTCAATACCGTTTTCCATTATGGTTGTACCAACCTAAATTTCCACCAACAGTATGTAACTTTTCTCCACATCCTTGCCAATACCTATTTTCTTTTTGATAACAGCCATCTTTAAGAGTGTGAAGTAATATCTCATAGTGGTTTTAATTTGCACTTCACTTAGGATTAATAATGTTGAGCACATCTTCGTATTTGTTGGCCCTTTTAACATCTTTGGAGAAATGTCTGTTTGGTCCTTTGCCTGTTAGACAGCTTTAAAAATTTTAGATTCAAAGAGTACACATGCTTCTTCATTACATGGGTATTACTTGCATAATGGTAGGGATTGGGTTTCTAGTGTACCCATCACACAAATACTGAATACTGTACCCATTTAGGTAAGTTTTCAACCCTCATTCAATACCTTTTAATAGTCCTTATACTGTATTCTCTTTATACCAGTTGTTTAGCTCCCACTTGATGTGATATTTGATTCTCCTGCTTCTGGGGTTGGTTCACTTAGGATAATGACCTCCGTCTCCACCCATGTTGCTGCAAAGGGCATGACTTTTGTACTTTTTTTTATAGCCACACAGTATTTCATGATGTATAGATACCATTTTCTTTATCCATTCAACTGTTGATGGATACTTAAGTTGGTTCTATGACTTTGCTGTTGTAAGTAGTCTTTGCCCATTTGTTGATTGGGTTCTTCTGCTATTGAATTTGTAGGAGTTCTTCATAAATCTTGGATAAAGATATCAGATGTGACTTGCAATTATTTCCCAGTCTTTAGGTTGTCCTTTGAAAAACTAGTTGTTTGTATAAGTTGGAATTTATTTCTGGGCTTTCTATTCTGTTCCATTGGTTGATTTTTGTGCATTTTTGCTAATACCTTACGATTTTGATTACTATGAAACCTCTTAATATAATTTTAAATTGTATGGTGGATCTAACTTGTTTTGCTTTCTCAGTATTGCCTCAGATACTCGGAGATTTTTGTGGTTTCATACAAATCTTAGGATTGTTCTTTCTATTCTTGTGAAGAATCGAGTTGGAATTTTGATAGGGATTGTATTAAAGCTGTATATTGCTCTGGGGAGAATGGACATGTTTACAATATTCCCTTCCATGAACATGGAATATACTTTCATTTACATCTTCAACTTCTTCATTAATGTCTGATAGTTCTCAAGATATAAATATCTAATTTGTATTGCAGATCTTTGTTCAGTAGATTTTAGCTGCTCTTGTCACACAAAAAGTAACTGAGGTGACAGGTATGTTAAAAGGTAAGCCTTGGAGATAAACCTTATTTTGCAAATAAATTGCTGTCCTTTTATCTCCAAACATCTCCTGTTAGACATGCTGGCTATAAAAGATAGAGTAGGTATTAAAAAGAAGGGAAATGAGGAATTTAAGTAAAAACTCATGTTTTCTGGAAAATAAACCAAAAGGGCGTAAAGAATATATAAAAAGATAAGTGATGTTACTGCAGCTAATCTTTGTCAGCTACTTATCTCCTCGCATAAACTTTAACTTGGAAGCGATTCAGAATCACCGGGAGGCATTGTTAAAACTCATGCTAAGCATCATACTTGGAGCCTGTGACTTGGTAGTTCTGTGGTGGTAGGGCCCAAACATTTTCTTTCTTAACAAGTCCTAGGTGATGTTGATGCTGCTGAGCTAGGCATCAGATTTGAGAACCACTCTTCCAGCATTATTTTAAGCATTTTCAAAAATTGTAAAATACACATAAAACTTACCATTGTAACCATTTTCAAGTGTAGTTTAGTGACATCGATTAGTCACATGGTTGTGTGACTATGGCCACCATCCATCTTCAGAACTCTCATTATCCAAGCTGAAACTCTGTACCCACATATCAATAACTCTGTCCTCCCCACAACCCCTGGCAACCACAATTCTAGTTTGTCTCTATGAATTTTACTATTATAGATTCCTCATAAAGTGGAATAATATTTTACTTAGCATAATGTCCTTAAGCTTTATTCACGTGATAGCACATGTCAGAATTTTCTTTCTCCTTAAGGCTGAATAATAACTCCATTGTAGGTACATACCACATTTCATTTATTCATTGATGAACATGGGATTGTTTCTACATTTTAGCTATTGCTGCTACAAACATGGGTGTACAAATATCTGAGCCTTTAATTGTAATTCTTTGGGAATATACCTAGAAGTGAAATTGATTCTAAGCATTTTACACATAGGATTACATTTCATCTTTGAGAAAAGGTATGCTATTATCCCCATTTTAAGTACGAGGAAACAGACATCCAGAATTCATCTAATTTTGCTGAGGTCACGCAGCTGATAAACAGACCATGGGTTCCAGTGCAGGCAGCCTGGCTCGAAGGATCAGGCACCTGCTTAAACTGCCTTCTATACCTGAAGAAAGCAGTTCTTTTTTGTGGAAAATTCTCATAATTGATGCAGACATTAATTTTCTACAATAAGAGTGGAAGTGATTACCTTTTAAAAATAAGGGCTAGCATGGGATTAAATAAATGTGTCTAAGAAATTAGTTAAAAGATAGAGAAATATTCCATCTAGTTTAATTTAGGTACTCAAATTTCTGTAACACTAGGCTAAACTGTATCTAAAATCTGTCATTTTAGTGGTCAAACCTATTTCCAGTTTTCCAAACAGTTCAACTCCGAGCAGTAGAAATGACAATTTCACAGTGGAGTCAGAAGTGTCCTTTGAATAATCGAGAGCAGAATTGGCCCTTTGCCGTGTACTCAATTCTCTGTGTAATTAAACCATCCATTAAGAAATGTACACAGTGGTCTTTGCATGCAGTTAAGTTAAATTGTCATGTGGAATGGATCAGAAGCCATGACTGGAATACTGTAGGAAAAACTCCAGCACAGTACATAAGACACAGTATAACAGAACAATGTGGGTGAGAAAACCCACATAGGGCCCAGTTTAAGAGATTGGATATTCTTTTCCAGGAATTCTCCTTTCTCTTTGAACTGCCTCCTTGCTTCTCTGAGATTCAGAGGCTTAGTGTATGATAGTGCACCTCAAGTATGAGAAATCATGGTAAAACATAACAAAATTTAACCATTTTCAAGTGTACGGTTTAGTGACATTGATTGTAGCCACATGGTTTTGTAACAATCGCCACTGTCCGTCTTGAACTTTTGTCATGATCCAAGCTGAAACTCTATACTCAAGTATCAATAACTCTGTTCTTTCCTATCCATGGCATGCAGTGGTCAAAAGAGGTGAGAGTATCATCAACTTATAGGTACTTTACATATATTTTAAATGTGCGCATTTATTCTGGAGTTATAATCGGGATGGGGTGTGGCTTATGGCTATTACGTGAAGGCAAATAAGCAATTCCATTCTTCAAGCATGACCTCAGATCACACATGCACATCCATTCCTTGCCAGCATCAATGATAGGCGAATTGTGGCAGATGGTCAGAGCATCGTTGTGTTGGCAATGGGAAAGCCAACCTTTAGGTAAGAGACGTAAGATGAAAGCGTATGAAAAGTGCATATTTCCACTCTATCTAGTTTCTCAGTCATATATAATAACTCTGAGAAATCTAGAGGAGGATTTATATCACACAATTGAAAAAATGGGCACTTTTTCCTGCATGTGGCAATCTAGTATGCATTTAAAGACCCCCTGTGTATTTGTTCCCCATCTCTAGTTTTCTATGCTGTAACCTAAATGTTGATAGTTCTTCCAGTTTCTTCCTGTATTTCATTATCACACTGCTGTAAAGAACTACCCAAGACTGTGTAATTTATGAAGAAGAGGTTTAATTGACTCACAGTTCCCCAGGATTAACAGGAAGCATGACTGGGAGGGCTCAGGAAACAGAATCATGGCAGAAGGTGAAGGGGAAGCAAAAGCAGAGGCCTTCTTCACATGGTAGTGGGGAAGTGCCACGCAGGTTTAGACCATCAGATGTTGAGAACTCACTACCATGAGAAAAGCAAGGGGGAAATTCACCCTTATGATCCAGTCACCTCCTACCAAGCTCCTCCTTCAACTTGACGTGAGATTTGGGTGGGGACACAAATGCAAACGATATCACTCCCGGAGTTTTCTAACTTTCCATCTTATTTGTGGTCCTCTGGATGAACTGCCATTTTTGGGAAGCTCTGCCTAAACTTTCTTCGCTAAATTACCATAAACACAACTTTACTAGTTTTTTTAGGATAGCTATTTTATGAATTGGGAAACTTAAATGACTGTTGTACCTGATAATTTATCACATCTCCTATGCTTTCAGTTTCACTTAAATATTTTTATCTTTACATTTCAAAGGTTAGTGATAATTGATGCAAAGGGGAAAAGCAAGTTAAGCATATATCATTTCTTGTCTTTATTTTTTTTTTAAGTTTTAGGGTACAAGGGCACAATGTGCAGGTTACATATATATACATATGCCATGGTGGTGTGCTGCACCCATTAACTTGTCATTTAACATTAGGCATATCTCCTAATGCTATCCCTCCCCCCTCCCCTGACCCCACAACAGGCCCCAGTGTGTGATGTTCCCCTACCTGTGTCCATGTGTTCTCATTGTTCAATTCCCACCTATGAGTGAGAACATGTGGTGTTTGGTTTTTTTGTCCTTGTGATAGTTGGCTGAGAACGATGGTTTCCAGCTTCATCTGTGTCCCTACAAAGCACGTGAACTCATCCTTTTTTATGGGTGCATAGTATTCCATAGTGTATATGTGCCACATTTTCTTAATCCAGTCTATCATTGTTGGACATTTGGGTTGGTTCTAAGTCTTTGCTATTGTGAATAGTGCCACGATAAACACGTGTGCGTGTGTCTTTATATAGCAGCATGACTTACAACCCTTTGGGTATATACCCAGTAATGGGATGGCTGGGTCAAATGGTATTTCTAGTTCAAGATCCCTGAGGAATTGCCACACTGACTTCCACAATGGTTAAACCAGTTTACAGTCCCACCAACAGTGTAAGTGTTCCTGTTTCTCCACATCCTCTCCAGAACCTGTTGTTTGCTGACTTTTTAATGATCACCATTCTAACTGGTGTGAGATGGTATCTCATTGTGGTTTTGATTTGCATTTCTCTGGCCAGTGATGAGCATTTTTTCATGGGTCTGTTGGCTGCATAAATATTGTCTTTTGAATTGTCTGTTCATATCCTTTGCCCACTTTTTTATGGGGTTGTTTGTTTTTTTCTTGTAAATTTGTTGGAGTTCATTGTAGATTCTGGATATTTAGCCCTTTGTCAGATGTGTAGATTCCAAAAATTTTCTCCCATTCTGTAGGTTGCCTGTTCACTCTGATGGTAGTTTTTTTTGCTGTGTAGAAGCTCTTTAGTTTAATTAGATCCTGTTTGTCAATTCTGGCTTTTGTTGCCATTGCTTTTGGTGTTTTAGACATGAAGTCCTCGCCCATGCCTATGTCCTGAATAGTATTGTCTAGGTTTTCTTCTAGGGTTTTTATGGTTTTAGGTCTAACATTTAAGTCTTTAATATATCTTGAATTAAGTTGAGTATAAGGTGTAAGGAAGGGATCCCGTTTCAGCTTTCTATTTTTAACACATTGCCTCCACCCTGACTCAAGTGTGTTTTTTGTCGTATGAAACTTTTAGAACATCTTTTCTTGTTTAGATAAAAGGGATAAGCCTAGATACGTTCTAGTGGGAGCCTCTGTGATATTGTTTCTGTAGGATGAAGCATCTTTTATCAACACTTTATCTTGCTTTCCATATCTAGAGCATATTTTAATCTGAGCTCAAATGGCTCTCTGTTCAGAAACATTGATTTCACTAAATGACTCCTTACAGTTTGCAAAATTCTAAGTACTTTGAGCTCATTTAATGTAAGATCCAAGTAACACTTATAAAGCTATGTTCTGTAGCAATGTCTTTCTCTGCTAGGGAGTCTTAATTATTTCTTGGAGATAAACTTCAAAGTATTTGGCTCTTAGAAGTCAAGACTATGCCTAAATATTCATAGTATTCTTTCCCATCAGTTGGATTCTTAGTTGCATAAAGAGATACACACTGGCTCATGTAAGTAAAATAAGGCATTTTTGAAGAAAAATTTGAGTACCTCACAGGATCTCTGGGGTCTGAAGAACGCATCTTGGTGGCTATCCAGGAACAACATCCCAAATCTTACAACGGAGCTTCTTGTATACTTGTTCAAAAATCTGATTGACCCCACTTCTTTTTCTAACCACTCCTTCATATGTCAGTTCCATGAAGAGTTTGATAGCTTTCTGCAGGTGCTATCGGGATGCCTTGCCTTGAACTTGCTTGCACAATCTACCACCTGAGAAGAAGCTTCCCTGAAACTGCAAATTGAAATACCTTCAAGAATCCAAGTGGGGTGGAGGGAAGCTAATGCCCATGAGACCACCCTTGAGCAATAATCGGAGGATGAATCTGTCTTCCTCCCTGTCATTCCCTAGGTACACACCTGTGACATTTCGCTAAAATTTTCAGACAGTCCTGGTAGGATGTATCCTTGTAGTCCATCATGGTGGCTAAGTCAGTAGCACATCCCTGTAGTAACTCTTTCCTGACTTTAATTTCTGCCGTATCGCTCTGCTCTCTGGGATAATGTCCCCACAAAAACTATTGGCTCACTAGTCTTTTTTTTTCAAAGGCCTTTCTTTTGGAGGAACTGACAGTAAGATAGCTTGATTTACTATTTTCTCATTTACCTCCTCTGTTTATAACATAGTACATTATTTTCTTACTTTTTAGATGTTACTTTAGAGATAGCAGCATGGATTCTGGATTAAAAGTCTAATTTAAATTAGTACTTTTGCCCCGTCTTAGTCAATGTGAGGGCCTTAACGAACTTTTCTCCCTAACTCATGGACAGTTGGTGTTAAATAAATTATATGACTTTTAAATTTCACAAGACATTGTCGTGTCTATACAATCAGTAATCACTTGCTTTTACTCAGAGTTATCTGTTTAGTTGCACTTACTGCTCTTTTCTTAGTGTTTTCCTTCTGAGAGCACTTTTTACTAATCCTTTTAGTGAAGGTTTGTGGTGACATATGCTTTCAAATTTAATTTCAAAATGTCTTGCTTCCATTTTCTGAAGAATCTTTCACCAGATATGGAATTCTATATTGAATGTTTATATTGACTTATTTTCTTTTAGTACCTTTGAGAAATGAGAAATAGTTGTATTTTGGCATTCATTGCTTTGTTTTGAAAATCCAGCCATTCTTACTGTTAGGAAGTTAATACATATTCTTGTTTCTGGCTAATTTTAAAGATTTATTTTTTTTTTTAGCAGTGTTAAGGTGGTGTGTGTGTGTGTGTGTGTGTGTGTGTGTGTGTGTGTGTGTGTTGGTAAGTATCCTGTTTCATGTTTATAGCCCTTAAGTTTGTGGTTTAATGTATTTAATTTTGGAAAATTCTCTGCCATTAGATTTTCAAACATGACTTCTACCCCTTATCTTTGTCCTCTTGTCTGGGACTGCGGCTACACTATGTCAGAATTTTACCCATGTTCACTATCTTTTAAATTACTCATACCACATATTTTCTAAACTCTTCCTTATTCTTGGTATTCTTGCCTACCCATCTAAACTCTCACAAACTGTCTAAACTGCCGCTATATGCATTCATTTGGCAATTATTTTCATTGTATATGGTTTTATTTCTAGAACTTTGGTTTTACACTTTATTAAAGCTTCTAGTTCTCTGCCAGTTTTTTTTCTTTTCTGAGATAGAATCCCGCTCTGTCACCCAGGCTGGAGTGCAGTGGCGTGATCTCCGCTCATTGCAAGCTCCGCCGTATTAGCCAGAATGGTCTCGATCTCTTGACCTTGTGATCCTCCCAAAGTCCAGAGATTACAGGCGTGAGCCGTCGCACCCAGTCTATCTTGTCTTTTAATAGTCTAAACATTTTATTTTTTTTTAAATGAAGTCTCACTCTGTCATCCAGGCTGGAGTACAGTGGTGCGATCTCAGCTCACTGCAACTTCTGCCTCCCAGGTTCAAGCCATTCTCCTGCCTCAGCCTCCTGAGTAGCTGGGACTACAGGTGCCCACCACTATGCCTGGATCATTTCTGTATTTTTAGAAGAGACAGTTTAGAAGAGACACGTTGTCCAGACTGGTCTCAAACTCCTGACCTCCAGTGATTAACCCCACCCTCGGCCTTCCAAAGTGTTGGTATTACAGGTGTGAGCTACTATGCCAGGACTAATTGTTATTTCAGGGTACATATCTGATCTTTTCATTGCTTTTCTTCTTTTGCACCTGTTTTTGTTATCGTTTTTCTTTAGTTTTTAGTCAAGTCGTATTTGATGTCAAGTTGTATTGAATTCTGTATGTTTACATTAAATACAAGACTTCAAGATTTATTTCTGCTTCAAGCAAATATCTAATTAGGAGTAGCTTGCCTTTATCTTTTTGAGAATTGTCTATTTTAAATGAGATGTTTCAACACTGGTGAGCACTGCTATCTGGTTCAGTGGTTCACTTATAACTTTAGGTGATTTCAGGAACCCAACAAAAAGCCTGGTTGGTTTCCCCAGTCCCTTCCTCCTGAGTGAATATAAAGTCCATCTTTGCTTCCTCCTCCCAGTCGCATAGGACTGTGGCCATTTCTACTCCTCTGAGCCCCTTAGCAACTGTTTTCAGAACTGGCATTGCCTTGAGTGGAGATGGAACCAAGTGTCAATCACATCCCTTGACTTTTCTTTTTCCAGATCTTGGCCCTACAAATACTCATGGCCTTAAAGGTAGCTCTCTAGTATCTTCAAACATTTTTGTTTCTTAGGATTTGGGGTCCAGTTCATTACAGTACTACTGTACACACAAACTAGTCTACCATTATAAAGTGAACTTCCCTTTTCTGATTTTAAAAACTAAAAGAGATTTGACAGAGGGTTTAGACACACACTGCTTTTTGAAGGGAGCCACTCACTGGCTGGTCTCACCTGTTTCCCTGCATCTCACTCTTCTCCCCAGACAAAATACCAGACTGCAGAGTTCATTTGATTTGAGCTACAATACCTCCTGTTTATTGATTCACAGATAGACAAGGTGATAATAGCTTCTGTCTTGCAATATTGTTTGCTGACAATTAAGGCACTATTTTTTGAGTAAAAACATTCAGAGAAAATATGGATAGTGAGGATAGTAATAATTTACAGTAAGAATCAATAAAGCTGCAAAGTAAAAGAATAGATAAAGCATGATGAGATTGTTGGAGGATCTAAACAAAAATAGTAACAGTAACATCTTCCTAGAGCATATTAACTTCTCTTTGGGGAGAAATAGTGTTATTGCATAGAACCAAGGGTATGTTAACCCTAATAAACATATTTTAGAAAGCAAGAACAAAACCACACTGGTAGAATATGAATGTTAATGTTAGCTTAGGTTGACTCTGCTGATAATTGATGGTGAGTCTTGGATCTTTAGCAAAATAAGCAACAGTTGAAATTTAGGAAAATCATTGTCCTTGTTAAAATTGTGGTGGGGAGAATTTGGTGTCCCTGTGTTCATACCCTTCCCCACCTGGACATCTCTTCCAGATTTTTGCAGGCAGATGAATAATGAAACTGGCAAATGAAGGAAAAGCTGTGAGAAAGCTTCAGAGTAGAGTGGCATAATTCAGGCAATCAGAAGAACCAATGTCCATAATCCATCTCATATTGCATCCAGCAGGCCATGTCATATACTAGTTATTTTATATAACAGTAAAAATTATTCTAACATAAGCAATGGTGAAGTTCCCAATGTTCTCTGTTCAGAAAGTTAAGGTTATAAAGCAGGCTTCACTTAGTGGGAGCTAAGAAATAGATAAACCCTGGATAGGAAGAAAAAATGTTCTTTATATGCAAAGATAAGCTACAAAAACTGGTGATTTGGTTTGATGCATTATAAATTAATGACTAAAAAGCAAGTTTGACGGACTGAGGGACTGAGTTCTGTTAGATATTAATGCACATATCACAAGTGTGTACAATCTGATTCATTTAAGCATACCTATATGACTAGTACCATGACCACAAAAATCCTTCCTTGGCTCTTCCTGCTCAAAACTACCAGCCGAAGCCATTTTCTAGACTTCTAAACCAATTGACTATTTGTTTTTGAAATGTTTACAAATGTCATGACATACTTAAACTTGTGTCAAACTTGTTAAACATTGAATTTGTGAGATTATCTATAGTTGTTCCTTGAAGTATAAGCTGAGTTAGAGTTTTGTATATTCAATTGCATAAATACAATATGAATTATCTGTCCATTCTACAGGTGGTGGATATCTGGGGCTTTGGCTATTACAAATGTTTCCATGAATCTTATTGTATATCTTTTAATACATATATTCTATGTATAACGGTTGATTATATACCTGGGGGTTGAATTGCTGGGTCATGAAATATATATATGCATACTAAATGTGAAAATACATAGTTTTTAGTATACACGGCCAAAGAGATGTCCAAAGTACCAGTGAGCATTTTCCCTTCCACCAGGAGAATACCAGTTACCTTCCCCCACATTCTCTCCAACATATGGCCATCCTTTCAATTGTATCCACTCTGGTGGTCATGTAATTTGCACTTTTGTATGATTGATGGAAAGTATTTTATTTACTGAGTTTATTTACTGAGTTTATTTACTAATTACTCCCACTCTGCTTTGCCTCTGTCATCTCTTTGGTGTCTTTTAATAAACAAATGTTCTTAATGTTTGTGAAATCCCATCTGTCAAACTTTTCCTGTAGGACTACTGCTTTTTGCATCTAGTTTCAGAAAATTTTGCTTACTCCAAATCATGAAAAACATTTTTTTGGATTCCAGTTCTCTGCAGAATTCCTCTCACCAATATTTTTGTGATAAATCAGTTTTAAACTTTCTGTGAACTCCAAAATGTTGATCACAGGCTATGTTTACTATTGTTATTGTTTTCTTGAAACTCTTTTAAATAAAATGTTCATTTTGTATGAAAAAAAATTTCCAGATTACAGATGCCATATTCCTTCCTGGAAACTGGCAGGGTTCTTTTGTGTGAATTTAAAGTACAAGTTCAGTTTTGTTACATGCATATATTGCCTGGCAGTAAAGTCTTGGCTCTTAGTGTATCCATTATCTGAATAATGTACATTTTGTACCCATTAAGTAACTTACCCTCCCCACTTCTGCCCGCCCTGCCTAGTCGCCAGTGTCTGTTATTCCACATTCTATGTCCACATCTACACATTATTTAGCTCCCACTTACAAGTGAGGTATGACTTTTTTTCCTGAGTTGTTTCACTTAAGATAATGGCCAGCACAGTGGCTTACGCCTGTTGTAATTCTGGCACTTTGGGAGGCCAAAGCAAGGATTGCTGGAGCTCATGAATTCAAGAACAGTGTACGTAACATGGCAAAACCCCATCTCTACAAAAAGAAAAAGAGTCGGGCATGGTGCTGCACGCCTGTAGTCCCAGCTACTCGGGAGTCTGAGAAGAGAGGATGGTTTCAGCCCAGGACATCAAGGTTGCAGTGAGCCATGATCACTGCACTTCGGCAGTCCAGCCTGGGTGAAGATAGTGAGAGTGAGACCCCAGTCTTTTTTTTTTTTTTTTTTAAAGTTGCATGTAGTTAATTTACAACATCACTGTGGGAGCCGAGATTCCAGAGTTGAGAGTGGGTTTAGATTTTTTATAAAACCTGGCCTATTTTCTGGTTACTCTACTTACAAATTGTTTATCAGGATGCCTTGCTACTTAGGGAAACTAAATTCTAGTTTTGTACTTTACTGTGCTGTGAAACTGCAAAGTTCTGATTCTTAGAAATCTAGACCAATCTTCGCTTAGCCTCTCACCCTGTGGCCCTTTTCCATTGACAAACAGCTCAGAGATGAAAATTGGAGCAGCCAGGTTCACTTTGCACCTCTTCCCTTCCCTGCAGGATCTGGCCCCTCAAGTCCTGCCTACTTGAAAAAATCTGAGCCCGATCTTCGAATCTGCCTCCTTATAAGACTGTCAAACACTGCTTAGCTGCTACTTTCTGTTCAGCTTTTCTACATCCTACCCTATGCTGTTTAACAATCTGCAAATGTCTTGACTAAAAATATGGAATGTTGGGCTCATCTCCAATGTGCTTTCCTTCTCTCCAGGTTCTTGGCTCCAGAACTTCTAACTGCCTTGATAGCTCTCTGATACCTTCACAAATGTGTTTCTTATTATACTTCCTTTTCTAGTGTTCTTGGCATACATTTTGGTCAGCTGCAAACTAATCTATCATCACCAGAAGCAGAAATCTTCAGTTACTACACTCTTGAGTCCAAAAATAACCCTAAAAATGAAAGAACATGATTGATAGGACAAAATTACCATCAATCTAAAATATTTAAGTCAATGTATGACCACATTTCAAATGAGATTATTTGCTGATTTGATAATTGAAATGACTCATGGAGCTACATTAATTTGGCCCCTCCAGATCCCAACGTGAAAGATATAATTAAGAAAGTATTAGTATATATTTAATGCATTTGAACGCATAATATATTTATTTCACTTGAAATCCAAGAAACAGCATATTCTTGCCACAGAAAGCACTTTCCTAATTAGCTCTAGTGGTAGCTGTTATTTATTGTTCACAAGCACTTTAATATGCATTCTCATTAAATACAACTCATGAAATACACAAGGATTACTGCTGTTTATATTTTTGAGATGAGAAAATAAGCAAAGAGTGGAAAGAAACTTGTTTTAAAGGCACACTGTAGTAACTAGAGCAGCCAAAATTCAAATCAAGTGTATTTGATTCCAAAGCCCAAAGGCACATCTTTTGTATATACTATTCAATAAATTTACCCGGAGTTAGCTTGGGAGGGAAACTAGTGAGTATGTACATAAATATAAATGTAAATGGCATGTTTTCATCTTCTCGAGGAAATTTCAGCATTCCTGATACCGTGTGTACCAGCAAAAAGGACAAAAGAAGCAAACACTTTCACCTCTACTCATCAGATTCACCGAATTTGTTACAATTTTTTAATAGTTCGAGGTCCCCACTGGAAAAGTCAGCGCTGATTGCATAAGCTTCACCAGGAGCTGCAGCCGTCCCAGCATCCCTGCTTGTTAGTTCAATAATGCGGAAGTGAATATGAAGGCTGTGGGGGCCTCTGTGATAATATTGTTGGAATTTAGGATGTTATTAACAATTTGCAATACAAATGAGTAGTCTGCAGGAGAGGAATCATACTGTGATCATACCTAATCAATGTAAGAATTAAAAACAAGCTAACATGTGGGGAGGCACAGATGCAGATATTAGGAACTAAGCTTTTAGCCTGCCATTAGACTGCAGTCATTGGATTCAAGGTCAGAACATATGTGCTCAGATTTTATATTCTTTATTACCATTTTCATTGAACAGGAGCAAAACTAGAAAACTTCCTCACATGAATGTACGGAAAGAGTCTCTTTTGCTTCCATGCTAAGTAGAAACTCCTGGGACCACTCACTGGCGATCATATAGACTGAACTGAGATGTAAATCACAATCAGCTGTCACAGTGCGTTAATGATCAGAAAAGGTCTTAGATGTGCCTTCATAATGCATTGTAATTTATTTAATCTCCTCTCTTTACCTCTCTTAATTCGTTAACTCTCAAAACATTTAATGCACACCCTTTCCCGGTGTGTGATGGCTAATAGAAATCCAGCCTAAATAAGGAGTTGAGCGGTTTTTGAACAGTTAGGAAGTCTGGGGGTATATAAGGGCTTAAAATACACATACAATCCCATCTCCAGAAAATACTTTTCAGTGTAAAAGGAATGCTGCATTTAGTTGAATTTGTCTCTCTTGTCCCAGGTAAAGTGGTGGTTTCTTGTTTCAGTAAAGCGCTTTTAAGGGCTCTTACAATTATATTTTTATTTCTTACATATATTAAGTGTCAGTTTATTTTGGCAACAACTTTAAAGGCTATTGAAAAATGATTCACTGAAAGCAATTAAAAATCTTTAAGAATAACCGCGCCGGGCGCGGTGGCTCATGCCTGTAATCCCAGCACTTGGGGAGGCCGAGGCAGGTGGATCATCTGAGGTCAGGAATTCGAGACCAGCCTGACCAACATGGTGAAACCCCGTTTCCACTAAAAATACAAAATGAGCCGGGCATGGTTGCACATGCCTGTAATCCCATCTAGTCTAGTCAGGAGGCTGAGGGCAGAGAGAATCACTTGAACCCGGGAGGCGGAGGTTGCCGTGAGCTGAGATCATGCCATTGCACTCCAGCCTGGGCAACAGAGCCAAACTCCATCTAAAAAAAAGTAAACCCAGCAGTCCCACTTTAAATCATTACTGTTAGAAAATTTTTATTTTCTAAAATTGAGCATCAAATAAGAATAGCCAGATCTTTTACCAAAATATTGATAATTTGTATATGAGCAGTAGATCCTTCCTATGAATACGAAGTAATGACAAAAATATCCAGTTATTTAAGGATATGGGTAGTTGAGTTGATTGCTTTACAATTTTCTAATGCTAGTTTTCTTTCTTTGAGATGGCCTCTTTCACCCAGGCCAAAGAGCATCGCTGTAATCGCAGCTCACAGCAGCCTCCACCTTCACCATGTCCAGCTAATTAAAATTTATTTTTATTTTTTCATGGAGAGAAGCCTTCACTATGTTGCCCAAGCTGGTCTCAAAATCTTGTGCTCAAGTGATTCTCCCACTTTGCTCCTGGAAGCAAAGTGCTGGGATTACAGGCATGAGCCACCACACCCAAAACTAATGCTAGTTTTTTTCACGGATAATATAGTTATCACCAACCAAATAAAGGCCTACAGAAACCCAGGGCTAATGTTTTATCTGTAATGCACCTGATCTGTTCTTAGGCCTCCATCTACATCTGTTACCAGTATTCTAAGAAGGGCTGTATTCAAGTGGGAAGCACGGTAGGTTTAAAAATACTCTCCAGCCTTTATTGATCATCTGTAGAAAATATAAGGGACATAATACATAGGATATAAGAATATAGATCAAATCCAGCCTTATATAGATACATAGTAATTGTATGCTAAGTGTACTAGTCTGTTCTCATGCTGCTAATAAAGACATACCCAAGACTGGGTAATTTAGGAATGAAAGAGGTTTAATTGACTCACAGTTCCACATGGCTGAGGAGGCTTCACAATCATGGTGGAATGCAAAGGAGCAAAGTCACATCTTACGTGGTGGTAGGGAAGAGAGTGTGTGCAGGGGAACTTCCATTTATGAAACCATCAGATCTCATGAGACTTACTCACTATGATGAGAACAGGATGGGGAAAACTGCCCCCATGATAAAATTATCTCCCCCTGGCCCTGCCCTTGACCCATGGGGATTCTTACAATTTAAAATGAGATTTGGGTGGAAACGCAGCCAAACATGACTAACAAATTCATTATTTTTTAAATCTATGAACATAGGATAGTATCTACTTTACACAATTGTTCTAAAAATAGTAATATATTTGATGGACTGATTTTAAACAGAATGGAATTTAATGCAAGGATTTTGGAGTTTACAAATCCACTGGAGGATCTGAAGAACAGTACACAGCATACAGGTATCCCTCTGTTTCCATGGGACACTGGGTTATGTCCACCGATTGCATATAGGCTTATTTCCTTGTCCTTATTCCCTAAACACTACAGTGTAACAACTACTCACATAGCATTTACTTTGTATTAGGTACCGTAAGTAATCTAGAGATTATTTAAAGTATACAGAAAAATGCATAAATTGTGTGCAAATACTGTGCCATTTTATATAAGGCACTTACACATCTTCTGATTTTGTATCCATGGGTTGGGAAAGGGGGTACTAAAACCAGTCCTTCACAATCTCTTGGATACTGACCCTATGAGATGTAACGTAGTACTCAAACCTGACTTTCCATCTGAATCGACTTTCCATCTGAATCACCTGGAAGGCTTGTTAAAACACAAATTGCTGGGTCACGCTACCAGTTTCTTACTCAACGTGTCTCGGGTCAGACCGATCACTGGCTTTTCCAAAAAGCTCCCAAGTGATGTTGATACAGCTGACCTAGGGGACCATACTATAAGAATTACTGCTCTAGGGTAACAACCACTGAGGCTGCACCTAGACCTAGGCTGGAAACAAGCTGCTGCCACTACTGGTGGAGAATTGAACAAGGAAACTGCATTCCAGAAAAGTCAGATCCAGAAGGCTCTGCTGCTGCAGCTGCCTCTTGACCTTCAGGAAGATGTTTAGTTGGCAATGAAAAGCTTCTGCAAGGAAGCTCCATTTCTCCATGGTCCTGCCCATCAGAAGCCTGCACTTTCATCTGATAATCTATAAGGGATTTTTATTTTTTTTTTCTTTTAGCTTTATCAGGTCGAAGGAGGATACAATAGAGGTTAAATAACCTGTTTATTTTTTAAAGTGTCAATTTCTATTCTTTCTGGGTTTCCAACATGTCAGGTTATAGAATGCAACATTAACTGAAGTGATTGACTAATCTCCTTTCTTTCTCACTGAAATTAACTAATTTGAGACAGAGTCTCCCTCTGTCGGCCAAGCTGGAGTGCAATGGCGTGATCTTGGCTCACTGCAACCTCCGTCTCCTGGGCTCAAGCAATTCTCTTACCTCAGCCTCCTGAGTAGCTGGGGTTACAGGCGTGTTTTGCCACGCCTGGCTAATTTTTGTATTTTTAGTAGAGATGAGGTTTCACCGTTCTGGCCAGGCTGGTCTCGAACTCCTGACCTCAGGTAATCCGCCCGCCTCAGCCTCCCAAAGTGCTGGGATTACCGGCGTGAGCCACCGCACCTGGCCTTGTTTTAATTCTTTTATCTTGGAAAAAATAGACCTGCAGAAAATTTCATAAGCACTTTTTTTGGATTTCCACATCTCCCTTCATTGCTAACATTGTGTCATATCTGCTTTCTCTATTCAGTATTTTTGCTGAACATGTGAAAGTTGTAGAGATCATGACTCTTCAGTAAATTCAACATGTTTTATCAAAGAACAAGGGCAATTTTCTGCATAATCACAGTGAAATTATCAAATTTAGAAAAGTAAATATTCAGTGATGTTATCAATATACTTCCATATTCAAATTTTGCCAATTACGCTCTATTTATATGGCAACTTTTTTTTTTTCCAGCCCATGGTCCAACCAGGGTCACATACTACATTGAGTTGCCATGTTTTATATGCTTTAATTTGGGGCAGTTCTTCAGACATTTTGTCTTCCGTGATAGTGATATTTGTGAGGAGTATAGTCTAGTTGTGTTGTGGTCTATTCAGAGTTTAGCTGAATCTTTCCTGTTGTTTCAATTCGAGTTACGCATTTTTTAGCAGAATACTGCATAAATGATACGTGTCCTTCTTCGTAGATCATATCAGGAAACACCTATTGTCATTTTATCCCACCAGTGGTTAAAGGTGGTGTTCACCAAATTTCTCCACTAAAGATACATTGTGCGTTTTGTTAAGTTCTCTGTGGTGAAAAATCTTGAAACTGCAAAAATATCCTGTTCTGAAATCAACTTTCACCTAATGGTTTTAACATCCAGTAATGAATTTTTTTCTGCATTGGTTATTTCTAAGCTAGTCTGAAATAATGGTTTTTCTGTAGTCCCGATAGTATTAGAATTGGCATTCTACAGAAAGAATAACCTTTTCTTCCATCTGTTTGTTGATACTGGGTAATGCATGAAAAAACCATTTTGTAGAAAAGAGCTAATAGTATTCTGACAACCCTTTAAAATATGAAGCAAAAATACCCATTGGATTTGATACTAGTTCTTTGGAAAATTTGACACAATCTGCCAAGCAAAGTTTATCATTTATTTTGAGACAGAATCTTGTTCAGTTGCCCAGGCTGGAGTGCAGTGGCACAATCATGACTAACTGCAGACCTGATCTCCCAGGCTCAAGCAATCCTCTCACTTCAGCCTCCAGAGTAATTGGAACTAGAGTTATGTACCACCATGCCTAGCTAATTAAAAAGAAAAAAATTGTAGTTACAGGTTCTTGCTATGTTGCCCAGGCCAATCTCAAACTTCTGGGCTGAAGGGATCCTCCCACCTCAGCCTCCCAAAGTGCTGTGATTACAGGCATGAGCCCACTGCACCTGGCCAGAGTTGACTTGATTATTGGCACAAACTCCTTTTCATTTCTTGGTAAACATTGTATTGCCACATGGAAGACATTTTCAATGTTTGCCAGCTTTTGGAAGATTTCTGTGGCCTGGTAAAAACATGATGGCAAAGTGGAGAAGCAGGGGAGCTCTACTCTGAATCTTCATATTTAGACAGATGCTTTCTGTGTTGTTCTTGGGTCTGTATACTCCTGAGATGACATCTTGCTTTTCTCAGTGTACCAACTTCTCTTTCTGATTTGACCAGCTGACTGTGTATTTTAAATATGCATATGCAAACAGAAATGTTAAATGTTTTACATTTCTTTCGTATTTTTGGATGCTTTAGCCTACAGCTCTTCGCAAAATTTTCTAGCCCTAAGAGTCTTTTTATTGTGGCAACTAAATTACATAGGCTATAACAAATAACTTATGGCATACTTTACAGGAATGTAATTGCCTGTAATGTCTACCTGTTTAGAGACATTGGCATCAAATATCATCTTAATGATATGGGTATGCATTCAGTTTTGCTTCTTTCTCATATATCAGAAAAGTAGGATGTTAGGAGTATTGGAAATATAGTGCATTCTACCAAAAAGTAAGATAGTTCTTAAATACAAAAGTTTATTAATCCTTATACATTTTTAATAAACACATCCAGATTGGATTCTTGTTGGTTTTATCAGTGAAGGGAAATGAAGACATTTTCTGAAATTGGCAGGGTAAATTTTGAAGTGGTTACTCTTTCAGTTTCTTTTTGTTTTGATTTTAGATTATATTTTCCCCCCAAATTCTATAATCTAGAAATATGTCACGTAAGTCATTGTTATTTATCTTTGAAACTTCAGTAGAGACATACTGTATACATGTAGTCTACAAATAGTGATTCAGCATGGGAGCAAGCTGAATGGAAGAGTGAGAAACTGAACCAAATCCTGTTTTAGAAAGAACCATGGAGATGGTAATGACTTGTGTTACGAACACAGATCCCCCCACTAGCCGTCGATTTACCAGTCTGTACTGATAAATGTTCGAAGTGATTTGTTATCCAAGTCAAAGATGGCCATGAGAAAAACAGAAAAGGACAGGATTATGTAGCAACTTGTTTTGACTATTTTTAAGCTACTCATATATTAAGTTCCTTACAGAATTCAGAAAAATGCAAAGTAGAAGAAAAGATAAAATCTCAGAGGTGTGCAGTTAGTGCTTTGTCCACTATGGGAATGAAATGAAATACGGAATGATCTGACGTGGGTAAATTTCTTAAATAATGTGAACTTCTGTTTCTTCAAGGCAAGTTTGTTACAGCTGTGACTTGAAACGTGAACAGATCATTTGCCATGGCCACATTAGTCCGTCTGCGGAAACTCAGCCATGTATTTTGTGTGTAAATGCAGTCCTGATCATAGTATATGTGTTCATTCTCCACTAAAGCCGACATCCTCCTTGTAATCTCAAGACATATATTAATTTGTAACTCAAAACTGTTCATTGCCACATGAAAAAGGGAAATTTTTTTTTAGTTTTCCAACTACAATCTGAAATAATATTCCTTCAGAAATCTGATTACTAGAGACCATTTGACTCCACAGAAATATCTTAATGCTATAGTAAGTATAGAAATGACAACAGCAAATATTGACCACTATGTACCAGGCTCTGTGTTAAGTTTTCTGAATATAAAATATGAATTACAACAGTTTGTATCTATTTTGGAATTGACTAAATTTAGGTTCAAGAAGGTTAGGTAACATACCCAAAGTAACTCAGGGAAAGTAAATGTTCATATGTGTAACCTCTCAGGTAACTGGGAAACACGTGAAATTAAGCAGTTTATTTTTCTTAAATATATGGGTTAATATTTTTAAGAGGTCAACATCTAATTATTTTTAAGGTGCACACAGTCTGAAAAATATTTACAACTTCAGAGTTCAGTAATACGTGACAGTGGTCAAAAGTATCACTGTTGGCAAAGAAATATCCTGGTGTCTGCATAAAGGTCTATTAAGCTGTAACCATAGCTGTTGAGTTCATTTTGGCTTCTGTGATTCCCCCCCTCCGCCCCAGACAAATCGGATTCCAGATTGCCTCGTGGCATTGAAATCGGGTTTTTTTTTTCCATTATATTATTCTTTAAAGTTGATTTGCATTAAGGACTATGCAGTGCCTGCCATTTTAGCAGCTTTCCTTTTAAGTGTTCTTGGTGATTTTGTTAAGAGGCATATAGGAGTAAATGTGTGCAAGAAAAAAATACACAGAATAAAGTATATATAAATATAAATGGAAACTAAATAGATACATCTCAAGGAAAGACACAAAAACATTTATTTCCTGCTCCTGCAAATCAAAACAAAGCTTGTAGGGACTACATTTGATTTATTTTCTTCACAAAAGAATCATGTTAAGAGTGTGAATATATTTGTGGATATGTATTTGTAAGTGTTGACAAACTCTTGTTTCATTTGTGTGAAACTCCTACACTTGCCTTTACTTAATCAAAATCTTTCCTTGTATTCTGGAACTGCTTTTCCTGAGCTTTTTCACCAGTTAAAAAATTAAGACTTTCATTTCAATTAAGGGGGGGAGGTGGGTGGAAAGCATGGGAAAATAGAGGAAAATAGTGTCTTTCAAAGACAAATAGTGGGAGAAGGGTGGTGGGAAAGATTTTTTGTGAATTCATTTCAAGCTAGTTTTAAAAAATTCATATTTCACTAATAAACTGAGACCTTTTAAGATATTTAGGTGAATTTCTTAAAATGGCCAAGCTCAGGAATGTGAGAACATTGACATTCAGCACTTCTGTGGGTTAGAAATTCCTCTTCTTGCATAGGAAGAAGAGAAAATGCATGTTATCTATTGAGGTCTTTTCCACCTCGTCAAACAGCTGAGAGTCACCGACTTGTATTTTTGGATTACATCCGTGACTTTATAAATGACAATATGCTTCAGGATATTTTCGTTTTCAGGTCTTCAGATCTGCCCATAGTCCTCTGTAGGGAATGTGACTTGCCCACCTTCCTTAGAGGCATTCCTGTTTTTTCCTGTGATTCTCCCTCGTTCTCCCCAGTGCTGGTCATCAGTGATCATACAGGACTGGATACCTGATCAATGGAAGTCAACAACTTGGCTTTTTTGTTGTTCTATGAACCTGCTAGGAGTAACTATAGCAAACTCGCCTACCAAGAAGCAGACAGTGGGACGTATACACAGAGAAATGGAGTGAGAGACCCTGAGGCTCTGGAATGGGCTGTGGACAGGGAGCGGAGCTGCTTCAGTCCTGATGTATTCCGTTTCCTTGAACAGACCACGTAAGACCAGGACCTACTTTGTATTCTGTCGTTGGATGCCACAGATATTCCTGCCCATAAAGATAGTCTTCACTGTGTAGAATTTGGGTAGAATTGCAGTCTTCTTATTACTAGAACTAATAGGAAACCCTCAAATATTTCATCAGTGCGTTCTGTATTCGGTGAACAAAAACTGATTGTAATGTAAATGCGGGATTCATTATTTACTCATTTATTCACCACTTTTTGATGAATGCTTCATGTTCTAGGCACTTTCCTAGGGGCTGTGGTTATAGCAATAAACAAAATGGACAAATGTATTTATCCTCATGAAGCTTGCACTCCAGTGTGGGAGACAAGTAATAAGAATAAGAAGTGAGGGATGTTAATGATATCTTCTAGAGGAAAACTGAGGAAGAGAACAGGAAAAACTAGAGGGAAATGTGCATTATTTGCAATGTCCGGAGTAGCCTTTATTTGGCAAAACAATGCTGAAGATGAGGGAGTGAGCCAAGAGGAAAACTAATGGCAGAGAACTTGGAAAAGAAGAAACAAGGAATGAAAAGGACTTTAGGGGGGTCATGCCTAGCAGGTTTGTAAAACAGACAATGGGGTGGCTAGAGTGAAGTGAGCAATTGAAGGGTAGCAGAATCGAGATCAGAGGAAACGGAGCCAGATTATGTAGAACCCAATTTCCAATTCTCCTAATTAAAAAAACCTTACTAGCAACAAGGGACAAGAGATTATGCACAGGCTGTTATCACCTGCTGAGTCCTCAGAGGCTGAGGTGACACACATGCTCCTCCTTGCTTATATGCACTGCTGGAAGAATGGGAAAATCAATTGATTAAAATCGTGCTTGTGCTATTTATATTTTGTGATAATGGGATAATTATAGGCTTCCAGGGTTTTTTGTTAAAATTAATGATAGGTGATTGCATGGAACGTCTTAGCTTTCAGTATAGGAGTTCACGACTCTCTGACTTATGTGGGGGATTATTATGGATCTATAGGCTATTCATCAAGGTTCATTCAGTTACAAAAAACAGACTCTTTTCAAACCTAACTCATGATAAAATCGTTCTAAAGAGGGGACACGGACCTAATCTTCATTGGATGTGTCATCCGTGTGAAGTGCAGGACAGCAGTGGTAGAACTCAGTTTCTCAGGACTGAGTTTCTCCTCCATGGTCTGCAGGCTTGCCTGTCTTCTCTCTCCTGGCTTTTTCTACCAGGTAGGAGGCTCTGTTTTGGGTAGATAGTGAACACCAGCACCCCCGACCCCCGCAGAGGCTTTAAAATCGAGGCTCCTTGTCTACTCATTTCTAGTTAGAAAAACCTAGGGCTTCCTTACCTGCTCTCTCTCCTGGCCAATCCCTAGGGAAAAACACATCATTCAAGGTGGGGTAAAGAGTTCGTTTCTCCACATCCTCCTCAACACTTTGGATCTTTTTGTATTTTTTTATAATGCCCATCTTGACTGGTGAGAGGTGATATCTCATTATGATTTTGATTTTTATTTCCCTAAAGATAAGTGATGAGTATCTTTTCATGTACCTGTTAACCATTTATACATCTTTTTCTGGAGAAATGCCTATCATGTTCTTAGCCCATTTTTAATCAGGTCATTATTATTTTGCTGTTGAGTCATTGGAGTCCTTATACTTTTATATTAATCCCTTATTAGATTATGACTTGTAAATATTTTTTCCCCACTATGTAAGTTGCCTTTTCTCTCTGTTCTTTGTAGAATGCTTCTACTCTGATAAAGTCCTACTTGTCTAATTTTACTTTTGGTGTCATATCTGAGAAATGATTGCCAAGCTCTTGCATAGCATTGGTGGGAATGTATAATGGTAGAGCCACTATGGAAACCAGAATGGCAGTTGTTAAAGCCAGAGTTACTAGCAGTTATCCAGCTATGCTGCTTCTGCATATACATCCAAAGGAATTGAAATCAGATTCCCAGAGATAGCTGTACTCCCATGTTCATTGCCACATCAATCACAACAGATAAGATGTGGCAACAATTAAATGTCCATCAACAGATGAATGAATAAAGAAATGTGGTATAGATAATGGAATATTTTTCAGCCATAAAGATAATCCTGCCATATGCTACAACATGGATGAAACTGGAAGACATGATGCCAAGTGAAATAAGCCAGTTACCAAAGGACGAATACTGTATGACTCTACTTCGATGAGACATCTAAATAGTGACACTCATAACAACAAAGTAGAAAGGTGGTTGCCAGGGATTGAGGGGAGGGCAAATAGGAGTAGCTGTTCCACAGGTATGAAGTTTCAGTCATGCAAGATTAATGAATTCTAGAGATCTGCTTTAAGACACTGCCTATAGTTAACAGTACTGCGTTGGGCACTTGCAAATTTGATGAGAAGAGGATATTTCTCATGTTAAGTCGTCTTACCACAAAAAATTAGGGTGAAAGAGGGGGAAGTCTTTCCCTAAAACGGGATATGAGAGTGTGTTTCCATCAGACGGGAGGATTCATGAGTACGATAGTCTCCCTTATCCACATGGAATACGTTCCAAGACCCCAAGTGGAAGCCTGAAACCACAGATAGTACTGAACCCTGTATATACCGTGTTTTTTTTTCCTATACATGCATACTTATGATAAAGTTCAATTTATAAATTAGGCACAATAAATGAACAGTAATAAAATTGAACAGTTACAACTGTACTCTAATAAAGGTTATATGAATCTGGCCTCCCTCTCAAGATACCTTATGCTTCTTTTGATGAAAGGACAGAGCAAGATGGCACAAGATTTCACCAACCCACTCAGAAGTATGCAATTTAAAACGTACACACTATTGATTTGTGGAACTTTCCATTTCTTTTAAGACTGTGGTTGACCATGGGTACCTGAAACCATGGAAAGGAAAACAGCTGTTGAGAGGACTACTTTACAAGGAACAACACAGAACCAAGCAAACGGGCTCCCCCAGGATTGTTGTGGAACATCTATAGTTGAATATAAAAGTTTATATGTTCAATTTTATGGAGAAAATATCCTTTTTCAAAGGAATTAAGATTGAAAATTACTGGGTTATTTTTTACTGCCTAGGATGGAAGCAAACAAAAATATGGAAAGAAAATATTTAACTCATAGAAATGCAGTCTAGAGGTTAGTTCAAACGACAGACTGTACCAATAAGTGCAGATGGGCAAGTAACAGAATTCCTCTGGGAAAGAGGCAACAATGTGTGACCTGCTGTCTACCCAGGTAACAAAGCTGCATGTAACGTACGTTTAGGAAATATTTTGGCATCATACTACTTGATCCTCATGACAATCTTGTGAAGTTACCATTGGGTAACCCCCAGAGGAAGAAACTTGAAGTTTAAAATGTCTTTTATTTTCCCTATATGAAAAGAGAAATATTTAGAGTGGGTAAGTACAGAGCCATTACATTTTTTTGTTGTGGTCTATGAATTTTGACAAACTTGTATAGTTATACAATATCAACTCAAGTTATGTGAGTAACAATCTCTGAAGCAGGGGCTGGGTGCCTGGTTCTCAGTTCTAATCCTTCCACTTGTAGCTGTATACCCCTGGGAAAGTTATTCAATTTCTCTGTGACTAGTTTTCCAATTTGGAAAAGCGAGTAAGTAAAAGTCCACCTAAAGCATTGTCTATTTGAGGATCAAACGAGTTAAAGCACAAAACACACAGTTCATTTCCTGGCACGTGGCCAGTGCCATGCTAGTGTCAGTGCCATGCTAGTGTCAGTTATCACTTTACATTGTTTCCATGTAGAATAATATAGCCTTTCCTTTGTGCACTCTTAGCGTTCTGTTAACATTCAGGTCCCTGGATTTTCTTCTATCCAGGAAAGAGTGGTAAATATTTTATAAACAAACGTTTCTTCCAAAGAGAAATCCTGATGTTAGATCATCAGATGTATTTGTCATGTTGTCAAAGGGAGACAACACGGGAAAAGACTTTTCTTCCCACATTTTTATTTGAATTTGTGTTAACAATATTAGCAACAATATTGAGGGCTAACCCTTAGCGATAGCTAGCAAATTAGGAACCAGGTATTAGAATAAATTATTTTCATATGTCATTTTAGAGAACAAAATGGAGATTTTTCCTGTTCTATCTTATAAGAGATTTTTGCAAGTCAGTGTATTAGAGACTTCGGTAAACCACAACCAGGACGTCATTGTGAAGTTCCATACTGGAATGGTGGATAAAGAATGCACTTGAGCACCAAATGGCCCTGGGTCTGCAGCTCAGTCCAGCAGTTCCCAGATGGTTGACCTTTACCAGATAATATAACCTCTGAGTTTTGATTCCCTTCTGAGGGTGATGATACCCATGGGAACACGGTAAAAACATTGCAGGGGATACTGGGCGTTAGAACCCACCACAAAATAACCTACGCATCAATAGTAGGTATTCATTAAATGTTACTTACTTCCCCGTCCCACACAGGTAACAGGCAACAAAAGTATCCTTTAGCATCCTATTTACTGGATAATCACCGCAGTTCTCTCTGCAACTAATTCCTATGAAGACTTACATAATTTATATCAGGTTCAGGCCTCAATATCGGGTCGTCAGAAAAGACGGGAGGTCAGAAAGCCTGAGATGGCTGCATTCCCAGTGGTGCTACTGCACCTGGAACAGAGGCAGGGCTGAAAGAGACAGAAACTTAGATCCATAGCAAGATACCTGTGTGGAGAGTAGACATGGGCAAAATCGGCTGACTCCGTTAGTGTTTGCCACATGAAACATGAACACCAAATTGCAGAGGCATATGGAAATACACATCTATTTGCATGGATGTGCAGGTTAGCTGGGGTCTGGCTGACCGAGGCTGGGCTCAGCTGAGGAGCTCTGCCCCATGCTGCAGCCACTGGGGTGGCTTGGCTCCACATGTCTTCCATCCTTCCCGAATGGTGGTGGACCATAGCATCTTCCTCTCGTGGTGAGGGCAGACACAAAAGGACAGGACAAGTAAAGACACAGGTGTTTTAAGGCCTAGGCTTGACTTTGTGCAATCTCCCTTTTGCCAACATTTCATAGGCCAAAGTGCTTACTGTGGCTTGGATGTCACACAAATCTTTACAAAGTGCTTTGCAATCACCCGCAAAATCCCAGCGGCTCCAGTAGAGTTCATGCGTGCTATCTAATCGGCTCACTAAAATGGCCAACAAACCCCTGTAAACATGGTCAGTATTAATTAGAAAATTATTAATACTTAGCACCCAGATTCTCATCCTGTGGCCAAGCCATGCACATTTCAAGAGTCACCTTACTTTTTTTCTCAATGCTTAAAATGTCCAAAGAGTTGATCCTTTCTGCCCAATCGGTGCTCCTTCCAGTGATGTTCCCATTAAAACAACTTTATGAAGAATTATCTCAGGGTTATATTTAATACAAACTTTAAAAAAGGTCTTTGATCTGGGTATTGGACACTTTAAAATGTGTCTTGACAATTTGAGTTTATCTTTGCAGCAGGATTTTCAAAATACTAAATAATTGCCACTGGAATACTGAACTATTAAAACTTCAGTGTTTATCCTGTTTGATATTTTCATTCGTTATCAGCATTAAAATAATGTCATATGCAGCCGGGCGTGGTGGCTCATGCCTGTAATCCCAGCACTTTGGGAGGCCCAGGTTGGTGGATCACGAGTTCAGGAGATCAAGACCATCCTGGCTAATACAATGTGAAACTCCGTCTCTACTAAAAATAAAAAAATTAGCCAGGTGTGGTGGTGGGCGCCTGTGGTCCCAGCTACTCGGGAGGCTGAGGCAGGAGAATGGCGTGAACCTGGGAGGTGGAGCTTGCAGTGAGCCAAGATAGCGCCACTGCACTCCAGTCTGGGTGAAAGAGTGAGACTCCGTCTCAAAAAAAAAAAAAAAAAAAAAGTCATATGCAATCCACGTCCTACAAGTGTAAATATAAATGAAACCTCTTGAAATTCATCATGGCTCAATGAACCACAAATAAATGGTTCTTCTTTTTGGTATTATAATGTTGTCACTCGTTTCCCCAAAATATCTTCTCATTTTAATTCATGGTGATTCATTTCTTCTTGTTTCATGTTTTTTTTTCTTTAGTTTCTTTTTTGTTCATGGTATTCATTGTAGGTATAATTGGTGCCCTTCCAGGTCCCCAGTGCACCCATCTCCCAATCACTTTTGTTTTTGGCCACTCAAGCATCAGACATGCTCACCTCCTGGGTATGGCTCTGAGCTGGGAGCTGCCTCCTCCAGGAGGTTAGTTCTTCTCTCCATCACACTATGGTCTTAAGACGTCTTGGCTATTCTGTAGAATTTGAATATAATGTCAAAATAATCAACTTTGGTTCATTATTTATGACATTATTTGCCTCTTTTGCTCAACAGATTAATAAAATCTGAATGCATTTCTCACACCTGGTTTTGATTCAAAATGGCAATTACTCCAACCAGTAGATACTGAGGAAGATAAGAATCAGTTACAGCTTTAGGAATCATCTGCAGCAATAGGACCATTGTTTGCCCCACTCTACTCTTACAAATTTCTGTAAGTATTACAGCCAAATAGGATTTCAGAGAAGCTATGCCTGGATGAATTGAACTTCATGTGAGAGAGAAAAGGATCTCTGTATAGCAAGGGGAGCCCAGCCCAGACTCTTGATCACCTTAGGAAGCCTTTTGCTGGCTGCTGTAAATGTTGGCTTCTAAGGTGTTGGGTAACTCTAGAGAAGGGGAGTTACTCTTTCAGTGATGGGTGCCATCTTGCCAGAAATGTCACAACTTCCCAGGTGCAGCAATGGCCAATGACTGCCACCTTATAGGGGGTGTACGAAAGGCCAAGCCCCTTGATACAAGGTGGAGACAGCTGTGTGAAGGTGACTCATGCCGCAGTGCCATCCACGGGGAGGAGGCCAGGCTAGACCTCACCTGAGACTGCATTTTTGCTTCTCTCCTTCTTTCCTTACTCCCTGCCAGCCTTTATCCCCAGAGAAAGTGAAATGAGGACTCTTGTGACTTTCTTGACAAACATCTATTTATGTAGTACATAAAGCCATGTTTTTTTAATAAACTAGGAATAATTTTAGTGTTACGTAAAGGTTGCAAATAAAATTTCCATACAGCCTTTACCCAACTTTCTCAAATAACATATTACATGACACAGTACATTGTTAAATCTAAAACATTAACATTGACACAATCCTCTTAGACTACAAGGATTATTTAGGTTTCATTTTTTTTTAAATTAATGCCCTCTTTCTATCCTAGGATTCCACCCAGAATGCCACATTACACTCAGGCTCCTGTTGACTTTTAGATTGTCTCTGTTTTCATGACCTTGACTGTTCTCAAGAGTGCTGGTGAGATATGTTGTAGACTAGCCCTCAGATTGGACTTCCTGATGTTTTCCCATGATTAGACTGGGGTTATGAGTTTGGAAAGAGAATATTACAGGAGTGAGGTGGCCCGCTCATTGCATTATCTCGGGGCAAATGACGTCAACATGACTTTGAAATGCTGATGTTAATATTGGTCATTGCCAAGGTTTTTCGTTGTAATGTTTCTATTTTTCCTTTTCTTTCTATTCTTTGGAAACTAGTGAATAAATCCAGCCCTCACTCATCAGGAGGGGAATTAAGTCATACCCCTTGGAGGGAATAAATCTACATATATTATCTAGAATTTTTAAGGAAAATTTATCCCTTGTGACATTTACTTATCCAATCATTTATTTATACCAATATTGACTTAGAGATTTTTCTATATTCTTTGAGTTACAGTAAAATGCTATAATTTGTTTTATTGCTCAACATTGTTCAGCTTTGGCCATTGGGAGCTCCTTCAGGTTGACTCCTACGTCCTTTTGACGTGGCTCATATTTTTCTTCTGTAGCAATGTCTAATTTTCTGGCATTGCTAGATGCTCCAGGCTCATCTTGTATTTCGTGCCTCAGACATACAATCAGACATTTCTCCAAGGAGCCATAAGGGCCAATTTTATATGTATTCTAGAAAATATAATATGCCAAACAATTTGTATTTCATAGCGTAAGTTTATCCTGGAGTGGGTTTCTGGGGAAATAATTATAAGGCAGGAAAATAACACATTCAGACACACAATTTGCTTTCTCTGTTCTCTTGTTTTTCCTTTCAGTGGTGACTGTCGGACATATGCATTTATGTTAAGAGCTGCTTTTGCTCAGTAACAAGCAACTAGAGTTCATGAATTTGTATCATAATTTTTTTTTCACCAGAAGTAGTTAATGGTTACTCTTTGTTCAGTTATTGCTAAGCTCAAATGGTTAAAAATAACAAGAATGTAACACTTTCATGTGGATCATTCCATGGAAAACCAAGTGACTAGTTCTTGAACTGAACCAAGGGATAAGGGAATGGACTGGACATCAGGTGGCTCTTCCCTAATCAGTGATGATTGTCTCTTGATTCTGAGGGTGGGCAAGAAGGACCTAGGCATTCTATACCAGGCACAGAGAAAAGAACTGGAATGAAGGGAGAAAGACCACACCTCCTCCCTCTGAGTGCATTTGTTTACTGGCTTTTTAGCCTATAACAACTTAATTGCATGTTTAGACAGTAGCTGACTGAAAAACTGTATGTGGAAAGATAAAAGAAATCCACTGATCTTTATTAGGAGTAGTGTTTTTTTTTTTTTTTTTTTTTTTTTTGAGACAGAGTCTTGCTGTGTTGCCCAGACTAGAGTGCAGTGCCGTGATCTCGGCTCACTGCAAGCTCCGCCTGCCGGGTTCATGCCATTCTGCTGCCTCAGCTTCCCGAGTAGCTGGGACTTACAGGCATGTGCCACCATGCGTGGCTAGCTTTTTGTATTTTTAGTAGAGACGGGGTTTCACCGTGTTAGCCAGGATGGTCTCAATCTCCTGACCTCGTGGTCCGCCCGCCTCGGCCTCCCAAAGTGCTGGGATTACAGGAGTGAGCCACCGTGCCCGGCCCTGATCTTCATTTGTATATGCATTTTAATCTAAAAAATTTAATGAACATTCAAGATGAATTTTTCTTCAATAGACTTCCCAATTCATTTAAGACTCTCACCTACTCTTGCCCTCTCTACAGGAATTGCTTTATTGTCATACTGGCACCTTTTCTTGAATACATTATGTAAATAAGGGAACTGATAATTTGTTGAAGCTTTAGACTGGTGAGAATTTTTGACTACAGCTGCTTGGAATTTTCAAATACTTGTAGTAATAATCATTGCATATGATTTATTTCTAAAACAGGCTTATGGCATCATTATGAATGCAGAGAAAATTCTGTTAAATTAAAAGTCAAAATGCAAAGCTTAATTAGCAGAATATATTTACCAGTAAGAAATAATGAAATACACATTAGTCAATTAAAATAAATGTAGCAGAATTCTACTCTTCTATAGTTGTATTTATTCTCTTCTATTCCATTAAAATGTCTTCTCTCTATTTTATTCACCAGGAGACCCAGGTTTTACCTCTGTTCATTCCTCACTTTCATTTGCTGGCTTCTCTTCATATGGCTTCTACCTGCTGGTCTGTCCTAAGATTCTGGGTTCAGTCTTTCTTTCCAGCTATACATTTCCTATAAAAATCAGTCCTGTTGGGCTGAGTGTGGTGGCTCATGCCTATAATCCCAGCACTTTGAGAGAGCAAGGTGGGAGGATCACGTGGTCAGGAGTTTGAGACCAGCCTGGCCAACATGGTGAAACCCCATCTCTACTAAAAAAATACAAAATTAGCTGGGTGTGGTGGTGGGTGCCTGTAATCCCAGCTACTCCGGAGGCTGAGGCAGGAGAATCACTTGAACCCAGGAGGCAGGGGATGCAGTGAGCTGAGATTGTGCCACTACACTCCAGCCTGGGAGACAGGGCAGGAGTCCGTCACAAAAAAAAAAAAAAAAAAAAAAAAAAGTCATAGCTCTAAATATCATCGCTATATTTTCAGGCCTGATGACTCATCACAGCTGGAGGCCGACCGCATTGTGACTTCTCACCTGGATCTCTGTAGGGCATCTCAGACTTCTTGCTTTCAGGTGTAACTACCTTTCACAGTTGTCTTCATCTCATTAAATGGGTTCAACATCTGCCTTTTTTGGCTATGTTTTAGAAGTCATCTACATTCTTATTCTGTCGTTTCCTACATGCAATGTATTGGTCTAACTCTAAAATATTTCCAGAATTACTCACTTACCTAAATATATAGCCTTTTGCCTCTGATTCTTTTAAGGTAGCATAATGTTTTTGAGGTTCATTCATATCGCAGCATACATCAGTATTTTTTTTCCTTTTTATTGCTGAATAGTGTTCTGTTTGTTCATTCAGTTGATGGGCATTGACTGCTTTTACTTTTTGGCTATCAACAATAATGCTGCTGTAAAAATTTGCATACAAGCGTTTGTGTAGAAATACCTTTCTCTTTTCTAGGGTAGATTCTTGAGAGTAGAATTCCTGAGGTGTATAACAAATGTACATATTTCTTTATTAAGAAGCTGCCAAACTGTTCTCCAAAGTAGCTATGCTGTTATATATCCCCACCAGCAATGTATGACCTACATTCCCGCCAACCTTGTTATTTCTGATTCCAATTATTTGTGCTTTTATAAATTTCAAGTCAGTGAATTCTAATGGAAACCATGAATTCACATACCAAATGAATGGAATGTCTTGTGACATTGTGTTTCTACTGAGTTAAAGAATTTTAAAAAGTGGTAATTAATAGATAAAAGGAAATTATAAATGGCTGGGTTGTAAGCAAGGACAACCATTGCGCAGCATAGCAAGTCAACTAAATCTTTCTGATCCAATGAGGTTTGCTCATTAGATTAAGTGAAAATGAACTTGCTTCACTGTCACAATCACATGAATAGCTGGGTAGGTTTTCCAATAATCAAATGGTCCATCATTGGTCACACATCATAGATAGGGCTGGAATTAACCATTGCAGAAAGTATAAGATCAAATACATGAAGCCAGTAATACAAAATAATACCAGACATTAACACCAGTCATCATAGAAAACTACACTCCTGAGAGATTTCATTAGCTTCCAGGGAATACAGAACTGCGGAATACTTGCTCAAAGTAGAAAAAATATTGGGATGAAATGATTATCTTGGAAGTCATCAATTGTAGAACAAAGTAAGATTTCAAAATTATGGTTCAAAAATTTAAAAAGTTCTTAATTAAATATAGATATGTGTAGAATTAAGACTTCTTGACCATTTGTCATTGAAGGTGCAATTATACCTTAATGTCTACCTGGTAACTAGCTATTACTATTTTTTTAATGTACTCATCAGTGTGTTTTATTTAAGTTAATCATTAGCTTGAATTTGAATTGAGGTCAGCTTAAATCTTAGAATAACTGATAGGTTCCTAATTAATTTCTACTTGAATTTTAAATCTAAAATATCTCGAATCTAAAATATATGCCTCAAGCAGAAATCCACTGGGTGCTAAATCTTGCTAGGAGATGTAGGAGACACATTTTGTTTAGAATGATAATAAAAAAACCAGTATATTTCAGGGTCTTCCAATAGCCATAACACATACAAATTATATAATAGAAATGTTAACTTATTGCAGATAAACAATGTAAGAGAAGTTAAAAGGTTGTTTACTTTTTATTTGGGAATATGACACAAAGTTCGGGAGCATGATATGTGAATAAAAGGTAATTTTTTTTTTGGCAGAGGACAATTAAAGATCAATAGTGTATCCCCTTTCACACTGATATTGAAAAGAAAACAAAATAAGTTTTACCTCTTTATTTCCTGTGGATTTCTCTCCCCATCACGCTTTGTCACCCTCCTAACATACAATAAATATGTACTTTAGGATATAAATGTAACACTTTATAAAGGCTTACCATATTCTAAAAGGCAAATATTTACATTAATAATAAACTCATAGAATGTTTTACTAAAATAGATTGAAATCTCAGATTTGACAAAGTGTTAAATTATGCAAATAGTTCTTAATTCAACCGAATGTCATTGTGACATTTCCAACAACCCAAATAGTCTTTTAAGTAACTGTAAAGTCTACTGCTGCTCAACAAGGACTTACTATGTTTTTGGGTACTGTTGCTGAATGCTTTACGTTGCCTTTTTTTCATTCCAACATTTTAAGTTCATGGGGTACATGTACAGGTTTTTTACATGGGTAAATAATGTGTCACAGGAGCTTGGTATAGACTATTTCATCATCCAGATAATAATAAACATAGTTCCCAATAGGTAGTTTTTGAATCCTCACACTCCCATTCTTCACCCTCAAGTAGATCCCTGTGCCTGTTGTTCCCTTTGTGTCTATGTGTACTCAATATTTAGCTGCCACTTATGTGAGAAAACATGTGGTATTTGATTTTCTGTTCCTGCTTTAGGTAGATGGAGCTGGAGACCATTATCCTATGTCCCTGCAAAGGACATGATTTAGTTCTTTTTATGGCCGCATAGTATTCCGTGGTATATATGTCCCACATTTTCTTTATCTAATCCACCCTTCATGGGCATCTAGGTTAGTTCCATGTCTTTGTATTGTGAATAGTGCTGTGACGAACATATGCATGTATGTGGCTTTATGGTAGAATGATTTATATTCCTTTGGCAATATATGGTTAAATGGGGGTTCTGTTTTAAGTTCTTTGAGAAGGTTCCAAACTGCTTTCCACAGTGACAACTAATTTACATGCCCACCAGCAGTATACAAGCATTCTCTTTTCTCCATAACCTCACCAGCATCTGTTATTTTTTGGCTTCTTAAAAATAGCCATTCTGACACATGAAAGATGATATCTCATTGTGGTTTTGATTTGCATTTCTCTATTAGTGATAGTTTTTTAAATATAGTTGTTAACTGAATGTATATCTTTTGAGATGTTTCTGTTCATATCCTTTGCCCATTTTTTAACAGAGTTCTTTGGTTTTTGCTTGTTAATTGAAGTTTCTTATAGATTTCTGGATATGAGATTTTTGTCAGATATGTAGTCTCATAATGTTTTCTCTCGTTCTGCAAGTTGTCTGTTGATAGTTTCTTTTGTTGTGCAGAACTCTTTAGTTTAATTAGGTGTATTTGTCAATTTTATTTTTGTTGCAGTTGCTTTCGGAGTCTAGTCATGAAATCGTTGCCAGGGCCTGTGTCTGGAATAGTATTTCCTAAGTCGTCTTCTAGGGATTTTATAGTTTTAGGTTTTACATATAAGTATTTAATCCATTTTGAGTTAATTTTTGTTAACAGTTTAAGGAAGGAGTCCAGTGTCAATTTTCTGTATATGGTTAGGCAGTTATCCCAGCACCATTTATTGAATTGGGGATTCCTTTCCCCATTACTTGTATCTGTTGACTTTGCCAAAGATTATATGGTTGGAGGTATGTAGCTGTACTTCCTGGGGTCTCTAACCCATTTCATTCGTCTACGTATCTGGTTTTCGTACCAGTACCACGCTGTCTTGGTTACTGTAGCCTTGTATAGTTTGCAGATGGGTAGTGCAGTGCTTCTGGCTTTGTTCTTTTTGCTAAAATTGCTTTGACTATTCAGGCTCTTCTTAAAATTTATAAGTTGTTTTGGACAGTATGACCATTTTCACAACAGTGATTCTTCCTATTTATGAGCACTGAATGTTTTTCCATTTGTTTGTGTCACCTATGATTTTTTTAAGTTTTTAAATTATTGTAGAGATCTTTCATCTCTCGGATTAGCTGAATTCCTGGATACCTTATTCTTTTTGTGGCTATTGTGATTGAGATTGTGTTCTTTATTTGGTTCTCAGCCTAGATGTTGTTGGGTTATAGAAATGCAACTGATTTTTGTACATTGACTTTATATCCTGAAACTTCACTGAAGTTGTCTTTCAAATCTAGGATCCTTTGGGAATAGACTATGGAGTTTTCTTGATATGAAACCATATCTGTGAAGACAGTTGAACTTCCTCTCTTCCTATTTGGGTGCTTTTTCTTTCTTTCTCTCGCCTGATTGCTCTGGCTAGGACTTCTAGTACTGTATTGAATAAGAGCGGTGAGAGTAGGTGTACTTGTCTTGTTCCAGCTCTCCAGCAGAATGCTTCCAACTCTTGCCTATTTAGTATGATGTTGGCTGTGGGTTCGTTCTAGATGGCTTTTATTATTTTGAAGTATGATCCTTCAATGTCTAGTTTATTGAGCCTTTTAACGTGAAGGGATGTTGAATTTTATTAAAAGCCTTTTCTGAGTCTATTGAGATAATCATGTGGTTTTTATTCTTTATTTTATGTGATGAATCACATTTATTGACTTGTATATATTGAATTAACTTTGCCTCCCAGGATTAAAGCCTACTTAATTATGGTGGATTAGCTTTTTGATGTGATGCTGGATTCAGTGTGCTGGTAATTTTATTGAGGATTTTTTTATCTACTTTCATCAGGCATATTGTTCTGAAGATTTCTTTTTTTGTTTTGTCTCTGCCAGGCGTTGGTATCAGAATGATGCTGGCCTCATAGGAGTCCCTCTTCCTCAGTTTTTTGGAATAGTTTCAGTAGGATTGATACCAGCTGTTACTTACACACGTGGTAGAATTCAGCTGTGAATCTGGTCCAGGGCTTTTTCTGGTTGTTAGGCTTTTTATTACTGATTGAAATGCAGAACTCGTTATTGGTCTGTTCTGGGTTTTAGTTTCATCCTGGTTCAATCTTGGGAGGCTGTATGCTTTCAGGAATGTATCCATTTCTTCTAGGTTTTCTAGTTTGTGTGCGTAGAGGTTTTTCTCATACTCTGAGGGTTTTTTCTTTTTCTATATTTAAAATGCGGTCAGTGGTAATGTCCCCTTTGTCAGTTCTGATTGTATTGTATCTTCTCTTTTTTTTTTTAGTCTAGCGAGTCATCTATCAATCTTATTTATTCTTTAAAAAAAACCCAACTTTTGGTTTCATTGTGTAATTCCATTCCAAAAGTTTTTGTATGATTTCTTTGCACCTCAATTTGATTCAGTTTAGCTTTTATTTTGGTTTTTTTTTTTTTCATCTGCTAGCTTTGGAGTCGGAGTTGCTTTGCTCTTGTCTTTCTATTCCTTGAGGTGTGATGTTAGGTTAATTTTGATCTATTTTTTGACATGGGAGTTCAGGGCTGTCAACTTTGCTCCTAACACCACTTTAGTGTCCCAGAGATTCTAGTCTTTCATATTTTTTTCATTAGTTCCAAAGAATGTCTTAATTTCTGCCTTAATTTGTTTGTATATCCAGAAGTTATTCTGGAAGAGGTCGTTTTATTTCCATGCAATTGTACAGTTTTAAGAGATCTTCTTTATATTGATATCTTCTTGTATTGCACTGTGATCCTAAAGTATGGTTGGTGTGATTTCACTTTTTTTAATTTGCTTGGAATTGTTTCATGGTCCGTGTTGGAGAAAGTGCCATGTGCAGATGAGAAGAATGCATATTTTGTTGTTGCGGAGTGGAATGTTCTATAGATGTCTGTTGGACTGTTGGATCAAAAGTCGAGTTTAGATCCCTAATATCTTGGTTTTTGCCTCAATTATCTAATATTGTCAGTGGAGTATTGAGGTCTCCCATTATTATTGTGTGATTATCTAAGTGTTTTTGTAGGTCTCTAAGAACTTACTTGATGAAACTGGGTGCTCTGATGTTGTGTGCATATATATTTAAGATTAAGTCTTGTCGAATTGAACCATTTATCATTATGTAATGCTCTGTCTTTTTTGATCACCGTTGGTTTAAAGTCTGTTTTGTCTGAAATTAGAATAGCAACCTGTCTCTTGTTTTCTGTTGCTTGATATATTTTTCTCCATCCCTTTACTTTGAGCCTCTGGGTGTCATTGCATTTGAGATGGTTCTCTTAAAACAGCGTACAGTTGGGTCTTGCTTCTTTATGCAACTAGCCACTCTATGCCTTTCAATTGGGGTGTGTATTTACATTCAAGATATTGATATGAGGATTTGATACTATAATTTTCTTGTTACTTGGTTGTAATGTAGACTTAATCTTGCATTTGCTTCATAAATTTAATAGTTGATGTACTTCAGTATGTTTTTGTGTTGGCTAGTAATGGTGTTTTGTTTGGTCTTTTGTTTCCATGTTGAGCACTCTGTAAGAGGCAGATCTGGTGGTAACAAATTGCCTCAGCATTTGCTTATCTGAAAAGGATTTTATTTATCCTTCGCTTATGATGCTTGTTTTAGCTGGATATGAAATTCTTGGTTTGAATTTTTTTTAAGGTTGCTGAGTGCAGGCCCCCAGTCTCTTCTGGCTTGTAGGATTTCTGCTGAAAGGTACACTGATAACCTGATGAGGTTTTCTTTTATAGGTGACCTACCCCTTCTCCCTAGCTGCCTTTAATATTTTTTTTCTTCTGCATTTTCCTTGGAGAATCTCATGACTACGTGTATTGGGGATGGTCCTCTGACACAGTGCCTTGTAGGGGTTCTCCAAGTTGGGGAATTTGAATATTGACCTCTCTAGCAAGATTGGGGAAATTTTCATGGACAATATCCTCAAATATATTTTCCAAGTTGCTTGCTCTCTCCCTCTTTCATGGACATCAATGAGTTGCAGGTTTGGCTTATTTACATAATCCTGTTTCCTGGCAGTTTTTTCTTTTTTTTGTCTGAATGAATTGATTCAAAGAACTGGTATTCAAACTCTAAGGTTCTTTTCTCAGCTTGGTCTATTCTGTATAGACCCACATATATGTATATATTTCATCCAGCTTGCCTACAGTAAGTCCACACCTTGTCTGAGAAAGGGTCATAATCACTTGGGATATTGTCCGATATGTATATAATATAAAACAAGCAGAGAGTATGTTTATAAGTACATCATAGTGGCATGCTAGTTCCTAGACTCATTCCCAGAAGTAAGACAATAGATGTCGCTGTCAAAGTTGCTAGTGAATGCTCATTTTTTCTAGAAATCTTGATACAGATATATTAGTGCTGATGGCTCTTCCAAACTTCACCCATGGAAACATACATTTCAGGTGTAATGTAAATGAGCTACTGAAGAGATTCAACAACTCTCCATGCGTCTTTCTGGTCCACCATCTTTGAGGTTTGTGATAAATGCATTACAGTGAAGGTAAAACCAGGCTCTGGGAATACCATGCATTTTTGATTAAAATATATTTTTCAGCAAGGTATTAGCTGGGATAATTTTATGTGGTACTTCCACTTTGGATTAATCTGATTTTTGTGGGATTTCTATGATAAATACAAAGGGCAGATGGAAATTGGACAGGAGTTTTCATCCTTTGGCACAAAAATCAATAGTGTGGTAGTCACACTGTAAACTATAACAACAGGTCGATCGCACATTTTCACTCAGGAAAGCTCCCAGAAAATCTGAGATCCTGGATGAGGAAAGGGAACTCAAAAATATGTCTAAGATTTCATTTCTAGAGAATCCTGGCAGGTAGCATCACAGACCCAGTTTTAAAATGATTAGAGGAGTTATTACAGCATTTGGTCTATAATATTATCTTGGAAAAACTTTTCTAATAAAGATAGCTCATTAAGTGCTAAGAAACACATTAAATGTGTAGCTTTTCAAGGAAAAGCAATGAAACTCAGCACTGGAAGCAGTTATTCAGTTCTTTAGTTATTGTGATCGTAGGCACAAAAGCAATTAGGTCAAAACATATTTCAGCTGCCTTCAGAGCATGACAAAATTAAAGTCTCTAATTTGCATCTGAATATTATTCACTGAATTGTAATGTTTTCAAGAAACTATTCCTTGAAGAGAAGATAAATAGATACAAATTGAGATGTGGGATATTGGTATATATGTGTATAGATGAGTTGTGATCTATGTAACTGATCAGTTCCTGATCAGTTATGAAATGAGAAGTGAACATCATAATTCTTTTCTGATTTTAGGTTTAATATGTGACCAAAGGGGAGGTTCATTGTAGGATGTATGTTTAATGTAAACCTTTACAAAGCAATACTGATAATATATACAAATCCTATTATGCCCTCCTTAGGATTATACAGTTGAAGGATAATGGTTAAGGAGAGCTTTGGAATATATTACCTAAGTTTTGTTGCAGATACTTTAAGTGGTGGTTGGCTCTCAATATGTGATTGGTGGATATTCCTTGTTTCCATTTAATTTTTCCAAATAGAACTATAACTAATCAATACAACTGAGCAGACAACAGTTTAGATAATAACAGTGTATTATCACTGGTAGAAAAATAAATGTAAGATGGAAGTTTCAAGAATGCATTCATCCCACCAGCCTTTCTCTAGGAAATGTGTCTAGTCCCTTGTATTTTTGGTCATGTACTTGGCCTTCAGGCAGCTAATACTCTTTCTCTGAGAAAAAGTGTGCACTCTTAAATGTGCACACACACATGCACACACACACACATGCACACACACACACATCTTAATGACCAAATGGAAAAAGAGGGAGAAAAAGATACTTGCCAAAAAGTTACACTGCACTTTAATATCAGTAAGACAACCAGTGGTACTACGAGCCTGGCTGTCATGGAAGACAAGTCTTAAAAGGTGTTTTTCTCCAACACCCCTCAATCATTTTCTGGACATTGTCTTGGGGGAAATAGGGAAGTGAAGTTATAGAGGGATGAGGTGGTCACATCAAAAAGAAAGTACCGGCCGGGCGCGGTGGCTCACGCCTGTAATCCCAGCACTTTGGGAGGCCGAGGCGGGCGGATCACGAGGTCAGGAGATCGAGACCATCCCGGCTAAAACGGTGAAACCCCGTCTCTACTAAAAATACAAAAAATTAGCCGGGCCTAGTGGCGGGCGCCTGTAGTCCCAGCTACTTGGGAGGCTGAGGCAGGAGAATGGCGTGAACCCGGGAGGCGGAGCTTGCAGTGAGCCGAGATCCCGCCACTGCACTCCAGCCTGGGCGACAGAGCGAGACTCCGTCTCAAAAAAAAAAAAAAAAAAAAAAAAAAAAAAGAAAGTACCTGGGCCAGGCACGGTGCGTCACACCTGTAATCCCAGCACTTTGCGAGGCTGAGACGGGTGGATCACGAGGTCAGGAGTTAGAGACCATCCTGGCTAACACAGTGGAAACCCCGTCTCTACTAAGAATATTAAAAAAAAAATTAGCTGGGCGTGGTGGCGGGCACCTGTAGTCCCAGCTACTCAGGAGGCTGAGGCAGGAGAATGGCATGAACCCGGGAGGCGGAGCTTGCAGTGAGCCAAGATGGTGCCACTGCACTCCAGCCTGGGTGACAGAGCGAGAATCCGTCTCAAAAAAAAAAAAAAAAAAAAAGTACCAGATTCTTGCCTTTGACTTACTTCTTGGCAAAACTTTGTCCTCCTAAAATGCAAAGCCCTTTTCCTAACCATTTTCTTCCGCTATACAACTTAAAAGAAAACGTTAAAAGTCCAAACCCTTTGCCCCCCAAACTTTGTTTTATTATGTAAATTGAGTCTTCTTGGTATTTGTATGAAGACCAGATACAAGCTTCTGTGAGGTCTGAACATTATTATTATTATTTTTTTTTAAGAGACAGGGTCTCCCCATGTTGCCCAAGCTGGTCTGGAACTCATAGGCTTAGGCAATCCTTCCACCTTTGCCTCCCAAATTGCTGGGAACACAGGTGTAAGCCAAAGTATCCACCAACCTTTTTCTGTTCCCAGATAATTTATAGTCTACCAGGATTCACAAAGTAAACAGCCCTTCACATACAATGCACTTTTTTACTCAAGGTCCGAAATGAGATGAGTGAAAGAGTTCCTTTTATTTTATTCAGTGGTTTTTTATTTAATCCTCACCATCCCAGCATCAAAACACACAAGCACAGACACACGTTTCTACTTTTATACATCTCTGCTGTTTCTCCCTATTTATTACTTTTCTCCTTTTCCCATTGGGTTTGTAGGGTCTGATGGCAGAGCAGGAGGTGGTGGTGAGAGCTAATCAGTAAACCCCAAATATCAGCTCCATAGACCTGGCTTCAATATAGATGCTTTCTTCTCAAAATGGCTAAACAAACACACAAATTCGTATCTTTTAACGATTCCTCCCCTTTCAGAGTTATGCTTAGAATACAGAGGCCAACACAATTTATTTTAAAACTGATATCTATTTGTCTCTTTTGCCCACCACAATATGAATCATAAAATCTGATGAGGTGATTACTTTTGTGAAAAGTACATGACACACATTTATTGTTGAAAAATAATCTGATTTTTCTCAGCCAAAACCTGAATAAATATAATGAGTATCTGCGAAAATAATAACAAAAATTTTATTGATTTATAAACTGTACACAAAAATAAGCAAAGGGATAAAGCTTTTTTTTAAAACCTGAAGAGCCCCCCCCCAAATCCCTAGGAAACATTTTAAAATAGTCCTTCTGATTTTAACAAAACAAGCCATTTCATTTTTTTTCCTCCTAATTTCAAAATGCCTACGGTCTCATTAGTTCCATTTTTGGTGCTCTATTTTTGGAGCTGTGATGAAAGCTATTTCACATCTTTAAGATTTGATAGTGCAGAAATAACGATCTCTGCACCCCAGATAATTTAAAATGGAAGTCCCATTGGCAGTTCTGGGAGTGAAGAAGAGAAGCCATATGCACAAGCATACTCTATTGAGCCCCCAGCAAACTTGTCAGAGTCTTGAAAAGCACTGGAGGTAGAAGTTCCTGGTAAAGCTATGTTTTGGTTTGACTCTATCTAATTTTATTCTATGCCAATGTAGGAGAAACCATGAAAAAAATATGGGTCTACTTGATTTTGACAGCTCCTTGTAATTCTGATGGGCTGGCTTTAGATAAACAACTTCATCTACCTATAAACTAACATTTAACTTAAATACATTTCCATAGTAAAAGAACATAAGGGTGAATCTCCCTAATGGCTTCTGAGGGCTTCATTATGCTGATGACTGTTCCCAAATGCTTGTCAGCAGTAATTACCCATGTCACAGCTGACATTGCCACACAGAGGACAGAGGGAATGACCTGAGATTCTCCATGACATTGTTCTGAGGAATAAGGAGCTCAACTCAGTTTGGTTTTGTTAGATTTTCCAGCTAATGTTAACCAGAAATTTCAGGCAGGAATGAGGGCATAGGCAGAGAAGATAGTAACATTTTAAAGTAATAGTATTAACTTTTTAAATCCCTTGCAGTACCCCACATCACCGTTGTAGGACCCATCTTAGGCACCCATTGTCGTGGGCTCCTCCACCCAATGTTCTCGCACTTCCTCAATGCTTCTTACCTGCCTAGATATCTCAGTCCGCATTCTGTCCTCATTCTTCCCTGACAGTACTCCAGACTCAACTTCCAAATTTGTGTGCAACTTCTACATCATAAATCTTATATTAAAATATTTATTCCCCTTAGTATATCCATAGCTATCAACTTGCTAATATTCCTTGAAGTTGGGGTTCTTATCTATTTACTTTATCCCCAGTATGTGAAATGGTATGTGATGATCACTGCTCAAAAAATATAACATTGAATAATTTTTCAGATATTCCAAAGTTAATGAAAATCTCTGAAGGTCTTGAACCATTGTGAGGCCAGAACATTCCTCCAACCATCCAGTGATAATGCCCTGAACCAGCCTAGTGGGATTCGAAATAAAAGGAAAGATCGAAGATACAGTTTTGATTATTACTTGATTGAGACAGGAAAGAAAGGGCTGAAAATAGAGATAGTATCACTGAGCTTTGAATGTTGAGGGAATAAAAATAGGATAAACAGAGTAAGAATAATCAGATTAAACCTGATGCTGTTCAAAACCACATCATGTCGTTATGACATTTGTATCCTAATTTATACACTGGTCCACTAGGAATGTATTCTGTTACACATAATTTTTCATTGGGTTTTGCCCTTTGGGTTCAGGAACTGAATGAAGTTTAGCTGAGGAAGCTGCCCAACTTTCTGCAAAGGGCTACTAGGTGGGTAGCAAAGCTCTGTGCAGCAAGATAAGAGTGTTGAAATCATAAAGAGAAGGCTTGGTGATGGCTGGCCTGGGAGCCCTAACTTTCATTAAGCATGGCTGATTTTGGAACCTAGGCCTGGAGCACAAAGAGGGAGGACTAAGGCAAATGTGATTATTCTAACATTTTATTTCCTTTTCTGACCTAAACAGTGGTCACTGGCAAACATGCACATGAAATGATTTTTTGAGAAGCACACCTGCTATCACAATAGCTCCCTGACCCCAATGACACGATCACCTTCAAAGAGATGAATCCATCAGCAGCACAACCCACCTTCGCTGATGTGGTATTGTATACACCCATAAATATAGGTCACATCTAACTCTTAATCAAAGATAAAAGCAAATAGGAAAGAAAAGCTTCAGATTTTGCAAGATCTGACTTCGGATCAACACCACAGATTATTTTATGGAAGGCATGGGTTAAGAGTTCTCCTTTTATCTCTGTGCTTAGTTGGGCTTGTTACCTTCTTCAAAGAACGTGGGTAACATTCATCTCAAGCTTTTCTATCAACCTGCTTTGAGAGAAAAAGGGCAGCTGAGTTAGTGCTAAATTGGCTCAAGTTTAGGCCCCAGTCAAACATAACAGTTGTTGTTCTTGAAAATTTAATTTCTAAAGCAGCAGGTTTCTGGGCGAGACGGCTCTTAATCCAAAGTGGATTCCCTCATGTGGTTCTTGTGTTTGGCCTTCAATTATTTGCTCTGGAAGCCTCAATTTGTGGAGAATGGTACCTGATGTCGTGCAATTCACAGAACCTCAAGTTGATCTTAAAATGGTTTAAACAAAAGATCTCTCTGTCTCTCTGTCTCTGTCTCTCTGTCTCTCTGTTTCTCTCTCTGTCTCTCTCTCTGTCTCTCGCTCTGTCTCTCGCTCTGTCTCTCGCTCTGTCTCTGTCTCTCACTCTGTCTCTGTCTCTCGCTCTGTGTCTCTGTCTCTGTGTCTGTCTCTGTCTCTTTCTCTCTGTCTCTGTCTCTCTCTCTCTCTCTATATATATATATACAAGATTACTACTCACTGTAAAAGCACAAAAAATAGAAGTAGATGGAAATACTGTAAATTTAGATGAGATTATCAGTCTAATATGATTCTGATAATTTTCAGGTGGACTCTTTAATTATCTGATTAAGGAGAGCATGTTTGCTTTTTTTTTTTTAAAAAAAAGATATTTTCTGGTGCTAAATTTTAGGATAATCACCAGTGGAAGTCCTGCAGTGACCACATACTACATGCCATTAGAGAAGGGGGAGAAAGCCAGCAGATGCAGGGAATTTGAAAGTGAGGGAGACCTGAGTTCTTCAAATTAGGGTTGATGGAGGACTGACCATATTAATTATTAGAATACGTTCTTCGTTTACCGTTTGCATTCCTATTTTTCACCCAGAAATGTGCCGTGCTTGAATATAAAATAGTATGTCAATGAGAAAGTTTTGTTCTGAGTAACTAAAAAAAAAAAAAAAATTATGAAAGAACAGGTGTAGCCAGAGGGTTTTGCGATTGTACTCTTACTTCTCAGCAAGGGACCCATGTTGAATGTCCTTCCTTTTTCCCCCTTAAGGGATCATGAATGATTAAAAACTTGGCAAATACAAAAAATACCAATTACAAAACATTGAAAGGAGAAATATTGGTTAATAATTACTTTGCATGCGGTGACATAAAATATATCCAGTTCTTTATTTCACTCTCAACAGCTTCCCATCCAGGGACATTTCTTTGAATGGGTCACAAATTATGTTACAACATATGTGTATTATAGGTTCTTTTAGGCTACCTGTTAACTCCTAATAAATCAGGCTGCTCAGGAAAGTTGATAAAAAGAAAGCACATTCTAATGGGATACATCTATGATGTTTTCATCTTGATCGAGGTAGTATTGCCACCTGTGAATCCATTTGCATTCTTTTAATTAAGTTCAATTTCTAAAAAGAATCTAGTTAATTACAATGAGTATTATCTTTAAAGCTTTCTTATAGTATAAACAATCTGATTGTAGATAACATACTTACCCTGGCTCGGAGACACATTTCATTATAATGTTGAAAAAAATAAAAGGAGTAAAAACAAGCATAGGATTGTTTTAATATGCCTCTTGAATCAGAGACTACACTGTTTGGAAATAAAGCTGACAGCAAAAGGAAATCTGAACTCTATTATGCTAGAGAGTGAATGTTTTTTAGTAGCAGCACTTGATTCTTGCTAACATACATCCACATATGTGAAAGCAAAGCTTATGGACAAATAAGCAAATTATTAAGCCAACTCCCGTTCAGTATTCTGTTGTTGTTTTTAATTCTACTTTAAGGGTAGTTTTTCTTTGTTTTCCCTTTTGGGATAAAATTAACTGGGAACTTGGCAATGTTTTCATGGTTTGAAGTTTTATCTGTGTTTATTCTTTGTACTTATTGCTGCGGTGGTGGTTCTAGTCTAGATTTCTCCCCTGAGGGGGAATAAGAAAGAAGCAAACCAAATAAGCTGGTAAATAAGTATACATCAGAGACTTAAGGAAGGATAAGTGAGCATACAGAATAAACTCTGTATTATGAGAGAATGTTTCCAGCAAAGTGTTAAGCCATAGGAGGCCTTAGATAAAAATCATTGACATCTTTCTTAGTATATTTCTAGAAGCAAATATAAGGTCAACAGAATTGATGATATGTAAAAAATTGTTCAGATACACAGTGAAACATAGTGTTAGCTTTATATTTTCTACCACTTTACACATGGGTATGAAAATGCTAACCAGCATTTGTGTGTCAAAACTATGCTTTTAAAAGCATTATAAAAATTTTGCAGAGGCTACATTTTGGTGCAGTCAGATGAAATAGGGAGTAAAGTGAGTCTCCAGCAGTAGCAAACAGCAGGAAATGTTTTTCTCTCATACTCTTCAAAACTTTTCTTGTCCCTCACCCATTTTGGATAATCAATCTATAGTGACATGCTATTTATTACACGATACCTCTCTTTGCTGGAACTCTGAAGTCCCTGGGACATTTTTATGAAGTCTCAGTGGTGTTTTGAGTCCAGCATAGTTACAAGTGAGAAGAAATAAGAAAGCTTTAACCCACTCTTTACCTTTGCATGTAAAACATTTAAAAATGCTCAAAGATCAAACAATTTCTATTTGGTTCTCCTCTCCTACAGAAAGGTGGGGGAGAGTTTTGTTGTACATTATCCTAGTCACCGATAGGTTTGGATAAGACATCTTCAAGTGATCACAAATAGAGAGCAAACATTCACGGAGACAAATTAGATGGGTACAAGTGGGTCAGCCCTTATTTTCAGCTTGTTAGAACATGTGGTATAAATCTATTCTAGAAATACCTATCAGAATTCACAGAGGTGGTCCTCAATGTAGCCTACCCCAAGTTCTATGATGAAATCATCTTGGAATGGATTCTCTCCACTTCCATTTTGACATTTTCAATGACTGCTTCCCAGCAACAAAACTAGGAATAAAGTGTACGTTTCTATGAATTCTAGACCCTTGTCTTCCCAGGTTTCCCATGTAAGAGTCATTTGCTATATTCCTTTTTGCAAATTATTTTTTTTCTTAATCAGAGAGACTTGAAAGACCACATTTTGTTACCCTTTTCCCTATTGAAATATCATTTGATAGTATTCCCTTGTGCCTCAAAGCTTAAGCACATACCGATACTCGAACAATGTTTAAAAGTTCTAGAAGAAGGCTGTTTGTGGAACGTACTTACCTAGTAGCTGCTGTTTGTATCACCATAAATAAGGGCATTCCACAAACAGCATCTACTAGAACTTTCAAACATTGCAGTTGCCCAGGCCTGACCGTTTCAGCGCATGACACTGGTAAAACGATGTTCACTTGGTGATCCCTGAAACCATTGTGTATATTATGTTACATGAAAAAAGGGACCCAGCACATATAATTAAGGTTATAGACCCTAAATATCCCTTAAAACGGGGAGATTATCCTGGACTATCTTGGTGGACACAATGTAATTGTATCAGCCTTTAAAAAGAAGCAGAGAAATTTATCCAGCTGTGGTCTGAGAGATGGGGCAGAAGAGAGTGATTCAAAGCATGAGAGAGGCCCTTACCCACCATTACCAGTGGGAAGCTTCATGGAAAGATCAAGAAGGGATGTGTGGCCAGGAGCAAAGGGAACTTTACAATGTAGAGGAGTGAATTTGTCCAACAGCCTGAATGAACATGTAAACTATTAATAGCGCTTCTGGAAAAAATGCATCCTAGGTGACTCTTCAATTTCAGCTTTGTGAGACTCTCAGTAGAGGACACAGTTGAGCCACACTGTCCGTGGACTTCTAACTTACAGAACTATGAGATAAGTGGTTGGGGTTTTAAGGCCACTAAATTTGTAGTTATTTTTCATGGAAAACCAATACTCAGACCAACCTCCAGCTGGCAGTGTCACATATTTTTCTCTTAAGGTTTCTGTGGCCACCAGAGCCCGCTCTGCCCTAGCAGGCTATAAGGCATAACTATTTGCCAGGGAATTGATGGTAGATGAGGAGTCACAGTTGGTAGATACATACCCCGGCTCTCTCATACACATGCTGAGCCGTGTGTTTCTCATTAGCGCTCAGCATTCTCTGACAGGGCTAAACTCCAGTGGCCCACAGGACAGACATGATAATACCCTTTCTATTGAATTCCTTCCCTTCTGCATCTTACTTCCCTAATCTTTTTCGATGTTTCTTGGAATCAATTTCCAAATGAACTACTTGCACTTAAATCAGAGTCTCAGGGTCTGCTTTGGGGCAACCCAAAGTAAGGCAGCGATATTCTTCCTATCTTGTCTCTTTTGGGAAATTGCTTCAGCCAATAATAAGAACCCCAATAGTAGCACTGTCTTTTTTTTAAGAATGTATAATATATATCTCCACGGTCACAGGCATTTAACACCCATCTTGTTTAATCTTCTCAACAAAAGCAAAAGGCTGGAACTGGATTATCCACATTGCATGGACAAAAACTGAAGTTTAAGGATATTTAACTATCTCAGTATCTCACATGTAATACCATGGTTTTAAAACTCATCCTCCTAAATGATGCTGTTTAACCTTCCCTATCTGAGGGTATAAACTGGAGTGCTGTTAAGTCCACAGGAATCATTTTATGAAAGTCATTCCCAACAGGTAAGAATGAGAAAGCAGCTCTTCGTAAACAGGTTTTTGCGGAACTCTGTTGGGGAAGTGCTGCAACAGACCACAACTCTTTGGGGTCATGCCTTTTTCACTGATCAATCCTTACCAGCCGCTGGCACAGCTCCTGATATAACACCAATGCATGTGTGCTGAATATGTGGGTGAATCTCTACTCTTCACCATAAATCATAGTTCCTTTGCTTATGGACACTGTTTAGATCTCTTCTATCTATTCATTTTAATCAGCCTTTTATCTCTGCAGGCTCTAGTGAGGAACTTGTTAAAAGGCTTCTTTGCCAGGCAGGTTACTTAAATTTTCTTGGATGCCTAGAGCTGCCCTGAGGTGTATCTGCTAATCCTGAACACAGGCAGAGGAAAGATATGAGGAGTGGCGCCAAGCATAGGACTCTCTGCTCTTTTGTGTGGAAAGTCTTCCTTCACTGGTGTACTCCTCAGTGGCTATTCTGAAACACTATTTTAAAGATGCTGGCTAAACATTTATATGCAGTATTGTACTCTTTTATGTAATCTCTTATAAGAAACAGCCATAGATGGATAGTACAATTGGGGAAGATCAAGAAATGAAATTACTTAATCACAATTATACATGTTGAATAAATCTTATAATTTGTCCAGTTTCTCCTAGTTGATGGCTCATAGTAAACACTAAAATGTACTAAAGAGTAGAGTTTTTTTTAATTGAAGAAATACTACCTACGCAAATTCATAACAGCACACAGGGTGTTTTTATAAGAAAATCATAATGATATTTATCTGTAGCTATGAATAAACTGTTTTCTTTCCTAGAGACCCTATTGTAATTCCACCCCCACCCCAAAACAGACAAGATAAATTATTGAAGAAGGTAGAAGTTAAGGTGCTATCTTTTAGAATGAGGAAAACAAACTACAAGTAGGAAAATCAAGAAGTTACCTTAAATGAGAAAACTTTTATAAACTATTAAGCATAATGTTTGGCAATAGTAGAGACTTCACAAATGTGAGTCTTAATTTACCTGTGTTATTATTTTTACAATGACATAATAGTTTAAGTAGTGATGAATATCCAGAGAAAGTGCTAAACAGCCTCTCAGAGCATGACTGCTAAGCCCCCAGAAACAGACTGACGTGCTGCATAGAGATCCATCTGCTATGGAAGCTTACTCAGCACTTACTTTTGACACTTGAGAAGACTTATTTGACAGATGTATTAGTCAGCTCTGGTTGTCATAACAAAATATCATAGACCAGATAAGTTAAACAGCATAAATTTATTGTCTGATAGTTCTGGAGGCTGGAAGTCCAAGATCAGGGTCCCAGCATGGTTGGGTTCTGGGAAGGGCTCTCTTCCTGGATTTTATATGACTTCCTTCTGGCGATGTCCTTACATGGTAGAGAGATTGAAAGAGAACACACATACTGGGATTTCTCTTCCTCCTCTTATAAGGCCACTAACCCCATCATGAGGACCCTACCCTCATGGCCTAATCTAACCCTAATTACCTCCCAATAGCCCTATCTCCAAATATAATACTGGGGGATAGAACTTCAATATATGAATTTTAGTGGGACCCAAACATTCGGTTCACAGTAACAGACTTTCAGTTTGTTTCCCCATTTAAAGTGGATACTTGAAAACAGACAGGGGCTCTTCCTTTGAATTTTTTTTAAACTATCATGTAATATGATGCATAAGTGTGAACTTGAAGTAGCTCATCCATAATGGAAGATAGATAAATATCGGGCTCCCTTCTCTACCTCTAGACCTCTAGGATACATCCTTGGATCTAGTCATTAATCTAGGATAATAGGTCGCTAACATTTAGCCTGTAGGAAAAACCAGCTGGGGCCATGCATTTCACCCTCTGAATCTCAGCTTCTCTATCTGTACAATGAACCCAAATCAGAGGTTTCCTAAAATCCCAGCAGATCTAAAACTCTCTTCCACTGTTCTTTTCATGTTATTAATTTTTACTTCTTCAAATAGTTGGTGTGTTACATGGTATACAGAATTTTAGTAGTGAAAAAGTAATAAAGCTAATTAAAAATCCAAAAATGTACTTAAGACCAGATTATTTATCATAAATTACATGTATTCTAATATTTCTCACAGCTCTTCTGATTACTTCCATTAGAAACTAGCGCTTATTTAGAGGGGCCTAGTGCCCTCTAATTCATAAAGTGAAATAACCAACTACAGTTTTTTCCAAGAGGCTGGTTTGGAAGTATTGTTAGCATTCTTCTCCCACTTGGAAAGACAAAATAGTGTGTAGAAATTCCCACTATAAATTTTTTTTTCCAAGAAGCAACACAAGAACTTAAAAACTGAAAGAAGCCTTAAACCCTCTGAAAGGGTAGCAGGCAGCAGTTTACACCACAAACGAAGCAGAAAACTTCCCACAGGATGCAGTGAAGCTGTGCACACAACCAGCATGTTGCTACTACAGATAGTATCTGAGAAAGCCACCACACAGGTTCTCTATAACCAAGAACTCATACAGAGTTTTCACCACTGAAAGCACAGAGCTGAAGCTAGATGACAGTAAGCTGTAAACATTAAAGTCACATCCTCAAAAGGAAAAAAGTTTTTAAAAATTCCAGTCAATCAACAATAAGTTAAAAATAATTAGAAATAGCCTACCCAAATGAGAAGAAACAAGAAAAATATGTCTGGCAAAATGGAAAAGCCAGGTTCTATACAGCGCCAAAAGATCACACTATATTCCAGCAGTGGATCCAAACCAAGATGAAATATTTGAAATACCACATAAAGAATTCAAAAGATTGATTATTAAGTTATTCGAGATACAAGAGAAAGGTGAAAACCAACATAAAGAAATTTAAAAAACAATTCAGGGTATGAATGAAAATTTTCTAAAGAGATAGCTGTCTTAAAGACTAATTAGAACTTCTGGAAATTAAACACACATTTAGGGAACTGCAAAATGCAATGCAAAGTTTTAACAGTAGACCAACTAGAAGAAAGCATTTTAGAGCAGAAAGGCAAGTCTTGTGAATTAACCCAATCGAACAAAAGAAAAAAGAATTAAAAGAATTGCACTAAGTCTCCATAAAATAGACAATTACATAAAATGACCTAACCTGAGAATTGCAGATATGCCCAAGGGAGAAAAACAAAAAAAATTTGGAAAACTCCTTTGAAGGAATTGAGAAAAGCTTCCGTGGCCTTGCTAGAGATTTAGACATCCAAATACAAGAACCTCAGATAACTCCTGGGAGATTTTTTTTAAAAAAGGGATATCATCAAGGCATATATTAATCAGGCTATCTAAAGTCAATGTGAAGGAAAGAATTCCAAGAGCAGTGAGACAAAAGCATCAGCCAACCTATAAAGGAAAATCTATCAGACTAATAGCAGACTTCTCAACAGAAACCTTGCAATCCAGAAGTGATTGGGGTCCTATTTTTAGCCTCCTTAAACAGAATAAGTGTAAGTGAAAAGATTGGTATAAGCAAAACTGTTTCATAAATGAAAGAGAAACAGAATATTTTTCAGACAAGCAAATGCCAAGGGAATTTGTCACTATCAGACCATCCCTACAAGAAATGATAAAAGGAATTCTAAATTTTGCAACAAAAGGTCAATATGGAACAGCTTCAAGAGATTCACCTAACGTAATAAGGATTCTTACAGACTTGAGGGAAAGAAGTGAAACAAAATATTGCATGAAAATAAACCAAAAGTGAGCAGGAACAGCTATTCTTAAGTCAGATGAAACAGAATTTAAAGCAACAATCATAAAGACTAAGAAGGTCATTATGTAATGATAAAAGGATCAATTCAAAAGAGAATATTACAGTTCTAAATAGATATGCACCTAATTCTGGAGCTCCCATATTCATTAATTACTACTACAACTAAGAAAAGAGATAAGCAGCAACACAGTAATAGTGGGGGACTTCAACACTCTATTAATAGCACTAGACAGATCATTGAGGCAGAAAGTCAACAAAGAAACACTGAACTTAAACTGTGCTCTAAAACAAATAGACTTAACAAATATTTATAGAACATTAAGAACTGCAGAATATATATTATTCTCGTCAGCACATGGAACATTCTGCAAGACAGAGCATATTTTTGGCTACAAAATAAGTCTTAATTTTTTAAAATCAAAATTATATAAAGTATCTTCTCGGACAACAGTGGAATAACACTAGAAATCAACTAAAAAAGGAACCCTTAACTATGCAAATACATGGAAATGAAACTGTCTGCTCTGAGTGATTTTTGGGGTTAACAATGAAATCAAGATAAAAATTTTAAAGTTCTTTTTAGATGAAAACAGTGACAAGTTATCAAAACCTGGAATACAGCAAAAGCAGTGCTAAGAGGAATGTTTATAGCACTAAGTGCCTGTATCAAAAAGTCTGAAGATCCCAAATTGACAACCTAACATCACACCTCAAGGAAGTGGAGAAAGAACCAACCAACCCAAAGCTGGCAGAATAAAAGAAATAACAAAGATAAGAGCAGAACTAAATGGAATTGAAACAAAAAAATACAAAAGATCAATGAAACAGAATATTGGTTATTTGGAAAGACAAAATTGATCTCTAGCTAATTTACGAAGAGAGAAGATTTAAATAAGCTTAACTGGAAATGAAAATTGAGATATTACAACTGATACCACAGAAATACGAAAGATCATTTGAGACTATTATGAACATCTCTGTGCACACAAACAGGAACATCTTGAGGAAACTGATAAATTCCTGGAATCATACAACCCTCCTAGCTTGAACCAAGAAGAAACAGAAATTCTGAATAGACAAATAAGCCATGAGACTGAATCAGTAATAAATAAATTGCAAACAACAACAATAAAAAGCCCAGGGCCACATGGATTCACAAATTCTACCAGACATTCAAATAATTGGTACCAATCCTACTGAAACTATTCCGAAAGATTAAGGAGTCCACCCTCACTCATTATATGAAGCCAGTATCACTCTGATACCAAAACTAGGGAAGAACATAATAAACCCCCAAACTACAGGCCAATATCCTTGATGAACTTAGATGCAAAAATCCTAAATAACATAGTAGCAAACTGAATGCGATACCACATCAAAAGATAAGTCATGATGATCAAGTGAGTTTCATCCCAGGCGTGCAGGGATGGTTCAACATAGGAAAGTCAATAAATGTGATTGATCACATAAACAGAATTAAAAATATAAACCATATGATCTCAAAAGATAGACACAGAAAAAGCATTTGATAAAATCCAGTATCCCTTAATGATAAAACCTCAACAAACTAGGCTTGGAAGGCGCATACCTCAAAATAATAAAAAGCCATGTATGACAGTCCCACAGCCAAAATTATACTGAACAGAGAAAAGTGGAAATTATTACCCCTAAGAAGTAGAACAAGAAAATGATGACCTTTTACCCCTTCTACTCAACATAGTACTAGAAGTCCTAAGAGCAATCAGGCAAGAGAAATAAAGTGCATCCAAACTGGAAAACAGGAAGTCAAATTGTATTTGATGGTAATATGATCTTGTACCTAGAAAAGCCTAAAGACTCCTTCAGAAGACTCTAAAATCTGATAAATGAATTCAGTAAAGTCTCAGGTTACAAAATTAATGTGTACAAATCGGTAGCACTGCTGTAAGACAACAGTGACCAAGCTGAGAATCAAATCAAGAACTCAATTCCATTTACAATAGCTACAAAAAAAAAAAAAAAAAAAAAAAAGGAATATACTTAACCAAGGAGGTAAAAGATCTCTACAGGAAGAACTATAAAATACAATAGAAAGAAATCATAGATGACACAAAGAAATGGAAATATATCGTATGTTCATAGATCAGAAGAATCGAGGGTGTGGGCGAGGGATGGAAAGTACCTGTTGGGTACAATGTACACTACTAGGGCAATGGTTGCACTACAATCCCAGGCTTCAACGCCGTTTAATTCATCCATGTAACCAAAAACCACTTGTACCCCTAAATCTATTGACATAAAGATAATTTCATAGAAGGATACAGAAGGCTTATTTGGTGGGAAAACTTGAGAATCAACATACGTAATGAAAGGAACAAATTTATCCATTGAATAAAAAATGAAACAACAAATCCAAACTTTATTTTGAATGAATAAATACATTTCTTAGTCCAGTTCTTATAGAACTTTCTATATGTGCACAGATTTAAAGTAACTCCCCGTTACATACTTATGAATTGTAAAGGGAAAACTAAGTATACTTCAAGCTAGACACCATCTTGCCATGAGATCCAGTGAACAGCAACCAGCAGTGGCACAAATAGAAAGCAAACATCAAGTGATAAGATACAATGAGAAGATTGTAGCACCGCTTTTGACATTCTTGCCACAGATATCTACCCTGAGTCTAATTCTAATCATAGGAAATTATCAGATAAATCCAAATTGAGGGACATTCTCTAATGCACCTGTCCTGGATTTTCAAAAGTAGTAGGTTCATGATATGGGAAGGTAATGAGAGGTGAAGCCAGTTGGACTTCCTGGGTCGAGTGGGGACTTGGAGAACTTTTCTGTCTTACAAGAGGTTTGTAAAATGCACCGTTCGGCGCTCTGGTGTGTTTTACAAACCTCTGGCTAGCTACAATCAGTGCTCTCTAAAAACGTACCAATCAGCACTCGGTGGCTAGCTAGAGGTTTGTAAAATGGGCCAATCAGCACCCTGTAAGATGGACCAGTCAGCAGGACATGGGCAGGGACAAATAAGGGAATAAAAGCTGGCCACCCCAGCCAGCAGCGGCAACCCTCTTGGGTCCCCTTCCATGCTTTTGAAGCTTTGTTCTTGCGCTCTCCACAATAAGTCTTGCTGCTGCTCACTCTTTGGGTCCGCACCACCTTTAATAGCTGTAACACTCACCTCGAAGGTCCATGGCTTCTTCATTCCTGAAGTCAGCAAGACTACGAACCTACCAGCAGGAACAAACTCCAGACACAGTAAGACTGAAGAACATATTATGTTGCAGGAGAATAAAGAGAGGATAACTAAATTCTAAACTGATTACCTTTGCTATAAAGGATACCTTCCAATCTATTAGCAGAACTTGAATGAGTCTGAGCATTCAATAGTTATAACATCAGTGTTAATTTTCTGATGTAGTTGATTGTGCTATGGTTATGTAGAATAATGTACTTAATGTAAGAAATGCATACCAAAGTGTTGGAGGATGAGGAGACATCATGGCAGCAACTTACACATACTTGTAGGAAAAACTTAAAAATCCACAAAATGTACTTACAGCATTTGTGTAAGTTTGAGATTGTTTTTTAAAAAAGTCAAACAACTAGCTACAAATTATATTGAGAGTACTCTTGAAAGTAGAATAACTTAAGCAAATTATATTATCCTAAAGGACTGTGCTAGTATTGCTTTATTTAGAAAATATTAAAAATTATCAATTACCTGAAAATGAAAGGCAAAAAAGGCAGTGCATTCAGAACATTAAATTGAATGAGGGTCTCTCATAAGCTCTGTTACTACTCAGTTAAAATGATAAAATTGGCTTCCTGATGGACCAATCTATTGTCATGAATATTGTAGATATTTATTAATCACAATCTTGGTAGTATGTACTCAAGACAAAAATTAGCGGTTAGTGGGGTAAGACTTTGAATATGACCTTGAGTAAAAAAAAAAAAAAAAAAAAAGTGAAGAAACAAGAAGTAGTCCTCTAATTATCAGCTTCAGAGGCCTTTATTTTCTTTAACAATATTCCTCAGACACCCCAGCATTAAGTTGGCAAATTAATGGAGGAGGCTGGCAAATGCTTCTTTCCAGTTTGGCTCTGAATATTTTTCAACTGCTAAAATCTTCTAGAAGTATCTATCCAAGCATGGTTTATGGGGGAAAAAAAGTAAAAAGCTAAATAAAAAACACATTATGCAGCAGAACTCATTTGAATGATTTATTTTAAAACATTACTGAAGAAAGGAAAGAAAAATTCTTTAGTACACAGAATCTATCTCTGAAATCCTTTGGGAAGATACAAATTTATTTTGCTCACATAATCTGGCAATAAAATTATGGCATAATCATAGAAACATTTTATAAAATAATGCCTGGGATCTGAGTAATGCAAATCACTAGGCAATTTCCAGATATCCATATTATTTGCATATTTCGAACAGGCTACCTCTAGAAATCTATTTAACAGAAGGACCAAGATATGTACACAAAAAAATAATAATGCTGAGAGTTTTTACATGATTGTAATGCCTCTCTTTTTATATTATTTCATAGTGACAAATACCCTTTTGTACATAGTACTCTTCTCCCCATCACCAGTGACACCACATGGCCATTCTCACAGGAAGCCCATGTCAAGAGAGACGGGGCCATGTGCTTTGCTGCTTGTCCTAACCGTGATAAGTGATAGTGCCATCTACAGAATGAGTGTATTAGTCTGTTTTCACACTGCTATAAAAAAAATAGACTGGGTAATTTATAAAGGAAAAAGGTTTAATTAACTCACAGTTCTACATGGCTGGGGAGGCTTCAGGAAACTTAACAATTATGGCTGAAGGGGAATCAGACATATATGGTAGGTGAGAGAAGAATGAGCAAAGGGGGAAGAGCTCCTTATAAAACCATCAGATCCTGTGAAGACTCACTGTCATGAGAAGAGCATGGGGGAACCTCCCCTACAATCCACACCTCCCTTTCTCCACACATGAAGGTTAAAGGTCTCCATGTAAGAATCCCTATTACAGGTCCCTCCCTTGACACGTGGGGATTACCATTCGAGATGAGATTTGGGTGGGGACACAGCCAAACCGCAGCAATAAGGAAGACTGAAGGGGCTCTAATTTTAAAAATATATAAAAAGATAAGATTTGGAATGCTGTGTTTGAAGTGATGGCAAATTATCCAATATTAGATTTCTAGGGTTTTTAAAATCCCTCTTCCAAAAGAAAATTTAACAAAGACAGAGGGTAACAAAAGGTAAAGATAAAACCTAGGAAAGTTCAGTGTCATAATTGTCAGGGCAGAATGGATTTTCTAAAGTTAGGGGCAATATATTTTGTGTTGCTGCTGAAACAAATTTGTACAAACTTAGTCTGGTGGTTAATATTACATGTCACTTGATTGAATGAATGCCTAGATAGTTGGTAAAATATTGTTTGTGGGTGTCTCTGTGAAGGTATTACCAGAAGAGATTGACGTTTGAGTCAGTGGAGTAGGAGAGGAAGACCCACCCTGAATGTGAGTGGGCACCATCCGGTCAGCTGCCATCACAGCTAGAACAAAGCAGGCAGAACAAGGTGGAATAAGCTGGCTTGCTGAGTCTCCTGGCTTTCATCTTTCTCCAATGCTGGATGTTTCCTTTGGTTCCTCCTGCCCTTGGAAATCAGACTCCAGGTTCTTCAGCCTTTGGACGCTTGGACTTACACCAGTGGTTTTCCAGGGGCTCTTGTGCCTTCAGCCACAGACTGAAGGCTGCACTGCCAGCTTCCCTGCTTTTGAGGCTTTCGGACTTTGAACCACTGCTGACTTCCTTCTCTAGCTTGCAGATGGCCTATCATAGGACTTCACCTTGTGATCATGTGAGCCAATTCTTTCTAATACACTCCCTTTTATATATACATGTATATGTATTGTTAGTTCTGTCCCTCTTAAGAACCCTAATTCACAACGTCACTTAACACAAATTAATTTTCTTAGGATTCCAGATAGCAGAGGTCTGAAATGGGTTTTCCTGGGCTAACATCTATGTGCTGGCAGGGTTGTGTTCCTTCGGAAAGCTGGGAAGAGCTCTCCAGGGAAGATTTCTTTGCTTTTCCTGTTTATGGAGGCTGCCTGCATTGCTTGGCTCATGTTCCCTTCCTCCAATTTCAGACTAGCAGATAGAACACTCTGACTTCTGATTCCATGGTCAGACCTTTCACTTTCTCTTCTACTGCCCTCTCCCTTCTAGGGACCCCTGTAATTACATTGGGTCCACTTGGATAGTCCAAGATAATGTCCCCATTTTGTTTCTTAATTGTATTTTCAAAGTCCCTTTTGCCATGTAAGGTAACATAATCACAGATTCTGGGGATTCAAAAGAAAATTTCACAGAGACAGATAAACATATCAAACATATTTGGGGGTCATTATGCTGCCAACCACATCACAGGCAGTTATAATGCACATGGATAGTAGAGAGATTGCAAGAGGGGAAAGTGTGGAGAGGAAATGGAATTAAAGATGGAGATTCTCATTCAAATCATTAGTGAGCATAACGAAAAAAGTATAAGATGACTAATAGAGCATCTCAGTTGCCCCTTTGTGACCATGTAAGTTAGACTTAAGTCTAAGTATACATTATTGAATATGCTTTATCAATATTTTTCTAAGGTAAAATTTTCATTCATAAAATGCATAGATTTTTACAAAATATGTAATCTGAGTTTTGATAAATATATGCATGTGGTTTACCACCACAGCAATTAAGACAGATAATTTTTTCACTCGAAAAAGCAAATACCCACAGATTTCATACTTCCAGCAATATATTTTCATTCAAAAATTTTTAATCTATAGATTGGATGAAATATATCTATTTTTATATGTATATAAATATATATATACATATGCATGTGTGTGTCCATAATGTTCCTTGATTTTTTCTGCTTCTAAAGGCTGCCTGGAAGCGAAAGAAGGGGTCCCCTTCTTCCATTTTCAAGCTTGCAAATTCATAGCTTGAAATTCTATGGTCAAGTCATCGTCTTCTCTCACTTTGACTCTAAAGTATGTATTTGGTTCATCATAAGATTTATATATATGTATATATATATATACATATACCTTTCTACCTATATATTTGTAAGTTCTCAAAGGATAGAGACATTAAACTCCTAATACCGGGCTTAGACAACTGGCCTACCACATTGTATTTGTCCGTTTTCACACTGCTGATAAAGACATGCTAGGGACTGGGTAATTTATATAGAAAAAGGTTTTATATATATATTTTTTATACTTTAAGTTCTAGGGTACATGTGCACAATGTGCAGGTTTGTTACATATGTATAATGGACTCACAGTTCCACATGGTTGGGGAGGCCTCACAATTATGGCAGAAGGCAAAAGCCATGTCTCACATGGCAGCAGACAAGAGAGAATGAGAGCCAAGCGAGGAGGGTTTCTGCTTATATAAACCATCAGATCTCATGAGACTTATTCACTACCAAGAGAACAGTATGGGGGAAACTGCCCCCGTGATTCAATTACCTCCCACTGTGTCCTTCCCGCAACATGTGGGAATTATGGAAGCTACAATTCAAGATGAGATTTGGGTGTGTAAACAGAGCCAGACCATATCAAACATTTTGATAACCTCCATTATTACGTTTTTGCTATAGTATCAATATTGACTTATCAGGAAAATATTATAGTGCATATTGTAGATCTCTGAAATAGAATCATTGCTATTATAGTATCCTCTTCATGTAATTCCTGCATATCTTTTTATTTACCAGGACTGTTAGTGATATTAACCACAAGTTATTGCTTTTAGTAAAATATTTCTTGGCAGATCTTGGTGTCTAAATGAGATGACTGGGTTTTTTTTATTGTTGTGTTCTTCCCCTAACTATAATAATTAGCTATAAAATTATCTCAGACATATAGTTGGTTAATAAAAACCTAGGAAATAAAGATTAGACCAAATTAAAATTTTGTTTGGAGCTCGAGCAGAGTCCATAAATCTAAGTTGGCAAAAACAAATGAAAGTATTTTATATTTCACTTGGAATTTTAGGAAAGAGCACTAGGAGAAAATGCATATTTTTTTTTCATCACTTGCAGGGAATAACCAGAGAAGGAAAACTCTGCAATCCCATTGATATCTTGGTACCCTTGCCAATTGACTGGGCTACACACACCTTATATAATGAGTCTTAGAGACAATCAGAAAAGTATTCCCACATAAATCAAGAAAATGGATAGCATCAAAGCATAATGTTGTTGTCATTACTGGAAGTCCAGGGCCAAAGTTACATGTAAATTGGCAAACAAGACAAAATCAATGCAAGTGACTTGCAGGTTTGAGTCTGAAAACCTGGCTGAGAGAGAAAGCTGAATATCCCACGTGGATGAGGGTGGCCTCAGATGGAAATGAGTGGTTTTAATTTAAGCAGCTTGCTGTTGACAGAAGGGACTATCTGCCATGCTCATCACTTATTAGCAGTGCTGATGGCTTCACACTTGAAGAAAGTAGAGAGTTAAATTTATTCAGGTCATCTGTAGGCAACAAATATGGAGACAAAGTGGCAAGGGCTGTTTTTCCCAAATGTTAATGTGCATAAAAATATTAAAACAAGCAGGAATTTTACACTATCCCACATACAAGGCTCTGTTTTGAGTAATATACTCAAGTCAAAATACATAATATTATTTTAAAATTTAAAAAAATCACTTGACGTGTTGGCAAAACAATGAAACTTAAAGGACATGGGCTCTGGTGCCAGATGATCTAAAGTTTGAGTTTGCCCTGGCCCTGAGTTAGCTGTATAAACAGGATATGCTACTTAACTTTGATAGCTTTAGTTTTCATCGTGTGGAAAATGGAGAGGATGCCCATCTCACTGTGTTTTTATGAAGGTTAAATGTGGTTATAGATTTAAAATATGTTGCATGCCTTGCACGATACTGGCTTCCCATCAAGAGTTTTGAGTATATTACAGGTATTTTCCCCTCTTCTTCCCTGCTATCATTCTCAGTTGTCTTTTGGTGGAAGGTAGCAGATTGGATTAAAAGATTGCTTTTTTTTCTTTTCTAGAGTTCAACTAGGCCCTTTAATGTTGGAGGAACCAGGGATATTCTGTGGACATAATTCTGGACAGCAGAACCTAGTTTTCTCCATGCAGAGGAGAATCATGCTGTCCTCAGAGGGTTTATTCTTAAGCAGTTCTCACTGACATGAGAGACAGTGACCCAGTGTGTTGGCATGGAGGGATGGGCAGGAGTGCACCTTGCAGTAGGCAAGTTCTCCTCTAGTACATGGAGCTGCCTCCACGTCACACACTCTGGCAGCAGAAGTTTTGGTGCTGTGAAATCTGTGTTCTCTAGGGATGACTGAAGTTGTCATCCCAAAGAGATTTGAAGGGAATATACTCTCTCTAGATACAAATAACACATATCCTATGTGACAGTCTGTCTTCTTGTTGCTTGATTTTATCCTGATGTTCAGTTGACATTACTGCTTTATATAGAAATGGTTAAGTGACTTTTTTTCTTGTTTACTTTTTTATTTTTTATCACCTGAGCAGACATACATACAAACACACTTACATGTTTATATTATATTATATATTTACAACCCAAGGTTAAAAATGATAGAGCTGCGGTGCTTATAAACAATTTAGTAAACCTGAAATTGTTACTAATACAATTTAAGCAGTTTAGTTAACTTTTTAAAAATTACCAGCACTTGTAAACAAATGTTTCTTAAAAATGTGTAAGAACTAATACTCCTGCATACAAATTTTAGTTGATTTCTCTCCTTAGTTTTAATGGAATAATAATGTTTTATTGTCATTATCTGATGGACATGATTACTGCAGATATTTTATCATGTTGGCATTATGATTTAGTAGAATTTTACCGTTTAATTCTTAAATATACACAGAAACACTGCTCAGAGTCCTCTGGGCAATAATATCTGGTACAGATGCATGAGGGAAAAAGAGCAAAGCTATTACTGTTAGGAGTGTCTGGTCACTTAAATCTTTCACACATCAGTGGAAGAATAGATTTCTTAGTGCTGAAAAGCACAATGATGACTTGTATGTTATAGATTTGTGATTACATTAAAACTTAAAATTTCACAAATCTATAATATGCAGGTCATCACTGTGAAAACTATACGTTTGCAAAAGCCTTAAATTATATAAATCTTTATGCATTTAGTAAAACGTTATTTCCTTTTATGTTGAACTTTGTCATGACCTGTTCTAGAATATTACATGGTATTGACTTTTGAAATGGCAGCAAAGGAACAAGTTTCTTAAATATCTATTTGATTGATTTACATTCATGCAGATGCATTAAGTCTTTCACTGGTTGATGTTCTTCTTTCCAAGTGGATTACAATCAGATTGAAGACCAACTTTCCAGATTCTGCCAAATCCCACTTCTCACTCACATTTCCAAGATTGTCTCAGGAACATTCTTCAACAAACATGACAACATCAAGTCTTTCAAGTAGTGATTTTTCTTTTTATGAATGTAGGCATTACTCTGTGAAAATGAATTACATTAATGATAAAATGCAAGAAACTAACAGCAAAACATCTGATATAAGACAAGATAAAATGTGACACATTTATTGAATATTAAATAGTTACTTAGGTTTAAATATTTAAAACTATGTAGATATATGGCAATCTCAAATACATCCAGAATATGAAGGGGAAATTGAGTTTAATGCATATACCTATATTTTCTTAATATTTCTGTAAATGTAACACTAGCTATTTTGTGTAGAGTTGTAGCCAAGTCAAGAAACCAGTCTTAGTCTATAATGGTTTGAGACCTTGACGAGTAAATTAATACCTTTTGGTTTTATTGATGACAATACTGATGTCTGGGATAGGAACTTTGAAAGTCATTTCTTCTAAGTAGCAAAGCTGCTTGTTGAATTGCATTTTCCATTATCTTTGCTGAGGGGTTCCATAGTCACCTCTGCATCAACATCTCCATTCAACTTGTCATTTTCCCTTCAGTCCTTAGGCTGATTCTAATTTCTATTGATTAATAAGTGGCATTACATCTTGCCTGTTCAGCCAGTCTCAGCCTCATGTCCTCCTCACATTCCATATCCATTCTTTTTCTCCACTTTCTACATTTGACTGATTGCCAAGACCTATACATTTTAATTCTATAATAACTGCCCAATCTATTTCTTCTCCACTACTGCTGCAACTACTTGAGTTTGAGTCTCCATCGCTTCTTATTTGGATTACTCTAATGAATATATAACAGATCTCCCCACCTCCAGTCCTGTTTTCCTCCAACTTTTCTTCATAGGGTTGTTACCATATTCTTGGAAAATAAAAATCAAGTCGAGTTACCCATCTTCCACTGCTGCCCACTTCTTGTTAAAGGCCTTGACTGGCTTCTCTTAGATTAAAAAAAAATCAAGATAAGAATTGAACTGAACACTGAGAACACATGGACACAGGGAGGGGAACAACACATATTGGAGCCTGTTGGAGGCACCAGGGGAGGAAGAGCATCAGGATAAATAGCTAATGCATGCGGAGTGTAATACCTAGGTGATGGGTTGATAGGTGCAGCAAACCACCGTGGCACAGGTTTACCTATGAAACAAACCTGCATGTCCTGCACATGTATCCCACAACATAAAATTAAATTAAAATTCGTATTAGAATTGAACTATTAAATTTTGACTGAAAGAGAAAAGGGTAGATGCATCTCATTTTCTTCACCTACAAAATGCTATGATCTAATTTGATTAAGGACTCATCAGTCTCCCCAAATTCTACCATCATAGATGAAATTCCTGTGCCTGCTTTTCCTGGCACCAGTGTATCCTGTGCCTCTACCACCATATACTGTCTATCTCTTAGACACCCAGCTTATAATAGAGAAGACAGAAACCAAAAGAATTGTTGATTCTTAGGATAACTTGGGGCATGCCTAAGTATGCCCTAAGAGCATACTTTCAACACTGAGTCGAGAAGAATTACTGAGTCTTAGGATAATTTTATGAAACAAATAATGCCCAGGGATATCATGCTCTTGCTTAAAGTCCTTGACTGGCTTCTCTTAGATTAAACAAAAAATCAAGATAAAATAAGAATTGAACTGAACAAGGAGAACACATTGACACAGGGAGGGGAGCAACACACATTGGAGCCTGTTGGGGGTGCAAGGGGAGGAAAAACATCAGGATAAATAGCTAATGCATGCGGGGTGTAATACCTAGGTGATCTGGGATAGGCTAGTTGATAATATCTTCTGAGATAGGATGGCCCTATCTTAAGACAGAGTGCAAAATAATTATTGAGTCTTAGGGTAATTTTGTGAAGCTAATAATGCCCAGGGACACCATAGGATGTCCTGTCTCAAGGATGAGTCCAGAGCATCCACGAAGGTTTTATATATGACCTCTGAGCAAGTTAGAACATTGCCAGTGTCTTTTCCATTCAGCCATATCACATCATAACAGCTCAAATGTGGCAATACATGATTGGCGTTATAAAAGAGGTGATAAGAAGGCTTTTGATGCTTGTCTTTTGAAAGTATTTATATTCTTGACATTTCAGATTTTCTTGACATTTCAGACTGTACATACAACACTATCAAGTCAAGCGAGGTTCTCTATCCATTCCAACTTGTGTGTCCATGTGATTCAAATCAACTCAAATCTCTGCTTGCACAGCACATAGCAGATAAGAATCTACAATTTAAGGGGTTACCTTGCATTTAAGGAAAGGAAAAAGACAGAAAAACCTGTTCAGCTAGACAGAAGGCAATATTGACATCAGACTGGAGCCATTAGCACTTTGATAATGAAAATTCTGACATAATCATGTTCAATATGTTGTCAGCATATCTTCTCATTTTTAAAAGATAGTCATCAAAGTGAATAAATTTCTTAAGAATTCATAGGGAGTAAACATAAACTATGCAGATGCTCCATGTAGGTCAGAGTTTCTCAACCTTGGCACTGTTGACCTTTGGGGTAGGATAGCTCTTTATTGTAAGGGGACTGTCCCATGCATTGTAGAATGTTGAGCAAAATCCCTGGCCTCTAGCACCTTCCCCCAGTCCAACAGCTCAAATTGTCTCCAGCTATTGCCCAATGTTCCCTTGGAGTGGGGTGGCAAAATTGCTCCTCATTGAGAACTAATGCAAATGAAAGACATGGTCATTTTTAGATTCATGACACATTATTGGGTTATTTTTCAGTGGTGAAGAAGAAATGCATGTTGATTCTTTTCCTATAGCATTAGTGTTCTTTATATGTCTATGGAAAAAAGAGACAAAGAAATAATTTATAAAGAGTGGTATTCTGAACTTCGTGAATAAATGCTTTTTATTGTATCTTTTAGGAGGAATATTTCAATAGCAAGGTTTTTCCCCCCTCTATGTTCTGCCTTTCATGGTAATCAAAGGAAAGTATAATATAAAGATATTAACTGAATATCAAGGGCTAACGATATAAAAGTATAAATAGAAATAGAAAATGAATTTTCCCCGAGGCAAAGAGAGATGAGAGACAGAGGACAAAGCAGGACAGAAAAAACAGATCTCTTCTGCTCTATTTTATTAATTCATTTAATTAAGCAATTATACTTCTTGCTATGGACCAGGACATTTTTACTTTATTTTTTGTTGTTATATCATGTAATCTTCATAATTCAATTAACTAGGTGCTATTAATATTTCTATTTTGCAGTCGTGGAAACTGAGGCATACCGAGGTTAAATGACTTGGCACAAAAGCACACAGCTAGTAATTGACAGGGCCAGGTCATGCCTGATGCTACTTTCAGCTCCTGTATTTAAACCCCCTACTCCAGTCCATTTGTGCTTCCTGTCTGCTTAAGTAGGACTCTCTGGGATGCAGGCTATAAAACAGCTTTGCTGCACGAATTTGAAATGGGTTCTTGGTGTCTGTTCTTATAGCACTGGGAAGGAAGTAAGACCAGGAAAGGGAGAAAGTGAGCTGTGATGCATTTGCAATAAAAACCTCAGCTAATCCTATTAGGAGATCTACAGTGGGGAATGGGAGGGTTCTGAGTTTTCCCACCTTGAGTTTGGGGATGAATCTATCAAATCATAGACTAGTTGCTGAATGCATGCTGTTTCCAGAAGGGGATGCTACGTTAAACATGGCAGTACTTTTCAGCCAAGGGCTGTGCTCAGTTGAGAGCCATCAACTGGGAGGTCAGGTTCAATGAAACTGTGCTCTCCAACTTTGCCCTGGTCAGTGAATGAATAGAAAGGCATAACATTTGTACAGTGTACTGGGGAAATAGAAACAGCTGGTGGTTGCCAGGAAAAAAATGACCATGACTTCTAACCACTGTAGGTCCTACCTGGTCTTACAAAGACTGTAGTGAATCAAAGCAGTGCCGTGCTATCACCATTATCCACATACGGCCATGTCAGGGCAGATTTGTCGGGGGGCACTGCAGTAAGGAACTCTCTGTGCCTAGGTCCCTGGATAAGGCACCTCCTTCTTCTGATTGAAAGTTTCCATCCACAGCTTAGAAGCTGGATCCCGGCTGCAAAGTTCCCAGAAATCTCTTTTCCTTTTATAGGTTCCATTCCTCATTTGTATTTGTCAGTCCAGGCGGCTGGGGCAGTGGCCTGAAGGACCTTGGCAAAAATATCAATCACCGACCTAGATTTCCACTGCAAGAATGTGAGGGAAATCAGTCAGAATTGGCAATATCTCACAATTTCACTGATTTTTCCCCAGAGTTAGTTTGAACCAAGTGCTGCTGGACGGTGCTGCCCCTCTTTAGTGTGGACTTGGTGACCCAAGATGTGTCTATCATGTGTCCCTGTGATCTTCAACACATGGCTCCTAGGTTTTCCCAGGGATGAATTTCAATCCACAGTCATCTCCAGAAGTGTGGTTGCTTCTGTAGAAGAAATAGGTCCTTTTTGTGGCTGAATTTGGTACCTTTTATTTCTTGAAGCAAAACTACACTCTCCAGTTTCCCTCTGGCAGTTCTGAGTTCAGATCCTCTTTGACCGTCACCATGGACTCGGTGCTGCGTGACTTCGGCTGCAGTATCTTTACCCATGAGAAGAATGAGAGAGCCCTCCACAGAGGCCAGTGTAGGAGTCCTGGTAGGCACCAGGGTTAGGACCACAGATGGTCTCTATAAATGTGGAGTATCAAGGCTTGGGCCAGGCCTGCTGCTGAGGCATGGAGGCAGCCAAGTTTGTAAATCATTCACTTGTTTGAAAACCATTTGTTGACAAGACTGCTCTTTCCCCATTAAATTTTTTTCGGCACCCTTGTGAAAAATCCGTGGCCGCGTAGTATTCCATGGTGTATATGTGCCACATTTTCTTTATCCACTCTATCATTGATGGGCATTTGGGTTGGTTCCAAGTCTTTGCTATCGTGAACAGTTCATGTCCTTTGCAGGGACATGGATGACACTGGAAACCATCATTCTCAGCAAACTAACACAAGAACAGAAAAGCAAACATGGCATGTTCTCACTCCTGAGTGGGAGTTGAACAATGAGAACGCATGGACACAGGGAAGGGAACATCACACACCGGGGCTTGTTGGGCGGTGGTAAGACACACAGTGCTCATCACAGCATGAAGAAAAAGCAGTAGAGAAGGCAGCTGAGACCAGATATCAACAAAGGCAGCTCTTCTGGACTCCCGTGTAACTCAGATAATAGAGACCATAAGCCGCTGTCTGTATTTGGGCACTAGAAAGTCTTACCAACCTTGTGCTGGGGCTTCGGGATTCAGCACCATGTCACCAAGCACCTTGATCAGAATTCTTACATGGCTCGTGGTAAAACCACAAAGGAAATAAGAATTCAGCTGAAATGTAGTTTAATATATTTGCTGAGAATCCTTTCCTCAAAAGTAACTTTTATGGCAATGCCTGTGTGTGTGTGTGTGTGTGTGTGTGTCTACTCATCTAGACAAGTACATTTTAATGTCAATTATTAATAGTTCTTCTGTTTATTTTACTGACTTTCTCTAAATGGGGAAGAAAGTTCACTTAATTTACAGCTCAGTTTCCACCATATTGTTGAAACAAAGAAAGTCCCACTTTTTAAAAGTTTGGTTTTAGGTTTGTATGGTTAGGCTCAAGAAAAAAAATAGAATGAGCGTTAAAACCATGTTATAATGATTTTAGCTAAAATTACAGTATATTAATTAAAGAAACATAGTTTCTATATTGCTTTTCTGAATAAAAGTACATGAAATTGCCTATTGGCACTTGAAGTTGATTTCCTGTACTGGCAAATATCTAGTTACCAAATGATACAGTACAGAATAAGAATGGGTCATATTGATTAGCTTAGACCAAAGATTGTGAAAGTGGCTGGGGCTTATTGTGTTTTCTTAATTCACTCATTCATCTATTCAACACAAATGGTCATCCTATTATGTGCAAGACATTGTGTCAAATGTGGTAGGAGATAAAGACATAAAAATGAAAGGTCAAATTCATTTTTTGAAAGTTTATACATAAACATTAGTCTTAAGCTAATACAAAGATACTACTATACGATCTCATGCTATGAATACTGTTCACCTGTAGGGTTCTTTATTTAAGTGTTCTTCCAGTTATGTGCAATAATTACCTGCAGATAATCCAGTTGGAGAAACTTGATACTTTAACACGGGACCAGATAATCTCAATTAAATAGGTAGTAGAATGTGAAAAAAAGAAATTTTGACTATTTTTTGATGACCCTTAAAACATTAATATCATGTGTGCATGAAAAACAGATTGACAAATATCATGTACTAGTTTAACATATGATATTAATATCATAAGGGTTAAAAACAATCATGCTCACTGAGTAAATACGTTAATATATTTCATATAAAATTGAGTATACTTTTAAATTCTCCACTATTTCAAATTATATCTAAAGAAAATAAAGAATAACAAAAATGTTTGTAAATATTTTTTCAATGCCAGCATTCCAGCATTTGGGATGGTAGCTTTTATTAAGATCTTAATGTGTCAATCTCAAAAAAATGCAAACACATGCAGGTTTCAGTGGAAAAGTTAAAGTTAAATTAAAAACAAATTACCTTTTTTTACCTACAGAAGTGAGTTGTAAGCATTTGTAAGGAAAGCACACATTGCTGAAAGGAAGGAAATGCAGCAGAAGATGAAAACTAGATTGGCTCAACGTTTTGCTTGGGAGTGGATGTTTTTGTAAAATATGCAGAAGCCCAGATTGGTTTGTCTAAGTTATTTCTGGTAGCATTTAATCTTGTCAAGTTTCCTTTGGAAAGTTTAACAGTTGACATCTACAGCAGGAAGAGTGACAGAAATTGTATTTTTTTTTTTTTACTGCTGATGATATTCTTTTCTTTTCTCTGTATTTCATTAATTTGTTAGAGATTTTTATTTTATGTAAAAAGAACCATGTTGAGCCTTTTAGAAAAAGGATGTAAGAATATTGTTTGTTCCTAATCGCAATATGCTTTTAATAGAGTAATATCAACTGGTCCATCTGTCTATGGAGAAGAACAAGAGAAATCGCTTTAGTGTGTAATTTGTTTCTTTGGCACATGTTATCAACAGTGACTGTATCACAACTATCCAGTAGGCACACAATTAGTTTCTTTTGATTTTTGTTATACTTCAGCTCATTTAGCAATTAACTTAGCATTTTCCCTGGGCAACAGAGTATCACTTGAACATCTTAGTTTATGTGAACATGTGAACATATAACTGCCTCATTGAAAAGGGGCAATTCAAAAGCCATATTTAAACATTGCTAACTGTCCACATATTGGAGAAAATATGCATTTGTTTAATTGGAGCATCAGACATATCTGCCTGTAGCAGTATGGTGTTGCCCAGGATTCCTCACAGCTTCATTAGTGATGGAGTAATTTGCAAAACAACATATTTAATTGCAAAGCACTTGAAACTTTGTAGTCTGCATTTAATTCAACCTAATTCTACACTTGGTCTATAATGATAGATGAGAGAGTAATACACTGATATTTTAAAATGACCCACATATTAAAGTTTATATAAGGAAGACAAGTTTTGAAATTTACATGCTGTCACATAATGACAGCACTCTCAAATTCCCAGAACCCTAGAAGAATGCTTAGAGAGAAAAGCTTTGGAAAGTACCATTAGAATTAATACAAGATCTATTCTAATAGACACTGTATGAAGTGCTTTGTATATGTTAACATGTAGTTCCCAGGACTTCCCTGAAAAAGCATTTTATTCCCACATTAAAGATGGAAAAAAAAAGTCTAGAAGATCAGTAACTAAATTCAGATTATAAAACAAGAAATTAGAAGATTAGAATTTCAACCTGAATGTCTCACTCAGCTTTTCCCCTTTCCATGTTGTCCTATTTGTTTAGAATAAATGTGACATGTCTTTATATTTTTAAAAGGCCTTTAAAATCCATATAGTATCTAGGTCCTATATTTTTAAGGTTTCTTTTTTTTTTTTTTTTTTTTTTTTTTACTAAATACTATAGATCTCTCAGAATTCCTTCTGTAACCGAATAGTTATCAGATTACTATCAACCTGCAAGTCTGTGACTCCTGTATACCACTGGGAGCCATTAGGTGCTAGATGTGCTATTTTTCATTCATTCTTTGAGTTAGTGTTTAGAGTCCACCATGTGCTACACATTGCATCAGGTCTTGAGACACAAAGTCCCTGGTCTCATATGGTTAACCAGTTTTATTTAAAAACTTTTTTTTTAAACATACAGAAACTTTAACTTCATTTCCTCATTTTTACTTAAAGCTTAATTTTATAAAACACACAAACACACAAAAATGTGAAGAGTTCTGTATCACAAGAAATTAAATGGTATAAATAATCCACTGCTTCATAGATTCAAGTTACACAAATTGAAATCTAATAATTGAAAATTTATTCAACATGGAAACTATACAATGAAATAAATGACAAAATTACCTACCAGAGCATTTCACAGCTTGTGAATTATTAGTTTTAGGATCTAAACAAAGATTGAGTATTCAGACTTCTGTTGTATTTTATATTTATATATTGCTCTACCTGTATGGAGTAAAGCTACTTAGTAAAAATGTCTGATTTACGAAAACATTTAGCTTTATAGCAAAAGTTTTTTCAGCTACAGTTACCGTCAGCAAAGGAAGTAACATTACAGTGCTGACAAAAATCTACCGGTTCTTTTTCAACAATGTGCAATCAATTCATTACATTAACTCCAAGGTAGGTCAAACAAGTACCAAAGAACAGAACAATTACACACAGTTTAGTAAAGTACAATGTTGGTTTTTCCCATCTAAAAATTAACCAGTGAAATAAGACATCAACTATGGTTGAGTTGGTTTCAGGAAAATCATTTGAAAATTACAGGTATATTATTTTCTTCATCTCATCCTCAGTCATTGACAGGAACTTTGTAAGCCACCGTGCTATTTACTTTGTGGACTAGGTAGTAAATGCAGAAAGACAGACTTCCTCAGAATTGGTCACTCCTCTTCCCATTTTTTCAGGTACAACCAAATCTTTGTATAAATCAGTAGATCAAAAGAAAAAGGTCATTCCTCTTCCCATTTTTCAAGTACAACCAAATCTCTATAAATCAGTAGATCAAAAGAACAACTTCCAACAGTGGCAGAAATGTCACTGTAGCTGTGATCTGATTACTAAACAGATTTCATCCTGGATAGTTTTCTGCGACTATTCTCTGGGCCCAAGATGATCTTTTGCAGTCTTATCACACTTAGGGTCAAACTGCCATCTTTGAAGGACCTCATCACTTTCAGTTGTTGAGATGACTCCAATCAGTTTCTGACCTGAACGTTTGTATAGCCAATGCTTTAGTTGTTCCACCGTGTTATTTAGGTGTTTCATGAGCTCAAGATTAGTGGTTACAAGCAAGGTGAGCCCATATTTCCACACTGGAGTAAATGTTCCAGATGGATATATGCCATGCTGAAATAAAATGCTGTTGATGCCAAATGAGAAGAACTTGACCACGATTTTGGCACTCCTGCACAAGGTGATATCCTTCTCCCAGGAAAGCTTTAGTGCATGGGCAGGCCCATGGACCAGGATACATGCCTTTACCTGGCAGACAATGTTCACAGGTCCCACTGCAGCTGTTGACCAATTGTTTCAAAAATTACCAGGTTAATAATTATTTAACAATTATTAAATTTGAATTTTATTTCTCACCTTGCATTACAGTCAGTCATGGAATGATAAAATAACAATAGTTATTATGCTACAAAAAAAGAAAAAAACTGGCCTAGACAGAAATCAGGTAAATACTTTTAGAATCTTGGATTGGTGGTAGGCTTCCTAAATAAGTCCCTAAATATGTCCATGAAGGAGAAGAGTGTGTTTTGACTTCATACAGACTAAATTATCTATATATTTAAAAGACCATAAAATTACATAATGTGTGCAAAGCTAGGAAAGATATTTATAACTTATGCTACACAAATGATTAATATTCTGAAATTATAAAGGGTTCTTAAATTTTTAAAAAGATAGAAAATAGGACAAAGGACACAAAGAAATATTTCAAAAAATAAATTTAGAATGTCAAACCCATGCAAACATGTCTTGCTTGAACAGCAAGCCAGGACATGGGAATGAAATTGGTGTGAGACGGTTTTGCGCTCCTTAGACTCACAGTACAGAAACGGGTAACATCCAGCAATGCTGGTGTGTCATCAATCTCAGCCCAGTCCCACTGCCTTAATTTGGTGTTGCAGTTGACATTATTTGGATCCACAGTGCAGAGTCCACCTTGTTGCCAAGGTATTGCTTACAGTCCCTGGAAACCTTGATCCTATTTTGTTCTGCAGAATAAATTCTCAAAGGGGAAGAAATTGAGTGGCAGGGTCTGTTTTCCTCTTTGCTAATCATCCCCCAACACTCGCTTTCATGTGTTCCTTTCTGGAACCTAGATGTTAACAGATATATAGGAAAGGGGAGGTACATAATGATACGTGTACTTACACATTTGAATAGTTCAGAGAACTCTTCTCCCCCTTTCTCACCGATACCTGAATTTTCTGGTTATAAGAAGCTAATGGCAAACAACAGCATGCAAGTAAACATTGTTTAAGGTTATCAGTCATAAGCTACCTTGAACACTGAATTCTATTAACTTTTAAAAGATACTTTTATATGTATTCTACCCAACAGAAATCTTTACTATTAGTTATCTTCATCAGGATCATACAACTGTTACAATGTCAATACTGTCGAGGGTATTTTGAAGTACTTTGCCTTTTTTGCTGTGAAAAGCACACTTCTACTTATCACAGTTTGGGGATGCATGATTTGAAGAACTATTCATTATATTATGATCATTTCAGCCAGAGGGGGAAAAGCTTTCTGTCAATTTATCTGCTACCTAAATGTTCAAAGTTGTAATTAATTAGGAGGCAAGAATGTAGAGAAAATGCATTTCAAAGATAAATCTAGTCGCTGAGAAGTTCATCATATCTTATAATTTTCCCATCTCTATAGCAACTGTCAAATACATGTCTGCCTACAAATTTAGAAACAGAAGAAATTATAGAAGGGCGTAAAAAAAATCTGGCACAGGAAGGGGAACATCACACATTGGGGCCTGTTGTGGGGTCGGGGGAGGGGGGAGGGATAGCATTAGGAGATATGCCCAATGTAAATGACGAGTTAATGGGTGCAACACACCAACATGGCGCATGTATACATATGTAACAACCCTGCACGTTGTGCACATGCACCCTAGAACTTAAAGTATAATTTAAAAAAGAAAAAAATAAAAATAAAAATAAAAGTTGATTATTTCAACTTTCAAAAAAAAAAAAAAAAATCTGGCAGCAAGCCAAAAAGGATATCTGACATTTGCATATTTGTTGTCAAAAATCTACCATACGATTGGGCTCGAGTGTTGAAAAGCATTGAGCTCTTGAATGTTTGTTCTACTTTATTGTTTCCTGAATGATCAGGGAGAGACAGAACAGAGGTAATTCTACCTTTATTTGCCCAAGGCTCATTATAAATTCAAAGTCAGTCATGTAATTATGGTATCTTATATCAAGAAGGCCCAGCCCCAATTGCTCATCCTCCAGTCTTCCTCCTATAATTTAATATAATCATCATATACCCAGGTGCTCAGGAACAAAACCCTGGAAATAATAAAATCTAAATATAACCACTTATCACCATCTTTATTCTAAAGCTGTTTCAAGCTACCGACACATCTTACCCTGATTAGCAGTTACCACAACCCATTGACTGAACTCACCATTTCTCCCTGGCCAACCCCTGCAGAGAAGCAATTGCTAAAGTTGTTTTAAAAGCATGTATTGAGCCGTGCACGGTGGCTCATGCCTGTAATCCCAGCACTTTGGGAGGCCGAGGTGGGCGGATCACAAGGTGAGATCGAGACCATCCTAGCTAACACTGTGAAACCCCGTCTCTACTAAAAAAAAAAAAAAAAAAAAAAAAAAAGCCGGCTGTGGTGGCGGGCGCCTGTAGTCCCAGCTACCCAGGAGGCTGAGGCCGGGGAATGGCATGAACCCAGGAGGCGGAGCTTGCAGTGAACCGAGATAGCGCCACTGCACTCCAGCCTGGGCGACAGAGTGAGACTCCGTCTCAAACAAAACAAAACAAAACAAAAAAAAACCCATATATTGGATCATACCATCCCTGAAACTATCAACCTGAAACTATACAATGAATTTTCATCCCACGATGGCCGCTGTCAGCTTCCCAGAACTCAGTTCTACTCTTCAGTTCTCCCCATCATTCATTATGGTTTAAACACATGGGCCTTCTTAATAGTCCTTAAATTAGCCCAGCTTCTTCTCAACTTAGCACCTTTGCACATGACCAGCTTAATGTCATCATTAAAGTCTCAGCTCAAACATAAAGAGGCTTCTCTCAGGCAGACACAGTGGCTTATGCCTGTAATCCCAACACTTTGGAAGACCAAGACAGGAGGATTACTTGAGCTCAGAAGTTCGAGAGTAGCCTGGGCAGCATAGTGAGACCCCGTCACTACAAAAAATAAAAATAAAAAAATTAAGTGGGCATGGTGGTGTGTGCCTGTAGTCTCAGCTACTCAGGAGGCTGAGGTAAGAGGATTGCTTGAGCCCACGGGGTTGAGACTGCAGTGAGCCATGATCGCACCATTGCATTCTAGCCTGAGCTATGCAGTGAGACACTGTATCGAAAACAAAACAAAAATAAAAGAGAGTAAAAGAAGGAAAGAGACCTCTCTCACAATTCCAGTTAAATAGTTTTCAATAGTCCCTCACCAGTTATTATCACTTTTACTCTCTTTCAGTTTCTTCACAGCACTTATCACTGAAATTACCTTATTTGCTTATTTATTTAACTGTTCATTTCTGGACTCCATCGTGCTAGAATGAAACCTGCATCAGAGCACAGGCCTCTTTCTCCCCCCTGTGGCTGTATTCCACCTCTACCATGTGCCTGGGATATACTAGGTGCTCAAGGCATATTAATAAAATATACTCTTCATTTCACAGATGTGAAATCAGATTCTTAGAGTTTATTAAAAACTTACTAAAGCTTTTCTCCTAATAAATAGGCCTAGAAAAGAAATCCAGATTCCCTAAATTGTATTCCAGTGCTCTTGCGGTCAGGGTAACCAGAATACCTTTTTTGGTTGATTTCATATGGGCATTCATATTTGTTAAATTAGAGAGCTATAGAAACTGCCCAGAAGGACAGTAAGGGAAAGGAAAAAATATGAGCTTAATCAATCATTCCTGAGCTTTTGACTATCAAATTTGATTTGAGTATAAAAGATAATGGATAAAATCTATTATTCCCCACATTTATATACCCTGAAAACAGGGACTCTAAAGAAATAGAAAGTAGAGATTGTACAATTGAGCAGCACTGCTCTATGGAAGAGAGGTCCCTGTTGTTCTGGGCAGTCTATGTAAGTACAAAGAAGAACCTCCCTCCAGTAGTTCTAGATGGTCTGCCCAATTATGAGAAAGAGCCTCACTCAAGTTGCTTGAGCAAGGGGAGGCTCATTCAAATGATGCATTGTTTAGAATTGAGAATGTCAATAGCAGACAAGGTAGTAACTATTGCACAGCTCTTTTAAAAAATAAAGGTTACATATGGAAGGTAGTATTACCTTACTGGACATTATATTCTGTCCAGTACTCCTTTTTCAACTGCACAGCTGCCCATTCATTATCCCATGTAATTCAGGTGGTAATGTCAATCACAATGCTTTTTCTGTCTCCTGGCAAAAGCATGGCCTCTGACCCAGATTTAACTCATTGTGCTATGTCTCCTTTGAGTCTACCGTGATTAGCCTAATGGGGGAGCATGTGACCAAACAGGACCAAATGGAACATTCATGAGATTTTTGACAGATTCTAGGAGACAGTGCCTCTCCATATACTCTCTGGAATCAATGAAAACATGAGCCTGGATGGTGGGACTCATTATCACAGAGAAAAATTCCAAGAATGGAAGCAAGAACGCAAAAGCAGAGCTCAGTGATGCACAGTAAAAGATGAAGGCACTTCTGGATCTCAATGCTCCTAAAGCCGAAACCATCTGCCTTGGAGCAGCTATTTAAATAAGAATTTGCCTTCCTGTGTGTGTCGCCTGATCTGTGCCTCGTTTGGTTTCTATTGCTTGCAATTAAAGAATTTTGACCCTGCACTTGTAATTTATAAATTTGACATTGTATATCAAAAGAAGGTATATTTTGGATATTAAATGTTTATTTGAAATTCTGTACAGTAGGATGTACAGTGACGTATCATTAGTCTTTGACATCTGTTTATAGACAGTTTTATTCAATTCATTGATTATTTTGATTAAGGTGTGTATTCATTCATCAGAAAATCCCTAGCTGAAATAAACTCAGATAAATTAATATCTATGCAATCACTGTATTTATAAGAAATAGGTTCTATCTTATTGACCAATGGAAAAGGTGCACAAAGAAATCATACTAAATATAGGTGGTTCCTGTTCCAAATATTCTCTTCAAGACTGTATTTTTATGGTTACAGGACTCAGGAAAGGTGATCTTCACTTTAATTCTAACAGACAAAGCTCAATTTCATCAGGGAAAATAATTGTAAATCCTGATGATAAATCTCTCATAGGAGTTTGCTGATTCAGTACTTCAAGGCAACTAGTGTTCTGCCCTCAATTTTATTTTTATTGCTTTTGAATGATTAATATACAGGCATTGACTAATAATTTCTTTTGCAGAATTGGATTATGTTATTGATGGATTTAGAAATAGGACTTGAAGATATATTAACATAACTATAGAGTTGAAAACATTAAGCCAGTGGGGCCAAAGAGGGGAAAAGTATACGGAAATCTAAAACTCAACTCAAAATAAAAATTATGTGTGACGACTTTGACAAAATAGTCAAAATGACAAATCCTTATTGGTAGCAGTGCTCATGCATTTATAAAAGTCTCATCCAACTGGAAAAGTAGAAGACATATAAAGTACAAACAGATCCTCTCTTATGGGCTCTCAATTTTCCAAACAAATTGGGTGTAAGGCAAATTATGAGAGTAATGTTGCTTCTAATAAAATATTGATTTTAAACGGATTTTCTGGTACAATTCCAAGGAGAAAGTGTGTACCGTTGAGACCTAAGGAGACTCAAGTACCTTGGGCTCTAAAAGGATTATTAAGCTCTGTAGCCAAATGATATTTTTTAAATAATCCAGATTGCGTTAGAGATTTTCGTAAAGTGAAGATAACATTAGAAGTTGAGGTGACCTACATCTATTTGGAGAAATTCATTAGGATTTTATATGATGGGTTCAGGGGATACAGTTTTTCATTAAAAGGAGTGGGCAGTCAAGAGTATATATTTCCCCAGCATCAGCCAATACACTATAGAAAGGGAAAACAATGTAATTAATAATGGCATTAAGAATCTGTCACAAAGTCTCACCTGTGCCCCTTTAGTTCCAGTAGAGAAGCTATTACAGTAGAGACGCAAGGACACATACTATTTAAAGTATGTACTTGAAGGAATACTCAAACACCACTATAAATTCGCCCAGTGTTTTGTTTTTTAAATCCTCAGTTGTAATAAAGCAGCATGTCTTCAAGAAATAAGGTTATGTCATGGTTAATACATCAGATGGAGGAGTCAAGAATCAGAATTCTAGTTCCTAGTACTCTGCAACTAACTTACTCAAATTTATCTCGGTTTCAACTTATCTTGTCTCTAAAATAAGGTTGATGAAATGATCTTTAATATCCCTTTATGTTCTAAAAGTGACCTGATTATATTATTTGTCTAGACACTGCATGACCATTTAAAAAGCAGAATATGATGGGAAATATTTTGTTCTATAACTTAATTTAAATATACAAACACACAAACCAATAAAAATAATCTAGCAGAAGATAGAAGGATTTAAAACTAAGGGACGTTGGTTATTCCTTCTCTCAGATTTGTTAGATTTAGACTCTGAGGAGAAAACTGTTCTCCCTGTGTCTGTTTTTCCTGGTCTTAATTTTCTTAGCCCATCTGAAGGCTAAAAATGTAATTAAATTGTACAATCCTGACTTGCCAAAATTCCTAAATGAATTGGAAAATGGCTTATATTTGCATGGAACACCGCTGTATATTGTTATAATGCATTATGCATGTTTATTTGTACATAGATGTCTTAAATATTAGCTTTGAGTAAGTTTGCTTTCTCCATCAATTAATTATCACATATCATCTATTTCACAAAATTGTCCTAGTTTGCTAACACATGATGTTTATTTATCTAAGTATTAGTTTGAGGAATGGGGTATTTTCATAGTCTCAAAATGTTTATTAATTACAGAAAAGAGTAGCTATATTATGGAGATACCTGGTGGATACCACCTTAACTAGATGGTCAAAGTTAACATCACCAGTAATGAAGCAAATTGACATCATTCCCTGCTCATAGAATCCACTGAGAAAAAACACAGCATCACTGCTGTGGTGTTCCTGCCTAGAATGCATAACATGAATCCCATCATGAGGAAAACATCAAACACATTTAAATAACTGGCCTGTTAAACCTCCAAATTTCAAAGTCGTGAAAAAGAACAGCTGAGCAATTGTTGCAGATTTGAAAGATAATAGACATGCCAACTAAATGGAAAGCAAGAGCCTGAATTAGATGCTAGGCTGAGAACAAAAATAGTCATAGAGGACATTTTGTTGGAAACTGGTGAAATTTGATTATAGACTGAGAACTAAATTATATTACATCAACATTAAATTTCCTCCTTTAATAAATGTGTTTATTTAACAGCATATGTTTGAACTTAGGAAGCGCATACTGAAGTACTCACAGATAAAAGGGTGCCATAGCTGCAACTTGCTCTATAAATGGCCAAATGACTCGGAAAATAAAGCATGTGTGTGTGTGAAGAGAGAGATTGAAAGAGAAAGGAAGGGGAACAGGGAGAGAGAGAATAAGGCAGATGGAACTACTACTAAAATAGGCTCTATACATATGTATATATAGTGGTGCTTGGAACAGAGCCTAGCATGATGTAAGAGCCAAGAGTTGTCCTTTGTTACGTGTAAAATACATGACACCTGATAGGTTCTCCATGAATAATATAGTATTATAATGAATCCAATTGAAAACCGCTGCCTAATTTTTATTTTTTAACTTTGAAGCCTAAAAAATGCAGCTATGAAGATAGTACTGCATATTTCTACATTATTCCAGTGCATTAATTTAGCATCTATTAAACAGAACATAGGAGCTATAACATACAAGACTGAGTTTGTGCTTAAATAAAAGGTACAATAGGCAATAATTGTTTAGAATGCTTTGCGCTGCTTTTAAAGCTCTTTAAATGTACCCAACCACAGCATACTAATTTTAAATAATCAACTCCTATAGAGTAATTGGGGTATAGTCTTAACTCATTTAATAATACTTACTTAGCTAAGGGCTTCCACATCAAGCTAAGCACACAGATTTTTATGAAGCTATTTTGTAGATACTTGGGCATTTTCTTTTAATACCTCGATATAATTAGTTCAGAAGGCCCAGTAACAGTTTGAGATAATTGTGCATAAATTAATTGCTAAAGGGCACAATTAACTTTTTATTAACATTTGTGACAATAAACATTCAACTTGGTTTCTAATATTTCATAAATTCCATATTTTAATTGTTCCTATATTAAGTTTTATTACTTAATGTCCTTGAATATTTGCCTTGGGGACCAAAGCAAACACTCTCAATGTGGTTAATCCAAAGGAAAAACCTGCATTTGATTAGACACTGGGAGTTGGACAAGCACGGGCTTCAGTCTCCACTGCTGTCAGAGGCAAGGAAGAAGAGTTCCTTGATAGGAAACTTCCCGAGAGGACAAGCCTATAACGAAAGTAGTGTTGTCATAAAATGAGGTTGCTTATCTTTTTAAGGAACCCTGATTTTTCAATTATCAAAATCGAGCATCACCCTGGAATCACCTTACGATTTGACGTGTTCAATCCTGAATTAAACATCAAGGATGTGGTAGGTTGTTCACTCCTCAGGGCTCACAGGGTAGCCTATTCTTGACTTTAAGTAGACCCTCTCCTTACATGTTAAAAAAAAAATACCTAATTCCTCAAAGAGGAATCATCCAATCTTCCTGCCTTGGCAGCGTTAAATCTGGCTCTAAAATACTGGGAACCAAGCATCCTGCTATTTTTGGTAATTTTCAGTAAAACCTCTTCATATTACCCTCATTTCCATCTGATGCTTCAGAGCTTAAAGTCTCTTTTTAGCAGTCTCATTAAATATTTAGATACAAATTCCCTTAATAGGGAGGCATTTATATGATTAACTGATGTAGTAATTGACTATATTTTTGACACTTGGAACCACTCTTCCAGTGGCTTCTCTCCTAAGGTTACTTAAACTTTGTTACTCCAGGGGCACTGAGAGTTACACTGTTATTTTTTATTTTATTTTATTTATTTTTTTAATAGAGGGTCTCTGTTGCCTAGGCTGGAGGGCAGTTGCACAATCACAGCTCGCTGCAGCCTCGACTTCCCTGGCTCAAGCAATCTTCCCACTTCAATGTCCTGAGTAGCTGGGTCTACAGGTGCATGCTCATGCCCGGCTATTTTATTTTATTTTATTTTATTTTGTAGATACAGGGTTTCTTTGTATTGCTCAGGCTGGTCTCAAACTGATGAGCTCAAGTGACCCTCTGACCTCAGTCTCCCAAAGTGCAGAGATTACGGGCATGAGCCACTGTATCTGGCCTGGTAGAGACCTTAAATACAAAAGCTTTCTGGGCTTGTTCTCAGAGGCAGTGTAGAAGGATTCACCAGGAACCTGAGTCCTCCACACACAGCCTGAGATTCTAGGGGGCCTCATAGAGGAGGCTGCTCTGGAAGGAAAGGTGATGGAGGAGCTGGGTGCCTTAGGCTGGGAACAGGGGAAGATAAATGTGGGACCAGGCTAGGTGACTGAAACCCCTGGGAGTACATCAGTAGACACAGTGCAGGATCCACTGCCAGGGCCATCTGGGAAGATGCCCCCAAGGCACTAAATGCACTCTTCCTCAGGCCTGCTGGTTTCCTTACACATGTAAATGAAAAGAGCAAATTTGAAAAAGTAGATTTTATGAAAAAACCTCCATTATATATTTTTAACAGTAAAAGGCAAATTGCAAAGCTTTATATATATTTCATAGTTTATGTACATATGTGTGGGGAGTTTTAAATGCAGGACAAATCTCAGTTCTCAGGGGAGGCATTGGGGTTGGGAGGAGATGATAAAATAGAACTTTTTATGTTTACACTTTTTAATTTTATTGATTTTTATTTATTGCATTCTTCTAAACCATTTCAATACAAATCAAAATGTGAGAACCACATGTGATTCTAAATTTTTAGTAGTTGCCTTTTAAAAAACAGGTGAAATTTAACTTAAATGTATGTTTAACTTACATCAAAATTATCTGTGTAATCAATATAAAATGATTAACTCCATTGTATAGTTTATAGTCAATCACTGTGGACCAGCCACATTTCAAGTGCTCAGTAGTGACATGTGACTACTGGCTACCAGATTGGACAATGTACGTTTATAGCATTTAATTCATTATAAGTATTTATTTTCACAATACAACTAATTTTAATAATAAAAATGTATACTGAACAAACTAACACAGGAACAGAAAACCAAACACTGCCGGTTCTCACTCATAAGTGGGAGCTGAACAATGAGAACACATAGACACAGAGAGGGGAACATCACACACCCAGGGACTGTCGGGGGTTGGGGGGGTGGGCCAGGGGAGGCAGAGCATGAGGACAAATGCCTAATGGATGCAGAGCTTAAAACACAGATGACGGGTTGACAGGTGCAGCAAACCACCATGGCATATGTATACCCATGTAACAAACCTGCACATTCAGCACATGTATCTCAGAACTTAAAGCAAAATAAATATATATGTATACTGAAAATGGCTACGTACAAATGTCTCAACCATCCCATTTCTTTGTATTGATAAGAATATAGCTAAATACCCTAACTATGCCATTTGTTTGTATTGATAAGAATATAGCTGAAGCAGATCACTTTCTCATTAAGTTGTCTCATTAGGCTAATCGAAGCAGGTAGCTTTCTCCTCAAGGCCTAAACCACCTTGATACCAAATAACAGCACCACTTTTAATCTCTTTCCACTTAAGTAAGTGCCTCATCCAATAACTGCACACGATACTCATTAATATTGATAAATATTGAAGAAGGAAATAAATCATAATACCTGTGCTTTGTAAATAGCATGGAACAGTGGGGGGAAAAATGCTCCTATCTCTGGGAAGCATGAGACAAATTGCAGAGTCATTATCAAGCACAGCCCTAGGGGCCTGGGGGAGAAAATCTGCTGGTCCCAGTCTGAGACTGAAAATTTAACATGCGCAGAACCTGGCCAGAAAGTCAAAAAAGTTGACATGACCAAATCATGAGTAACTTGGTTTCTCTCTTCCTGGAGAGACAGTTAATCTCAGTGTTGATAAAAAGGAACTCCTTAGTGTCCTGTAGCCAAAGTTAAACAAGAGAAAATATTACATTCACTTTTGGTGAATGTAGCCACCAGCAGAAAAAGTCACTAAAACTAGGAAACTTGCTTCCATTGAGACTGTTTTTCCAGGTACCCAGAGCTGTCTAGATAGGTTGTTTTGTAATGAACGGCCACTTTCTTCCTAAGAAATACCTTCTTCCATAACAGCTGTGCAAAGCTAAGGAAACAAAGTGGAGATTCATTTCTCAAGTCATCTGTAAGAAGCTGTTTAATTTTATTCACTTGGTTCCAAACTCAAAGCCCTATAGTTATTCTAAAGATCTTATGGGAAAAGAGAATTTCAGTCCTCCATGGGGCCCCCTCCATGGTAAGGGGATCATGGCTGTGGCACTACCTTCCCAGTGAAGCCCATTTGGTTCATATAGCAGGATGGTAGGTGACCCCTTAGAATCACTGTACATAATGACACCCATCTCATAAAACATCAGTGCATGCTCAGGAGACATTCCTGGAAAAAAATTTAAAAAAAAATTTAATGCACACTCTCATACTCACACACATCACATGAAACATACACTCACACATATTCATAACACAAAATTAAGACACATGCAGACCACAAACACAACAGATGCTACACATATGAGTATCCACAAATATTAAATGTTAAATTTAAACTCTATTGCTGTAAGTTGTCCTGAGTCACTTTCGTTTGTAAATTAAAAGATTAGAACTTGTTCAAGATGTAAAACACACTTAAAAATCTGTGTCTAGTTTTGTCTTTAGTTTTCTTTCCAGTTAATATTTTCCATAGTTTCTTAGTTTTGCTATCCTTCTAACCTAATTGCTCTAATTTTTAAGTATGATCAGTGGGAAGAAGAAAAGAATCCATCATTAAAAATAACCTGAACATAATTTTCTAAGTGTTTTCTTTCTAATTTTTGTGGGTACATAGTAGGTGTATATATTTATGGATTACATTAGATATTTTGATACAGGCATGCAACGTGTAATAATCATATCAGGGTAAATGGGATATCCATTACCTGAAGCATTTATCCATTGTATTATAAGCAATACAATACCATCTGAGTGTTTCCTTAAGTAACTGTCTTCTCATCACATATATCATATATATTATATATGTATATCATGTATATAAAGCAACATCATAAATATTAAACAGTATCATATATATGTGACTATAACCATATGTGTATGTAACTATCAATTACATGTCTCTTTATATATGAAGAATGAAACAATTCTTCTAGTCAGCTTGAAATGCTGACAAGCTAGAAGCATTATTTGTCTTTATTTTTGGAGTAAAGGAACCGGCACACCTGTTCTTCACTTGCACATCAACTTTCAAGTGAGTTTGGCAACATTAGCTCTTGTTGCTATGCAAGATATATCTGGTCTTCCTGAAAAGGCTACCTTATTTGAGAACATGACAAGGCTCACAAAAAAGTACAATGCAAACAATATAAGAGCTTCATATGAATGACATGACATTTTTACCCATTGGTGTTTAAACGTCATCTGCATCAGTTTTGAAGGAGTATTATGTATACGTGGTTTGTTCTTTGCATCAATATTTCTCTCTGGATCCTCCAAAGACTTAGCTGAAGCATGTGCTCTTATTTTTCTGACAGAATGATGTGAAAATATCTGTGCCTGTAAGGATAATTTCATCTTGTATATTGGTATTTTGCTTCCTCTAACCAAAACCTTATCAATGTTTATTTTCTTGTTTATGTGTCATTTCTTCTATTCTTGACCAGACTTTCTGTTGTAATACTATAAGAACAGATTCATGTAATCAGTGATAGATACAAGGATTTGGGCCTGTTTTTGGATGACTTGTTGGTAACGGTATAGTTGGATGGTGTTCAGTTGGGAATTTTTCTCTTTTTACCAGAAAGCTATGCTATGTTGATACTTTACATCCACATACAATGTTGATACTTAGATGGCACACTGAGACATATAAAAGACCCAGCTCCAATCATTTGAGATGTATTTGTAAGAAGGTATCAAATATTTTTTAAAATCACTATTGTCATATTTTTCAAACAAATTTACTTTTATACATAAAAGATGCAAAGCAAAATTCAATAAGATTGTTTTATTGAGCATCAAAGACTCCATTTAGGAGGCAGATGATAAAGGAGTCAAGCAAAGAAAGCTCAGTGGGCCCATTCTCAGAAACAACCTAACATGATTTGGATTTTGTTAGTTGTGTCAAGAACAAGGACAGAACCCTTTTACTAGATGAGTGTAAAATTGTAGGAAAATCCAAATTAATCAGATCTAAATTTACAATCATTAAAGGCATTAATATCCTCAGCAATATTAAATAGGCATTGGTTCCTTCCAATGTTTTTCTCCATTTGTATGTTGAGTTAAAAAATATATACATGGAGGAAAAAAGTGTATATAGATATATAGAGAGAGCGCCTATTGATTTGACTCTTTAGGATCGATGAGAGGAGGAAAGAAAAGCTTACGTGGGTTCTAAAAACAAACTGTACCACTGCTTTCTAGTTTTGATTATATACATAGCTGTATGCTATGGTTTGGATCTGTGTCCCTGCCCAAGTCTCGTGTCAAATTGTAATCTCCAGTGTTGGAGGTGGAGCCAGGTAAGAGGTGGTTGGACCGTGGGAGTGAATCCTTCATGAATAGTTTAGCACCATCCCCTCGGTGCTGTTCTTGTGAGAGTTCCCATGAGACCTGGCTGTGGAAAGTGTGCAGCACCTCCTCTGCCCCTCTCTCTTGTTCCTGCTCTGGCTATGTGATGTATGTGCTTTCCCTTCACCTTCCGCAATGACTGTTGAGTTTCCTGAGGCCACTCTAGAAGCCAGGCAGATGCCAGCACCATGCTGCCTGTACAGTCTCTAGAACTGTGAGCCAATTAAACCTCTTTTCTTTATAAATTATCCAGTCTCAGATATTTATAGGAATGCAAGAACAACCTAATGCAATATATACAATATATACATATACAAATGAATGATATGTTGATTTGTGAATTATATGTAATATACATATATAAATTCTGCAACAGATCTTTGTTCATTGAGCATATAACATCCATAGGTTAACCACTGTAGCCAACTTTATAGCCTAGAGAGAGCAAATGATATTTTTTCTGAGCATTATATGCAAATTATTGCTAATATTGACCATATATGATTTAATTTAATTCTTAAAAATACTCTGAGTAAAATGTCATTATTCCTACATTATGATAAAGCTAATGGATTCAAGAGGAGTTAAAACTTCAAGGATGGTAGGGTAAGTAGCTCAGCAAACCTTTCCTCAGTAAAACAATTTTATGGTGAGAATTAATTGTAAAAGTTGTTAAAATTGTCCTAAGGGTATACAGTAAAGAGAGACATGCTTTCAAGGAAGTCTGCTAAGTCTCAGTAAGAACAGTGAGTCTGTGGCATGTGAGTCATGATGTGCTCCCCACCATCTCAACTGTGGTACTGTACTCTGGACAACAGTGGCCAAAAATAAAGCTCGTTCTTCCCGCATCTGCCTTCTGGGGATACAGAACCAGACCTCACCATTGGGAGAGCAGGATCTCAGTGTTTCTCACCTCACTTTAATCCCATGTTGCAGAGTCTCTATTCTAGGTGAGAAAGAGAGGACCAATCTCCCTTCACTTGTCAACCCCCTCACTCCCAGAGGGTGGAAGCTTAACTCTAGGCCCTGCAGGCCAAGAATGCTGGGGCCCCAGTCATCCTCATTTTATCTCACTCCTAGGGCAAATATTCCATTTCCGAAGGGGCAAGCCAGGAAGACCATAAGCTACCATCATCGGGAAAAGCAGTTCCCCACCCCTAGCTCTAGTACAATGACTAGAGGTTCTGTCAAAAGTGAAAGGTAGGCCATAAACCAAGACCTATGCAAGCCTGAGGGGACTGACTTTATTTAGAATCATTCATGGAGAACTTCCTGCCAAAGAACTTTGTCAGAAACAATGGAGATCTTGGTAGAGCACAGTTTATAAAAACGTGGTAACTCCATAATACAATAAAAGTGGCAGAGCAGCTAGAACTTTAAAACACAGAGCCCAGAAAAAAGACATCCAAGATCTTGGGATCACTTCAATTATTGAGCTTGGGAAGAGTATGCACCTGTACTAGACTACACTCAGAAGTAATCAGAACAGGGTGTGGGGAGGTCTTGAAAGCATTCCTTAAGCTACACATAGACTCATCACAGTTCCTGAATAAAGATGAGGCAAAATATGTAAACACTCTTAACTACAATAGCAGCCTCAAAGCTATAGACACATCTAATGATAAAGGTAAAAAATATCTAATTGGCAAAGAATATTTAAGCATGGCATTGGACCAGTATTGGCTTATTCTACCCAGGATAAGCCTAAGTAGCTGGGATGAAGGATGATAACAAGGGAGTAAAACAGTCTCTGCAAGGACATGACAGGTTGCAGACTGTGGGGAAAACAGACTTCCCAGAATTAAGCCAAGTTTGTAAGCCAATAAACAAAAAAAAGAGCAAGCAACAAGAACAACTATTAGGGGTGGAGTAGGGTTGCTATCTGAAGTTACTGCTACATGTTATTTAAAATGTCAAGTTTTCAAGAAAAAAGTATGAGACATGCAAATAAATAGGAAAAAGTGGCCTATATGCAGGAAATAAAGAGGCAATAAAAACAGCCTTTGAAGGGACCCACACTGTCAATGTAGCAAAGACTTCAAAGTAGCTATTATGAATATATGTAAAAAATAAAACCACATTTAAAGAAGGAAAGAACTATGGTTACAATGCCACCAAAATAGAAAATATTATTGAAGTGAAAGCATCATTCTTTGAAAAATAACCAAATACAAATTCTGGCATGAAAAGTACAATTGACATAAAAAATTCACTTGTAATATTCAACTAGTATTCAACAGTAAATTTGTGCTGGCAGAGGACGAACCAGTCAACTTGAAGACAAATTAATAATGTTTCAGCAATTTGAAGTACAGAGAGAAAACAGACAAATGAATGGAGCCTCAGAGAAATGTGGGGATACCATTAAGCATACCAATATATGCATAATGAGAATGCCAGAATGAGAAAAGAAGGGACAGAAAAAAATATTTGAAGAATGAATGGCTGAAAACTTCCCTAATTTGATGAGAAAACACTAATCTGCACATCCAAGAAGCTCCACAAAATCGAAGTAGTATAAACACAAAGTAGTACATTGAAACACATTGTAGTCAGTGATGAAAAGATAAAGAAAATCTTAAACTCATCACAGACAAGGTATACCTAACAAGCTTAACAGCTGATTTCTCATCAGAGACAATGGGGGCCAGAAAGTAGTGGGATGGCCCCTATTGTGGGACTAGATGGAAGGAAGTCGTATTCAAAGTGCTGAAAGTAAAAAGCAAAAACAAAAAAGAAAACCTCCCAACCAAAAGTGTTATTTTGGCAAAACTACCTTTCAAAAAAGACAAAAAACTCTTCCCAGATAAATGAAAGCAGAATGCGTTGCTATCAGACCTGCCTTTCAAGTAATATGTAAGGAACTATGTCAATCTAAAAGGAGGGACACCAGAAAATAATTCTCATCTATACAAAAAATTAAAGATTGCCAGCAAAGGTAACTATAAATGATGGTTTAATTGTATATTTCTTCTTTTTTCATTTAACTTATTTAAAAAGTAATTGCATAAAATAATTTATATATGTTATCTATGTACTGACTATGTGTCGGTATATGTATATGACTATAGTATGACCCTCTAACTTAAAAAAATGTAATATATTTGACAATGACCAAAATGAGACAAGTTGGAGAAAAGCTTCATTGGAATAAGAAAATTACGCAAGAAGATAACTCAAATCCATGAATAAATGAACAGAACTGGAAAAAGTAAATAAGGTTTATAGAACAAACTCTGTGTATATATTATACTCTGTTTTTCCCCTCAGCTCCTTTAAAATGCATCCAATAACTATAACTATAGTAATAACTATCAAAATGTATTGTTGGGTTTGTAACATATATAGATATAATGGCACAGGTAATAGCACAAAAAAAAGAATAGAGCCATCCCTGCAATTAATTTAGTATACATATGAAGTAGATTTTGTTAAAAGATGTATATTGTAAGCCCTAGAACAGCCACTAGTAAAATAACCCCGAATTATTTTTAAACATTTTTAAAATTAAAATGTTATGCTACACAGAAAGGGGAACATCACACACCGGGGCCTGTTGTGGGTCGGGGGAGAGGGGAGGGATAGCGTTAGGAGATATACCTAGTGTAAATGACGACTTAATGGGTGCAGCACACCAACATGGCACGTGTATACATATGTAACAAACCTGCACATTGTACACATGTACCTAGAACTTAAAGTATAATAAATATATATATAAAAAAAACAGTCAACTTGACAATTATGAATGAACAGGGATTTTTCTAAAAATGAGACACGTAGAAAACAAAAAGCAACATTTCAGATATAAATGTAACCATACAATATAACAGTAAAACGCAATAAAAAACAGATTATCATTTTATATTAAATAAAAGCAAGGGTCCTTTTAATTATCACCAACCATATGCTGCCTACAGGAGCCATATTTTATACTCAAAGATACAAATGGCTGAAAGTAGAAAGTTGAAACAAGCTATACCATACCATGCAAATAGCATTCACGAAAGAGCTACGGTTGCTATACCAATATCAGGCAAAGCAAAAAATCTTACTAGAGATCAAAAGGGGCATTTTACAGTAAGTCGCTCCATCAGGAAGATGAAACAGTTATAATTGGTAGAATTAAAGGAATAAATAGATAATTCAACAGTAATAGTTGGAAACTTCAATAACTTTCAATAAGCACTAGAAACAAAATAAATGATAAATTGAAATATATAAAACTATATAGTCTGCAATATATTTATATACTTATTCATATTTGTATAATGTATTTTTGTATATTTATAAAATTATATGTATTAAATGTCCTCTGAAACATTATCAAGAAAATGAAACAGGGAAGTGAAGTGAAGACTACTGGCAGAATGGGAGAAAATGTTTATAAATTATGTATATGAGACATAAAGGATTTTATATGAGGAATATATAATAAGCTATTATAACTCAATAAGAGGCAAAATAATGCAATTACAATAGACAAATCATCTGAATAGACATTTATCCAAAAATGATATATGCATAGTTGATAAGCACATGGTAAAATGCTAAATATCGTCTGTCATTAGGAAAATGCAAATCAAGACTACTAAAAGATTATGAGAGACCACTTCACACCCATTAACACAACTACAGTTAAACAAATCAGACAGTAACAAATATTGTCAAGGGTGTGGAGAAATTGGAGCCCCTCATTCCTTGCTGGTGGAAATGTAAAATTCTGAAACTTCAGAAAACAGTTTGGCAGTCCCTCGAAATGTGAAACTAGCAGTTTCACTCCTAGGTATATACGCAAAAGAATTACAAACATATTCCATACAAAAAATGTCACACAAATGTTCATAGCAGCATTATCTGTAATAACCAAAAAGTGGAGACAGCTTAAATGTCCATTAACTGACGGGTAGATAAGCAACATGAGATCTATCCATACAACACAATATCATTCAGCAAGAAAAGTAAGTACTAACACATGCAACCACATGGATTAACCCTGAAAACATGCTAAGTGAAAGAAGTCAGTCTCAAAGTGTCACATATTATTTGATTCCATTTGTATGAAGTGTCCAGAATAGACAAATCTGTAGATCTATAGATCTAGAAATTCAGTTAGTGATTGTCTGTTGGCTTGGGGTGGAGGGAATGGAATGGGCCTGGTTTTTTGTTTTGTTTTGTTTTGTTTTTTTGGGAAGCGGAGACAAAATATTTTAAGATAGTGGTGATGGTTGTATAACCTTGCGAATATTCCTAAAAAACATCAAATTGCACATTTTGAATGAATGAATTATATAGTAATTGTAAACCAAAAGGGCTATTTGGAAAAAGAAAAAAAAAAAAACAGAGCTAACAGGCTTATAGGTGTAGTAACATAACACACCCTTAGTCATGTTCCCAGTAAGTGGCAAAACTGGAATTTAACTATGATTCTCCAAGTGCAAACTCTATTCTTCTACTGCAGATCTCTCAGGCTGCTTTCTAATTCTAAAATAAAAATGTCTATAGACCAACTTTTTGCAAGGAGGGTTTCAAAGAAGCTGATGTTGCTTCCCTTACACATTGGAGGACTTTTCATTCAAAGCACAGATGCCCTTCAGTGAAGTCTCACACTATTATTTATTGAACAATAGGAAATCATGACAGAGTGACACAGAAGTCATGTGGGCAGTTTTCAAGGTAACTGAAGCTGGTGTCAGCTCTGAAATACCCTGGGATGCAAGCAAATTCTTCTTAGAGATTTCAAGTGTCCCTCCAATAAAGGGCTTGTTTCCATTGCCTCTCTTTCTGGCAAAAACCCTTACCACAGATCAATCCTCAAAATACTCTCCCCAGTCTAACCCATAGCCACAGCCCATGGCAGCCCTGTCAATAAATTGGCATTAAGGATAGCTTTAAGATGCACCAATGTGGCTGGGTGCCATGGCTCACACCTGTAATCCCAGCACTTTTGGGAGGCCGAGGCAGGCAGATCACCTGAGTTCAGGAGTTCAAGACCAGCCTGACCAGCATGGCAAAACCCTGTCTCTACTAAAAATACAAAAATTAGACCAGAGTGGCAATGTGCCCCTGTAATCTCAGCTACTTGGGGAGGCTAAGACAAGAGAATTGCTTGAACCCAGGAGGCAGAGGTTGCAGTGAGCCGAGATCATGCCATTGCACTCCAGCCTGGGTGACAGTGAGACTGTCTCAAAAAAAAAAAAAAAAAAAAAAAATGCACCAATGTAAAGTGGCAGGTTCTCTATTGCCAAACATTATGATATTACAGGGTAAAATCCTAACACAAAAGGACTGCAACTATATTAATAACGACTCAGCCAGAGAGAGGAGGTGATAAGCACAGATTTCCTTTATAGGATCTTTACTTGCAACCCAAAACACAGACTTTGCAGAAGACGAGCAGGCCTGTTTCACCTTTCAATCCAATTCTCACTTTTTCTCCTGCCCGGAATCCTGTGTATATGTGGGGGGTGGTGATGGTGGAATTCTGGCTTTATCGAATGGTCTTAAAATAATGTGCCATAAACATTTCACATTTCTTGAAATAGAAATATATATAAGCAACAAATAAATAGGGTAGCAGAATAGAGAAGGCTTAAACGTCCATGTGGATCCATATCCTTGTTTACATCGCACACTGGTATTCTCTAAGACGCCTGACCTTTCTACTGAAATACCCGCATTTTCCGGAGTGTTCTATGAGATGTGAGTGCAGATAGTTACGCTCTTAGGCTGCATCCTCCTCCTCACTTTGCTTTGTGCAAAATTGAAAATTTCTGTACTAGAGAAATGAATGACATGTCCTTTTAGAAGTCCTTCGTGGAAGAAGTCAACACTTCAAATATGTGGAAGAAAGTCATGTTAATATCTTCAGGATGCTAAATCGCAAGATGGCTACGTGGACCTCTGTGTGGCAATGCTTCTTAAGCACGGGCACCCTGACTGGACATGATTACCTGGACAGAACGCGTGCATTACGTTGTGTTGTTTCCTCAACCTGTGTTTTCTTCAGGCATTATACTTTCAGAACTACAACAACAATTTGGATAAACATCTGTGTTTTAATTAGACAGAATAAAAAAAGAATATTTTAATTAATGCCATGTATAATTTTGTATAATACGTACAATTATATATCTAACAGTATATATAGTTAGCTGTATATGCCTAATGTAATCCAGAAGTAAAATTTCCAACCAGCCTCCTAATTATATGGGCATCAATTATCCTGACAAGCATAAGAAAGCTACCTGAACTCTTCTTTTGAGATTTCTAGATCTCTCTGGCACACTGGGCTGAAATCCTAACATTTTCTTCTTTTTGCACAGTGCTTAAGGCCAGTTTCTCTGGTCTGTTAACTCACTTGTAGAAAGGAAGAGTAAATTGCCCTTGACTGCACAAACAGCCTTGACTTTTTTTTTTTTTCCATGAATACAAATGGAAGATTTTTAAAGCTTGGCAGTTTGCAAAGATATGACTCCTAAGACAAATTAAAGATCAGGAAAACTTTTTTTTTTTTTAAATTTAAAACTTGATTTTGTGGAGAGGTAGCCTGTGTGGTAATTATGATTCTGACACTGTTTGGCAATCTTAGACAACCATATAATCTCCCTAGACACATATTTTTCATTAATTAAAAAAAGTGTGAATTTAATGTAGGAAGGATACACCAGATGACCTCAAATACTTATCCGGTTTCAAAAATTGATGTTTTCATAATTTAATATGCATAGAACTAGCACTCTCCTCCTCTTCCTGCACTTCTAACAGACGCTCCTACCATATGCTCCTCCTGTGCTCTGTGCAGTGATCCATTGTAGCAATTATGTGATTGTATTGGAATTTTGTTTTCTATATTTGTCATTCTAGTAGCTTATTAACTTAAGGCCGAAGTCTGAGTTTGCTGTTTCTTTTTTCAACTTCACGTTCTAAGTTTCAAACATGTAGCTTAGCACAAAGTGATTCTAAATATGAAGTTGTTAAATGAACTGAAGGAATTAATAAATTAGTTGATAGTATCAAGCAATAAAAATTGAGCTACTTGTGGTACTTAATTTGCATTTTAGGAGAAAAAAAAAAGAACTTGTATCAAGCGTGGCCTTACCAACAGCCAGCCACCTGGAGGATACATTCCGAGTGGACTGGTAAATGTTTCCTATCTTAGTATGTGACCTTAGTATGCAAGCTCTGGAATTCCCCAACATATTAATCTAGGTGTTATTAAAAGCTTTTGGTCCTCAAGTGTTCATTGTGAAAATGCAAATATCTGAGTAGAACAGAAAAGAAGGGATTAATTAGATAGTGTTAAAAGCAGAGCTAAAAGTGAGAACAGCAAGGAGAGAAAGAAGCATGTTCTGGATAAAACAAGACAAAGAATAAGACCATTTTCTTCTTTTATTTCTTGTTTGTCTGTCTGACTACTCTATGCCAGACACATATTACAGCCTGGCCAACATGAATCCTAAGGTCTGATGGGGAGTAGAGATGATTAAGCAAGAAATTCTACCATGGAATGATCAGTGCTGGGCTAGGGAAACATAGGGGCTACCACAGAGGAATCAGAGAAGGCTTCCAATGGGGATGACACACTTGCCTAGATCTGAAGATCCAGTAGAAGTTAATGAGATGAAGAGATGAGGAGAAGTGGTCCATTCAGAGACAAAAATGCCTCTGTGTGGAGTGAGGCTCAGCTAAAAATTTAAGATTCATGTTGTAAGGTTTAGAATGTTGCGGGGAGAAGGGTATGGGGAGAGATGATTCTGGAGACTTAAACAGAGGCTGGCACATGTAGGTCTTGTAAACGTGTATAATATGTAAACCACATTAAATAATTCTCTCAGGGTCAAAGAGTATTTCCTTGTAGAGTTTTAGACAGAGGAGTGACAGATCTGGTATAGATTTTTCAAAATTCTCTATAGATTTCATGTAAAGACATTATTTCTCAGAAAGAAGTATATTGGAAGCCAAGAGCTCAAATTAAGAGGCTTTTCCAGATCAAGTAAGAGATAAGAGTGGCCTAGACTAAGTCAAGGACCAGTTTGATAGAGAAAAGAAAATGCGTTTAGCAGATAGAAGGAGCGGGTCTCAATAATTCATGTAATCTGGAGGTAAAGAAGAAAGACGAATTAAGAATGAATTACAGGCTTGGGACGCTCCATAGGTTTTTAATGATACCATTTGTTCAAGTGGGAAACATGAAAGCAAATTCATGTTTCTGAGAAGTGCTGGTAAAGTGCATCTGAAACATGTTTCGTTGAAAAGGAAAAGCTTGTTGTATATTGGAGTTGTGGGCAGGAAAGACAAGTTTAAGTGATGTTAGGATAGTGGTAAATGGAAGTGATGATATTCCTGGAGAAACATGGGCAATTGGTTTGTTAGACACTTTTACTTAACTATAGTTTTTATCAGCAAATCCCTGTGATTGTGATTCTGATGAGACTCCAGTTAAGAAGTACTAGCTGGGGACCAGTCAAAGAGACGGACTTGGAGAGAACCCTGAGGGACACTGGCCTTTAAAAAATGGGCAGTGGAAAGGGGTCCTGTCCCGGAAACTAGGAAGAGCAAGTGGAAGGTCAGGAGGAGATCCATGAGCTGGAGGTGTGGTAAAGTCAATGTTACCCAGCCAGGTCACTTATGGCAAAGACTGAGAAGGTTCTATGCATTTAAGAAACAGAAGGTGGCACAGAGCCATGAATTCAAAGTCATCGGAGACTTTTCTTTCCCGCTGGCACAGCCTGACTCCCACTTTAGAGAAGCAAGGCAATGCATAGGCTTTTTACGCATGATATAATACAGGGGTTGCCAAATTTTCTCTGTAAAGAGCCAGGTAGTCAATATTTTGGGTTCTCTGTTGCCACTATTCAACTCTGTCACTGTGGCACAAATGTAGCCATGGGCAATATGCAAATGAACAGATGTAACTGTGTTCCAATAAAACTTCATTTACAAAAAAACAGGTTGAGTGTGGGATTTGGCCCAGAGGCAATATTTTGTAGACCCCTGACATAATATTTTCTCCAAAATCACAAATTAAAAATAACAAGAATTCTTATAGACCTTTCACCCAGCTCCCATTTATATTAACTTTTTACATAACTGTAAGCACAATGATCAAAACCAACCAAGAAATTAATGCCCATATAACAGTATTAACCAAATTACAATACTTTAATTTTCCAATACTATTAAAGAATACACCTCTACATTTCAAGTTTTTCCACTAGTGTACTTTTTTGTCTTAGGATCCAATCCACAATTGCATATTCAATTAGTTTTTATATCCTCCAATCTGTGACAGTTTTTTCAGTTTTTCCTTTGCTTAGAGCAAGGATGGCAGATGCTGAGATGATGCAGGTGCAAATGCTTTCTCTAAGGTATCCTGGGAGGTGGTGCAAGCTGCTACAGCCTAGTGCAGCACAGGGCTGGCTTTAGCAAAGGTCATTTAAACCTAAATTAAAAAAATTTCAAGGGAGGATAATGCCTTTCTTCTTCAGTCATTGTTAACTTGTCTTTGTGATACCAGGAACGTGTAGCCATCCTACAACATATGAGGGGAAATTGTTAGGAAAAACAGAAGACAGAGTAAAGAAACAGAAGGCTTTGAAGTCTATGAAGATGTCAATAACAGGCTGCATTACCAAGACCTGAAGCCAACTACCCCATCTGAACAACTGTTATGTCAGAAAATAACCTTTGTGTAACAGTAGGCAATATAATCAGAATATTGTCTTATCTGCAAGCAAGATCATTTTGGCAAAGGACATCTATGATAACCTTAATGAAGTTTTGGAGAAGCTGCACAGGCTAGGTGTGCCACTTGTCAATATTTGGTACAGACCAATTAGAAATAATCTGATTAAATGTATCATATGTGCTTTTAAATTCTGCAAGCAAGAGAAATTCAAAATAAATAAAAGCTATCATGAGGTTTTTGAATGCAAAGACATACACAGTCAACATAGGTGAATCCTAGTGAGTAAAACAATTTCTCTTATTTAATTTTATAAAATATTTTAATAAATAGATATGTATAAAATGTGTACTAAACTCTACTTACTTTTAAAGGTTACAACTTCCCTATGTCCTTAGTGGCTCAACATGAGGCTTTTATAAAATAGGAGTGGAGAGGCCACAGGCCAAAACTATTTCTACCTTGTTAAAGTACAAGTGAAATTCCGTCCCTTTATGCTGAACGTCACAGTGTGTCCCAATTTTTTTTCTTTAATCATATTATAATTTATATGCTGCTGCAGCTGCACCCTTGCTCTATAGGGCATGGAGTAGAAGGGAAAGCTGGACCAAGCCTATTGGTGTAAATTAGCGAGAAAGGTTTCCTGGTTTCAGGGAAATCAGAAAGGTATCCTATTTATTCCACAATTCTTGTTTCTTTTTTCTAGACCTTGAACTTTTTTTCATATATATGCATATATTATAACTTGGGGAGATGAGATAGTTTTAGGTATTTTATGAGGAAAACTTCGTAAGCTTTAAAGTGCAAGTTTTTATTTAAGACATTATTTTTGTTTTTGATGAAGGAAACAGTTCAAAACCCAGGAAAATGGAGGAAAATAAGAACTTGTCACTTAGAATCTGATAAATACCAGAAAAGAGAACAAATCTTATTTTAGTCATCTATTCCCTACAAGTGCAAACAGTGAAGTGTCTGATTGTTTTGGAGACAAAAATTGTCAGATGATGCAGGTTCAAGAAAATAAAGTATACAGCATGGTTTTGTCCTATAAAATTAATTGTCATGGAATCATTACAACTAGTTAAATTTGAAGTAACCTAGCATGATATTGAAGAATGTTCTTTCATAAAGATTTTTGGTAGAACTTGTAGTTGTATGTATAAGATGGAGACACTTTAAGTTGGAGTACAACCATCTTACAATTTTCCAGTATACTTTACAGTATATCCTCTAATGGTCATTTAGACTAAACCAAGAAGAAGAAATTAAGAGTGAAAAGAAAAGCAGCTGCTTCTAAGCCTGGTTTCTACAGAGTCTAATGAAACAGAAATGACTCATGATTGTGCCAGATATGTCAGCTATTTGACGTAAGTGTTATTTTAACATCTACATCAATGGTGTTATTAATACTTTTAAAATTGAAATATCAAATGAGGATGGATCACACTCAGTTTGAGCTTAAAAGGTAGCTTCTAAAAGACTTTGAAATTAGAAAAAATGAGTGGTTAGACTTTACATAGCATTTTAAAATCACAAACCATTTTCAAGCATTTGCCTCATCAAGGAAACATTATTAAAAGAAGGAAGCGAAGCCAAATGATGCAGGTGTCTATGTGGTCAAGGTGGGACACAAATGCCATATTCAGAACCTGAGTACTGGCCACTTTCTTCTGCAAAATCCTCATTCCCATGGTAAGGCCATTGCAATATTTAATGTGACCTAAAATTTACTTTTTCCTCTTCTGCAATTTCCCAGAGACAAAAACATGGTTGAAATTATCTTAAATCTAAGAAACAGACTAAGTAATTTATTGTTTGTTTTTTCTTTCTGAACCATGCTTTCCAGTCTGATTTCTAATTATATGTGTGGGAGATTGTAGGGTTTGAAGAATCTAGTGAAAAGTGGGATTCTTAGTAATTTAAGTGGGACAAACCTTATTATCCCCTTCGACAGACTCACAGAGCAGGGAGCTGCATTTGAAAACAACTGTTCTACCCATGTCTTGATTTGGTTTCTTTGCTTAATTATTTACCTGCTACTGTTATTGTGTCTGCTGAACCTATGATAACTTAAAAAAAGGATTCTGGTTACATTGTTACAGCTGGAGGTTTTTGTTAAGAGAAAACCTTCCTGGACAATAAAACAAAACAATAATACAATATGACCAGGAATATAGTGCCTTGAAATTTTCAACTAATCTTATTGTGCTGGGGTTTTCAAAAAATTAATATTTACTTCAGATACCTCAGATAGGTGGGGTTTTCATGAGGTAATTTGTGGTCATTTTTGATGGGAATGGGACAAATATGATGTCTATTTATCCTATTGAAGGTAGTATAATACTAAACACACAAGCATTTTAAATTTCTTGGTGAACTTTATAACCCAGAAGAATTAGGATGTTGAAGAAATGTTATCACTTAATGATTGATATTTTCAATGAACAAAATAACTACAAGATCTGAAGAAAATGGATTCTCTGTCTCATAATCTCTCTAATAATCTAGTAATTTTATTATAGCACCCTACATTATACTTCTCAGAAGTATTATATCCCATTAAAGGATGCATGTGTCAGGAAACCAAAGGTTTCTTATTGACACATACAACTCTATTAACATGGAATTTAGAGATAATTTTCCTCTGTAGTTAGACTCTGTTGAGTATTTTAAAATTCGTGGGAATAATCAACACCCAGAAGAATTACATCTTTGGCAATGAAAAATGCATTGAGAGATTTTTTTAGAGCCTTTGCAAACCACTACTTGAGCTTATTATTTATGAACTCTTTGCTCTTTAAAATTGAGAACAAAGCAATTAACTGTAATTTCACACCTTCAGAAGACTAAGAACACAGTCTGCCATCTATTGTAAATTCCAAAGTGTATTCTTTCACTTAAATTTATAGTTTCCATTTTGTGGAAATTTTCCTCTTACTCCAAAGACTGTTTAAAATGAATCTTGTATTTTGTTCACTGAAAATGGGCAGTGCCGATTTTGTTCTTTAGAAAAATGAGCTTAATAGATCCCATTGTAAAAACAATTGCAGGTCCAGTATTTGAGAACATGATCCATACAGGCCGACTGTGTCAAGAGAGATGAGATGCTCCTTGGTTTGTCACTTGAATGTGGTGCTCAGAATTTGAGAAACATGAATCTGGATAACAACTGGCATCCTAGTTAGTGAGCATGAGCACTTACTACGTACTCAGTGCTTCGTGGATACCCCTCAATCCTCAAAGGGACCATACTATACTCATGCTGCCCACTAACCTAATGTGCTCTCAAACCAGCTGAGACTGGAGAGGTTAACTTTTAGCCTCAAGTCACACAGGTGGGAAGGCACCGATTTGAACCTAGGTAGTCTGACCAAAATTGGAGCACTTTCTTCCATGCTACATTCTACCGAAAATGAATAGCTGTCAAGGACTGTGAAAGGCTAAACAAGATCAATGACATTTTATCAACATACTGAAATTCAACACCTGTTCCACCAAAGGAAAGTAACATGAGGTTCATTCTTGATGTCAACAACAGAAATAACTCACTTGATTTTCACACTTAAGAGAGGCTTAAGGAATTAGAATTTAACTTCTTTACCCTTGTTCATAGGATCTTAATGTTGTCATCTCTTTCTTCTTCCTACTGCTTGGACTAGACCTTGTAACCTCCTCCTAAGCTATTATAGCATCCTACCTCCTTTAACCACCTGAATAACTATATTTTTCAAAGAGCAGTTCTGTTCATTACCACTCTGCTGCTCAAAAACACTTTCAGTGGTGGCTCAGGACTATAGGATGAAACCCATATAACCCTGATTTCTTGTGTCTGTCCCCCAGCTGTGTTTTCAACACTTCCCTTCCTTTTCCCATCAAGAGGTAATTTCTAATTCAACCATTTTCATATAATTCACTTCCTCTCAACCTCAATCCCAGGACTATTCAACAAATACTAAGATCTCACCATGTTTAGTAGCCTGTGGCAGGCACTTTAATAATACAAACTCTTCATAGATCCTGCCCTCAAGAAGCAAATGTTAAGTAGTCAAGTAAGCCATGCATATGCCCACATAAGATAACCCAAAAGAATAACTAGAGCTTTAAAGATTTTATGTAATTCTCATAGAAAGTGTATATTTATCTCAGTTATTTTGACAATATTAACAATTGAAACAGACTAATATACTTGGTATGACAATGGTGGTGAGATTAAAGTTATGATATTGACCTCAAGAGGATAGAAATGCACAGGCCCTTTTCTATTCTGCTTTCGTTTCTGAATTTATCTTATTTTGTTTTTCATTTTCCCCAAATACACTTACTTACTTTTCCACTACTGGCGACCCAATTTTCCCGGTGTATAAGAATGCTTTCTCACTCTCTGCCTATGCAAACTATATTACAGTATTATCATACTAATATATCAAAGCTTAGCATGCAGCCCTCCACTTAAAAAACTTCCATTTGTGATTTCCCATAGCTCTCAATGTCCTCCCTCAGTCTGTATTTCTGTCATTATGTGGTACTTGTATATTACCTTGACAGAGTCTAGATCAGGGTCCTAAAAATCTCTTGCATACTATCACTGGTCTCACTATCTTTTTCTTTTTTAAAATAACTTACCTCTCTTTTCCTTCGTGTGTGTGTGTGTGTGTGTGTTTGTCTGTTTTTGTCTTTTTCCAACTATGTTTCCAATGCCAAGGGCTTCAAATGTTTAATCTATTAAGCCTCAGTTGCCCTGCTTCTAAATCGGCAATGATGTTACCTAAAATATAAGGTTATTGGGGGTACCCAATGGAACACCTGGCTGGGTGCTGTGACTCACACCTATAATCCCAACACTTTGGAAAGTCAAAGAAGGAGAATCACTTGAGCCCAGGAGTTCAAGACCACCCTGGGCAACATAGTGGGACCACATCTTTACAATTTTTTTTTTAATTAACTGGGGGTGGTGGCACATTCCTGTGGTCCCAGCTACTCAGAAGGCTGAAAATGGGAGGATTACTGGAGTCCAAGAGGTAGAGGCAACAGTGAGCCACTACACTGCAGCCTGGGTGCCAGACCAAGACCCTGTCTCAAGAAAACTTTAGTACTTGACAATAGCAACTGAAAAAGTGGTGGGGAAGAAAAAAGAGAAGAAAGGTCCTAGACAGAGAATGAAAAGCAAATATATTCCTGCCCTCAAGGATATCGTAGTATCATAGATCAGGGAAATATATAGACTTCTCCAGCTCCATTTGTCTAATACAGAGTCTTAGATACTGTAATGTAATTACAGGAGCGACAGCCCATCAGGTTTGCCATGCTCTATAGGTTTGAAGCATCTTACAGGCCCTGCCTGCCCTCAAGGAGAAGAGATAATGTAAAGGCATAAACATCCAGGAGTGGGAATCACTGGGGATCACTGTAGGGTCTGCCACACTAATTTATGTGGATAACTTATAAACACACATTTATATCAATTATCTCAGTATTAAATATTAAAATTAAAGGGTTGATTAAGACATGCAGAATGTCCAAAGTCTCCATTTCACTGTGATTATGTACACATAATATTTGAAGTTTGATATCAGAAAAACTCATGACAAGGAACTTTTAAAGATAATGGAAGACAAAGAGAAATGTTTGACAAAACCAAACAGTGAGTTCTGTGGTTATGCTTACATGTTTACCTAGGAATTTTGCATTTAGAAGTCAACATATTCATGAGCCATTTTTTCCTAGTTTTCTTAAGAATAAAATAAAAATTATATGTGGTAAGCAAAAATAGCACAATAGCCTTCTACATAAAATAGAACTGGCTGCTGAAAACTAAATCTTACCCCACAGCCAACATCTGTATTTTGAAGGTCAGGGACTCACATCAGAAGTAAGTTGTGCATTGAATACTTTCAAATGAAGATCCTTACTAACTTGCAAAAAAAAAATACTTAAACATAATTTGGGCTCTCCAGAGAGAGGAGCTATATTTTAAGCTAAAAGAAAATAGCTCTTGGTGAATAGCTTAAAAAGTTAGTTTGTACTTTATTTATTAAACATTTTAAGCCGTTATTGAGAATCTTTTCTAGGTATAGAAATCTTTTCTAACACACAGAAAATTATTTATTATTCTACATGTTAGGGATTGCATGAGCTATCTATTGATGTTTTCTAAAAAATTCCCCCAAATTAGCAGCTTAAAACATTACAAATTAACACAGTTTATAAAAATCAAGAATCCAGTAGCAGTTTAGCTGTTTAGCTGGGTTGTTCTAGTTCTGGCTCTCCCATGAGGTTGCCATCAAGGTGGTGGCCAGAACTGTGGTCATCTGAAGCCTCGATTAGGGTTTGGGGATCTGCTACCAAGGTCATTCATATGGCTTAGCTGGAGTCCTCAGTTCCTCACTATGTAGACCCTACTTATAGGGCTACCCATGTCATGGTAGCTGACTCTCCCCTGAGCAAGTGATCCAGGAGAGAACAAGCAAACAACCAAGATAGAAGGTGCAATGTTTTGTAACTTAATATCAGAAGTGACATACCAGCTGGGCTCGGTGGCTCACACCTATAATCCCAGCACTTTGAGAGGCCGAGGTGGGCAGATCATGAGGTCAGGAGATCGAGGCCATCCTGGCTAACACGGTGAAACCCCATCTGTACTAAAAATACAAAAAATTAGCCGGGCGTGGTGGCGGGTTCCTGTGGTCCCAGCTACTCAGGAGGCTGAGGCAGGAGAATGGCGTGAACCCGGGAGGTGGAGCTTGCAGTGAGCGGAGATCGCACCACTGCACTCCAGCCTGGGTGACAGAGCGAGACTCTGCCTCACAAAAATAATAATAAATAATAAATAGCGAACTACTGTGTGAACAACTACTGCGTGAAGATATGTTAGAACACTCCTGGAAGAACTCAGAAACAAAGAGCCTGAGGGATAGGAAGACATGAAGGAAAAATGGTTAAAAAATAAATAAAACATTTTGAAAGGAGGGCAAACAAATAACTGGAAACATGCTTTTGATGAAAACTCTTATTTATCCACAATATTGACCCATCTTGCATGCCTTTCGCCTCAGTACTCTAGTAAATGCTTTACCTAATTTGAGACATTTCATGGTACAGCTCTTCATATCAACATTCTTGACACATATATGTTGCGCTATATTCATAATATTTTGTTTCTACTTATTTCGTCTTCTTTTCAAAGTATAGAGCTCCAAATTAGAAACCCATTCCATCTCTGCTACATTATCAATTCCTGAATCCTGCTTCTCATACGATTTTATCATCGAGCATGTAATACATTATATCATGATACATTAATAAGTCCAGGATTTATTTTCTAATCCATTGATGTTCAACATAATCATGTTAAAAAATTAAACATGAATCGAGATCTAAACCTGTTTCCACTCCTTAATCTTAGTCCATATCATTTCATAGTCATCACCACATTCTTCAGCATGTCAGTCCTGTCACAATACTTACTTTTCCATGGTCTGAAATCATATTTTTTCAGGATAAAAGGAAATATCTATTTGTTTGTACTAAATAATATAATATTTTATTCAATAATTTGTATTGAATAATGGAAAAATACTAATTAGTGATGAAGAAATATAATTTCCATACCCATCCATGTTTTGTATAAATTTCAAAAACCTTACTATAAATTACAAGGCTCTACATAATCCAAATGACATTCTCCAACTGCAGTTCTCCCTCTCTCTCAGCACACTGGCCCTTGTCCATATTTAGGCTAAGCTTTGGTTATCTCCAGATTTATGCTCATGGTATTTCCTTGCCCTAGAATGATATTGCCCAATTTTCACATGGTGGTTTAGTCATCTCACTGAGTCCTAGTTTAAATACCAACCCACTTGGGGGAATTTCCAGGACCACACTTTCTGAATAGAAGCGCGGTTTATGACTGTAATCCAGCACTTTGGAAGGCTGAGTCGGGAGAATTGCTGGAGGACAGAAGTTTGACCCCAGCCCCTGACCAAGATAGCTAGACCCCATCTCTACAAAAAAGAAAAAGTAGCCAGGCCTGTTGGTGCATGCCTGTGGTCCCAGCTACGTGGGAGGCTGAGGTGGGAGGATCGCTTGAGCTTGGGAGCTCAAGGCTGCAGTGAGCTGTGCTTGCAACACTGCACTGCAGCCTGAGAGACAGAGCAAGACCCTATCAAAAAAACCTCATCAAATATAATTGTACTGTAATATAAATTTTAAATTTGTATTTATTTACTTGTTTATTAACTGACTGCTAGATTTAATTTTGAGCTCAGGGCAGTGGTTATATGTACTTTATTCACTTACTTGTTACCAGAAAAATACAGTGCCTAGAACATGAAAGGCATTCAGAAATATTTTTGAATAAATGAATTCATAAACATCTCATTAATCAAAACCAGTTTTTTACTAAAATCCTTTATAAAATTTCACTCTCCATTCTTACTTTTCCTGAGCAAACATTTAATTTTTATGGAATTTTTGTGTCATCATTCACCCAAATGATCAGCCTGTGCAAAGCACATTTTAGGGAATGAAGTCAAAGCCTTTCCCAGGATGGGACTCATCACATTTGCTTTCAGTGGACATGCAGGGGAAAAACATGTCATCGTGTTATCATCAGGTCTCATACGGCAAATAGCCGCCACATGAAATAAGGCAATTTCCTGAAACTGAAATGCAAAAGAGCACTAAGAAAATGTCTCTTTTAAAGAAATCAGAGTGAAACTGCCAGGTAAACATCTATCTCCATAGACAACTACATGCTGGAGATACTTCTTGTTTTTATTAAATCATATAGGAAAGGCTGTAAAGAATTGCAAGTAGGCTAAAAAGTTGCATAGCTATACAGGAAAAGTGATTAGACGGAAAAAGTGGTCTTGTTTTTCTCTCCTCTCATTTTCACTGTTCACCTTTTTCCGCTTTCCTTTCGTGTGCACTGAGCACAGAATCTCTTCTTACTATTGTCTTCGGTGGATTATGTTTGTGATGATTGCTTGCCTGCACACACATAGCCATTCTTGTGCATTTATAGGAAAAACTAGTGAACTGTGATTATTCTTTTCTTTCTCTCAGGACATTGTAAACTGCTAGGAGAAGCTGAGTGAATATTATCAAATGCCTTAACAAGTAAGTGTGACAATTCTGATTATATAGTCAAAATGCTATTTGAAGCTATTTTATATAATATTCTTCTAAATATAGGAAAGAAATTCAGGTATTCTGGCATCAATAGTCCATAAAAACAGATTCTGGAAAAATAAATAAGTTGATTTGATTCTAGGTCTGACAAACTTAGTTTCAGCCTAAGAATTCTGTTGGTTTTCTTCAGAGAAAAGCAGGAATCAGACTAGATATAACAAGTGATTACACTTATTATGTTTCATAGGTTTAGAGATTGAGCTTTAAATAGTAGATACCCATGGATAAGAATGAGAAAAAATGATAGCATGTAAATACCTAGAAGAACTTTTTATTTTAATCTTATACAAATATATAATACTGGGAAAAAAGTTGGACATAAACGCAGTTGTAAAAAGGACAGTGTATCTAAGAGAACTGTGGTAATTCAAACATTTATTTTGAATCTTAACAACATTGGTTTGTATTTATGCCATACTTGTGTTTAAAAGTAACATTGACATGTTCCTTTATATTATTGATAGACACATTTCTTTATTCCTGTGATGATACAGGGAACTAAATAATCTGGTTTGCTCAAATTGAGCATATTACCAGATCAATTATGCAATCCTCATGTTACAAATGTATGCATCTTGCATTCACTATTTACATAAGCAGGCCCAGGTAGACATACCTATCACACTGATGGTCTCAGATTTTCTTTAATTCTGGCACATGGAATAAGATGGGTAAATACAGTTTTAGACAACCCTACAAGTCACAGTCTGAATGTGATTTATGGGATGTGAATTGCTCTCCTGGAGTGACTAATGCGAAGAGCCAAAGGAATCCAAATTCTCCTCCAGGGGTTTGACTGAAATGCTGGCTCACAGATTCATCTTTTGCTGTTGACCTGATTGATTCCCATGTGTGATGTTTACCCAAGTGGTCTTCAGGGAAGTTTTTAGGGATTTTCTATTGGATGTTTCAAGCTTACATTTTCCTAAACAAGAAAAACAAAAATGTCATCTCTTTCCCCACTGTTGATTGTAAGTATAATTCCTAATTTTGGTGACTTGGTATTCTCCAAAGAAAGTACCCTGGTTCTCATCGTAGCATTACACTGTGGGAAAAACACCAGGTCTGAAGTCAGTAGACTAGAATTCCTATTTTAGCCCCCAACCAGGGTTTCTGTCCGTGGACAAGTCACCTCACTTCTCTAGGTTTCAGTTTTCTTTATCTCTAAACTGGTATAGCTATCATATGCCTAAATAATATTCAAAAAACTATAATATCACTTGAGAGTTCAAGATAAAGATACACGTTACTTACCCTAAGCAACCCTAAAATAACAAGGCAAATAATGATTCATAAACAATGGATATAACATGAAAGGAAGAAATACACAATCAATCCAAAAGAAGTCACAAAAAGAATAAAAAATAAGGAGTTACTAGGTAAGACTTACATAAAACAAAAGCAAGATGGTGGATTTAAACCCAACCACAATAATCACATTACATGTTAACAGTTAAACCATTGAAGACAGAGATTTCCAGATGGGACAAAAATCAACAATACTCCATTTCAGGGTGCCTGCAAGAAGCCCACATTAAATATAAATAATTTAAAAGTATGAAAATATATCAGACAAAGTAGATTTTACAGAACGTATATACCTGGAGACAGAGGGTCATAATGATAAAGCAGTCATAATAAAAAATTCACCAAGAGCACATAATCCTAAACCTTAATTCAAGTAATAGCAGAGCTTTATAATATAAGGAGATAAAACTAATAGAACTACAAGCGAAATAGACAAACCCACATGTTCTAGTCAAATATTTAAATACTCTTTCAAAAATTGATAGAAAAAGTACATAGAAATTCAAGAAGGACATAAAAGACCTGAACATTATTAACCTACTTCACCTAATTGACATTTATAGACCATTACACCAAATATAGCATACTACACATTATTCCGAAATGTACATGTCTATGTAGAACATGCCACGAAATCCATAAAAAATCTCCTAAAACTTTAAGTTTAGCAAAGTTGATCTAAAAAATCAATAAACAAAAAGCACCTTTCTACTTACTAGGCACTAACAATTGATAATAAAAATATTGGTCCAGGCACGGTGGCTCACACCTGTAATCCCAGCACTTTGGGAGGCCGAAGCAGGTGGATTACAAGGTCAGGAGATTGAGACCATACTGGCTAACACGGTGAAACCCCGTCTCTACTAAAAATACAAAAATTAGCTGCGTGTGGTGGCGTGTGCCTGTAATCCCAGCTACTTGGGAGGCTGAGGCAGGAGAATGGCGTGAACCCAGGAGGTGGAGCTTGCAGTGAGCTGAGATGGTGCCACTGTACTCCAGCCTGGGCGACAGTGAGACTGTGTCTCAAAAATAAATAAATAAAAATATTTTAATAACATCAAAATTCACAGTACTTAGGGATAAAACTGATACAGATGTCATTAGTTTTTAGGAAAACATAAAGTAAAATCACTAGATACTACAGTACACCTATTAGAATATGTAGATTTAAAAAGACTTTATGTTAAGCATTGGTGAGGATATTGAGCAACTGAAACTCTCATATTCTGATGGTAGTAATGTAAAATGGTACAGGCACTTTGGAAAACAGGCACCATCGTAAAAAGGTAAATATGCACCTACCAATAACCTAGGCATTCCAATTTTATGTATTTACCCCACCCAAAATAAAAGCATACGTCCATACAAATACTTGTACAGAAATGTTCAAAGTAGTTTTAACTAGAAATAGCCCAGATGTCCATCAACTGGTCAATGAATAAACAAAATTTGGTATGTTCACACAATGGCACTCTACTCAGCCATAGAAGGAATTAACTACTGATGCATGCAATGATATGGAAGAATCTCAAAATAATTGCATTGAGCAAAAGAAGATGGAAACCTTCCCCCACCAAGAAAAGAGTACATACTCCATAATTTCATTTATGAAAAGTTCTAGAAAATGCAAATTATAATTACAGAAATCAGATCAAGATTTACCCAAGGATGGGAGGTATGGGGAGTTAAGGTGGGAAGTTTTACTACGAAGGAATTAAAAGGAGACTAGAAACACGAATGGGAAGATTACATATGTTCATTATTTTGATTGTGGTGATAGTCCCATTGGTATAAATATAATTCAGAGTTATCAGATTGTATACTTGATGTGCATTTTAGTGTATCTCAATTTTACCTCATTAAAGTTGTTTTGAAAACCCTAAGAAATGCAATTATAACCAGGCTTAAAGGAAGTGTATAGCCCTGTATGTATATATTAGGGAAAAGTTAAGCATGTTTCCCCTAAATGTTTAATAAACTACATTTCTGAAATGTGATTAAAAACAGGTTCTGTCCATGTGCACTTCACAGCTCTCCTCTGTTTTAAAATGGAGCAGATAGTTTTTTGTCTACCAAGCACAAAGTCGGAGTCCTTAATGGGAATAACAGAAGGCTGGCCTAGCCAGTAGCTCATCTGATTTTTAAGTACTTTCTATAATCAATAAGATAAGGAATTAGGACTTCAGGCACTTGTCACAGAGTTCAGTTCTTAACTGACTGTTGCCAATGCCATGTAGAAAATAAAGCTAAGATAATGATATTGGAGAGAATTGTTTTGAATTACATCTCATTGAGTCATTTGCTCAGATTCTAGGAACCCAATTATTTGGCCCATCTGACTTTAATATGTATTCCTAATGCTTTTATTATAAATAATGTGTCTTTAACAGCATCAGAAGTAAACTATCAGGAACATCTAGCCATATATATATATATATGTATATATATATATATACATATATATATATATATGTGTGTGTGTGTGTGTGTGTATATATATGTATGTGTGTATACATATATATACACATACATACACATACATATATTTGTACAGCTTCTGACTCTTGCACCATTTACGATAGAGTGCTCCTAAGATCTAGATCAAAGAGATTCTCTTTTCATTTCACCAGTTTTTAAAATTCATAATATTTGGTTGGCTTTACATATGGACAATGTTGTACTGAGATAGGAGGGGGAATTTGACTCCAGAGGCAGACTCGACTCTTGAGGTGTGGGGCTCAGACAGTTTTGTGCAGCTTCTCATGGTGAGGGGTCATGCTAGTTGACTTGGATCTCACATGCCCAAAACAGATATGCCATGGAAGATGACAAAAAAATATGCAGGAAGAAGTTTCACAATTAAATATTAAAAATATTGAATTAAACAAATTTAACTAGTTTTTTTTAGAGTAGCACTTCTTGGAACCTTTACGCAGCAGCTAAGTCATCAAGAGTGGTAGACAACATGCAGCTCTTTCTGAAGCTTATTTAAGCTCCAAACGCTTTTACATAGAGGTACCTATTAGCTGTACACTACAAGACTTCTGTAGTATACAGTTTAGGAATGTTTTATGGCTTATTAGTGATAATCCTGGAAGGTTGTTATAATTAATTAATTAGATCATTTGAACCACTTAAGTTATTTCACTAGAAAATTAAAACCCCAGGGGATTATAACTGACAAAAAAAATAATTCTTGCAAATTAAACATGTCATCTAAAAAAAATGAACAAATATCAATTTAAAAAAACTCTATACAAAGCAAAGGATGACTCTCAGTATGTAAAACTGAAAGAGAACAAGATAATATGAGAGAAAAGATAAGAGAAACAGAAAATGATTTCAAATGGTTCCTATTTCCACTAATAGAATTTCTAGAAAGATAGACTGAAGACAATGAGGATGTAAAGGTAATAAAAATTAACACGGAAAAATTTATTAGGCTGAAAAGAGACATTAATATTCAGATCAAAAGGGCCTACTAAGTATGAAAAAAAAATCCCTGCATTCACACAATCTTGTCATAGTTCAGAGCAAAAGAGAAGATGCTAAAAAAAAGTTGTTAAAGGAAAATGAAGACACCTACAAGGAAATGAGAATCAGTTGCGTCAGACTCACGATTATCAGCGCTGGCTGGCTATTAAAAGACACCAGAATTCATTCTTTAATGTTCTCAAGCAAAATTGTTTTCATCATAGAATGCCATACCCAGCTGACAAAGTGTGATAGACAAAGATATTTTCAGACACACAAGGACTCAGAAAATTGACTTCTCTCTACCCACCCTAAGACACACACACACAAGACAAGGCTATCATAAGAAAGAGTGAAGCTAGTCTGGGGTGTTGCTAAACGGAGATTCCAAGAAGACATCCACCTAAATATAAACAAACAGGAAAGCAGAGGACAGTAAAAAGAGTGAGTTTGAGAACAATGGAATGTACTGTGTTCAATAGATGGCAGGAGCGAAAAATGGAGGGATCAGAGTGCTTTTGCAAATAAGGTATGTATTTGCTTGTCTTCAGAAACAAAAGGTCAATTAGAATTTCTGGAAAAAAATTAGATAAGTAATGATGCAGGGCAGGCAAGCCTCAGAATTGGAGCTTAGCCCTGAGGATTCTTGACTTCACCCAGGAAAGAATTCAAAGGCAAGTCGCTGGTGTTAGACAGCAACATTTATTGAAGCGATGGTGTACAGCAGCAGCAGAGATACCATTCCTTGCAAAGCAGAGTGACTGCATAGGCAGTGTGGCCAGGGTGGCAGCTCAGAGGCAGTTCTTCAGTTGTATTTATACTCACTTTTAATTATATGCAAATTAAGAGATGATTATGCAGAAATTTCTAGGAAAGGGTTGGTAACTTCCGGGTTATTGAGTCATGGAAAGGGGCATGGAAAGGGGCAGTAACTTCGGGTGTTGCCATGACAATGGCAAACTGGCATGGCACACTGGTGGGCATGTCTCATGGCAAGGTGCTTCAACCTTGTCTATGTTTTAGCTAGTCCTCAATTTGGTCCAGTGTCTGAGCTCCACCTCCAGAGTCAAGCCTGCATCTGCAGTCAAATTCCACCTCCTACCTCAGTACAACATTGTCCATATAAAACCAACAAAATATATTAAGAATTTTAAAAACTGGTGAAAAGAGAATCTCTTTGATCTAGATCTTAGGAGCACTCTATTGTAAATGGTGCAAGAGTCAGAAATTGGATTCTTTGAGATGAAAAATAAATACAAACATTTTAGCTTGTCTTAAACAATATTTACATAGTATTAACTGTGTAAATAATATTTGTTGATTTATAATGTCTAGAATCTGCTAATAGACAAAGCACGAAAAGCAAATTAGGGTTACAGAATAAGATACGAATATTGTCAATTTCGAAATATTATCAACCACAAAAGAGGAGAGGAGATGTAGAGGAAAGGATAGGAGTGCTAATTGTTTAATCTTACCTAGTTGGCTGCCCCAAGTATACTAGAAAGCATATTGTTTAGAATGACTGTGTATTATTTAGAATAACTAGAAACAGTGATAAAGATTATATTGGCTGGGGACCTAGAAAGGGGGGAGTTAGTTCTTCTTATAAGTCCTCTGAATTTTTTTGCTTTGTTATTGTATTCATTTGTGAGGGCTGCCACAATAAATGATCACAAGCTGTATGACTTAAAACAAAAGAAATTCATTTTTTCACGGTTCTGGAGGCTGGACTGTAAAATCCTGGTTGGTTAGCAGGTTAGTTCTTTTTTAAAGCTTCTGACAGAGAACCTGTCCCATGCTTCTCCTCTAATTTCTAGTGGTTGCCAGCAAACCTTGGTGTTCCTTGGCTTGTAGCTGCATCACTCCAATCTTTGCCTCTGTCTTCACAATAGCATTCTGTGTGTGAGAGTGTGTGTGTGTGTGTCCCCATATTTCCCTCTTCATATGAAGACATCAGTCATGTCAAATCCAGGACCCAACCTGAGTATCACTTTATCTTAACTAATTATATCTGCAAAGACTCTATTTTCAAACAATGTCACATTCTGAGGTTGTGGGTAGACATGCATTTTTGGGGGAATACTATTCAACCCATGACAGTCATCATATGTGCAAGTATTAGTTGGATAAAAAGATTCATACTTTGAGAATGATTATTTCATCTAAGTTGCCCTCTTGATATATTGTACAAGCATATTTGTTTATTGGAACCCATTCTCCTATTTATTCTAAACAAATGCCGTATATGAGGCTTGGCTGCAGAAGGTTAAGGAAGCAGCCATATGAACATGCTTTTGCCCTTTCTGTTAAAGCTCTTGTACAAAACATTGTCTATGGTGTAGTTTGATCACCCTCATGTAAGGATTTTTGTAATTTAGCACCAGAAAAAGTTTATTTATAAAATGGAACACTTCCTTTTATTGACTAATTAAGAAATATATGATTCATTTTATTTCCCTTTGTCTTCACTGACAGAAAATTTTTCTGCTACACGTAGCAAATTACAGAGAAAATAACTACCTATTTATTGGAGCAAAGTCTCCCTGCAAGCAATTATTTTTGGATAATTTACCTTGCCTGTTAATTAACTAATTGACATTTAATCTAACAAATTCAATCTGTTAGAGAAACAGGAAGCTGAGCAATAGACAAATACAGTAGCTGAAAGGTACCCACAGCAGTGGGAATAAAGATGAGGTGCTACTTTAAGAAGCAGAATTGGTGGGACTTTATAAATGGAGTGAAGGAGAAAGAGAGGGGAATGCTACTCCAAGGTTGAAGGCTGCAGATGTTTGAGAGGGTGGCAGCTTGCCGACCAAGAAAAAGGAACATATTTGGAAGACAAGAAAATGAACCCAGACTTTGCTCTGGACTCCTGGTTTTCTGACCATTGAGAGGAGGGCCAGTGAAGTGTCCACACCACATAAGCAACATTCATTCATAGGTTGATTGACTTAGTCTGTGCATTCATTCAACAAATATTTATGTTCATCACTTCACTTTTCTTGATAAAGAGGAAAATAAAGACAAGTCCCTATTCTCATGTAACATATTCTAATGGAAGAAAAACACAACACATGGTCAGCTAAACATGTCACACAGTGTGAGGTAGTGAGATGAACATGGAAAAGAACTAAAGCAGGGTGAAGAATAAAGAAACGTAGGGATGCTGGTCTAGTTTCTGTCACCAGTGAAGGACTTTCTGAGGGATTAGAGCTGAGCAGATGCGTAAGTGAAGTAGAAAATCTGTGGGCATCTAGAGGGAAGAGCATGTGCAAAGGCCCTAATGCAGGTGCATTGTCTGCCTGGGAGTTGATAGGAGCTGGGCAGATAGAGGGACAGAGATTAAAAAGGAGTCCAGGAGATAGGAAGGGGCCAGCTGTTGTAGGGCCTTGGAGGCCATGGTAAAGGCTTTAGATTTCATTCTTAGTATTTTTTTTTTTTTTTTTGAAATGAGGTCTCGTTCTATTACAGCCTGGAGTGTAGTGGTGCAATCTCGGCTCACTGCAACCTCCACGTCCCAGGTTTAAGCAATTCTGCTGTCTCAGTCTCCCTAGCTCAGCTAATTTTTTGTATTTTTAGTAGAGACAGGGTTTCGCCATGTTGGCCAGGCTAGTCTTAAACTCCTGACCTTAGGTGATTCTCCTACCTTGGCCTCCCAAAGTGCTGGGATTACAGGCGTGAGCCACTACGTCCAGCCTCTTAGTGTTTTCTATTTGACCTTGTGTCCCTTTACAAAAATGGTAGCATTTTGCTGATGATAATTTTCTCCAGATTATGGGCCTTGACATCTGTCTGTTCCCCAGGAATGTTATAGACTACATATTCCTAAGGACTTGTTTTGCTTGTTCCCTGGAATCCCACCCCTACCACCAACCCCAATTAAGTAAGCTATATGTATATGCTTATTTTCGTGTGTCCAAAATTACTCTTGGCAACAGTACTGCATTTAAACCAAAGGTGCAGCTGTTTCTGATGAGCCCCTTTTTCAAGATGCATATTAGATGGAAAGAATCTGTTCCGTAGAAATTTGATTCTGAAATCTCAAATCATAGCTATAACTAAAAAATATTTAGGGTAAATGTTTATTGTTTAGATAATTTATCATAAATCCTGATGGGACCACTTATTGGCTAAAAGATTTTTAACAAGTTAATTATCTCTCTGTATAACACTTTCACCATGTGTCCAGCCAGGGGTGCAACAAATATATGTCCTAGAGATAAAAAAAGGCACAAATTCTGACATGACATGCAGAATAACATCTAACAGATAAACATTAATGATTATTGTTCTTAGGCATGTACTTAAAACCTGAATATTAGTAATACTTTTATTTATATTAAATTTTTAAGTGACATTCTTAAACTTCAGAATCTTGAAGTTTTTACTCTGATTTATATTACTTACTTGGAATAATTTAATTATTATGTCTCAAAGCCATTAACGTGTTGATATCATGTTTAAAGTTCACAACTTTGCATGTAATCTGACTTGAGTGTATTTATAGTAATAATGCTTTCATTTAAGTGTGCTCCAGCACATCTCTGCATCTGCAATGCTATATCACAAATTAGTTTAACAGTAGTTTCATAACATTATCTAATAAGCAATCTAAACCAATTGGAAATATTTCCAGTTGACCCAATGTATCTTATAAAACTCGTTGTAAATTTTGTTGAGATGTTAAGCACCTTCATATACTTAAATAAGTTATGGATAATGGGATTTGGGAATTGGGACAGTTTTTAAAAATATCTATAAGCTTTTTCCCCCCTGCAGGTTTGTTATATACATGAACTTCTGTCATAGGGGTTTGTTGTATACATTATTTCATCACCCAGGTGCTAAGCATAGTACTCGACAGGTATTTTCTCTGATGCTTACCCTTCTTTCACTTTCCACCCTATCGTAGGCCCCAGTATATATTGTTCCCCTCTATGTGTCCATGTGTTCTCATCATTTAACACCCATTTATAAGTGACAACATGTGGTATTTGGTTTTCTGTTCCTGCATTAGTTTGCTAAGGATAATGGTCTCCAGCTCCAGCCATGTTGCTGCAAAGCACATTATCTCATTCTTTTTATGGCTGCATAGTATTCCATGACGTTTATGCACCACGTTTTTTTAATCTAGTCTACCATTGATGGGCATTTAGGTTGATTCCATGTCTTTGCTATTGTGAATAGAGCTGCAATGAACGTACACATGTATGTGTCTTTATGGTAGAATAATTTATATTCCTTTGGGTATATACCCAATAATGAATTTGCTGGGTTGAATAATAATGCTGTTTTTAGTTCTTCCTGGAACCACCACACTGCTTTCCACAATGGCCAAACTAATTTGCACTCCCACCAGCAGTATATAAGCATTCCCCTTTCTCTGCAACCTCACCATCATCTGTTATTTTTAATACCACCCATTCTGACAGGTGTGATATGGTATCTCATTGTGGTTTTGATTTGCATTTCTCTAATAATTAGTAATGTACAGCATTTTTTCCATATGCTTATTGGCTGCATGTATGTCTTTTGAAAAGTGCCTGTTTATGTCTGTTGCCCACTTTTTTATGGGGTCATTTGTTTTTTGCTTGTAAATTTGTTAAAGTTCCTTATAGATTCTGGCTATTAGACCTTTGCCACATGCATAGTTTGAAAATAGTTTCTCCTATAGGTTGTTTGTTTATTCTGTTGGTAGTTTATTTTGCCGTATAGAAGCTCCTAAGTTTAATTCAATCCCATTTGCCCATTCTTGCTTTTGTTGAAGTTGCTTTTGGCACCTTCATCATGAAATCTTTGCTGGTTCCTCTGTCCAGAATGGTATTTCCTAGGTTATCATCTAGGATTTTTATAGTTTGTTTTCACAGTTAAGTCATTTCTGTTTTCACAGTTAAGTAATTTATAGTTTGTTTTCGCAGTTAAGTCGTTTCACAGTTAATTCATCTTGAGTTGATTTTGTATATGGTGTAAGGAAAAGGATCTAATCTGCCTATGGGTAGCCAGTTATCCCAGGACCATTTGTTGAATAGGGAATCATTTCCCCATTGCTTTGTTTTTGCCAGCTTTGTTGAAGATCATATGGTCATAGTTGTATGGCTTTATTTTGGGGCTCTCTATTCTGTTCCATTGGTCTATGTTTCTGTTTTTGTCCCAGTACCATATAGTTTTGGTTACTGTAGCCCTGCAGTATAGTTTAGAGTTGGGTAACATGATGACTCCAGCTTTCTCCTTTTTGCTTAGGATTGCTTTGGCTATTGGGGCTGTTTTTTGGTTCCATATGAATTTTAAAATAGTTTTTTCTAGTTCTGTGAAGAATGTTATTGGTAGTTTGATAGGAATAGCATTGAATCTGTAAATTTCTTAGGTCAGTATGGCCAATTTAATGGTATTATTGCTATCCACGAGCGTGGAATGTTTTTCCATTTGTTTGTGTCATCTCTTTTTTTCTTTGAGCAGTGTTTTGTAATTCTCATCATAGAGATCCTTCACCCTTCTGGTTAGCTGTATTCCTAGGTATTATATTTTTGTGGCAATTGGAATGAGATTGCATTCCTGATTTGGCTCTCAGCTTGGCTGTTGTTGGTGTATAGGAATGCTAGAGATTTTTGCACATTAATTTTGCATTCTGAAACTTTGCTGAAGTTGTTTATTAGCTTAAAGAGCTTTTGGGTTTTCTAGATACAGAATCATATAATCTGCAAATAGGGAGAGTTTGACTTTCTCTCTTCCTGTTGGGAGGCCTTTTATTTCTTTCTCTTGCCTGATTGCTCTGACCTTAACTTCCAATATTATACTGAATAGGAGTGGTGGTAGAGGACACCCTTGTCTTGTGCCAGTTTCAAAGGAGAATGATCCCAGTTTTTGTCCATTCAGTATGATGTTGGCTGTGGGTTTGTAATAGATGGCTCTTAATATTTTGAAGTATGTTCCCTCAATGCCTAGTTTGAGGGTTTTTAACATGAAGGGATTTTAAATTTTAACAAAGGCCTTTCTGTGCCTGTTGAGATAATCACATGTATTTTTGAGGAATTGGGACTATTTTTTTTTTACATTTTTAATACAGTTTTAGTCAATTACACATTCTCCATTCGTTTGGAAAAGTGAAGAAACTTAATATTAGAGTAAATAATTTTGCAACTGTGTTACAAAGAGATTCTAATCACTCAAATTAGGAAGATTCAAACTTGAGTGTGCATCACAGAAGAGCTTGTAAAACCAGTTTGTGGGGCCCTGCTCCCAGGGCTTTTGGTTCTGTGGGTAGGACTGGGAACTGGGAACGTGCATTTTTCAAAAGTTCCTTGGTCATTCTGATGCTACTACCTGGAGACCGCCCTTGGAGAACTAGAGCAGTATATCCTGTTCATACAACTATCATGCATATTTTTTAAAGTTATCTTAATTTGTGCACCTGCTCACCTAAGATGGTCATATATGACATTTCTACTTCTCACTTAATTTAATAACTAACTTTTGAGAACTGTGGGCAAGATGGATACTGTGTTAACACTAGAAGCAATAGTTCTCCGTCGTGAGATACTTTCTAACATTTTTCCAAAGCACTGGGGATACACCAAGCACAAAAAGTCCACATGAAAGCAGTCATCTATCCATAGGCAAATAAAATTCTGTGAGATAAGGCCAAACCACACTCTCACGGAGTCAATTTGGCTTAGGATGTGTCTGCGTGCACACATGTACATAATCCATTGAGTTAATTGATCTAAAGGGAACAATCTGGACCGTTTGGAAATTCCCTGCTTCTTGATGAAGTGGTAAGAACCACAGTTATTCAACTATAAAAGGGAATTTTGGAAAGGTCATAATGAGCTTTATTCACCCTTAGACCCAGGGCACCTAATGGGCTTGCTCTGAAGAGGGCCATTGAGGGAATTTATTTGACTTGGGCAATTTTTTCCTCCAAGTAGAAGCAAATTGACCTATCTTAAAAAAAAAAAAAAATAGCTCATAGACCCAGCAGCACAAGCTAGCTTATGGAAACTCAGATGGCAGACCTAGGAGGATGGATCACTGTTGCTCAACTCCTCAGTAAAAACAAACAAACAAACAAACAAACAAAACACCAGTGTGCTTCCTTCAACACACCTAGATGTCCTTGATGACCCCATTCTCTCTTCACGTAACTAGGCAATGATTAATTATTGCCATAGCTGATTAGGCTTCATGATATATACTTCTCACTGCCGCCACCTCTGTAAATGACCTTGCTTCAACCAGCACATCCGTCTCAGCCCAAGACCAGGTAGCTTCGCACACTCTACGATGCAACACGATAATTGGTTCTCTGTCTTGCAATCAGAGTAGCCTCCCACCACAAACAGAAACACACACTTACACACACACACACACACACACACACACACACACACACACACACACACACGGTGAATGTGAAGGGAAAGGTGAAAAATGGAGATGAAAGATGAAAGTAGAATTTTATAAATGTCTTTGATTTGACCAGTACTAATATATTGCTTCCAAATTGTGTGCTTATGCCTCTATTTCTGCTCAAATCAGGTTTGGAATTTTTGCTTTTTTTTTTTAATCAGGAAATACTCACTCTTCAGGCTCATACACAAACCCCATAAAACTGCCTATCTCATGAATACTTTGTAAGTGTGTGGCAGATAATTGCATGATATGGTATGGAATATTGGAGTGGGTGGTTGACTAAGACTGTGGAAGTCAAATGGAAGTAAAGAACGTGAGGCAGAAACTAGAGTGAGGGCCCTTTAGGGACTAGCATGAGAGAGGGTAGAATGGAGCTCGAGACCCAGGGAGGGTGGAAAGGCAAACAGATGGGCAGGGGCAGTAATGGGAGGTCAAGGAGAATGTCAGTTATGGGAGCAAGATTTGCCCGAAATGCAGATATCAGCTCACTGGAGTGTGACAGTGGGTCACAGAGTGATGGCTCAAGTTAGAGAAGAAGCACCCAGAGTCTGTGTGGCCAAAGTCCCACTGCTCTTCAGATGAAAAGTAAACACAGTCAGCTCATAACACATAGTAGCAAGCAGGGCAAAGGCTAAGTAGAATCAGCTCTCCTTATGAATTTTAAGGGTTTAGGGACCAAGGAGAATTTCATGAAGCTCACTAGATAACATTCAGCCCAGGTTATTAGAGAAAGCTGAGGGTGCCTTGAAAAGAATCATAAATACAGTGGTTAGAAAAAGATAGTAAAGGTAGCCGATCAATAGAGGATATAAAGCCAGATTACCTTGCAACATATAAAGGGATAGTTTTTTTAAAAAAAATTAATAATGGAATATCTCGTATACATATTTGTTGAGGAATGCTTCTAAACCTGGATTTGCTACTCAGTAAAGCACTGAAATGCAATTCCTTCCTATATAAGTTACTTATTTCTACATAACAAAAGACCCTACGTTGTCTTAGTGGCATAAATAACAGTCATTTGTTAATTTCCATGTGGCTGGGAGTCAGCTGGCAGTTCTGCTGATCTGAGCCAGGCTTGCCTGATGAGTTTGCTCATGTGTCTGGTGTCTGTGTTAGCTGCATTGTTGGCTGGAAGCTAGCAGATCTAGGATGGCCTTGGCTGGGATAAAGGAATGCTCCACATTTCTTTGACACCTCTCTATCATGGAGTATTCTCCTGGTGAACCCAGATAAACATACAAGAGCACAGAAATGCACTAACATTTTTCATACTGCTGCTTGCTTTCAAACTGCTTGTGATCCATTGGCTAAAGCAAGTTACGTAAGTCCAGAATAAATGTGGGACAGAATTAGGGAAAGGTTTGCATATGGGGGAATAGAGGCCACTCAGGCGTTCAGTCTATACCACCTAATTTTTCTTTGTTTAATGGTAGAAATTATAGCAATTCTGAAAGGCTTACAATTCACTATATTTAACTATGTGGGAAAAAATACCCTGCTGTATTTCTTTTCTGCTTTTTTTTTTCTATAATTATATGTATTTCCCATTTTCAGTTATCCTACCGTACTCATTTTCACAACTTGCACTATTCTTAAACGCCATTTTTTTAAGCCTGCATAACATTCTGACTTGCTGTTATGGTGTGTTAATTTAAACATTTTCAAATTATGGAAACTTTGTTATATACAAGATTGCTTCCTTAGGCGAGTTGATTTAATTGGAAATTAGTGGGTCAATCATTCTTAAGTTCCTCTGGGCCTGTTAGCAAAGTGCTTTCCAAAATATTTGTTCTACTTTCCATTATCAATTACAAATGCACCATGCTCTCTCCAACCAGGTGTATTACCTTCCTTTATTAAATATTGGCAATAAGAATAATAACTGCAGTTACCTCAGAGGGCCATAGTTGGTACTCACTGAATGAATCCATAGGAAGTCACAGAATGGTGTTAGATATTAGCTAAGCTCTAAATAAATGTTAGTAAAATTATGAATAGTATGTTAATTTGAATGTATTGGATTTTTCATGATTAAGTTTAAATGTTATATCTTCTTTTGTGAATCATCTTTTTATTGTCTCTTCTCCTCTCCTTTTGACTCCTAGCTTATTTTCTGTCATCTGAGTTTTCTTTTGCTTCCCCTACCCGTTTCTATTTCCACATTCTATTTTATATAAAAAAAATTGAATTTAAAGTTTTTATAAACTCTTTACAGAACTGCATTATATGAAGCAAATTAAGTCACTGGTTTCCACGTCCTCCAGTTTCTGCAATAATACTACATAAACAGAGAAAAAACAGGATCCGGAGACAAAGACAAGCCTGGAAATACCTTCAACACTGTTAAATAGGTCCATTTCCTTATGCTTTTTCTCAATAACTGAAATTTCTCCATTTCCCTCCATTTCCCATGATGAAGTTTGCCCAGACCAATTGGATGATGATATCACCTAGGATATCACCAATACTATCAGCTTTCTTCACTCTGTGACTGTGTAGTTCTGTAGGGGGGTTGGGTAGTTTCTCTGGAACTAATAAGAAGCTAGAATTGTTTGCTTCATGAAGAGTGGCATAGAACACTAGAATTACTCTGTGCGTGGAAGATAAATGTCTTCTCCCCTCCCTTTGTTTTATTGGCAACAATTAAGCTGATTTAAAAATAAATCCATGCTTCCTCTGTGTGGACTCCACACTTAAACATTCATAATTGCTCCCCGAACGTAATGGCCTAGATGTTACTTTTAGATAGTTGAAATGCTAAGTCATATATTTTTAAACCATTGAGTCATTGTTAATTAATGTCTATTTGTTTTAATTTTGAAGCTCTGCTGAATTAATCAATAATGGATGTTGAAAGCACAGGCCATAGTGATAAACTTATGTGACTTCTTTTTCCTTTGCAATTTCACAGATAGAAGATTTATTCTTACTGTAGATCTCAGCAATCTCAGTGTGTGATTTTATTTCTCCTTATTAAGTGAGGAACTTTCACCTTTTCACTTAAAGGATGCACATTAGGGCTTTTTCTTGGCATACTCGAACTGCCTGCATCACTACTCTTGCCTTTTGAAGCCATTAGTGAGTAAAGTAAGAGTGACTTGAACAGAAGCACTGTGATACCAGGGTAGTCAACCTGATAACCAGAGGACTGCTAAGTTACCAACTGGCAGGTGGTATGGATATGCCAGGCAAAGAAATGATTTACGTCCCAGGTGGATGGCGCAGGACAGCATGAGATTTCATCACACTACTCAGCATGGCGCACCCTGTAAAATTGATGAATTGTGTATTTCTGGAATTTTCCATTAAATATGTTCAGACTGCAGTTGAGCCCGGGTAACCGAAACTGTGGAAAGTGAAGCCGTGGAAAAGCGAAGACTCCTGTTTTTTTGAGGAGTTGGTAGAGTGAAGATTTAAACAGCTCCATCAAAGGAAAAATGTGATTTAAGAAACTGAAAAGGAAATGTATTTTTTAAATATGTGAGGCCCCTTGGGCACATGTGTAACCCTGCAAGAACGAAATATGCCCTGAAAGAAGTGAAGATCCTTTGAGATTTTTTTAAATCCTTATTACCTATCCACAACAAAATTAGAAAACAAAATTGGAAGTTGACATTTTGAAACTGATTCCAAGTGTTGTTCTGAATGCAGTGAGGGAAGAAACGGGGTAGAGAAAAATTCGGTTTCTGCTACGGACGAATAGTGCTTTGGCCACCCTTGCTGTGGCACTCATCTAGCTAGACAACCGCACCACTGCAGGGTCACAGCTATACCTACAGCTCACTTTGATAACCCTCCACGCACCTCACTACCACCACTGCAGAGAAAGTTCTGAAACTGTGGCACCAACAATACTCTCATGGCCAGCTGGCCAATCCCCCGGAGAGAAAGAACACAGACCTATATACCATGTGGGCTCACTCTGCAGCATGTTAATAGCAAAGCAATCTTATTCCGCAAATACTACATGTGTAGATTTTATCAATTTATTTGCTGGAAAGATTGTGCAAATACCACACTGTCCCATGAGAAAACAGATACCTGATGATTTGAAAAGATGTTTTAACTTTTAAATACAGTGGCATTCATCTAAGGGATTCCATGATTCCCAGGACCACCACTTGAATTTCCAACAACAACTGTCTTCCTCCCCTTCTGCCATAAAGAGAGGCAGAATCTTAATGATGTTGAGAAGGTGTGTCCTCTGCTTGGGTCAGGAAAGATGCTAAAACAAGAAAGGTTAAGTAGGAAAGTAAGAATTTTTTTTTTTTTTTTTTTTTTGTGGCAGAGTTTCGCTCTTGTTGCCCAGGCTGGAGTCCAGTGGTGTGATCTCGGCTCACTGCAACCTCCGCCTGACCTGAAGCCTCTCACTCCCTGAAGGAACCTCTACCATAAAACATGGTGAACCATTGTGAGAGGTTGCCATTCTGAAACAGGAATAGTGTAAAGCCTCAAAATGGAGCTTTGACTAATGTGAGCACTTTACATAAAGATGTTGCAAAAAATGGTGGATATGAGAAATAGTAAAAATATCCCACAGTCAGGTATCACTGAAAGACTGGGAGAACAGATATGCATTGACAGTATGAGCAAAGCAAAGGCCTGCTGTGACTGTAAAACAATGTCAGAATGACCCTTGTACCAAGAAAAACATACTCCTGCATTATTAGTATATGATAATTGAAAAGAAAAACTACAAATGGTCAACATGTAGTCAAGACAGGAAATAGAGAACTGAGCATTAATCAGGAAAAATATTACCATATCAATGATTTCTTTATCTTTTTTAGCAAAGCAAAACTGTCAGTTAAAATTCTCTATGGTAGTCCATTGAAATGGGTGGCAATGTCCTGGCAGATTGTGTTGAGTAGCGGTGGGTAGAAGAAAAAGTGGAAGATGTGAATTCCTGCATACTGGACCTCCCACTTATCCTTCTAAGGTTACCTCCCAGCCCCAAACAATTCATTTTAAAACAATATTCTATGATAAGAAAAATATATGGAATAATCAGCATTGACTATTCATCATAAACAGCCCTAAGAAAAAATCAAGGTAGGAAGCATATCTTGAAGGTCCCTCCATAATGTATTTGTATACTCTTCTTTTTCCCCCATGATTCATAACTGTGAGGATGCTTACAGGCTTCCCAAGTTCACCAATATGTTTCCTATACACCTGCTCACTCCAGAAGCCAGATGTCATGAAGCTGATCTTTACTAATAGCTTTCCATTCAATTGATGCTTACTTGGTAGCTACTTGTGGCAAGGTAATACACTCAACATCATGGAAGGAAAATATAAGTACCAGACACTATGTAATTCACTCTATGAGACCTGTGGCCAACCCTACTACTTTTTACTGCCCTCTGTCGCCTCTACAGGAGGAAGGATATTCTTTACTAATAATCATAACACCTATTTAGTGAGAATCTACTGTGAACTCTCATATACTGTTGTTGACAATGTAAATTGTTTCAATCACTTTGGGAAACTGTTAGAAAGTATCTACTAAAGTTGAATATATCTACAGTCTCTGACCCAGAAATTTCACTCTTAGGGGTGTGTGTATGTGTGTGTACCTGTCTGTGAATCTTGAATAGAATAAATCATAATAAGTAAACCAAAAGCTGTAGAATGAGTAAATAACTTACCACATACTCATTCAATGGAATTGTATCCAGTAGTGAGAATAAATGAACTGCAACTTCTTGCTTGCTATAACAAGGATGAGTCACACAAACATGATATTGAATGAATAAAACCAGATGCTCCCTTCCCCAAAATAAGGCAAACTTGATCTGTGGCATTAGAAGTCAATATACTGGTGGCCAGACGTGGTGGCTCATGCCTATAATCCCAGCACTTTGGGAGGCCAAGGCAGGCAGATCACTTGAGGTCAGGAGTTCAAGAGCAGCCTGGCCAACACGGTAAAACCCCATCTCTACTAAAAAAAAAAAAAAATACAAAAATTAGCCTGGCATGGTGGTGTGCACCTATTGTACCAGCTACTGGGGAGGCTGAGGCATGAGAATCGCTTGAACCCAGGAAGTGGAGGCTGTAGTGAGCCAAGATCGCACCACTGCACTCCAGCCTGGGTGACAGAGTGAGACTCCATCTCAAAAAAAAAAAAAAAAAAAAAAAAAGCAAAAGAAGTTGTCAATATGCTGGTCACCCAGTCTCTATATTGGAAGGAGTCATGTTTCAGGTGTCCTGGTAATGGCTGGGTTTTTTTTTTTTTTTTTTTTTTTTTTTTTTTTTGAGAGTTGGTCACTCTAGATTTGTCAAAATTTACTGAGTTATATACTTAAGATTTTTGCACTTTTCTGCATGTATGTTATACATTGATAACACTAAAAATCAATTTAATTTATCTCATTAACAGAATAATGGAGAAATTAATAAAAGCATCACCATTGATGCAGAAAAATCAATTAGAAAATTCAGCCTTTGTTAATGAAAACTTTCTTAGCAAACTTGGAATAAAAGGGAACTTCATTAATCTGATAGAGAACTTCTGTAAAAATCTTTCAGCAAACCTTGCATTTCATTGTGAAATATTGAAAGCTTTCCCTTGAGATTAGGAGTAACACAAGGAAGCCTGCCATCACCAATTTTCCCTGATATTTTACTGAAAGTCCTAGGTAGCACAATAAGGCAAGCTTAGGAAATGAAGAAATAAAACTGCCATTATTTATAGATGACTTGATAGCAATAGAATGTTCAAAATAAGTCAGATATAAGCTATTTTAATTAATATGTCAGTTTAGCAAATTCAGTTTATGTACACACAATAAAAACAAAAATGTAGAAATTTATAAAATCAAAATATATAGAAGCAGGCATTGGTCTATTATAACGCCATGTAAGACCTCTACATAGAATATTACAAACCACTTTTTTTTTAAATGGTAGTCTTTAAATAAAGCGGTTCTTAAACCTTCTATCAGGACCTTCTAAGTAGCAAACTTTGAAGTCTTTATTTTAATAATGCTAATCAATGCTAACACACTTTTTCCTAATTTCATTCTGAGGCAGAAATGACTCACTGCTGTGTAGTTTCACTTTAGAGTTAAGAAAACATGGTCTAGTTTTTTCCTTTTGAGTCACTGAAATGGCTTTTTAGCTTCTTACAAAACATCAAACTTTCCATTTTAGAAAGAAAAAAGATAATATAATTGGGAACATTCAAAACAATGGTTCTCAAGTCCTGATATAAATGTAAGAATTTCAAAAGGCTTTGTGCTTGAGAATCATCATTGGAGCATTTGAAGGGATTGGAACTCATCTGGTGAGCCATCTGTCTGGTTAGCAATACCCAGTCTTCATTTAGAGTCATCCTTGATCATTGACATGCTCTTGAAACATAACATCTTTTAATCATGCATTTATTCAACATATATTTGATGTGTGCTTGGTCTGTTACAGGGTACTGTATTAAGAAACTAAAGATATGATTATGAATTAGATCAGTGCTAGAATCCCTTCTCTCTGTCCCTCTCTTTAGCCTATTCTATTTCCCTCTCACATATATTTCAATTTCCATAGATATCCTGTTGTCACATGGCAGTATTGTTTAGCCACTGACATCCCTCCTGTGTTTCCACGTTTTGTTTCCAGATCAAATAAGGTGTTGAGATTTTCTTTCCATTAAAGATCTGAGGAAATAAAGATAAGAGATTTACTCCAAAAAGTTAAAATTATGATAGAGCAAGTGCTGTTACATTTTAAGGGGTCACTTGGTGGCTAAATACATAACACAATAATATGCATGATGACTGGTTTCAACAGATCACACATGTATACAAATAGAAGTTTTCTAAGATACGTTTTTTCTTTTACTAAATATTACTTATCATAGGGTAATTTTATTTGACTTGCAATTTCTAATGTAAAACAACAAATGTGAAGGCTCCAGAAAGCAATGAACTGAGGTTCTGTTGTGTACTAAGTTTGAGGTTGTGATATTTAATAATTTTTAGACATATGTCTTATCACACCTGTATACATAAGATGATGCATTTATGCATGGTTCAAAGTACGTATGAGCTTCCCTTAAATTCTCTTCTGATATTGCTATACAAACTTTACAAAGTTTAAAAAAGAAGTAGTTACAGTCCTTAGAAATAATAAAGAAGTCGTTACCATTCTTAGAAATAGTATTTCCTCGGTTTCCTTGGCTTTATATGATACAAAACTTTTCCCCAGCTTTTGTTGTTGTTTGTATGTTTGATTCTATGTAAACTAAGTTCTCCTTATGGCCATTCTGATATCTTGCTGGTGTTTTGTAGGGTTGCTATGACTACAGAACTTGTGGGGGGTTTTGGGATTTAAACAATGAGAACACATGGACACAGAGAGGGGAGCATCACACACCAGGGCCTGTTGGGGGTCGGGGGGCAAGGGGAAGGAGACCATTAGGACAAATATCTAATGCATGTGGAGCTTAAAACCTAGATGACGGGTTGATAGGTGCAGCAAACCGTCACGGAACATGTATACCTATGTAACAAACCTGCACGTTCTGCACATGTGTCCCAGAACTTAAAGTAAAAAAAAAAAAAAAAAAAAAAACTGGGAAGTTGTTTTCTTCAAAATACCTGTTTACGTTTTGCTGCTTTTTCTTTACTTTTAGTGCATACTAAAATTTTCTGTTGATCCTAAAGTAAATATACATAATTTGATTTAATTCATCATTTCTGGCATTTGGAATGTAATAAACTGTGGATAAAATTGTGTCATAATATTAAGAGTTATTAGAATTGTCGAACTTCAAAATCTAGAATGTCATATATTTTAGGGCCTCTGAGGAAAACAGATGACTATTTCACTGTCCCTGAATAAGCTTTTGAATATTAACTACAAATCACCAAGAGTTTTAAAGAGTTGAGAAACTTGCTGATGTTTGTTTCTTTACATTATTCCTAATAACATTATTTTCTTATCTGTGCAAATGGTCTCCAACGATGCTGAAAACAACCCTACATATTTAAAGACATGGTTACATTTTAAAAAGAAACCTAGTGCTCTAAAATTACAGACCAATTTGAAAATAGAATAAAGCCAGTGAGAGGAGACGTAACAAAATCAAGCACTAGGCATACAGTTATTTGCACAACTTGTGTCTAAGTGGCTCCAAAGGAAAAATCCATGACACCGACTGTACGCTAAGGAGCTAGACCTCAGCAGCGAAGTCAGGGGAGTGGTTCTGAACATGCACCGTTGAACTGAGATCTCACAGGTGAGGAACAGGTAAAAAAAGAAGGGAAAGATGTTCCCGGCAGAAGGAATAGTTTGTGTAAAGCTTTTTGGCAGAGACATACTAAGTCAATGATAACTGACAAAATTCCAGGCTTTTTGAAGCAGAGAGAACAGAGGATGTGAAAAACAAAGTGAGGAGGAAAGTATATGTAGGATCCAAAGTCTGATTTTCCTGTGGGCGCTGGCAAAGAGGGTTGTATTCCTTCTGAGACTAATGGCCACATGGAAGGGCTCTAATCATGTAGCTGCTGTGATCATTGCTTGCAAAAAAAAAAAAAAAAAATTCTGAGTCAAAAAAATTATAAGAGTAAAAGAGAAACAATTGGAGAAATTTAAATAGTTAACAAATACTGGTATTACAGTGGTTCCCCCTCATTCCATTTAACATGGTTTCAGTTATTCGCAGTAATAGCATCTGAAAATAGGTGAGTACGGTAAAATAAGATGTTTTCAGAGAAGGAGACCACATTCACATAATTTTTATTACAATATATTGTTATAGTTGTTCTAATGTTACTCTCGTACTGTGACTAATTTACAAATTATACTTTATCATACGTATATATGTCTGGAAAAAAGCCTACATATATAATATAGAACATATATATATAACATATAACATATATATAACATATAACATATATATAATACATAACATATAATATATAATATATAACATATATATATAGAGAGAGAGAGCGAGAGAGAGAACGCATTTGATACTATCTGCCGTTTCAGGCGTCTACTGAATATCTTGTAACATATCACCCATGGATAAGGGGGGACTGCTATATTATTAAGGAATTAGTTTTCGTATTTAAGTTGTGACAATAAAATTGCAGATATGTTTTCTAGAAGATTTTTTCATAAGTATATAGAAATATTTAGAGGTGAAATAATATACACATTGGAATGTTTTAAAAATAATAGAGCAGGCAGTGTGGGGGTACAAATAAATCAAGACTGGCCGTGAATTAATAATTGTTGAAGCTATACTAGAATGCTGATGGAGATGAAGATAAATGAGAAAGATTAAGGGCTTTTCAGGAGATAAGAGTGGCAGACATTGGTGATGGGGGGTATGAAGGTTACCAGGAGATGGAAGCATCAAGGTTGACTCCTGTTTCCAGGCTGCATACCTGAGTGAACAGGGATGTCATTCACTGAGAGAGGAAACACATGCAAGGACAAGGTTTTATGGTAGAGATTAGGAAAAAGGATGGGGCCCAAGAGCATGGTTTTCATTCTAGACCTGTTGAAATTGGAATGTCTTTGAGATGTCAAAGAGAAGATACTGAGTAAATGGCTGAATATATGTATCTGGGGCTCACAGAAAAGGTCTGGACAGCATGTAAGATGGTATTAAGCCACAATGATGGAGTGGATCTAGGGAGAAACTCAAAGAAGCTTATGTCAGTCAAATTATCCATGCCTCTCTGGGCTGAAGACAGCAAAAATGACCGAATATACAAAGAACAGGAAAACCACTATTGAGTCAAATAATTCTGGTCCTTTATAAAAAGTCCACTTTCCAGAGTTATTGAGAATGGACTACGATTAACTCATTTGAGTTTTCTACATTTTCTTTCTCTGATGGTATCAATGATGTAAGAAAATAAGCAAAGAGAAGAATAGAAAACAGCTACTGAATAATTAAAATTTTACATAAATATGCAAAATGGTGAAGTATGTCCAAAAGTTTTTGAGATTGGCTTATGTTAAACAGAAGAAAATAAGTAAAATTAACAATAATAGCAAAATTAAGCTCATTATTTTAATAGTATTCTATGTTTATCAAAGAACTTTTAAAATTAGAGTTTCATTCAAGGCTAATAACCACATTTTTGATAGATAATTCAATACTATTTATATTTCACAGAGACAGAAATCCAGATATAGAGATTTGCAAGATTGGCTCTTTAACGTCATATTCCCAGTTAGATAATGAGCCAGAATTAGAACTAAGAACCTTGTTGTGTCTTGTTTGAGTCTTTTCCCATGATCATTATTTCATACAATTCATCTCTAATGGGTTGAATAATGTCTTCCCCAAATTCACATCTACTTAGAACCTCAGAATGATTTGGAAATAGGGTATTTGCAGACTTCATTAGTTAAGGATTGAGATGAAGTCAACTTGGATTAGGATGGGCTCTGAATCCAACGAGGATTCTTATAAGAGGCAGAAAAGGACGCAGAGAAGCACTAAGAAGGCAATGGGAAGATAGAGGCAGAGACTCAAGTGATATGTCTATAAACAAAGGAACACTAAGGATTACCTACAACCACCAGAAGCTAGGAAGCCCAGAAAGCAACAGCCACTCTTATACCTTGATTTCAGACATCACATCTCCAGAACGGTGAAAAAATACATTTCTGTTGTTTTAAGCCATGCAGTTTGTAGTTCTGTTACAAGAGCCCTAGGAAACCAATGCACCATCTTATATAAGGGAATTTTTATTTACTAATAAAAATTTCTTCATGAAGCCAAATATTTTACTCAAGTGTCTCTTCAAATATGTAATGTAGATTTTTCTGTGGGGAATCTGAAGGTTGTGGGAATTCAGAATCATGGTTAGTGGTTAGATTAAATCATGAGTTTCCATTTTCAGTTGCAAATGATATGAATGTTATGCTTGCTTTTATTTGACATATAGGGATTCCTTCTAAATTTATCTCTAGACTTCAATTTGTTTTCTTATATTCTTATCCAAATGTCCTTCCTTTGTCAAAATTATTATAAAATCACTAGGTACAAGGATCATGTTTGTAAACGTTTAGGTAATTACCTGTTAAATTGAACAATTGAGTTGTCATTCACTGACTTTGCACCAAAACAAACCTCTGAAGTGATTTGTATTGTTCCACTGATCTCTAATTTTTGAGCCTTATATAATAAAATCAGGAAGAAAAACCTTTCTATAGCTAAGAAAAAAATACCTTATTTAAATTTTTAAATGTTTCTTTTTTTTTTTTTTTTTGATATGGAGTCTCGCACTGTCACCCAGGCTGGAGTGCAGTGGCGGGATCTTGGCTTACTGCAACCTCTGCCTCCCGGGTTCAAGCAATTCTCCTGCCTCAGCCTCCTGAGTAGCTGGGATTATAGGTGCCCGCCACCATGCCCGGCTAATTTTTTTTCTTTTTCTTTAGTAGAGATGGAGTTTCACCATGTGGGTCTTGAACTCTTGACCTCTTGATCCGCCCGCCTTGGCTTCCCAAAGTGCTGGGATTATAGGCATGAGCCACTGTGCCCGGTCAAAATTTTTTAAGTATCACAAATCCAGTGCAAATTGCTGTCAAGGTACATTACTTCATGGCTTAAATGTTTTATTTTTCAGATTGAGTTTGCCTTTTTGCTTGTCAATCATGTAGCTACTATACTATGTAGGATGGAATTTGTCCCTAGTAACTTTCTAATCTTTTTATCTAGCTTCACCAAACTCACCCATCCCTTCTTTTTTATTTAAAATAATATCAAGATTTACTTTTTTCTGAAAACCACTTTTAGCAAAAATTGAGGATGTATCTCTCCAGAGACATAATTAAAAATAGATTATGGTCTAACTTCACTATTTCAAATCCGTTCATTTGTATAGCACTTAAATGCCATCCCCTTCCTTCTTGACCACTTCATTGTGCTTGTGGTGGAGAGACTGAAGGAACACACAAATGGACAATGGCCAGAAGATATATAAAATTAGAACTTTGAGCCACAACGTGCCGCACCTACAATCTGCACAACTCCCAACTCTGAGCCATAATCTACAGCAACTACCAACCCACTTTAGGCAATAACCAGTTTAGGAAGGCAAACAACAACCCCATAACACTTGCCCCCAAAAAGCCAGGACTTGATTAATAACTGACAGATTATCTAATTTTTGACCCAGCTTCCCACTTAATGCCAATGGGAGTGCAATGAGAGAATGCACCCTTACCAATCACACAGGATGCCCCACTGTGGTTAGCCGGCTTATAGCTTACCCACGCCAACAGCCTCCCATCAGGACATAGCCAACGCCTTGTCTTTTTTCCATTACAAAAATTTCCTTCACCTGCTTTTGAATCTCTACCAGTTGCAAATAATGGTGGCTGACTCCCTTAGAGCACGCTCTAAATTACTATCCTTTGCTTGTTTTCATTTGGGTAGTGTTCACTGGCAATAAGAACCAGTGATTTCTAGTTGACTGAAACTCATAAAGGAGATTTCAGTATAACTGTACCATAAGCAGAAACATAGATTCTGCTATTGCTGTTTTCAGTGGCTGATTCTTCTCTGTAACTTAGGTTTTACAATATTTCGTCCCGTTTTTCAACATATGTTCTCTGTACTCATAATCCAACTTTGTAAATACCTGTACAGTGGCAACTGGATTCCTCTAATCTGTTATTTAAAACCAGTGTTATTTTCAGGTCATCTCCTATGCTGCTTGCTTGTACAGTCATGCACCACATAATAATGTGTCAGTCAACAGTGGACTGCATATACGATGGGGATCTCATAAGCTTATGACACTGTATTTTGATGTACCCTCAAATACCCTTGTATTGCAGTACACCATGCCTTACAATTGCCTACAGTAGTCAGTACAGCAACATGCTGTACAGGTTTGTAGCCTAGGAGTAGAGGGCTATACCATATACTCTAGGTTTGTAGTAGGCTATCCTCTACATTTGTGTAAGTACACTCTATGATGTTCATACAATGACAAAATTACCTAATGACACATTTCTCAGGACATACCCCTATTTCTAAGTGACACATGACTGTATTTTTATTTCTGTTCTTCCATGTGAATTCCAACTCATAAATACCAATGTGCTATGAACTGAAATGTACTCACATACAGTTTCTTATTTTCACTTTCTGCCACATTCACAAGGAAAACTAAGAAGTTGTTTCCCAGTGATTCTCTGTTGTCTCTGCCCAGATGATTTAAAATATGCAGATTAAGGCTTAAAGTTTCTTAATTTAAAGAAATGCGTCTTCTCAAAAAAATTAACACACAATTTCAGGGAAAAAAGAAGGTGGGGGCAAGAAGAGCAGCAAGGAGTACTAGGAAGCAAAGACAAAGTGGTGCATAACTGAGAGGCAGCTAGTCATCAGCCACACAGGGCATCTCTGTGCTGTCTGTACAGCAACTCCCTACCTCAGATCAACGTATCAGAGGACAGAGAGGACAATGTATTCTCCAGCTCTCTCTCATCTCCTGTCTTTCAATGGTCAAAGTTTGCCCCACTGGGAGTGAGTCCCTCCCCGTTTCCAACATGGGTCACTTGAGCCTTTCAGGTACCCACTGGTGAAGCCGTAGGGCACTCCTGTGGCATGGCACTCCATGCTGCCCAGAAATGGTGGGAAGAGTCACAGTCTCAGTGAGTCTATCAGGTGAAAACTTCCTGCTGGACCTTCTGTGTCTCCCATCCAGTGATAAAAAAAAAAGAGTCCTTTCCAGAAGCCAGCCCTCCTCTGGGGGAGAACAAAGTAGCTTGTGTTGCTATTAGACAATGTGTCTGTGGCCGTGGTTTGGAGGTTGCTATAAAAGCTGAGACTTTCCATGAATAAGTCAGTAGCCCATGACAGAGTGAGGCCAGGAGAAATGTGACCTATGCAAGTTTAACATGGGAAAAGAGATAAATGAAAGTCAACAAAATAAAGCATCTTGAAAAAAATTAAATTCCTGCAAAAGGAGAAATAGAAAGCTGTATATCCCAGAATTTATGTTATTGGAATAAGTAGCCACCTGCCCTCCCAACAGAATGAATAAAATAAAAATCATAATATTTAATAATGTTACCCCCTAAACCATTTGTCTTCAGCTGGTGTGAATATAGAGAAACAGTGAAAATTAGATTAATCTACCCCCTGAGATTGAGGATTTTAGTTAAGCTGACCAGACTAAGACAAAATAGAGAGAAAACATAAAACATATTTTATGTCTGAAAGTAGTTATTTTGAGAGAAAAGATCAATATTGTGTTTGATGTATAAATATATACCTACACACGACAAGGAAAAAGCATTAATTCAAGGAAAATCCGTACTAAATGTGATGCCACAATGTTTTTAGCTGTTACCATTTCACTGGGAAAAGAAATGCTAGTTTGAATAAGAAATACTAATTGCATGAGAAAATACCGATAACATTATTTTAATTAACATGTATTTGTGTTATTAGAACCTAGAAAATTTTGATTCAGAAATGATTATAAGGCATTTCTATGTGTCAATCTTTGGGTTATGAATGAGTCGGGTCCTAAGGGCACACATGGTCTTGGAAGATGGTAATAGTCAAAAGTGATCCTGAAGCATGCTAATATGAGAAAAAGCTCATGCATGTGGGATAGGCAAACATTTGGATATCAGGTTACTTTTCCCTCTGTGTTTCTATAATCCCCATGGCATGTAGCACAGCAATGAGTTCATTGTTCAGTAAAGTTTCAAATATGAAAGGATACTCCTGCAACCTGTCCTCCTCCCTGACTGACCAGATAGGACCTCTTTTCCTCTTGCCCCTCAGGGGTTGCCTTCTCCAAATGACATCATTTATTGTAAATGATATACATTTACAATACAAAATGTTTTACATTTATATGTAAAACACATCTGTCAGTACTGATGAAATAAATGAATGAATACATATTTCATTGATTGACCTAATATGTGACATGATACAATGGAAATCACAAAGGACTTGGAATTAAGAATTGTGGCTTATGGCCAGGCGCGGTGGCTCACACCTGTAAACCCACCACTTGGGGAGGCCGAGGCTGGCGGATCACAAAGTCAGGAGATCAAGACCATCCTGGCTAACACGGTAAAACACCGTCTCTACTAAAAAATACAAAAAATTAGCCAGGTGTGGTGGCAGGCGCCTGTAGTCCCAGCTATTCAGGAGGCTGAGGCAGGAGAATGGTGTGAACCCGGGAGGTGGAGCTTGCAGTGAGCCGAGATTGAGCCACTGCACTCCAGCCTGGGTGACAGAGCAAGACTCTGTCTCAATAAAAATTTAAAAAAATCAAAAAAAAAAAAAAGAATTTTGGCTTACAATACTAAGTAAGAGACTTTCAGCCATGTGATGTTGGGAAAGGAATTTTACCGCTGTAGTCATCAGTTTCCTCACTGAAACAAGGGAATTCTAATATCTGCTGTGTTAATACTAATATCTGCTCTATTGCTATAGGACCAATTGCTGCGACAGAAACCCAAAATAAGAGTAGCAGAGCAAGGCAAAAATTTATTTCCTCTATTCCTGAAACAAGAGCTTGAGAAACCCATGCCCCTGATATGGAAGCTCTAGTGTTAGGAACTCATTGTTCTGCCAGTGCCATAGCCAGTGACGTAGCCGAGTCTGTCTGGGGTAGGTGGCCCATCATCACATTCTGCTGGATCTGCTGGATCCACATTCCAGCTGACAGAAGGGAAAAAAGGGGAGTGAAACAAGGACTTCTATCTTTTATGGGCATACTCAGCATTGTGTTAGAGCTGGCTTGTACTGGCTCATGAGGGCCGGTTGTTCAATTTTCAGGAATTGTGTGAGCTGTTAAACACAACCTTTATTAAAAATTAAATAAATTTACAATTATATTAAAAAGGAGGGCAACAGGTACTCAAAACTCAGCGCTTCCTAATTATATATCTTACTGCTATTTTTGTATGGTTATTTACTTCTATTGTGAGTATATAGAAACACAATATAATGGCATACTACCGCACATCTCTTTGTGTCAGTGAAGAAATTTTATGTTGGTAGCTTCAGATCAGTTATGGTAGAAATCAGCAAACACTGTGATGTATTGTTCTGTTAATTTTTCAACCCAGAGCTGGCAAACCAGATACAACTTATTTTGGTTTAATACTTGAACAAATAATTATTTTATTTTTACATTTTAAAGCATTGCTACAAGGGGGAGTAGAGAGAGAAGAAAGGGAGGGAAAGAAAAAGTAAGAAGGAGAGAGGGAAGGAAGGAAGGAAGTCCAGCCGGCCTTCATAAGTAGCTGCAATGACTGAAATATTTACTACCAGGCTCTTTATAAGAAATGTTTTCTAACTCTTAATGGAGAAAATACGAGTAGTGCAAATTAAACTGAAAAGCTTGCTTGCTGGCCAGTCCCACCCTCAGCTTCTAGAAGCTGCCTCATTCTTTGTCCTGTTCCCCCTCTAGCTTCAAGCCAACAAGGGAGAATTTCCTTTGTGTTGAGTCCCTCCCTTGCTTTGACTCTCGCCAGGAAAAGCCCAATCTCTTTTAAGGTTTCACGGGAATAGGTCAGGCACATGGAGGACAATCTTTCTTAGAGTCAGCTGTACCAAATGACATAACCTAATCATGAAGTGATATCCTATCATATCTATAGATCCCCCTCGGAATTGAAAGGATGGTTTATGACAGAGTTGGATCACTGTGGGTCATCTTAGAATTCTTCCTGCTACAATGGGAATCGCAGTCTCTCCTACATCTTCCTCCTTCACAGTATCATTTTGAGAATTTGATGAGATCGTGGATAAATAAAAGCACTTCATTATAAGAGATGCTATACAGCCCAAAGTGTTACTGTGATTGAATTCTATTTCTCGAATTCATATATCTGAATTTTTGGTAACAGTTCTTTTCCAATTCCTTGTTTGGAATCTGGGTTGAAGGTATATTTTCAACCCTGTTTTGGTTTTGAACTTCTTCCAAGTAACCCTGAAGAGCTTATTGAGTTCACCCTTAGGATGGGGTCTGAGAGCATGAGTAATACAAGAATTACTTCATGTTCTCTCTAGCAAGTTCATTGTTTACTGAATGATTATTATTATTATTATTATTGGTATCCTGAATGCAAGACTTTCTTTCCTTCCTTCCTTCCCTTTCTTCTTCCCTTCACTTACCTTTCTTCTTTCCTTCCCTTCACTTTCCTTCTCTCCTTCCCTTCACTTTCCTTTCTTCCTTCTCCCCCTCTGCCTCTTCCTCCTCCTCTTCCTTTCTCTCTCTCCTCTTTCAATTTCACAAATACACTTAGAAAAGTGCACAAAAAGCAAAGCCATTTGGAGTTCAGCAATGAAAAATTAGCATGTACCTTTAAGCAGTTTTGCGGCATTTTGTCTTTGGCCAGAAGCCAAAAGATAATTACAGTTTTTAAAAGTCATCTCTGTAATGTGCATCTGTTGCCCATGGTGTCCATTCATAAGCTATTCATAAATTTTGTAAGGAGGAAATGAGGAGGCAAATATAACAAATTCTTGCTCCTCACTGAGCCAAGCCTTTCAATGAGATGCTTTCATGTGACCATGCACGCTAGAATCTCTGATGGTTCTTTCAATGAAAAGAGTTACAACAGTAGATTTTAGTTCCTTTTTAAATGAAAGCAGTATTTCAAGTATTGATGGTTAACAAGAACTTACTTCAGGTGCAGAAATGAAATACCCAACAAGCTGTATTTCTCACAAGGTCTGCAGAAACACTTGAAACCCATGTGCATATAGATAATATAGAAAGAAAACCTAGCATCTGCCATTTCATATGCCCAGGATGTCACCTCCGCCCTATCTTCTTAACAAGAATAATGCCCCTAGCTCTTAAGATAAAAAATACACTGGGGGAAAGAAATCTCAGCAATATATAAAAACATAGAAGTCTTGTACCCATGAAAGTTGTACATTCTTACTTCTCTACTTCAAGAGCCCTCATAGGATGTCACAGTGGCAAAAGACCGCAGGTACTCCCAGAATTCCCTGCTGCCTGAAATATAGTCAATATTTGACTGCCTGTTCACTGCAAACAATAGAGAAAAGTTATATAGGATAATTAAAGCCTCCAGGACAACAGAAAAGATTGAAATGATACAAACAAAAAAAAATAAAGGATCATTGCGTTCAGGAATTATAAACCTCTACACTTCCCACCAGCAGGCAGGCACCAACCTCTAAAACTCCTTTTCCTGATAGCAGTTGGACTGGGTAAGGAAATGGGGTCTTGTGTTTGACCCATTGTTGAATATGCAAGAAATGAGAAAAAAAGGAAGGAAGTAGGGGAGGGATGGCGAGAGGGAAGAAGAGAGGAAGGAAGGAAAAGTATCAAGTTATAGGACAATAATAATATCAAGTCAACATAAACTATACCCTGTCTCTACTAACATGTTTACTATCCCCACTGTATTAGATAGCCTTTTGTTTTGTTTTGTTTTTCTGAGACAAGTGCTGGAGTGCAGTGGTGTGATCTTGGCTCACTGCAACCTCTGCCTCCCAGACTCAAGCAATCCTCCTACTTGGCCTCCTGAGTAGCTGGGACTGTAGGTGGTGGACACCACCGCACCCAGATAATTTTTGTATTTTTTTTATAGAGATGGGGTTTTGCCATGTTGCACAGCTTCTGAGCTCAAGTGATCCACCCGCCTTGGTCTCCCAAAGTGTTGGTATTACAGGTGGGAGTCACTGGACCTGGCCTAGATAGGCTTTTGACTAAAAAATTATATTATCTCTCATGTTCGTTACTGGTGGTTGTGATTATTAGTTTTGTTTTAGCAAATCCACAAGAAAAATATCATGAACCTGTGATCTGGTGAGGAGAAAACTGGTAAATATTCACATGAGGCATAATCTCTCAGAAGCCTGGCCACCAGATAAGCCAGGCACTATAGGAACAGTGCTTCTGGCCTGGAGGACAGATTTACTTGCAGCATTTCCTCTGAGCCTGTAAAGCTGAGTGAATACCATTTACCAGCAGACCTTGTCACATCAGGAAGAAAAGCCCCTGAACCTGGAACTCTCGAAAATTGTTCTGCACTATATAGGTCACCATGAGAAGCAAGAGTTTCCCTTAACTACTAGAGACTATAAACATAATTTATAAATACACTCACTAATACAGGGAAAACTATAAAGTTTAGTTATTTCAGTGAAGGTTAGCTTGGATGCTCAGAAAAGGGTGCTCATAGAGCTGATAGCCTTGGTTACATTTCCATAGATTCCATGAAACATCACACAAAATATCTTACCACCTTAAGCCCCACAAGTAGTAAACCCCTCATTCTCTGTGTAATGGATATTGTTTTGACAACTGTGTTTATTTGAATCCATAATTTGGCTCTCCCTAGTGTCACCCGAGTGTTAGGTTTCTCAGATTCCCTTAACTCCAAAGGTTGAGGATTCAATTTGCTTTTTGCCAGTGGGATTCATTCCCAAGAGATTTTGAAAATGCTGATGACAGGTGCCGTAAAATAATTCTTCCTTTGGTTCTGTTGAGTAAAGGCTAGCTGTAGCAGATAAGCGGTTTTGTCCCCTACAGGTTGTTACTGATTCACTTCAGTGACCATTAGCAGGGACTTCCTATGGTTTCCCTACCTGGGCAGCACCAAAACCTTCCTGACTCTCTGGACCAGAACTGTAGCGATAAGCCTGAAAACAAGCTTCAGTCTCTGATGGCTTCCACAGTCGTTCCGACAATTGTTAACATAAAATTCCCTAAGTAAATACCTTTCAGTTGAAAATACCTAAAGTTGGTATTGCTGAGTGATACCCCTAATATCTAATATCTTAGACAAGGAGCAAAGAAACATGCACATTTTGACTCCCAAACTACATAGTGGGAAAAGAACAACTGTCCTAACAAGCTCAGTTGTCTGGATCAGGAATAATAAATAGTCCCTTTTACCAATTTTGATACAATTTTTAAGGGAAAACAGTTATAGAAACCTACTTTATTCAGGATTTGTGTTTTCATACTATATCGTAGCATATTGAATATTGAATTAGTTTACCTCTACAAAACTTTTAACAACACATAAAATTCAGTTATTTCCCATGGAAAAAAATAGTGTTAATTATACCCATGTAGTAAATTTCTTGAAATTCTGCATGCAATTATCAAACCTTAGCTGATCAGGAAAGAGACAGAGTTTTGGTCTATGAATTTATAATACAAACACTATAAGAAAGCACTATTAATCACCTTATGTGGACTATAAAATAATTTCATGATATTACCAAATTTTGTCTCATTTAACAATACAGTTTAATCCACAAGAAATTCAATTTGGAAATAAGTGCACAAGTCCTGTTTTCTGCTGCAGCAAGCGTGGGGGGACAGAGATAAGAGAAACAGGCACTGATTCTGATGACAGGAAGAGGATGATGTTGTAAAACGACTTCTGCTGAGTCATATGCCAGGGCTGCTATGAATCACCTTCAGTTTGTTGACAGTATGCTTTGAATTTGGCTCAGTTATCTAGCATGCTCTCCACCTCAACCAAATCTAATCCAGTTGGTCACCAGATGCAAGGAAACCAAAATGCAAGAGGAATCGCCACCATAGTCTCAGCCACCTGAATTAGTATCTGTGGATCCTGGGAGACCACCACATGGAGACAAAGGGTGGGAAATTGAGGGGTTGGTGACACTAGTTTGCATTTTTAAAAAACTGAAAACAATGAGAGAGACTCACGCCATACTTACTGAATCATAATCTGTCTTTTAACAAGATCCCAGGTGATTGATCTGCAAATTAAATTTTGAGAAGCATGGATCTGTGATTCATTGGCAATTACCAACTGCACTCTCAGAAGAACAAGGTAAAGAAAATAATGCTCTTGGCTTTGTAATAGAGAAATGCATTTCTAGTCACAGGAGAGAATATTCTGAAAAATAAATACAAATATATGCCAAGAATATAGGAAACCAACCAATTAAAAAAAAAAAAATGAACCGTAGACTGAGGATCCTGCTTTATGGAAAAGTCAAGTCAAGATGATCAGTCCCACATCTTATAGTTAAATAGCCTTGAAATGTGTCCTATGAGGGAGAAATAGCATTATAATGCTATGAGCCAATTCAGATATAGTTTAATTAAGTAATATGCAAGGTCATGGAGCGTGACGGGCAGAGTGATTTAGAACAGAATTAACTATGTCTTTTACTGGGGCCATGCCTGGTTGTCATCTAACACTGCAGCATATAAACTCTAAGAAATGTTCTGGCATTGCAGATTTATCCCTGCAGCCAGAGGAGCTGAATTCTCTTTCCAAAGCCACAGAAACCCATCCCCTCTTTCTATTTTTAATCCTTTGCTGATTCTAGGGGCTTTCTACCAAGTAATTTGTTGCCAAACAGTTGCTCTCCTTGCAGCTGCCAAACAGACCAGCATTTGCAGCCTCGGGTTGTGTGTAGTGTTGGCTCTCTCCCCAATGTCATTTCCTACAAGGCGTTTCTTTCAACTGATGCATTAGGGTCTTTGAATGACAACATGAAATTAAATAGAAAATGACATTCATGAGAAAAGATGTTTCTTTCCAATAACTGAGACTCTCTACCCATCTGTCATTGCTTCCTTCTCTGTCTCATAGTTTTCTGCAAATCCCAAGCAGCTTGATACAAATATGATCACTAGAGGATTTTTATACATTAATGCAAATTATGAACTAGCAACAATTAGGGCATTCTGCCCAGACTAGTTGATGCCCTTCTATAGGAGAGTGTATGTCGAGAGAGTACAACACCAAGCCATTTTCCTCTGAATCAGTTCATCACTAAAATTATCATACAATATTTCAAATAAATTATTGCAAATGAATGGCTCTGTAATGAATTTGGTGACTTTTGTTAATTACAAAATTAAATTGAAACTTGAATACTAACAGCAAAAACATATCACACCTAAAAGGAGAGAAAGAGGGAAGAATGAATACATGATAGATAGATAGATAGATAGACAGACAGACAGACAGATAGGTAGACAAATGCTGACTTCCTAAGAAAATGCCAAGAAATATGTGTTAATTCATTCTTGCATTGCTATAAAGAAATACCTGAGACTGGGTAATTTATAAAGAAAAGAGGGCTGGGTGTGGTGGCTCACGCCTGTAATCCTGGCACTTTGGGAGGCCAAGGCATGTGGATCACGAGGTCAGGAGATCAAGACCAGCCTGGCCAACATGGTGAAACCCCATCGCTACAAAAAATACAAAAATCAGCTGGGCGTGGTGGTACACGCCTGTAATCCCAGTTACTTGGGAGGCTGAGGCAGGAGAATCACTTGAACCCGGGAGTGGGAGGTTGCAGTGAGCTGAGATCATGCCATTGCAATCCAGCCGGAGTGACAGAACGAGACTTTGTCTCAAAAAAAAAAAAAAAAAAAAAGAAAGAAAGAAAAAGAGGTTTAATTGGCTCACGGTTCTGCAGGTCCGCAGGCTGTAAAGGAAGCATGATGCTGGTATCTGTTCAGCTTCTGGGGAGGCCTCTAGAAACTGACAATTATGGTGGAAGGCAAAAGGGGAGCAGACATGTGACATGACCACAGCAGGGACAGGAGAGAGAGACAGCAGGGGCGTGGGTGCCATACACTTTTAAATGACCTGATCTCACAGGAACTCATTCACTATCACAAGGACAGTATCAAGAGGGATGGTGCTAAACAGTACTAAACCATTCATGAGAAATCAGCCTCCATGACCCAGTCACCTCCAGCCAGGCCCCACCTCCAACACTGAAGATGACAATTCAACATGAGATTTGGTGGGGACACAGATACAAACCATATCAAAATGTTAAAGATGCAGGTTACAAGATGCATTAAAGTGAGAAATTTTATTTTCAAGGAACTTAAAGTGTTTCAAGAACGAATATTTGAGCCCCTAAAAAAACAGTTTATACACAATTGAAAGATATGTGATAGGAATTGAGAGATAAAGATTAGCATAGGTATGAACTGATAAGACATAATTAAAAACTAAAGAAGAATATTTACCTTGAAGAGAGGAAGAGGCAGATAAATATTTAAAGCAAGACACACAGGAAATCAATGTGGTGAAGCAGAAAATAAACACCAGTATTTTTAACCATTCATTAATTCAGTCAACAAACAATCATTAATCCTTTTCTCCTGGAAGAAAGACCACAACAGATCCAGGTCACTCCATTCCTACTCTTTAAGTTCTTATGTTATTTCTGCTGGGGAAAAGAAATTGCATGCACTGATGAATGAGAGGAACCTGCAATTCTACTGGCTACCCTTTCAGGCTATTTTAAGTAGGAAGCCATAGAGAAAATGCTGGCCATTGTTTTAAAGTTTGATTCCATAAAGACTTTAAAAGTGATTCATTTTGTCATTGGATTTTTCCTTTCACCAAATTATCATAGGTTACGTTACTATATAGACAAAATTGACATTAAATTTCTGGTTTCCACGGAAGCCATGATTAACAAATGTAAATGTTTTATAAACACATAGGTCAAACTTATTTTCATTAATTTAAATGGACAAAGGCAAACATTATTTATAAAAGAGGATATCAAAATAGGCCAAAAAAGGTATCATGGTAGGCTGAATAATTCCACCTGCCTCCCCAAAGACAACTATATCCTAATTCCCATCACCTGTGCATATGTGACCTTACCTAGTAAAGAGACTTTACAGGCCCGGCTAAGTTAAGGGTCTTAAGGTAGGGAGATTATCCTGAATAATCTGATTGGGTCCAATAATCACAAAGAAGCTTAAGAGATAGAAGAAGGAGAGTCAGAATCAGAGAAGATGATATGATGACAGAAGCAGAGATCAGAAAGAAAAAGGAAAGAAAAGGAAGGAAGAGGAAGAAAGAGAGGAAGGAAGATGCTATGCTGCTGACTTTGAACACAAGGGAAGCAGCCAAGAGCCAATGAATGCAGACAGCCCCTAGAAGATAGAAAAGGCTCCTCTGGAGCCTCCAGAAAGAATGCAGTCTTGTTGGCACCTTGATTTTTAGGACCTGTGACCTACAGGACTATCAGATAATAAATGTCTGCTCTTCGAAGACACTAAATTTTGGTGATTTGTTACAACAGCAATAGGAAACAATACGAGTATGTAAAGAGGCATTTCATATTATTCACTGGCATCAAAATAAAAAATCACAAGGAGAAAAGAGTGCATTCACACCAGACTCAATAAAAATGGTGAAAGCACTAAAAATGGCAAATAGAAAAGATGCGGGAGGCTATGGAACAAGAACACTCTTATGCTGCTGGTGGGAGTTTAAATTGGTGCAATCACTGAGCCTAAATGGTTACTTTCATGACTGCCATTTACCTTCTCATTTACCTCTGGGCATGGTCATGTGCCTTGTGTGGCCAATGGGACATCAGCAAATTTAAGGTAAACAGAAGCTCAATAAATACTGGGGTACTGGGGCCATGTTGGAATGAGGCTGTTACCATGTGAGGAAGACCAGTTTCATCCCTGGGGTTATAGAAGTCCACACAGAGATGGAGGGACAAAGTCCAGCTCAACTGTTCTAGTGAAGCCCCTCCCTAGGCAATCTTACAGGCGTATGTGCAAAACCAGCAGAAGGACACATACACACAGCCTGCTCAAATAATTGTGAGAAATAACACATTGTTATTGTTTTAAGCCACTGAACTCAGAAGACTGGTTTGTACTTTAGAATCATGTAAAGCTAAGGTGGGGAAAGCCCTAGTAACACCACTGGAAGTTACACCAAGTCAAGATGCAGACAGCTGGGAGTCCCTTGTGAAGTATCTCTGTTGGTTTACCATAAAACGAGGGCCACTAGGGAACAATGGCCACTAGGGAACAATGCTCATGTTATCCCCACTCCCGAGCTTCCAAATGTTTTTAAGTAACTTTCTCGTAAGTGTGAGTAGATAGGCAATACCAGTGGACATTCAGATAAAGCTTCTATCATAACAACAGAGACAAAACCGAAACAAGAAAAAAATTGGTGCTTCGAGAAGAAAAGTAGAAAAAACAATGTCATTGATATCCTCAAAGCTATTGGAGGGGATATTTTATTGATGAAACAAGAACAGGAGAATATATTTAAAAAATACGTAAATCACTAAATACCTCTTGGAAATTATAATATGATAATAGAAATAACGCAAAAAGAAGTTTGAAAGATAAACCAAAGGAACTTTCCATTAAGATAGTAAAACAACAATAACAATACCAAAGAAATAGAAAATAGAAAAGACAAGGAAATTTAAAAATCTATCCAGGAGATCCAAATTCAAGTAATATTTCCACAAATAAAAAATGGAAAAATTAAATGGAAGAAATTTTCAAAAAATCATTCAACAAATTTCCACAAAACTGACATGAATTTCCAAATTGAGAAGGCTCATCAAAACCCAGCACAAGGCATAAACCACATCAGGCAGGCAATCAAACAAGAATATTTCCAAGTGTCCAGAGGGACATGACTTCAATCTTTGAAAAGATTGAAAATCAACATGGCATCAGGCTTCTCAAACACCAAAAAGAAAAGATACTGGAAAAATTACTTGAGAGTTCTAAGGGTAGATTATTTCCAATATGGAATTACAAACCAAATGTGATCATGTTTTTAATATACACACGTGAAAGTTCTGGGTTTAGCTTTTGCTGAACTAGCACTTCAGCAGTGTATCAGACACTACTACCTGCTCTGTATTACCAGTGAACAGGCTAAGTAAAAGCTGCACCCTGTCCAAGAAAAAAATGAACATAAAAAATGTTCTAGGCTGTGTACTCGTTTCCCAGTTAACATACTTAATTTTATTTGTAACTCATGCTTTATTAATAACAATATTAAAGGTTTGCACTGAAAAGAGCAATGATCTACAACAGAATTTTCTATGTTCTAAATAAATTATTCAAAAGAGTTAAGTTGAATTCCTACCAGTCAGAAGAAATGTTCAAATAAGTATCTTTCATGAGAAATGCCATTAGTCTATTGAACAGTGTATAGTAATCTACATACACCAACTCTTAAAGCTCAGTGCATTTTTCCTACGTAAGAAATTACAAAAGAAGATAATTTTCCAGCACCATTTATTAAATAGGGAATCCTTTCCCCATTGCTTGTGTTTCTCAGGTTTGTCAAAGATCAGATAGTTGTAGATATGCGGCGTTATTTCTGAGGGCTCTGTTCGGTTCCATTGATCTATATCTCTGTTTTGGTACCAGTACCATGCTGTTTTGGTTACTGTAGCCTTGTAGTATAGTTTGAAGTCAGGTAGTGTGATGCCTCCAGCTTTGTTCTTTTGGCTTAGGATTGACTTGGCGATGCGGGCTCTTTTTTGGTTCCATATGAACTTTAAAGTAGTTTTTTCCAATTCTGTGAAGAAAGGCATTGGTAGCTTGATGGGGATGGCATTGAATCTGTAAATTACCTTGGGCAGTATGGCCATTTTCACGATATTGATTCTTCCTACCCATGAGCGTGGAATGTTCTTCCATTTGTTTGTATCCTCTTTTATTTCCTTGAGCAGTGGTTTGTAGTTCTCCTTGAAGAGGTCCTTCACATCTCTTGTAAGTTGGATTCCTAGGTATTTTATTCTCTTTGAAGCAATTGTGAATGGGAGTTCACTCATGATTTGGCTCTCTGTTTGTCTGTTGTTGGTGTATAAAACTGGCTAGCCATATGTAGAAAGCTGAAACTGGATCCCTTCCTTACACTTTGTACAAAAATCAATTCAAGATGGATTAAAGACTTAAACGTTAGACCTAAAACCATAAAAAACCTAGAAGAAAACCTAGGCAATACCATTCAGGACATAGGCATGGGCAAGGACGTCATGTCTAAAACACCAAAAGCAATGGCAACAAAAGACAAAATTGACAAATGGGATCTAATTAAACTAAAGAGCTTCTGTACAGCAAAAGAAACTACCATCAGAGTGAACAGGCAACCTACAAAATGGGAGAAAATTTTCACAACCTACTCATCTGACAAAGGGCTAATATTCAGAATCTACAATGAACTCAAACCAATTTACAAGAAGAAAAACAAACAACCCCATCAAAAAGTGGGCAAAGGACATGAACAGACACTTCTCAAAAGAAGACATTTATGCAGCCAAAAAACACATGAAAAAATGCTCATCATCACTGGCCATCAGAGAAATGCAAATCAAAACCACAATGAGATACCATCTCACACCAGTTAGAATGGCAATCATTCAAAAGTCAGGAAACAACAGGTGCTGGAGAGGATGTGGAGAAACAGGAACACTTTTACACTGTTGGTGGGACTGTAAACTAGTTCAACCATTGTGGAAGTCAGTGTGGCGATTCCTCAGGGATCTAGAACTAGAAATACCATTTGACCCAGCCATCCCATTACTGGGTATATACCCAAAGGACTATAAATCATGCTACTATAAAGACACATGCACACGTATGTTTATTGTGGCACTATTCACAATAGCAAAGACTTGGAATCAACCCAAATGTCCAAGAATGATAGACTGGATTAAGAAAATGTGGCACATATACACCACGGAATACTATGCAGCCATAAAAAATGATGAGTTCATGTCCTTTGTAGGGACGTGGATGAAATTGGAAATCATCATTCTCAGTAAACTATCGCAAGAACAAAAAACCAAACACTGCATATTCTCACTCACAGGTGGGAATTGAACAATGAGATCACATGGACACAGGAAGGGGAACATCACACTCTGGGGACTGTTGTGGGGTAGGGGGAGGGGGGAGGGATAGCATTGGGAGATATACCTAATGCTAGATGACGAGTTAGTGGGTGCAGCGCACCAGCATGGCACATGTATACATATGTAACTAACCTGCACAATGTGCACATGTACCCTAAAACTTAAAGTATAATAATAAAAAAAAGAAAGAAAAAGAAAAAAAAGAAGATAATTTATCATACAATGTGGTATTGTAATTGTTCCTTCATCAAATTAAGCAGATTAAATATACATTTTAATATTTCAGTTTTACAGTAGAAGATGTATGTTAGATGCATAGTTTGGATATATTTAAATATATTACTACATCGAAACATTCTGGAAGAAATAACCTTACCTTACCTTTTTTTTTTTTTTTTAACTCAGAACTGACAATGCAGTTTATTGTGAGTTGAAAATTCTCAATAAATGTAGACCGAATACCAGAATAAAAATTTAAAAATACTTTTCAATATAATGCATTTGGGTAAGTGTGATGATAGATACTGGGCTAGAAAGTTAAACTGGATGAATTTATTTAACTTTCTATTTGGTATACTTAGATTTAAAATTATTTCCACTCTGGAATTCTATTACAGTACTACAAGTTGCAGTATCACAGGAATATCTGTATGATGCTTATAATCCATAAGGTCCTGCAAAATTTGGAGAAAGTCCTGGGAGACAAACAAAGTTGACCAATCTAGCAAAACTTGCCAAGTCTACCATGAACTAAATGCCAATACCTATGGTAGCAAACTCTCTCCCTCTTTCTCTCTCTCCCATCTTAGCACCTAGGAATGTTGTCTCAAAAAAAAAAAAAAAAGAAAAGAAAAAAAAGGGAATGAAGTCACCACTACAGTCCTTTGTAATCTGATATCAAAATTTTATGTTCTCGTTCACTTCATGCCAGCTTTAAATGTAACTGCTAGCAAGGGAACATTATACGTCTGTCTGCATGAAAAATTGACCACGTCTCCTTTATAATGCATTCCGAAGCTTTCTCACCTAAGAGTTATTTCTTTATTATTAATTCTGAGTCTCTGGTTGCCAGTCATGCCATGGGAATGGGAAATAATAAGGCGGTATGTCCTCTTGCCCTGAATATCTTCTTATATGAGGCAGGCTGTGTACTTTCAGCCATTCTTTTTTCCCCCCCATTCTACTCCGGAGAACAGTGCATTGAAATAGAAAATATGTGTTGCTTATATTATACCTCATCTCATTTCCAGAAACAGACACCCCTGCTAGTTCCCAAAAGTTTTTGAGACAGCTCAGAAAATGTGAATAGAAGTGGAGAAAAAGCTGGAGAAAAAGAGATGCAATGATTCAGAGCCTGCATATTGCAGGTGCTAAGCTAGACACTTTGTAATGTGTTTACTTTCATTTGTATTCTCTAATATTAAGAGGATTATGATTTTATTATCATTTCATAGATGACTCAGCTGTGACTCAGAATTTAAATAATTTCCTCAGTTCACATTGCAATTGACAAAGTCAGGATCCACAAACCAGATCACAGGTCCCAGGAAATAACTCTTTCTGCTCTGCCACACTGTCTCGGTAAGTCCCGTTTCTCTATTGTCCGCCCTTGTTCGTGGCTCACCAGCTAATCGAGTAAGAACCCAAAGGTTCTTTCACAAGAGTTTCACTGTTTAGAATTACTGGCAACTAACTGAAATCCACTTGACATAGCATACTTTGAACAATGATGTCCAAGCTTCATGTTTCAGAACCTTGACATTGGCCCAATAGCAAATACATATATATAAATATATATAAATATACATATAAATATATATATATATCTAAACACCTTAGAAAAATCAAAACGAGGTTGCTAATTTGCTGATTTCAATTCCCCATAAAGCTTTTAGAAAAATAACATAAATAATTACAAAGTCATAACTCAACAGCATTTAATTCATTTTATAAATACAGTACTCTCAGAAACATGTAAAATGTTCTCCACCCCTGTTTATATTCTCCTGCTCTCAAGAGACAATAAATAAACACGGTGTTCTGATTAAATTTCATGTTTTCTCTCCTTCGTTTCTGCTCTGTGCCGTGCCTTGCAAGGCCGACATCTCCAGGCTATAACTCCCAGGCTTTCTTAACCTCCGACTACCAAGTAGATTTAGCAGGAACAGGAACTGTGGGAGAAGGAAAAGTCAAGGGATCATCTCCATTCCTGTTCCTTCCCTGCCAGATTATAACTTTGGCAGTCACTGCATTCCTTTATCCACAGCCCCTGACTTGGTGTGGCGGCTCCCCCTCTGCTCCAGCTTCCTTCTCACTCCAGTAACAGCTTCCCCTCCACAGATCTTCAGGCCTGACGGAGGTAGCTTTCTGCAGTTCTTTCTGCAGTTACTAGTCCCTTTGGTGATTTAACAGCATATCCTCAAGCTCTCTTCAATGGAGTCTGATTGTGATAACTGTATCCTGCAGAAAGCCCTGATTGTTTGAGCAATGAGTACCAGAGGTAGTCCCAAAGCACACCTTCCAAGTAAGATAACAGGATAGAGATGTCATATATTTCATCAATGCAGAGAATTCCTCCTCGAAGGGGAAAATAGACCTTGGAAATCTGTGGCCTGCAGGGCCATCACTGTTACTCAATCCAAGATTGTTGGTAATGTGAGGTGAAGGTCAGGTAGAGGGCAAGATTGGTACTTAGTTACCAAAGCAACAGTGATATTCACCAAGATAATGAGGTGGGGAAACTATCCCTGACTGCCCTGGGAAATGTGCACATGGAGGGAGATGCTTGCAAAGCATTGACTCATTAATTCATAGCTTTCATCATTGCAGCCTTGTCAGTCTTACAGTCTGATATTCAACCATGTCTGTCCCGTAGAGCCAAATGTGCAACTTGTAGGTCTCTTATGCGAAGGTAAAGCCTTAGTTAAAAGAAGTAGAATCCTGACACTCGGGATACTGAATTAGGTAAAGCATACTTTTGAGGTTGAGTGCTCAGAAAGTTCAAATCCCTCTTTCACCATCAGAAGCAAATGAAGGAATAGAATATTAAATTTGAGCTACATTTATTTATCTGCATGTGCTTTCTTGGGATTTGGTACTTAATAAGTTGACTCAAGCACCTGGAAAAGCTGTTAGCAGCCACCATGATTGATATTTAATTTTTTTATCAATGGACATCCACAATAAAGGTTAAAATATGAAATTTCCAAGGTAAATTGTGAATGAATGAGGCCAGCAGCTTGGGGAATTGACCTAATATATGCAAACTGCTCAGCCACCCCTCACTGTACCCTGCAAGGGACAGGATATGACTTTCAAAAGGGTTATAAATATTTCATTATGAGGTTAGCACTATTTTCTACAAGTTTTTCTGAGGCTACCCTCAATAATCAGAGGAACAGATGGCCTACTTCTTTGGCCATAAGGTGTGCTCTTTCTGTGGCTACCCGGGTGCTTGTTCAATTGTCCCATATATGAAATGGTCTTGGTAGCAAGAATAAGCCTTTGCATGAGCCCAATAGCATGAATTTCTCCTCTCCATACCCGGTCTGGCTGCTACTAAAGCTAAATGTCAATCTCCCAACAGCAGAAGTCAACACTAAAGTCTGATACGGCATCACTCCCCAGATGTGGCAGCCAGTTACTGTAGTAGTCCATTTTCATACTGCTTTGGAGAAATACCTGAGACGAGGCAATTTATAAAGAGAAAGGAGTTTAATGAACTCAGTTTCACATGGCTGGGGAGGCCTCACAATCATGGCAGAAGGTGAAGGAGTAGCAAAGGCACATCTTACATGGCAGCAGGCAAGAGAGCTTGCACAGGGGAACTGCCCTTTATAAAACCATCAGCTCTCATGAGACTTATTCACTATCACGAGAACAGCACAGGAAAAACCCACCCCCATGTTTCAATTGCCTCCAACCAGTTCCCTCCCATGACACTTAAAGATTATGGGAGCTACAATTCAAGATGAGATTTGGGTGGGGACACATCCAAACCATACCGGTTAGAGGCAGGGTGGGGCTAACTTAGAGGCATGGGGGCTAACTTCCTCATGAAAACATACAACTGTCTTCTCAAAAAAAAAAGATATTGAGTCTGCGTATGGATTTTTCTTCCCTATTCACAAAGATTCTGCTAAAACCATAACATGTCTTTATCATCGTGGTATACTGAGCAATATCGCCTCTGCCCAAGGGACTTACTTTATGGTGAAGGTAGTACAGCAACAGGCTCACCCCACTGGTCTTACTTTGTGCCTTATTAGCACAAAGTAAGATAAGGCACAAAGTAAGACCAGTGTATGTAATAGAATGATATAATGGCTACTGAAGACTCAGCCACAATGCAATTAGTGGGCCGTAACCAGCAAGGCTGATTGGCTTTCGTACAGGATGCAAAGTGGTGTTAAACCAGCAGCTCTTATATGGTATCCTTGGTCAGGAAACTAATAGTTAAAATGGATATGAAAAATTTCGCTCTTATACCAGGTAGCCTTCTGATGCAATTTATATTTCTTGCTCCCGAAAATGCAAGCTTTGAGTGTCTGGAGAGGGCAGGTTATATTTCTGTTGACATATGACTGAATTCACATCCCTTGAAATAATACAGTAGTTAGTGAGGATTTTGTGTTTCCCCCACATTGGGGATGTAAGTTTTTTGGTTTTGTTTTGTTTAAAATTAAGTACAACAAGCAAAAGGCAATAATAGATTTAGAACTGAAATATGGGGGAACTGAGCTGGGAATTCTGTTTGCCTTCCCAGATGCACACTATTCTTTCTGAGTGTGTCTTGGAGGAGAAAATAGCCATTGGGCTCCCTCTCCCTTTGGCTTCAGTTTGGTCCTGACAATCCGAAGGTGAGAAGACAGGGTGGTTGGGATATTTATTCTACTGGCTCCCTGGCAACTAGGCTGTAGTTTGGCTGTGGCTGTCCACCTTCAGCCATAGCTCCTGTTACATAATGCTCTTGCCATTGCTGAAGCTTGTACAGCATTCCAGACTAGCTCCTTCTTGCCCTCAGGCCTTGGAATGGTAAAAAGCTCTCCACTGTGACCCAGACTCTGAGAGATCCACCATTACCACTGCTTGCTTTTTAGCTTATCTGTACACCTGGTCTCTCCATTAAACTCTGTTCAATTCACTCAGAAAGTGCCATCTATTTCCTACCAGGAGGCTGACTGATACAGTTGTTGAGGCTGTGAATAGCAAGTCAGCTGTAAACAGTGTGATCCAAGACTTTGGGAATAACATACTCTCAGTTAGATATTACTACAAAATACTTCTTTTATGAGCTAAAAATGTTTATATCTTGGTATAAGGGAAGGCTTTATTTCTCCTAATTAAAGAGGCTAATGTTTGATACTGTGAATTTTATAATTATATGTTTATAATTCTTTGATCAATAAAAATGTTGGCTAATCATCTCCATGGTGGTTTGTACTAATGATACGCAGTGAAGAAGATCCCTACTTCTATAGAGTTTCCATTTTGGCAAGAAAATTTCAAAAAATAATGAACAAATAAGTACAGAGGATTTCTGGTGCTAGGAAAGGAATGAGTTGGGAGATGCCAGGAAGAGTAACAGGAGGAGGCTACTCTAGCTCCGTGGGACAGCAGACGTGTGGGAGCGGATTGGGTAGCCTCCCTCATATTCCCTTGTCTGCTTTAGTTCACATGTGTATGTCTCCATGTAATCCATGAAAATGGCTCATCCCAGTCCCAGGAGGAAAATGTTGATGGCTTTAAGCCAGTCACGGTTATGCCATCCCCTGTACATTGAATCAGCCATGCCTGGGCATGAGACAAAACCCTATCCAATGAGAGGTACAGGGAAACCTTAGGGAAACCTGCAGGGCCTCTTCGTGGAAGTGTTTTGTCTTCCTAATAAAAAAAGATATACAGAGATAAACGCCCCTTCTTCTCGGTGTGATTGTCACCATAAACGCCGGAGATGCTTGAAATTGCAGCAAACAACTTCCAATCAATCATAAAGTAACAATATTCTGTGTCCAGCCACATGCTGAGGATAGCAGAGCAGAAAGATGAACAGGGCCAGGTCCTGGATTGCACTTCTGGGCTGATAAACCTGGGACTTCCTTGTCCTTTAATTAAGCCACCCTTAGTTAGCTTAGAAGCATTTAAGATAGGTAAGACCTCACGGGAGCTGTCACATTTAAGTGGAGACCTGAAAGATGAGAAGAAGCCAGCAGTTGAAGAAGGAATGGGCAGCATTCCAGAGGGAGGAAAAGATAGGGATAAAGACCTGGTGGCTGGAAATGGCAGTGTTAAAAGATGCTAAATAGCACCAACTTAAACATATGCATGAATTGTGTCTATCAGAGGTAGCCCTAGCTTTTACTTACCTTCATATTTTATTTTCTAATATCCTTTCTCTAATATTTGTTATAATGTACATTTGGAAGGTGTCTTAGATAATTGGAAACTGAATACAAAATAGTATGGAAAGAAATCCCCCAAATTCCATGACGGCCCCAAGTTCAAATAGTATGTCCTTTCTTTCCACTATATTTTACAGAACTGGAATCCCAATGTTTGTTAGGAAAATATAATCACGAAATTATTTATTCATTTTAGATACCAAACCCAATATCTGAGATCAATCTGACCCACTGGGTCATAGTCCAATAAACATAAGCCATATTTGGCTGGGCTCAGTGGCTCACACCTGTAATCCCAACACTCTGGAGGGCTGAGGCAGGCAGATCACTTGAGGTCAGGAGTTCAAGACCAGCCTGGCCAACATGGTGAAACCCCGTCTCTACTAAAAACACAGAAATCAGCCGGGTGTGGTGGTGCACACCTGTAATTGCAGCTACTCAGGAGGCTGAGGTGGGAGAATAGCTTAAACTGGGAGGCAGAGGTTGCAGTGAGCCGAGATCATACCACTGCCCTCCAGCCTGGGCGACAGAGGGAGACTGTGTCTCTAAAAATAAAAAATGTATTTTTTAATTAAAAAAATTATAGCATATTCAAGATGATCAAAACTGGAAGCACAGCTGAGATCTCTGATTTTATCATTTACAATTGTCTAGATGATCATAAAATATGGCATATATAATGTATATGTTGTATATATGTTGTATATAGATATGTGCCATATTTTATGATCATTTAGGCAATTGTAAAAGATAAATGAAATCAGACATCTCAGCTATGCTTCCAGTTTTGACCATCTTGACTAGGCTATTATATAATTTTCCCTATTTATTTCCATAGTGCCCATGGGGTTGGCTGAATGCGTGAAGACAGACTTCCAGGTAGTCAGTAAACACACTTACATAATCCTTTATGAATTGCCAACATAATCTCTCTAACAACTACTAAGCTTCAAAATTGTTGACTTGTTTGTGGTTTGTGATAATAAAGGATGTAGGGTCTTTAATAGTAAAACAAGCAGAAATTTTTCAAACTCTAACCTTTTGAGATTTAAACAGTTTCCTGATTTGGTCCAAGACCACCATATTCAAAAACATTAGAAAAAAATTACCATTTGCAATAACAAATTTCAGTAGAATGGATTTTGAAGCAAGACCTATGATCCTAAGACTGTGACATGTATTCTGTGGGTTTTTTTTTTTTGTGGGGGGGGGGTTGTTTTTTTTCTTGCTTTTCCCTCCTCTACTTTTCCCTTTATTTAGTACTCTGGTAATTCCAGGAAAGATACTTTGCCATTAGTCTACAGTGACTCAAGCCTTCTAAAGTTTATTATAAATCCAATACAATTCTACAGTTGCACTGTGGGTATCTTCTTGATGCACTTCAGCTAAAGAATTATACAAACTATTTCCCCCTCACCCGTACTTGCAGTAAAAACTTGATAAGGCACTGTTTAAATCAGGTTTGATAGAAAAAGAGCTATAAACACGTTAGAACAGTTTTAAACGAACTATTTCAAAATGTACAAAAGCCATATAAGTGCCAAGTTATAGCACTGCACACCATATTCTGCAACTAAGAACCTAAGAGTCTCTCCATTAAAAATCCTATTTTCAGTGCTTCATAGCACTTGTATAAAAATCCCATCTGAACCAAGATTAAGGATATAAGGCCTCAGTGAAAGAGCAAGATATTGTGGTTTGTTTAAAGCTTTCAAAAATTTTTAAAACTGTTGAGTTAATGTAGACCAATAATCTACAGATTATATTCACTTTGGTTTTGTCTTTTTATTGTAGAAAATATTAAAAATGTATGTTTTGGTGATGCAGATGGTCAAGACTAAATAATAATGAAATGTATCTTACTTCTGTCATATTATTTCTTACTCCAAATCACTAGTTATGAATTAGTTAGTGATTAAAAAAAGGTATTGCTTGTGAAAATATCTTACCTAGCAGTTCAGGATATTTATGGCATATCATTTCAGTAAATGGGTAATGTATGCAATAAATGCATTTTCCTAGATTTTTGCTAGTTAAATAATAAAAATCTCTAATTATTCTTGTTCAGCTGGTGCCAAGTAGTGAAGCTTTTATAAGCCTGCTTGGTAAGACCACTCTCAGATGTTTAATTTATATAATTTAATATTGTATTAAATAATGTAAAAATGTTTATATAATTTATGTATATAATCCATTACATAATGTTTTTACTCACAAAGAAATGGTAAATGGAAAAACGTGGGATAACACCCATGTTTGAGAGATTACACTGGAGAGTCCCTCGTTCCCTGTGGTTCCATGTGAATAGTATAGTCACTTCAGACATCATAGGGTTTCAGTTTTCTGTGTCCTGTAAGAATTGGTGCCCACTGGATATTTTTTAAGTTATTTAATCATGATAGGAAGATCTATCATGAGATCAAACCTCTGAACAAAATGTTAAATGTATAATACATTATTGTTGACTATAGATACAGTGTTGTACAGAAGAGCTCTAGAGCTTACCTATTGTATTTAACTGAAAGTTTATGGTGTTGATTAGTAACTCTCCAAGTACACCTTTCCCAGTCCTGGAAAACCACCATGCCACTTTCTGATTCTATGAATTTGATTATTTCAGATACTTCATATAAGTGGAATCATGCAGTATGTGTCTTTCTGTGACTGGCTTCATGTAGCATAATGTCCCCAAGTTTCATCCACATTGTTACATAGTGTAGAATTTCCTTCTTTTTTTGTTAAGGCTGAACAGTATTTCATTGCACATTTATATCATACTTTCTTCATCTGTCAGTGGACATTTAGATTGTTTCAACATTTTGGCCATTATCAATAGAAGTGCTCTTAACACAGGAGTGCTAATATCTCTTCTAGGTCCTGATTTCAATAATTTTGGTTAAATACCCAGAAGTGGGATTACTGGAACACAAGATAGTTCTATTTTTAATTTTTTATAAACCTCCATACTGTTTTCCATAGAAGCTGCACCATTTTGCATTTTAACCAACCGCATAGAGTTTCAGTTTCTCTACATCCTCAGCGATGCTTCTTGTGTGTGTGTGTGTCTGAATAGCCATCCTGACAGGTGTACGATGACATCTCACTGTGGTTTTGATTTGCATTTCCCTGATGATTTAGTATACCCGTTGGCTATTTGTATGCCGCCTTTGGAGAAATGTCTATTCAAGTCCTTAGCTCATTTTTTTAAATAAGCTGATTAGGTCTTTTGATATTGAGTTGTAGCAGTTCCTTATGTAATTGAGATTAACCCCTTATTAGATACATGGCTTGCAAATATTTTCTTCCATTCTGTATGTTGCCTTTTTTTACTCTGTTGTTTCTTTTGCTGTGCAAAAGTTTTTAGTATGACGTATTCCACGTGTTTGTTTCATGTTGCCTGTGCTTTAATAATGGTATTTCTTTTCTGTCACTAATTTGAATCAATTACTATCATAATTATGATGTGTTAAAATCGTATATACTGTTTCGATCTTAAAAATTGTGAAGGGACAGGAAGAAAGCTACTATGATCCATTCTCAGAGGGAAGAGGCAAGATTCAGGGTCTCCTGATGACTCAAGAATCTTCTAGAATGTCTCTTCTGGCCAGAACAGGTCAATGAAGGCAGAGCCCACATCAGGCACAGTGCAGGCAACGTGGGAACCACTGTGGCCACCTAGGGGCAGCGCCAGATGGTATTAAGCCCAGGAATAAAGGTTCCAGGCCTTCAGGAAAGCCCAGGTGATCCTGGAGCCCCTCAGATACACATAGGAAAGGCTTACAATATATTCCTATATCTGGCCAGGGATCCACTTTCTACACTGAGCTTGGCCCTAGGTCAGTGGTTGTGAACTTTACCTCCCAGGTGAGTAAGATGGTGTTTGCTGCTGCCAAACCAAATGTTCATGCTTTTGACATAGGACATGAGTCTTGGCCAACAACTGGACTTTGCCTGACCTTGCTCTCCTCCACCTGTGCATGATTTTAATTTTTTCCCATAAATGACCACTATCTCTGCAAAAGATTGGAAGAAGATTCTGGTGATGATGTGTGGGCAGTCCAGTTTCCATTCCTGAGAAGTGTCGACTTTGAAGAGACAGGTTCCCACAAAATTGCCTAGGGACCAAGTTCTCTTTCCAAAAGTCTGGATGCTGCATGAAAACTCCTCGTGTAACCAGAATAGCAGATACAGTGGGCACAGAATGGACAGGTGAAGCAGGACCAGTCATCATGAGTCAGCTGGCTTGCCTGTGAGCAGACACTGCATGGGGCACAGGGAGACCATGAGAGCAAGGCAGTCTCTGTTCCTGCCCTCAAAAACAGCAAACAAAAACAGAAATTTCAGTATTGTAAAGTCTGCATTAGGGTATAATGAGAGTTTGATAGAGAATCAAAACAAGGACACATGACATAATCTCAAGGAGTTGGGCAGGTAGAAGGGAATGAAATGTTTCCAGGGAGAGTCAGGAAAGTCATTCTGAAGGAAGAGATATTTAGGAAAAGATTGGAAGAATCCCCATGCACGTTAGAGCTTTCCAACCAAAAATAATTAGAAATAACCTTTCACTTCCAGCCTAACCCCACTATAGATCATTTCCCTGGTTACTATGAAAAGTCAGCTGTAATTAATTAGTGCCCTGAATTGTTCTCAACTTGTTTTCTGAGTAAAAAATGTCTCCATAATTAATTGATATCTCTGTGAGGGCGGTCACCATCCTGGTCATCTTTTGCACTCCCTGGCGTTTAGCAATGCTAAAAATAGAGAATTTAATTAATAAGCTCTCATTATATGAATGATTAAACACATTTTTAAAAAGTAATGTTTGCTAATATTTTGTAAATGTCAAGTAGTCTGTCTTCCTAACACAAGAGAATCTCTTGAAATGGGCGTAACTTGTGTACGGCTTCTTAGGCCCATTTATCATTTTTATGCTTTGTTTAAAAGTGTTTGAATAATGGGTATAATCTTAGACCTGGAACTCTAGATCATCACCCAATTCTACCAGAAACATTCTTTTGACTAGTGGAGATTTTTAGACAACTAGATTTCCCGGAGGGCTGTTGTTAAACAGTCATTGTATCAATGAGAATTATTATGATTCATATTAAAATGGTAAAGCACACAGCCTGGGCTCACACGTATCCAACAGTGATGTCTTCTGGGCTTCTTGTCCAAGCCACCAGTAAGCACAACCCTCTTTGAACGCCCTTTTGTTTCCAAACTAGCAAATATTTTTCAACAGTAAATGTTAGTCAATAGCATAGACTAATGTGAGCCTGTGCTAAAAACAGCCGAATCAATATAAACAAAATTTATTTAGTAGCAGAAAATTGCTTCTATGCAATTATCTTGTACTCAGTTTTAACATTAGGGAAAATTTTACAATTAGAAACACCTGTTGACAGATTTCTAACTGTCAGTGATAACAGATGCTGCTAAATTACTGTTCTATTCTTAAGTTTGTTTTTCCTAAATGAACTAATTATGACTACTTAAAAACATGGCCCTAAAATAAAGTGCAGACCCATATGAGAAAGCATATTCTCTGAAAATAGTATAAATTAAAACAAAAAATAGTTATTTGATGAACAGAATTGTTTGATTTGTCATTCTTTCCTAGACATTTACTTTAGTGACTTGATGTGGCAAGAGGTAAAACTTTGACACATTTTAATATGAGTAAAAATATTTCCTTTTCAGCTTTACACAAGTGCCTGAAATCTCTTCTGTTTTATTTGAATATTTATAATGTGTATATTTATCATATAACGAGTATATTTATAATATATATTTATCATAACTACTGATGTGATTTGGATCTGTGTCCCCACCCAAATCTCATATTCAATTGTAATCCCCAATGTTGGAGCTGGGCCTGGTGGAGTGTGATTGGATCATGGGGGTGGTTTCTCATGAGTTGTTTAGCACCATCTGCCTAGTGCTGTTCTTGTGATAGTGTTCTCATGAGATCTGGTTGTTTGAAAGTGTGTAGCACCTCCCAGGCATGGGAAGTGCTGGCTACCCTTTGCCTTCCACCCTGATTAGGAGCTTCCTGAGGCCTCCCCAGAAGCAGAAGCCGTTGTGCTTCCTGTATAGCCTGTGGAACTGTGAGCCAATTAAACCTCTTTTTTTGTTTGTAAATTACCCAATCTCAGGTATTTCTTTACAGCAGTGCAAGAATGGACTAATACAACCCCATATCATGTTATATGGCTCACTGGGAAATGACTGAAATGTGGGCTATTATCCTCTTTATTTCATAACTGTGAACTTAGAAAACTATGGGTAAGTTATTTAACTTATCTCTGTCTTAGTACCTTATCTGTAAAATCAGAACATCACCAGTTAAGCCAGCTGGGCTGGGACTATAATCCACACTTCCCCCTAAGCCAGCTTTTCCTTATTAAGTTTTGCCAAAAGCAGATGCTAGGGAGAGACTGCAAGGCTGGAGGAGAAGGGAGGGACCCACTTCTTTCTTATTGCTTTGTGTTATTTCCCCTGGCAAGCCTGTCTCCTTCCTATTCATGTGAACATCAATCACCCTAGCCTTGCTGCTTCACCCTGGTAGAGGCAGTTCATTCCTACATCAGCAACTAAATCCAGTGTGGAGCTTTTCCAGTGTTTGCAGGGTCAGCTTCATCTTAGCCCTCTCCATCAGAGACACTCGCATCAAAAAGTCATACCTGGCCTCAAACCTCAGGAGTCCTGTGGAATTCATGCTATGCTACCAGAGACATGAGCATCAGCTGAGCAGTGACTCTTCCTTGGAGGCCTGAGTGTCAGCCCCAAGAGTCTGTCCTTCATGCCTCCAATTTTAATAATTTTAAACTCAGTCCAAATGGTGATAACTGCTTTCTGAAATTACTGTGATAGCTCAGTTTTCTCTGGTGGCATTTTTAGTTACTTAGCAAATAGTTTGTTACAGCAAGTTAAAAAATCTCTAGATCAAAATTTCTGGTGTTACTTCTGTTTCCTAATTGGACTCTGACTGACATAACACTAATGTCTACATCACATCGCTGCTATGAAGATCGCCTTCATTCCTTTACTATTCAGCGTCTGAATACTATGGTGGGGCATCTTCCTTGTGCCAGGTACTGTCTTTGGGCAGTGGACACAGAATAATGATTAAGACACAGAAGATTATGATGAATCAAATTTAGCAGTACTGTATACCATATAGAGCTCAGAAATTTAGAGAATCTTCTGGTTTTAACTATGGTTGGACACTTACAATAACCCTACTGAAGATAAAGCATATTATGCATGGTAGCATGGCCAAGAAATTTAAGAGTCTCGCCTTGGAGACTTTGAAGGCAAGAGATATAAGTGAAGAAAGGTTCTAACAAGTATCTGCCACCCTAAAACACTGCTATGAATTAGGCTTCCTTTCCAGGGCAGTGAAATTCTTGCCTTTATTTGCAGAGGCTGCTTCAGGCCTTTAGTTTAGCTCATTGAAGTGACACAAAAGAGGAGATGAATTGGAAGGAGTTCCAAGAAGTTAAAAAAGAAAAAGAAAAAAGACTCAGAGCAATGGAAGGGCAGAGTAATGAGGCAAGACTGCAACAACTCAATGTATTTTTATCTATTATTCAACTAAGTGCAATTGTGACATCTAAAAATAAGTGATGCAGAAAAAGAAAAATAATTACAGGGAAGATAATATATAATAATTACTGAAAAGATTATGCTTTAAATAATGAGGTAGGAGTAAAGTAGGAATAACTCGAGCTGATTATAGAGACTCAATTTCTCACACTGAGGTGAGAAGAGTGTTATTTCAAATTCACAGTCCTTAAAAAAAAGAACAGACAAAACATGTAATTATTATCTGCCAACAATGTGGAGTAAAATGACGCAGAGGTGTTTGTCTGTTTTTAATTTATAAAGTTCTACATGTTTCACAAGTTATCCAACCTGTGCATTTCTGTTTAAAGTACTGAGAAAATTCCTAGTCTTGGAAATGTCTGTGTTCTTTTTCTGATAGACACTGGTAAGTGCCACACACATACACACACACACACACATACATAAACATAAAAAAATTGGTAAACTTTAGGTGTATCTATGGATACCACTTTTGCTATTTAACTATCATAAAACAAATCTCGAATGAAAATATATTGTAAGTATGAAATGTAATCTCTGGTTTAAAATGTAAACTTTGCGGTATGATGAATGTTAACATGACATGAATATGATCACAATCAAGTAACAAAAGCCAATATATTTCGTGGTCATCTATGTTACTTTGTAATTTTTCATTAAAAAATTACCAATATTACAAGTGATTAGAAAAAGTATTTTATTCTGATATTCTCACTCTCAGCAATAAATGTACTCCAAAATATATTCCCCTATTCCTATTTATTGAACTCTTTTTTTTTTTTTTTTTTTTTTTTTAAGATAGGGTCTTGCTCTGTCGCCCAGGCTGGAGTGCAGTGGCGCTATCTCGGCTCACTGCAACCTCCACCTCCCGGGTTCACGCCATTCTCCTGCCTCAGCCTCCTGAGTAGCTGGGACCACAGGCGCCCGCCACCACGCCTGGCTAATTTTTTGTATTTTTAATAGAGATGGGGTTTCACCGTGTTAGCCAGGATGGTCTCGATTTCCTGACCTCGTGATCTGCCTACCTCAGCCTCCCAAAGTGCTGGGATTACAGGCGTGAGCCACCGCGCCAGGCCTCTTTTGTTTTTTAAGGGTCTATAAGTTAATCATCCTTGTTGGTCTTCACTATAGACATTGATTGTCTTTACGTATGAAATAACCTTTTAGAAATATGTCTTCAGAGCTCCCTGTCATGTTCCGCATGCAAGGTCCTCTTTGTTACCAAGAGAAAGGAGTTCACTTCTGGATTGAGTTAAATATCAGGTCATTGTATTTGATTGACAACACAATTTCTCAGAGGTTTTGAAGCATGTTTGCTTTTTTTCTGTTTCTTGCACCTCAGTCAGATTTTGTCCGTTCTTTGAAAGGTCCTGGATCTGAGGTTATATATCTTCCTTGATAACTAGAAGCTGAAAAAGAAACTTTCAGAAACACAGTAAAATATAATTATGATGTCACTTTTTGATGTTTTAGTTTTATGCTTATATTTTTAAATAAAACCTCTGTATAAAGTATAAAGTAGTTTAGAAAACATTTTGAAACACAGAATTACCATGTAGAGCAAAAACAAACCTGACTCTGGAGTTATAATCGTATCAGAATGACTCATCTAAACATTTATCAGAGATTTGGGGGATAGGCAAGAATATTTTTGTTTGGTTAGAAACCTTTTGGGGTGATGGTTAGTTCTCTGGTCCAGCTTTAGCTGAGCTAGAACCATAAAGTCTTTAATTTCATGAAGTATGGGAGCCTATTTTCTTGCCTGGCTAATTTTTTAAATTTTTTGGAGAGGCATGGTCTCACTATGTTGCCAGGCTGGTCTCAAACTTCTGGCCTCAAGCTATTTTCCCGCCTCAGCCTCCTAGAAATGGTGGAATTACAGGCATGAGCCGCATTGCCCAGCAAAAGCCTCTAAGTGGTGATTTGCTGTTTGGCCTGAGAGTAATTTGGAGGCTGTGGCTGAGTCAGCTTCTCTTGTTGACTGAGCTGATGTCACTTTTGACCTTCATTGTTCCATAATTCCTTATGAAACTCTTCTGAAGCACTGAGAACCATCGACGGATCATATCAGCATGAAGTTATAGAAGTATAAGAGAACTTAGGAAGCTAAGTGTTCCACCTTATGAGAGGAAAATTCCTCTTGTACCTTATGAGAGGAAAATGATGCCTGGAGCTCTTAAATTAATTATTAAAGCACTACAGCATGTTTTAACTATGAATAATAACAATAGTATGTATTGAATATTTGATACACATCAGTCACTAAGCTAAGGGCTGCCCATACAAGATGTAATCTTTACCTTAGCCGTGTGAAATAGGTATTATCATTATCTTCATTTTACAGAAAAGGAAACTGAAGTAAAGATGAATGGTGTAATTTATTGTAGGTCTCACATCTAGAATGTGGAAAGATTAGAACTCAGATGCCTGGGTCTCAGAGGTTCTGCTCTTCAGCACTGCCATGTACTTATTCATAGCTGGTTAAACAAGTAAGAGCTGGAGCAAAGTGTCAGGGACTCAGGAATGAATAAATCTCTGTCTCTGTACCCCTGGATGTCACAATTTAGCACAGGGGTTGGCAAACTTTGTCTCTCAAGGCCCAGATAGTAAATATTATAGGCTTTGTGAGCCAATACAATCTCTGTGGCAACTACTCAACGTTGCCATTTTAACATGATACCAGCCAGAGCTAGTATATGAATTAATGAACATGGCTGTGCTCCAATAAAACTGTATTTACAAAAACAGGCTAGTGGCCAATTTACTTTGCAACATGTCATCAAATAGAATAATTACATAAATATATAATTTATATAACTAAGACATAAGTCCTGAGGGTGACATTTATAAATGGCAGAATCATAGAGGAGTGATGGATCCTGCCTGAGATATTTAGACACAGGAAGTAACATTTAAGCAAATATATTGAGGAATTAGTAGTAACATTAGAAGTAACATTAGAAGTAACACTATGTAGGCAAGATGGAAAGACATTTGCAGCAGAGGTGACAGCATAAGTAAAACCTTGGAGGCATGGCATTCAGGAAACAGGTAATTTAACAAGATAAAGTACAGGTATGTGCTGAGGAATAGTGGGAGAAAAAAGACAGATATATTAATAGATGGGGAAAAGGGGATAGTGTATGATAGCCCTAAAGCAGTGCTAAGAAACTTTATTTTAGATGGCACAAAAGGGAAGGCATTAAAAACTCTTCAAAAAAGAAAGCATTATTATACTTATGTATTTAAAAAATTAACTTTTTCAGCATTTTCTTGAAAGGGAAAAATGTGATAAAACTTATTTTAAGAGTGCCTGCTTTTTATTGGACATATCCAAGTTTTAAAATACAGTTTAACTTCAAGAAATATATAGCAGGAAGAAATAAAAATGAAAAGGACAGTGTCAGCTTTTGTAACTTGTGATAATATTATAACCTTTTTACAATGCCCTGAAGTTATACTTTTAGTTTAATTAATCTTCACCTTTGGATTCATACGTAGTTTTTATGTTATTCATGAATAAGAAATTTGTGTAATAATTTTTCCTCTCTTCTAGTACAAATAAAAACCTTTAATAAAAATTTTATCATTACAAGAAGGCTTTAAAAGTATATTTTATGCCCCAATATTGTTTTTTGGGAGGAATGTGTAGAACATCATGTTTATGTTTTGTTCTGGGTCCAAATGCAGTTGGAAATAAGACTCTAGTAGATGAGGGATGTGGACAGAAGAGCAATGTCCTTGAAGTTAGGACATGTGACACCTCTTCAGACCCTACCACCGATTAGCTGCTTCACCTTGAATTTACTAATCCTCAAACTAGAAAGTAGATTACATGCTGTAACAATACATGAGAGTATTTCTAAAAACAAAAATAGCTTTGGTGAGTACATAACAGCCGGCAGACCCAACTGTACTTTTATAGCATCAACTTTTTGATTTTTCCAATGACACACCATATATCAAAATGAAAACTTGGGAATGAAAATAGGAGTCTTCTGCAAAGTGGTGCTCTAATAATTGGAAAAGATTAATGTCTCTGAGACTTGTGAAATCGTCAATAGAACCTTGACCTTGGATTCCCCATGATTCTTAATCACCTTGGATTCCCTATGATTCTTAATATAGAACAATATACTAATGTTTTCAAAAGAACTAACATAAAATCACAGTGGAAGATTAAAAAAAAAAAAACCTTGTGGTTAAAATAGTCATTCCTTCATGTCATAAGCCGTGGTTATGGTTTAGGTTTCCTTCAGCTTAAATCCAGCAACTCTCTTGGGTACCTAGGTCTTGGCATTGACAGAGACAGCACTGCCTAGAAGTTAACAGTGCAATGTTAGTTAGATACAATCATTTTCATAATAGGTTTCCCCACCTGAACCATAAACAGGTTATTGTTCTGGAATGATCCCTCATGTTTCTGAGGACAGGTATGGTGATTGGAGAAAAAGAAATTATTAGTCTATTAAAATGGTTAATTATATTAACAGATTTGCTTAATGTTGAATCAACCTTGCATTCCAGAGTTAGAACTTACTTTTCATTAAGCATTATCCCTTTCATATATTTCTGGATTCAAATTGCTACTATTCCATCAGGGATTTATATAGCTATGTTTAGAAAACACAGTAGTCTATAATTTTCTTGTAATGTCTTTGATACCAGGGTATTGCTGGCATCATGAATCAAGTTGGGGAACTTTCCCTCCTTTTATTGCTGAGAGAGAATTTGTACGATTGGTTAATATTTCTAACTTAAATGTTTAATAGAATTTAACCAGTGAGACTACATGGGTTCACAGTGTGCATGTGCCTGTCCATGTGTGTGTTTGAAGGTTCTTTGGTAATAAGTTCAATTTATTGTGTATGGTAGGGGTGGGGGCATTGTTCAGAGTTTCAATTTCATTTTGTATCAGTTGGATAAGTAAGTTCTGGCTTTTATGAATGTGTCTATAGGTTTTCAGATTTATTGGTATTAAAATATATTCTCATTATATGTAGTAATATCTCTTCTTGAATCCTTTATATTGATAGTCTGTGTCTTTCATGCAAACCATAAAGAATTAAGGCCAAAGATATCCATCGAATGTAAGGAGTTAACTTATGATATATGCATTAGAGTGACAATAGCTATGGAACATTTTGGGGGCAATTGAAAAAATAGTCCCTACATATTTTCTGTAGTATTTTATTATCTCATGGACTATGATTAGCAAAGGCTGCTTTAGGAGTTACAATATTTTCCCTTAATCACAATCTGCTCTTCATATAACATAAAGATGCTCTAACAACAGAGTTTCATTTATCCCGTCATTTGTGTTATTATTGTATTATTTGTGTATATTACTCCAGCAACATTATCATCCTCTTAATAAGGTGGCATTACTTCGTTTAAACATTTAGGTTCCTTTTTGAAAAGTTAAGAGAATAAAAAACTTTATATTTGATCATATTTATAATTTCCAGAGTTTTTCATTCCTTCCTACAACTATTAGCTTCCATCTGCTGTAACTTTCCTTTACCCAGAAGAGCATTAGTATTTCTTGTAGAGCTGATCTAACTGCAGAAAATTCCCTCAGTTTTTATTTATGTAAAAATGTCTTCATTTCATCTAGATTTTTGAAGATCTTTGGAATGTATAGAATTTAGACGGACTGTTATTTTCTTTCCGCGTTTTTAAAATGTCACATTGCATTCTGGCATTTTTTTTTTGAAGGGAAATCAGTTATCATTTGTATTTTTGTTCCCTTCATGTAATGTGTCATTTTTCCTTCACTGCTTTTAACATTTTCTCTTCATCTTTGGTTTATAGCAGTTTGACTATAACGCGCTTAGCTGTGCTTTTCTTTGTATTCATCCTCCTTAGCTCAGGGTCATGTCTTCCTATTTTTTCATAGGTCTAGTATTTGTTTTTATTATAGCTACACTATTTTGAATGATATGTTATGAAGGCTCTGAAATTTGTCTTCCCTTGACGTGTTAATTTTTAGTAAATGTTTAAGTTGACTGGCCTAAAATTTTTAACTCTGTCTCCCTAAGATGAATAGCAGCTAAAAATCTGTTTTTTGGGGCAGTTGCTTTTTAGTGGCCACTTTGACATCTTTCCTGTACATGCAAAGTCCAAGTCAGCCAAAGACTTAGGGATCTATGCGCAGATTTGAGGGGGCTTCTCTTTCTGTGTTTTCTTTTCAATAGGTTTCTCGCCTTACAGTCTAGCCATTCAGGAAGCCCTGAACTCCATTTCCCTGACTTTCTAAGCCAATAAGTCTGTGTTTTTCTCCTTGAAGCCTGGGTCCCATATAAAACATAATAGGTACAGCAAATTTTATGCAGGGCGTTTCTCTTTTATTCAAAAAATATTTACAGTTTCTGACTGCATTGGACCATTTTTTATTGCATTCAAATTACTTTCTTATATTGGTTCAGAGTTATAATCGCTGTCTGCTGGAAGTTTAGTCTAATAAAAGTACTTTGCCATTAATAGAAGTCATTCATATACTTTTTATTCCCAACTCTCATGTGAAGAAATTGAAAGACATAGATCCCATTTTTATGGCTATTAACATAATACCTTGAACATAGTAGGGTTCAGAGGATATCTGTTGAATAAATTTAGGTCCTCACACACAATCTTTCTTTTCTTTCAATTTTCTGATTAAAAATATAAGAGACAATTTCTACCTTAAATTCCGTTATACTCCTTACCCTCTACTCTATTTGATTTCACATGCCTGCATTATTTTAACAACCTCCCTGTTCTTTCTCTAAACCATCAGGTCTCCAATGTGTCTTTCACAATGACTAATTTACCTCTGCACGTACCACAAAGATAATGATTTCCAACTTCACTCTAAATAATAATAAAATCTTTGTAACTATCACTACCAGAATAAGAAACCTAAATTTAAAAGTCAGCAAGTTGGCTGGGCACGGTAGCTGACGCCTGTAATCTCAGCACTTTGGGAGGTCGAGGCGGGTGGATCACTTGAGGTCAGGAGTTCAAGACCAGCCTGACCAACATGGTGAAACCCCGTCTCTACTAAAAATACAAAATTAGCCAGGTGTGGTGGCAGGTGCCTATAATCCCATCTACTGCGGAGGCTGAGGCAGGAGAATCGCTTAAACTGGAGAAGCAGAGGTTGCAGTGAGCCGAGAGTGAGTGTTGCCATTGTGCAGTGAGTGTTGCCATTGTGCTCTAGCCTAGACAACAAGAGTGAAACTCTGTCAAAAAAAAAAAAAGAGTTAGCAAGTCATTTATCACCTTCCAAATTCTGATTCCAAATAAACATTTCATTCTTTCATGTCTCCTAGAACCTGAATTCAAGCCACATCATCCTACTTCATTCACTAGGCCCTGCATCCTCCCCACTCAACATCTCCCCTCGTTATTTTCTACTTGCCAAGTGTGCTAACCTTTTCCAGTTAAAAATAACATTTCCCCTGTAAAGCCTTAGAATTACTCACACTAGGGGCCGAATAAGCACTTTGAGCCATGATTATGCTCCTTTATCATATTCTTTTGTTTTGTATTTCAGAAGGATTATCCTCCCACCTTTATAAACATTTTGTAGAAAGTATGTTTTTTTAATTTGTGTTTCAAGTATAGAGCCAATTGTGTCGCACCGATAATTCCCTGATGCAACTTCAAAGCGGCACTACTCACATAATTGTACCCCAGGTGGTTCCATCCATAGAGCAAAATGTAAATACTCTTTGCAAGTTGGAGAACTCAGCTGGTTCTTCATGTTGCCTGCTCAGCAACTGCCTACAGAATATGATTAAAACTACTTAAACCACATTTTAATAAAGTTGAAAGGGACATGATGACCTCCCTCCACGCACCTCATCTATCATATTCTCAAGTCCTACATAGCTAGTAGATATTCTATGAATTACCACTGTGCTCTGTACCATCTCATGGTTTATCGAGGTCACAGATCAAGTATGAAAGTTCAGAAAGTTTCACTACTGGTTTATATCACTTTCATGTGGTGGCATCAGTGTTGCTAAAGGAGGATCTGTTTCCTGTCTGGGTTTTATCCTACCTACACATGCAGCTGAGCATATTTACCCAGCTATTAAACCTAGAGAGAAAAATAACCTAGTATTGGAATGAATTTTTATTTTTTCAGCCGTATTGAAGTATAATTGTCAAAAATTATACAGATTCAAGGTGTACAATGTAATGTTTTGATATAGGTACATAAAAATGATTACTGGCCAGGTGCCCTGGCTCACACCTGTAATCCCAGCACTTTGGCAGGCCAAAGCAGGTGGATCACCTGGGGTCAGGAGTTCGAGACCAATCTGGCCAATATGGCATAACCCCATCTTTACTAAAAATACAGAAATTAGCCGGGCATGGTGGCATGCACCTGTAATCCCAGCTACTCGGGAGGCTGAGGCAGGAGAATTGCTTGAACCCAGGAGGCAGAGGTTAGAGCAAGCCGAGATCACACCACTGTACTCCAGCCTGGGCAACAGAGTAAGACTGTGCCTCAAAAAAAAAAAAAAAATGATTACTACAATTGAGCTAATTAACATATGTATCACCTCATATGCATCACTTCATCTGTGTGACACACAAAGTATGCATCACACATACCTACATTTTTGTGTGTGACGAGAATACTTAATATCTAACCTCTTAGCAAATTTCAAGACTGTAATACATTAACTATAGTCACCAGGCTATACCTTAGATGTCCAGAATGTATCCATTGTATAACTGCAAGTTTGTATCCTTTGAGCAACATCTCCCCATTTCCTCCAGCTCTTGATCCTTGGTAACCACCATTCAACTCTGTTTCTATGAGTATGACTTTTTTTAGATTCCACATATAAGTGAGATTTTCTTTCTGTTTCCAGTTTATTTCGCTTAGCATAATGTCCTGAAACTTTATGCATCTTGTTGCAAATGCCAGGATTTCCTTCTTTTTTAAGGCAAAATAATATTTTATTGTATGTATAAACCAAATTTCCCACATATCACTGAGATCCTGATTTCAATTCCTCTGGATATATACCCAGAAGTGGGACTACTGGATCACATGACAGTATACATATTGCAGAACCTTCATACTACTTTCCATAATGGTTGTGTCAGAGGCATGTGAACCAGAGCAACTCCATCTTGAATAGGAGCTGGGTAAAATGAGGCTGAGACTTACTGGGCTGCATTCCCAGATGGTTAAGGCGTTCTAAGTCACAGAATGAGGCAGGAGGTCAGCACAAGATACAGGTCATAAAGACCTTGCTAATAAAAACAGGTTGCAGTAAAGAAGCTGGCCAAAACCCACTAAAACCAAGATGACCACGAGAGCGACCTCTGGTCATCCTCACTACTACATACCCACCAGCACCATGACAGTTTACAAATGCCATGGCAACGTCAGGAAGTTACCCTATATGGTCTAAACAGGGGAGGCATGAATAATCCACCCCTTGCTTACCATATAATCAAGAAATAACCATAAAAGTGGGCCACCAGCAGCCCTCAGGGCTGCTCTGCCTATGGAGTAGCCATTCTTTTATTCTTTTACTTTCCTTAATAAACTTGCTTTCACTTTACTGAGTTCTTTCTTGCCCTGAATTCTTTCTTGCCCTCAATTCTTCACTGGGTGAGAGCCAGGAACCCTCTCTTGGGGTCTGGATTGGGGCCCCTTTTCTGTAACAGCTGTACCAATTTATAATGGGAGAAATAAAAGTGAAAAAGGTAGAAATGTGAAAAAAATTAGGCTTCCTTGAGAAAAAAAAAAAAGACACCATGACACCCTTCATCCTTTTGTCTGCAACAATAGAGACTAGAAAAATAAAAAGCATCAAAATATATGTTCTGAGTCTCGTTGGCAGTGAAAGTGGCCATGAACTTAGTTGTTTCCCACAGGGTAAAGAATGATGACTCATCTTCCTCATAAGAGGGGGAGCTGCTGTGCCCCTACCCTCCTCTTTCAACTTTGAAGGCAGCTATAGTATTTGTAGCAGCAGCACCTATTTTGCAAACACAAGACACCACCAAACAAATCTTACAAATGTCAGCTTTTACGTGATTGAACTGCTGAACAAACTCCAGTAGCTGCTTACCTTTGAAACTTTTTTTTTCAAAGTATTATTGTATTTATTTATTACTTTTCTTTTTTTTTTTTTTTTTACTTTAAGTTCTGGGATACATGTGCAGAATATGCAGGTTTGTTACATAGGTATATATGTGCCATGGTGTTTTGCTGCACCTACCAACCCGTTATCTACGTTTTAAGCCCTGCATGCATTAGGTATTTGTCCTAATGCTCTCCCTCCCTCCCCTTGCCTCCCACCCTCCAACAGGCCCCGGTGTGTGATGTTCCCCTCTCTGTGTCCATGTGTTCTTATTGTTCAGCTCCCACTTATAAGTGAGAACATGCGGTGTTTGGTTTTCTGTTCCTGTGTTAGTTTGCTGAGAATGATGGCTTCCAGCTTCATCCATGTCCCTGCAAAGGACATGAACTCATTCTTTTTTATGGCTGCGTAGTATTCCATGGTGTATATGTGCCACGTTTTCTTTATCCAGTCTATCATTGATGGGCATTTGGGTTGGTTCCAAGTCTTTGCTATTGTGAACAGTGCTGCAATAAACATACATGTACATGTGTCTTTATAACAGAATGATTTATAATCCTTTGGGTATGTATCCAGTATAGGGATTGCTGGGTCAAATGGTATTTCTGGTTCTAGATCCTTGACTATTTGTTGAAACAATCAAATTCAGATTTATTGTCACTTGCAGCAATATGCATTTCTAACTGAAATGTGACCTATTAGCATGTAAGTTTTCTTATGTCCCAAACACTGTCCTCTGCCTTTTTTTTTCTCATTTAACCCTTATGGTAACACATGATACCTCCATTTTTAAGTTGCGTATGTTGAGACTTATGACATATAATGATAGAGTGAATAGTTAAGAATACAGACTTGGGTATCAAACAGACCTAGGCTTCATCCCTGGACCTTGCCAATTCCTATTTAAATGATATTTGGCATGCAACCTCTTTAAGCTTCAGCTTCCTAATCTGCAAAACAAAGACAAAAGAAGTCACTAATTACAGAGTAGTTTTTTAGGATTAAGTGAGTTAATATGTGTAAGTGCTGAAGAAGGGCCTTGCTTGCATATAGTAGGTAATGAAAAAATATTAGCCATCGTCATTATTTTTGTTGATATGTTATTACTACCCTACATCACAGAAATAGAAAGTGATGCATTACTAATCAAAAAATAACATAAAACAATAAATAATTGATGATAAAGAACTTAAATGATTTTTTTATCCCTATGATTGTCTTTTTTTCATCTACACTATGGTAAGGATAATTAGATAGCTAAAATTTCTCCAAGAAGTCATAGGAATTCAATTGACACTCTGCTGTGACATTTTATATTTCTAAAACCATGATTTTTGTGAGGTCAGAAAATGGTAGAGTGAGACTTAACAGGTAAATATGTACATTTTTTGATGTTTATGATATTTTTATCATCAAAGTTTTTTTAGATCAGGGCAAGTCTTAAACACACTGAAAATTACTCTGTGCATGCCTCGGTGCATTAACAATGGGCACATATGCATGTGCTTGTAGACATACGTATGAATATCCATCAAAACCCAGGCCACCCGCTGGGTAGATGGTGATAATTGTTATGATTGTTCGAGTGATGAATACACTATGTTAAATGAGAATTTGATTAAGCTGGCACCTGAGTCGACCCTGATGCAGGCAGCAGGCAGGGTTATAGTGATGATGTATCTTACTTTTTTTGTTTATAAAAGAGAATGTTAGACAAATAACACTGCCTACAAGTTTGCAATTCAATCTTTGAGGAGCATGTATTACAATGTCTCATTTCAGTCAGCATAGAAATAACAACCAAACTAGAATTAACTAGAATTTCAAATAACATTAGTAGCCCTGTCAGTGATACCATAGCCACTGAATCCTAACAAATGTGTTTAGTGAAAAAGCTTCCAACACAGTGCCTGTTAAATCAAATGGAGATGGGGAAGGAGCAAAGTTTCTTGGGTAGAATATTCTGGAGTTCTTCCAATTAGAATATTTGGGCATCTCTTTCTCCTTATATCACTAAAAAGATGGTACATAGAGGAATACATGAAATTATAGCAATAAATAGTGATGCATCTCTGACCAACTAAAGTGGCCATCTGGTTACTTGCTTTAGAGAATTATCCAAACGAAGTCACCTTACAGTTGATTTATGCCATCATGGGAGCTTTACACCAAATGGAAACCACAAGTTTATTTTCTTCTGATTTAAGAAATATTTTCCATGTGAAAAGCACACTTCTTAAAAATGGGATTGATGATAGAGCATTTTTTAGAAACTGATTTCTAAAAGATCTTTTATGGCTAGTCCCTAGAGAAAAGGCTTTATAATCTGTTGAAAAATTAAGTGATAATCTAGATACAAATCATTATAGACCTAATTTATATGAAGAATAAATATGTCTGATGGAAGCTTATGAAAAGAGTTGAAAGGAAAAGACTAGCACCTGACTGTGAATCTGAATGTAGAGTTGCTGCTTGGCTTTGGAGCATGTCAAAACTGTGTTTACATTCTAACTGCCACTGATCAGCCATATGACCTTGGGCAAGTCCCTTGGCTTCCAGAAAGATGATGTTAAGTGGAAACAACTCATTTACTCCCTGAGATCGTGAAAAGGCTGAATGAGATTCTCAGCAAAGGTCCTGGCCCATAGAATTGGATCAAAATGGTAATTTTTAGTATTAGTGCAATCAAAGCCAATGGAAAAGTATGAATTTATTCCTACAAACCTTCAGTAAATTTAGATTGCCAAAATATGTGATACAGAAAATAAATTACAATTCTTAGTAGTAAAGACTTCCCAGCCTATCTGTGTAAATGGATAACTATAAGTTTATTAGTGTAGGTAAATTGGTATATTCCTCAAGAGTATCTTCCATGACAAAGAATGAAGTGGCTCTCATTAGTGTTAATTGTTGGTAGTTTTAGTACGCTCTCTCTCTCTGTGAATATAAACAAATATTTATAAAAACCCACAATTTCACAAAAGAAGCATTGATCATCATTTTCTTATACTTACTATGTCACAGAATAAAATCTAACTCTGAAAATGGCCTGAAAATCTTTGATCATATTAACTAATGTTCATTTAGTGTTTACTGAGAAAATAATCTATCCTTTAATACTTAAAAGCCCTATGAGTGCTTATTATCAATAACGTCTTTACAGATAGGAAACCTAAGAAATAGAAGAGTTGTATGGCATTCCAAGGCATAGGACTATTCAATGGAAAAGCCAAAATTCAAAGCCAGGCAGTTTGGCTCTGTGATGACACCCTCAAAACAATTTTACTGAAATAAACTACAATGGTAGACCCTTGAATTATTGTATGAGTCACATTTCTCCAGAGAAGCAGAATGAAGAGGATATATATATATATATGTATAGATGTATAGATGTGCATAGATATGTATAGATATGTGTATATGTGTGTATATATATATGTATATATATGGAGAAGACAGAGGGAAGCAGAGGCAGAGAATGAGAGAAAGAGAGGCTAACATGTATGGTATGTTGTGTATTGGCAGCAGGATTCCACAAGGACTCCACCTCGTCATGGAGCTCATAGTTTAATGTAGAAAGAAGATGGTTTGTTTTCAGTAGCCACAGACCAGCAAACACATTAGGTAGCCAATGTTGCACCTTGGGGTGTCAACATAAAACTCAGGGAGCCAATGTCTATACCTTCGGGTATCAACATAAAACTTACAAACCTGATACATTGAGTCTTTTGCCCATTCAACTCTAGAACACTGGATACTTGAAACATGACATTATTTTCTCAATGGATAAGAGAGTAATTTTCCATCCAGAAAACCATTTGAGAACATGAAGGCTGCAAAAGTGCAAGACATTTGATAACTTATTAGAAGGACCTCATGCTGTTTATCATTCCAGTGCTGAAGCTTTAACCATGAAGAAAAAGCAAAGTTTACTTACGCTGGCAATATCTCCATCTTTTCTTTGATAAATACCTCTCGCAAGAAACCCACATATCCTAAAGCTATCAATTTTGCCTTATAAATGTGACAAAATATCAGTAGAGTTTGATTTTACTTTACCTTTTAGATTTGTTTCTCCAATATATGTGAAGATAATCTTATATATTGATTAATTCTGCCATTGATTTTCATTATGATTTAGAAATATAGTCTCTAATAAAAAATTCCAAACTGAACAATGAACAAAATTCAACTTTCAATCGCTGACTTTCATTATAGCATCAACAGTGAATCTATTCATTTTCCTATAACAGAGGCAAAAACTTGGTGAAAAATCTAAATGCACACGATAATTACATGCTCACTATGAAGCAAATCATCTCATTAAGGCTTTATGTTGCCCATGTTTGTTACTGATCTACATGTTTGCCAGAAAATGCCACATGACAAGGGGTTCAGTAAAACTCAGAAGTTATGTTTCAGCTATCTTCAGTGTTTGCTTGTTGATCAAATGTTTACTTTATTTTTAATCTGTATAAATATATGGCAAACAACAAGTGCATTTTATTACATGCATACATTGTAGCTTGGTGAAATCGGGGCTATTAGGATATCTGTCACCCAAATAATGTACATTGTATCCATTAAGTAATTTGTCATCGTTCATCTCTCTCTCACCCCCTTACCCTTCTATCATTCCATATTGTGTGTCCATGTGTACACATTATTTAGCTCCCATTTATAAGTGAGAACGTGCTATCTTCTTTGTATGACTTGTTTCACTTACGATAATGGCTGCAAATCCTACCCATGTTGTTGCAAATGACATGATTATATTCTTTTTTGACTGAATAATATTCCATTTTGTACATATAACACGTTTTCTTTGTTTAATCATCCATTGAGGGACAATTAGGCTTATTCCATACCTTTGATATTGTGAGTAGTGCTGCAATAAACATACAAATACAGGTGTTTTTTGATATGATTTCTTTTTCTTTGGGTAGATATCCAGTAGTGAGATGGCTAGATCAAATGGTAGTTCTATTTTTAGTCCTTTGAGACATCCCCATACTGTTTTCCTTAGAAGTTTTACTAATTTACATTCCTACCAATGGTGTGAAAGAGTTCCCTTATCTCTGCATCCTCGCCAACATCTTTTTTTTTTTTTTTGACTTTTTAATAGTTATCATTCTGACTGAGGTAAGATAATATCACATTGTGGTTTTAATTTGCATTTCTCTGATGATCAGTAATGCTGAGCATTTCTTCATATGCCTGGTGGCGATTTGTAGGTCTTGTTTTGAACAATGTCTACTTAATTCTTTTGCCTACTTTGTAATCAGATGATTTTGGTTTTTTTTGTTGAGTTGTTTGAGTTCCTTGTATATATATACTGGATATTAGACTCTTGTCAGATGCATATTTTACAAATGTTTTCTCCCATCCTTGAGGTTGTCTGTTCATTCTGTTGGTTGTTTCTTTTTTTGTGCAGAAGCTTTTTAGATTAATTAAGTGTCATTTGTCTAATTTTAGTTTGGTTACCTGTGCTTTTAGGTCTTTGTCATGATTCTTTGCCTATATCAATATCCAGAAGAGTTTTCCTTAGATTTTGTTCTAGTATTTTTATAGTTTCATGTTTACATTTAAGTCTTTAATCCATCTTGACTTGATTTTTGTGTATGGTGACATTTATTCAGAGCTGGTGCCTAATTAGATAACCATTTATGTCAATAATTTACTGACAGAATTTCAAAGTTGTCATTTAACCAGCTAGTTTATTTACAGAGATACCATAATTGAGCTTTTCAGGCTTAAAGTGGTTAAGAATAATATCGTTGTTCTTTTTTTTTTCTCTGCAAGTTTTATGGTCTACTGACCAGAGGTTAATTTGTATTCATTTGAGGTGTAAAGTTTTGAAATAGATTCTTCAAAGTGTGGAGAACTACTTGGAACTCCAGGGTTGGTATAAAGATTATCGTAAGCTGAAAATATTTGAGATTTAACAGAGACCGAAGGAAGCCTTCTTGGAAATTTTCTTATCTGACCAAAAACAGAAACTTCTCAGAAGTGTGGATGGCATCTTTAGGGCAGCTTCTACTACCAGAAGAGAAACCTAGAGTAAACTAATCATTAAACCCCTTCTCTGAAGGAATTTATGGCCCTGAAGAAGACTGAAAGACTATTCATATTTGTATAGACCAATATCATCACAAACTATTTTTATCTCTAATTTGTTCTGCTAAAAATCCATTTGTCTTTTCTAAAGAAACTTGTTTGTAAGCTGTTTCTACCCTCTCCATTTCCCCTGCTCAGATATATAAGCCTTTAATGTTAACCATTTAATGAGCCAGCTACTTCTTTTGTTGGCTCCTGTATGCAAATGGATTCACTTTTTTCCCTGTTAATTTGTCTTTTGTCCACTTAATTCTCAGGCCTCAGTTATTAAACTTAAGAGGATACAGAAAAACAAAGCAGCATCTTAGAGATTTCTAGAATATGCTGCTCTGGAGAAGGGAAGGGGGTATGAAATTGGAAGGACATCAGAGAGGTACTGTTACGAAAGATCTCACTGCATCTATAAAATTGTTGGGAAGTCTCATTCTCTGAAACAAGCTTGAGATGGGCACAGGATTGATTCTTTTCTTGTGGAGGTGCCAGATTTTCACATTTCATTTTTAATTCCATTTTTATATTCCTTAGTAGATTACATTGATCCAAAAGTTTGACACTAAAAATGTTCAAAATTTGAACTATGAAACTGTTTTCCCCTTAGGTACTTATTCTCCAGATGTGTATCCTGCAAAACAAATACCCCTATGTTTAATTTTAAAGTAAAAGTAATTTCACCCTCTTCCCTTCCCCTTTCCACACAGAGATTTTCTCATATTTAAAGTGCAGCTAACAACTTTTTCTGTCTTAGAATTTTTAGTGGCATCTGCATGAAAATTAAGAAATACTTTGGGAAAGTAATTTAATTTTGCAAATGCGAAGCTTATCTCTGCTCATCACAGAGGCAGTAAAACATAAGAGATTTCTATAATAGAAATTTCAATTTAAAAAAACCTTACAGAAATACATTATAATGAAGTAAACAATCTTGGAAGCAAAGCCTCAGTGGCAGAGCATCCCAATGACACATTTGTCTGGCCAAGAATTTAAAACCACAGAAGCCTGAAATGCCACTGTCCAGTCGACCAGACTGTTTGCAGTGATGTTGCAGCTTAACTTTTTTTTTTTTTTTTACTTCCAAGACTTCTGGCTCCTGGCAGAAGACAAAAAGCTTCAAGTTGAGAAAATCAACTCAGAAAAAGAGAGAACATTTAGGCTTTGAAGAAATACATGTGTTGTTTACACACTTTCATCCTTTAGAACGTGGCTATATTCCCACCCTTAAAGAAAAAGCCAAAAGTCAGCACCATCTGCTTTTAGAAATAATGGCTAGTGCACCTCTACATTCTTCAGTGGGGAAAAGTCCTGCCCTCCCTGAATATGGCAAACAAATTGACTTCAGCGTGATGAAATAGCTGAAACAGCTTTTCTGTATCTGGCAATTTTTCTTTGTGAAATTAATTTTGCAAATGCACATTGCCCTGTTCGAATTACAAGTATTTGGAAAGGATTTGTTTTTCTTTTTTCTGTACTACAGCTAAAAATCTGAGCAGTGTCTCAATAAGGTTAAGTAAGATTAAGCAGTCAAAAAATAATCATTATTGGAGCTTCTCTGCCACATGTGTTGATTTTATCTATAAAAATCACTTCAAGGATGATTGCCATTACAGTAGCATTTTAACTATTTATTGCCTTCAATAAATAAATGATGCAAGACCCTTTTATAAAGGGTTGCTTTGGATCCTAGAGATGGAAAATGTACTCCTATACCATTAGGACTTAATTTTCATTCATTGATGTCTAACCATAGTACTGTTGTTACTGTGGAGGGTCTTGACTATTAGTTGACCAGGTTCTTGGCATTTTAAACAAAGAACTGGATAAAACACACAAAGCAATGAAAGAATGAAGCAACGAAAGCAGAAATTTACTGAAACGAAAGTACACTCCACGGAGTAGGAACAGGCTTGAGCAAGCGGCTCAAGAGCCCTGGTTACAGAATTCTCTGGGGTTTAAATGCTCTCTAGAGGTTTCCCATTGATTACCTGGTTTACACTCTGGGTACCTGAAGGAATGACCCTTGACCCGTCTGCTTGGTTGCACAAGGTGACCAATCAGAGGCTGAAGTGAAATTACAAAGTTATACCTCTATGCAAATGAAGACTAGGCCTACAACCAGTCTGACTGTTTGCCAGAGGGGACTAATCAGAGGCATTTTCCATTTTTACCTGCTATGCACAAAGGTGGGTGGGGTTGCAAAGGGAACAGCCTCTGATCCTTTTGTTATTTGGGCATGGAAAGTTGGACTTCTCCTTCTGATTTAGTTCTAGGAAGTCATTGTGAATTGGCCTTAGGTTCCCTATCTCCAGACTCCATTCTCCTGCCTCATTATGAAGAAACATTTGTCTCCTCTTCATAGTGATGGTGATGATTCAGAACCTTAACATTTTTAACCTTCCAGTTACCGTTTTCCTAATCTAAGTCTGAAATGTTGGGATGTTTTTCACCTTTTCTTCTAATCAACATATTTTTAAAAACTAAATGGTCAAGATTTATATAAAAACAAAAGAAGTTAAATGAATTTCAAATAACCATTTGATTGCTGGGCCATGATTTTTGGACCAGGTTCTACTCAGATATTGAACCATATGAGCACAGATTAAACAAACTCACAGATACTGCTGGCTTTGGGTCTTCCCTTATTCTTTCTCTTTTAACCATGACCATCACATCCTTCCTCTCCAAGATTCTAAAAATCTTACTCTTTTCAAGGTTCTGTTTAATAACCTATAATTCTCTCAAAGCCTAGATTATCAAATACAAATGTTAATTACCCATCTCCTTTCCTGAAATCCAAAATTAACTTTTCACAAGAAATAATGATACATTTTAGTTATGTGGCTCTATATTATTTTGAAATTGTTTTCAGCATGAATTTTATCCACAAAGCCTAAAACATTAACTCTTTCTGAAGGTAGGCTTACTCTATTACATCTTTTATAAACTTTCCACATAATACAGCAGGGATGACAATGCCATCTTCTCATGCCACCCCCAATCCTTTTTATGTCCACATATTAAGCTTTCTTTCTCTCCCACATTATGCAGTAAGAGATTTCATTTTAAGTGTCGTATACTCCAGAGTAATTCTTTCAGGAAATTTTGAGACATGCAGACAAAAAATAAGTAACAGTATAATTTGGTTAACATGATTTTAAAGACTGAAATTTCACACCTTATCAACAGAAAATGCACATTTATTAAACTCATCTTTTAAAAAATATGGCCATGTATTAGATTACAACAGAATTCTCAATTTTAAAAAACTGGAATTATACACACTGTACTATTAGATCATACTGCAGTAAAATTTGAAATCAATCATAACATAACTCTAAAATCTCAGGTGTTCTGAGAAATAAAAGAATACTTTTTATCTGTCAATACATTTGAAATTTAGGTAAAATGCATAATAATGTTGATTTAAAAATTAACACTCAAAATTGACCTAAGAAGTGGAAAATTTGACTAGATCACAAAATAATCAAGTAGTAATAAATGTTCTTTCCCAAAACTCACTTTGCTGCTGTAGTTCTACATGTTTTAACAAACTTTCAAAACCCACATAATAATATAAAATACCTCCTGAGAATTTTTTAATGATGAAGACTCCACTACATTCAGCAATTTGCCCATTTATGTTTGGGCCTAGGGGAAAAAGAGTTGAAGATAACATTTCGAAGCTCTACTTGCTTAAAAAAAAGAAAAACAGGTCATTTATTCACTTTTAGAAGTAATGTATACCAAATGAAGTACAGTCATCTAAGAGACTCAATTAACATGCAAGTTTTATAAAAAGATTATATTGTACTGAAGACAATATCATACCATGGAAGTTCGGGTGTCTGTTCCTACTGAAAAACCAAGACACTACAACTTATAGAAGAGTTCCTGCTGAACACTACCCGCAAAAATAAACAGGAAGATGTAATTTTAAAAATCACAGTCCGAAAATTAATTTGAAAATATTGAGAACTAAACTAACATTGTATAAAATGTTTATGAAGTACATCCTGAAACTTTCTTAAAGGACATAAAAGATACCTTAATAAATGCAAAAATATTCCATTAGGAATATTCCAGTGGTTTTCCAGTGAGGAAAACTGCACACTATTAAGATAACATGTCGGTTAATGTGGAGACTCTGGTTAATGGAAAATTGGATGCAATCCCAGATGAAATCCTATTGCATTTCTTGAGAACTTGACAAAGTGCTGGTATATTTTACATCAAAAAATGATTGTCTCAGTAGTAGTCTGAAAGTAGCTTAAGAATAGTGAAATCAAACCAGGGAAACTCACAATGTCACAGTAATTAAAACAGTGTGCATTTGGCACCGAAACAAAAACAACAGATCAATGGAACTGAGTAAGGAGCTTAGATTATGATAATTAAGTATTTTTAAAAATCAGGCAGAGAAATACATCATTTTGGGAAAAATTAAATCCCCCTTCACACAATATGTAAGGATATATTTCAGATAGGTTAAACCTGTTAGTGTGAAAAGTTAAACTCTGCAAGATTAGAAGAAACTATAGAATAAAAATTAATGACATTGCAGTAAGAACAGATTCCTTAAATGTAAAGAAGAAAACATGAGTATTAAAGAAAAGACTGTTAGATTTAGCTATGTTAAAATTAGCAACGTGTTGTGAATGCCACAGACATAAAGTAGCAGCCTTGAGAAGATATGCAAAACATATATTTCATAAAGGATTAGACTACCAAAAATATCCTAAAAATCAGCAATAATAAAAAACTGCAATATAGAGGGATGGGAGGAGAAAGTTAATTCCCATCTCATAGGAAAAAAAAACCGGCAAAAAAGCATAAAAAGATGATAATCCATCAGTAATAATTAATGAAATAAAAATTGTAAAATACCACTATTCCTGCAATATATTGTTAAATAACAATTAATGTTCCTGAGTCTTTAGGAAATAAAAGTTCCTAACACATTGTTCTCTGCAAGGTAAATTGGTACAGGCACTCTGCAAAGCACTGCAGCAGCGTTTGACAAAACTGAAAATACATGTAAGTATCCAATTGTGTGCATTTCATTTTTGTTACAAATAGCTAGAACTTGGAATCAAACTAAATGGACAACAAAGTGAAATGGGGAAATGAAATCTGCCAAATTTATGAAGCAAAATACCATAGAGCAGTAAAAGCAATGAAATAAATATGTATGCATTAATATAGACACATAATCTTGAGTAAAACAAGCAAATTTCAGCATATTTAAACTATAATATAATTTATGCACATTTCTAAAGCAACATAACATAATATATACATATTAGGAGGATATTAAAACCGTGAATTGGAGGCATTAGGGCAGGGAGAAAAAATGGAGTTGGCAATAAGAATAAAAATGTCACAAAGTGGGATTTAAAAATAAAAGATTTAGACCAAAACATTTCATCTAATTGAGGAGCAAAGTGAACGGAATCAATTGTACATAATGATATCCTGCACAAAGACAATAAAATCATTTCAAAAACAAACCGAAAGAAATGGCTGAACAGGAAATGTTAAGTATAGGAGAATGCAGAAAGGAAACCTATTGTCTAGAATGAGAGAAAGGCATCAAGACATAAAGGCAAGTAGGCATAAATAAACCGAGTCCCTAAATTTGGAAGAAAAAATTAAAAATACTAATGTAATCACCTGATGGGTTCCTCTTGCTTGCTGCACAGACAAAACCAATTCACTGGTACAGCAAAATTGCAGTAGGAAAAAAGTTTAATTGACACAGGACTAGCCAAGCAGTAGTTCATTAGTCAAATCAGTGTCCCCAAAATCTAGGAAGCTAGGGTTTTTATGGATACCTTGGTGGGCAGGGGGCTAGGGAATGGGTGATGCTGATTGATTGGGTATGAAATCATAGAGTTTTAGAAAATGGTTCTTGTGCACTTAGCCATTTTGCTTTAAGGTTAAATTATAAATAAATTACCCACTATGTTAGCTTGACCTACACCTAAGAATGAACAAGGACAGCTTGGAGGTTAGAAGCAAGATGGAGCCAGCTATGTCAGATTTCTCTTACTGTCATAATTTTGCAAAGGCATTTTCACTAATATGACTATTCAACTGCTGGGTATAGAGAAGACTGATATGTAATTGAACTAAATCATTCTCTACTTGAGTTAATTTTCTGTTACTGCTGTAACAACCAAAAACTTAATGACTAAAAACACAAAAATTTCTTTCCTAGAGGAAATAGCTTAAGCATTTAAAACAAAAAACATAAACTTATTATCTTACAGTTCTGCAGATGAGAATTTCAAAATGATTTTCAGTAGGTTAAAATCAAGGCATAGGCAGGGCTGGATTCCTTTCTGGAGGCTGCAAGGAGGAATCCATTTCCTCCCCGTTCCCGAAATGTAGAGACCACATTCTGTGGCTCATGGTCCTCCCTTTTTCATCTTCAAAGACAATGGCATTGTATCTTTCTGACCATATACCTCTCTCCTCTTCTGCTTCTTACAGTGTTACCATCATCGGATTAGCAACCTTAATTCCATTTGCAACCTAATTCTCCTTTTGCCATGTAAGGTAACACATTCACAGGTTCTGGGGATTTGCATATGGACATCTTCGGAGAGCCACTATTTTGCTCACTGCACTACTCATGAAGAAGATTAATAGATTTGATATGAATTTGATAAAGCAAGAAACCCTGGAAATCATATTATTTAATTACCTGTAGGCAACCACCAGAACTAAAATGAAACAGAAGGAATAAAATTTGAAGTTATATTCCTCTGCAGAGCAGGACTATAAATAGAAAAAGGTAGGGCAAGGCATTCTTGCTTTTCATTAATACTCCTCTGCTCTATTTTTCATATTTTAACATCCATATATTATACTACATTTTATTTTAATCCAAATATGCTTCTTTGATCCCCAAGACCCTTCTCTCCAAGCTCATTTTAGCCACTCCTTTCATTGCTACCAAACGTGTCACCCTCATTTTAGTTCCTCAGAGAGACTGGTGTTTCTGCCTCCCATCATTTCCACTTGCTCTCTTCTCTGCCAGGAAAACTTGTCCCCACTGTCTAGATCGATAGCTTCTTCCCCTTATTTTGGTGTAAATTTACGCACTGCCTCCTCTTGGAGGCTTGCCCTGTCTAAACTATCTCGTCAGTTGCTCTCATTACTTTCTGTCATATGCCTTATTTGCGTCTGTCTTAACGTTTATTATTATATGAAGTTCTTTTATTTAACTTCGTGTTATTTTCTCAGTCTCCATAAGGATTCGAAATCCTTGACAATGGGTTCTACGTGCCTTGTTCTCTCACTGCAAGCACAGGGCCTACAACAGTGATAAACGCAAAGCAAGTTTTCAAAACCTGTTTGAAGAATGAAGAAAATAGATGCTTGAATTATACATGTCATGGTCACATTGTACTTGAATACCTCCTGTGATGGGGAGCTTACCACCTCAAAGGACTGTTCATTCTTTTTTTTTTTTTGATATCTGTGTCTTCAAGAGCAGATAACAGGAAGTGCTAAATATTCATCTTTCCTTTTGCATTTCATATCATTTTTCTACAACTTTTCAGATAAAATATTGATATTGTTGATAATTAGCTGTAGCTTTCATCTTCATGAGTTACAAACCAATGAGGAAACAAAAAGAAAATAATCTTAAAAGGTTTTAGAGAACTATATATATTTATCCTATCTCCCCCACCCATTCCCACTTTGTCCAGCACATATTGCAAATCTAAGAATCATCTTGTTTCGCCTTGGGTTCATTAATGTTCGTTAATATTTTCCCACAGGAATATATTGAAAACCAAAATTGTCACATTTAAAATTTTCTTCCTATTTTGAATTTGGCTAATAAAACCCATGTTCTATGAAACACCTATTGTATGAACTTAAAAAAAAAGCAGTTTTACTTTTATAACAAGCAGATTTCTGTAAACCACATTGCTCATTTTAAAATGATTAATGAAATGAAACCATAAATGTCCTACTATATACTTGTTGTTTCTGTGCAGGTGGGCAACATTGTTTAGGTATATTTTTAAAGTAAGGGTTATACTCTACTATTCTATACCCTGTGTCCAAATACATCAAAGAAATTGAGTCATGTTACAATCAAGAAACTAATAAAAATAAAAGATGCAGTCATAGGTGCTGAGGGTGACTTTGTAGAAGTTATTTTTTGAACACAGATAGTGTGAAACCCCAAGTCCAGTAAACCCCTATTGGAAGGCAGTATTGTCCCAAATGAAGCAAGAGGAGCAAGTGGCTCAGTATTTCACATGGAAGCATCCAAGACGCTAAATGTGGAGGATAATGAAGAAGCAATAGATGCAGCAACGCTGATCCAGCCTCCCTATCCATCTTACACAGTCTGAGTTATTTTTTAAGTCATTATCCACTAGACACCAGGACAATTCTTAACACATAAAACTGGGACACAGAGACCTAGCATCTGAAGGAAAATCACTTTGATCATTGACCAAAGTGGTCAAAATCACTTTGTCCAGCACAGCAGGAAATGAAGCAGAGGCTGGGCTGATTAATTTAACCCCCAGTGCAGTCAATACAGTTAAAGATACTTGATTAGTGGTTTTACTTTTAATGTACTTTTAATGTACTATTAGATATTTGTAGACATTTTAATGTTGCTTAAAGTTCAGTAAGTTCTTCCTATCTATACACATAGCTTACTGTTTGTCCCTACCCTACTCTGGGGTGGCATCTTCTCCCCTTTTCCAGAAGATGCATTTTCCTGGCATTTAACAAATTTAGCTTGAGCAGACTGGAGCAATAACTGGAAACAAGCCTGATGAACTTCTTTTCATTGTGCTGATGAAATACGATAATGCTACAAGTTAAGAAAGAACTCTATATGATAATGGATATGGCCAACTATGATGAGAAAGGATCCAAGATTCTCAAGGCTAAAGAAAGAAAAGCGAAAAAGAAAAAAAATAGGGCTCATACAACCACTATAACCACCACATTTCTTGAAGGGTATTGGTGCTAAGTGGCTTACATACATTATTTCCTCATCACTTCAGCTCCAGACGAAGATACTATTAGGAAGAACATTTGGCAAAGCAGCAGCCAAGGCTCAGAGGTTAGCTGCTCTGCCTAATATCATCCAGCTTAAAAGAACTGAGATTCTGATCCGGGAGATCTGTCCACGAAACTTATCACTTTAGGCACTAAGCTTGAACATTCCATGACCTGCTTCTATAGTTTTCCGTCATGATACATGCAAGCATGATTCAGTGAATTGAGTAAGGGTTCAACTGTGTCACTGTCTGCATGGTCTTCGCTGGGTCATTTAACAGAAAGGCATAATAAGGATTGTTCTCTATTTCCACAAGAAGAGAGGAAATAAATAAGGTGCATATGGAAAGAAGTTAGGCTAGATATAGGTAATATTCATCTGGCAAAAAAAAGTCACTAAACTCACTTTTTTTTTTCCTTTTTTTTTTTTTTTTGAGACGTAGTCTCGCTCTGTCACCCAGGCTGGAGTGCAGTGGTGCGATCTCGGCTCACTGCAAGCTCCATCTCCCGGGTTCACGCCATTCTCCTGCCTCAGCCTCCTGAGTAGCTGGGACTACAGGCGCCTGCCACCACACCTGGCTAACTATTTTGTATTTTTTAGTGGAGACGGGCTTTCACCGTATTAGCCAGGATGGTCTCGATCTCCTGACCTTGTGATCCACTTGCCTCGGCTTCCCAAAGTGCTGGGATCACAGGCGTGAGCCACCGCGCCTGGCCTAAACTCACCTTTAAACAATCACCTACTTCTCAGGAAGATATCACCCTGCGTTGATGTATAGAAATACTTGTGAAGTGCAGTTGTTACATTTATTCCTTACTTGTCTCCATCCAATAGAATGTAACTGCTATGACAGCAGTGCTTTTCATCTGTCCTATTTACTGGCATTTTCCAAATGCCCAGCAGAGTGCCAAATAAGTAGTAGATACTCGGTAAATATCCCTGGAGTGAAGGAAGGGGGAGAGGAGAGAAGAAAGGGAAGAGGAATAATTTTAGGAATCAGAAACAATTCTGACAAGTCATTTTAATATCATCATGAAGGGAAATAGGTTGGGAATAAATTTGTACCATTTGATTAATCTCCCTAACTTCAAGTCTATGTTAAGTAAAATAATAGATTCTAAGGAAAGCTGGGGAAAAAAACCCTTTCTATCAGGTTGGATGTTCAATTTTAGGATACGAATCAGGTAGGTTCTATCCTCAGGACAGGATATAACCAACTTCCTTTCAGGTTCAAGACATCATTTTATGCATCATCCTTTTTTAAAAAAAACAAAAAGTCTATAGAAATACTAATACCAGTTTCTAACTGCTATTGAAATGCGTAAGGTAAAACCATGAAAAGCAGGTGTTTTTGCTGAAGAACTCTTGTGCTTTTCTCTTCCTAAACTTGTACAGAACTCCATAGTACAAATTAACTGGTATTCTCCCAAAAAGAGAAAATATTTTTCAACTATTTTGTTTTGGGATGGTTGATGACAAATGGGGCCGTTTTGCCAAATTTCTACCTGCTTCTGTGTTTCTCTTTGGTGCGTAAAAAGTCGATTTACCTCTCAAGCAAAATCTTTTTAGGGTTTTATCTTTTATGTGATCACTAAAACACTGTAATCAGTTCTGCATTTCTGATTACAGTTAAGGACCTTTCATGGATGTCATTCGTTATAAATGTGGACAATATCAAAAGAAGCCAATTTTAATAAAAGTCTCTCTGCAAAAAGATATTAGAAGCTTCTTCCTTCTGTTGTGATAAATACCTCCAGGTGGTATTTGATGGACAATAAGAATTCTGTGCAGCTGGCATTCATCGCAGAGTTGGGAATTAGAATTTCAGATCATGCTGGCAAGCCTAAGTAATTCTTTAATTCTTCAAATGCAATGCAATTTGCTCAATCTTACACAGCATTCTGATTTTAATTAAAATATACTATATGATATAGAAATGTTACATCAACTTGCAAATCCCTACTTGATGGAAGTTGGAAGAGGCATGAAAAACCACTATTTAATTTTTATATGTGTTAGACTTTGTCAAAAGAATAAAACATTACCAGAGGGGCCATAACAGTTCATACAGAGGTTATAGGAACTGAGCATTTCAAAAGGATGTTATAGTGCTACAAAGCAGATGTGAATGATCTTTATTTTCATAGAAAAGCTTTAAAAGTAAATACAGAGATCTGCTTCATGCGTGACTAGGTTTCCCCCAAGTATTCTTCTAGTCAAATGCTGTAAATGACATTTTCAGGAATAGCCACCTGGGGAGAATAATGTCAAGGTTAAGAGCAGATGTGTACACATTGTTTTAAATTGATAATTGATGCTTACTTGGAATATATTTTTTAAAAAGCGGAGGTGATATGAGAAGTAAACCACTAGCCTTTGAGATATTGCCCATGTATCATTAAATATTTCATTTAATTGGAGAGAGGAATTATGGATAACAACAGGTGCTCTCTCTAGACCCTACTGCCTCTTTGGAATAGAAAATGGGACTGCGAATCTGTTGTCAGTATCTGGACTACAGAAATCTCAGAGCTCCGGAAAAGCAAATACAGTGTTGCTTAGTAATGCTAGATAAATCTCGGTATTGAATTTTTAAGTGCTCCAAAAGCAATTTTTATTCAGGCTTAGAATAGAGAATGGCATTGTGGGCTTCTTACGCAGAAAAGGTGCATATTTTGAACTCTCAAACAAGTATAAGATATTCTTCTCGGTTGAGTCTATAAAAATGTATTAAAGACACTCACATCTCTATTAGAAGCATATTACCAAGTGACAGGAGCATCCCCAAACTGGAGTTTTCATAGGCTTTGTACCTTTCTGAATTCATGAATGAATTACATCCTGTATAACCAGCCAGACTATATGAATCTTTAAGACAACTACCTCTAGAATCGGACCCAGTGTTGGTGACAACAAGTTTCTTTTAGTTTTATCATTTAACTGTGAAAAATGTGGGGGCTTTGCTTATAAATTTTACTTCAATAAAGTAATTCTGTCAACCCTATATTCTAAATACCCCAGAATCCAAGTCACACTAAGGCTACATTTGAGAGTAATTGCAATAGATAGTATTATTGTTCCCAGTTAGTTACTCTCCTACACACCTAATCATTGTCATGTGACATACAATATCTCTTAATTGGAGTAATATACTTCTTTGTCCCATAGATGACAAGCTTGGTCTTGTGACCCATATTAGCAATGAAACATAACGGAAGTTGTGTACTCTACGTCAAATTGGAAGCCATGAGATCTGTTGCTCCTTGGTCCTTTGCCATTTTTCCTATGCCATGAGTACAACATGTTCCAAATAATAGTAGCTCCTTTAAACTGAATCCTGGCACAACAGAGCAAAAGCATACCTAAATGTTAGCCACCGCAGTGAAAATGCAACATGAATGAGAAACATAAAATTTTATTCTAAATTGTAAATATTGTCAGTCCAAAACTTTAGCAAAACCTGGCTAATATACTATTTTAAAAATTTTTATTAATTGAAAGTGATCGTGTTGCCAATATATTCCCACATTTACTAAATGCATGCACAGATGTCATGTTATTGTCAAAACTTGTATAATTTAGAATTTGTAAAATCTGATAGCAAACTCAGAAACATTCAGTATGTGGCCTTAGGTTTTTACATAAAAGATAACATTGTGATGAGGTTTTGGAAGCCAGCATGCTTAATTATTTAGCCAAAATGAAATTTTCTGAAGACACCCTAGACTTTCCCGCTTTGAGAGTGTTTTGACATTCAGAAGGTCCCTATCTCCATACAACTCTTCATTTCCACCTGTCATGGTTTCCATGCCATGGATTTGAGTTCAAATATCACATTCAGCTTCAAATCTCTGATCCTTCCAGGGGAGCTAATTTTACCATCTCTTCTGCTTCATGCTAGTTGCCTTCTTGCTTCAGAGGACACTAGAATGTAAGCTCCATGAAGTCAGCGACATCAGCTGTTTTGTTCATTCCTCTTTCCACAGTGCCTAGAACAATGCATGGCCAAGAGCAGTTTTGCAGTACATGTTATAGATGAATGAAGTGTAGCACTTTTTACAATCCACTTTGCATTTCTATCGCCATAAATACTAAGAAAATGTCTATATCTTGGTCAACCTTTTATCCTCACAGAGCCTCACACAGTGATTTGAACATACATAAAAAATGTTGATTAACAATTGTCCTACCAATTAAATTGTCTGTTTACCAATTGGCCTATTAGATGTATGGGAACAATATTAAAAGATCACAGACCATTTCTAATACCATTTTTGTAAATACATCTAGTGAATTCAAGAAATGAATGCTTCCTGACTCTAAATTTTTCTAGCTCTGTGATGATAGTCATTCAAAGCACTGTAAATTCTAGATGTTTGGCTGCATTTATACTGAAACACCATATTCCTTTGGCTGTTCTTCAGTATGTCTCACTCTTTGTGTTGGACTTGTCTGCCTCAACTCACAAGGAAAAGTTCCATAATATTGCACTGGCATAATTGGCTACTATATCTGAGCCAGCTAAAATTTCAGCAGACGACGAAAAGAAGATGTATTTGCCCAGTCCTGGTGTCTGTGAGTGATTTTCTCCTGTGTGTATGACAGCTGAAGACTCATAGGCCCTAATCCTAGCAAACATTATCACAACCTACACATGGGGCTATGAACGGCCTACACTTCAGTTTGGCCCCCATTAATTTACTTCATTTATTTGACAGGTAGTCACTGTGTATGCACTATGGAAGTTTTTTGACATACAGTCAAAAAAAAAGGACACATTGGATTATATTAACAAATTTAAAAACCTAAAGGTTTCTTCTTTATAAGACACTTTTCAGAATATAAAAGGACAAGACATAGAATGGGAGAAAATGTTTGCAATGTATCTATCTGACAAAGCAACTGTGTCCAGACCATATAGATGACTTTTACAACTGAATAAGACAAAATATAAATTAAAATTGTCACAAAGTTGAATAGGCACTTTACCAGAGGAGATGTAGCGATGGCCAATAAGCACACAAAAAGAAAATCAACTTCACTAGTAATCAGGGAAATTAAAACCATGAGATACCACTATCTGCTTAAAAGAATGGCTGAAGTTCAAAAGTTGTCAAGTGTTGGCAAGAATGTGGGTAGGGGGGTGGGAAATGTGGTTAGAAGAACAGTGATTAGTCCCATAAGAAAAGATCAGAAAATGTAACACATGGGGAAGTAAATGCAGAAAATATGCACTCAATATAACAACTTAGTTGACCTTTCTTGGCGGGATATGGTGGCTCACACCTGTAATCCCAGCACTTTGGGAGGCCCAGGCAGGCAGATCACTCAAGGTCAGGAGTTCGTGACCACCCTGGCCAACATGGTGAAACCCCATCTCTACTACTAATACAAAAATACAAAAATTAGTTGGGCGTGGTGGCCTGTGCCTGTAATCACAGCTACTTGGGAGGCTGAGACACAAGAATTGCTTGAACCAGGAAGGCAGAAGTTGCAGTGAGCCAAGATGCGCCACTGCACTCCAATCTGGGTAACAGAGTGAAACTGTGTCTCAAGAAAAAAAAAAAAAAAAAAAAAAAAATTGGCCAGGCATGGTGGCTCAGGCCTGTAATCCCAGCACTTTGGGAGGCTGAGGCGGGTGGATCATGAGGTCAGGAGATCGAGACCATCTTGGCCAACATGGTGAAACCCCATCTCTACTAAAATACAAAAAATTAGCTGGGTGTGGTGGTGTGTGCCTGTAATCCCAGCTACTTGGGAGGGTGAGGCAGGAGAATCGCTTGAACCCAGGAGGCGGAGGTTGCAGTGAGCTGAGATTGCGCCAGTGCTCTCCAGCCTGGTGACAGAGCAAGACTCCATCTCAAAAATTAAATAAATAAAAATAAAATTTAGATGGCCTTCCTTAATCCAGAAATAAAAACTGGAGACACTAAAGCAGCATCCTTACCCTACGCTGGGTCCTGACCACCTCTGTTTTCTGAAAATCCAGTAAAAGCTACACTCTTTTCACTAAAAAGTACACAAATCCACAAAATGTTCTTCTAGCCTTCTTTACTTTGCTCAAATTATACCACTTACATTTGGAATTTTCACAAAATGTTTGTAGTCTGCATTTTAAAAAGCATTTCTAAAATAAACCTCCCTCAAAAAATAATACATTTTATGATACTGTGAGGAAGCATACCATGAGTAATGTTCAGAGATTTATTTGAATCTAACTAGGTAAGGAAGTATATTTAAAATAACGTGCTGAAGAAATTCCACTCATAGGTCTTTATCCAAGAAAAATGAAAACATAAAATGCTTATACAACAATGTTTATATCATCTTTATACTTACAAGCCAAAAAACTAGAAACAAATGTCTGTCAAAATGTGAAATGATAAACAAACGTTGCATAACCATAGAATAGAATACCGATCAGCAAAAAAAGGGAACTACTCATATATGCGATGGATGAATCTCAAACTATACGCTGCCTGCAAGAAGCTGGACACCAAATAGCACATACTGTATGGTTCCACTTACATGAAATTCTAGAACAGGCAACATTAACTATAGTAACAGAAAGTAGGTCAATGATTGTCTGGGGCTGGAAGTTTTAAAGGTATAAAAGGGAACTTTTTTGGGTGATGGAAATATTCTGTATCTTGCTTATAGTGCTGGCTATACAGATATATCATTTTAGAAGCTCATAGGATTGTATACTTTTTGGCTAGTTTCTTTTGCTTAAATTCGGTTTTAATGGATTTGATTTAAAAGCTAAAATAAAATCTTGTAAGTAAATACATCTGTTGTGATGGTTAATTTTAAGTGTCAACTTGACTGGGCTAAGGGATGCCCAGATACCTGGTAAAACATTTTTTCTGGGTGTATCTATGAGGGTGCTTCTGGGACAGATGAGCTTTTGAATCAGTAAAGTGAAGAAGATCACTCTCACCAATGTCAGTAGGTATCATCCCAGTGCATTTTGCAAAAGTGCAGAATTGGGTGAATTTGCTCTCCACTTGAGCTGGAAGATTCATTTTCTCTTGCCCTTGGAGTCAGTGTTCCTGGTTCTCAGGCCCTCACGCTTGGACTGGAACTATACCATCAGCTTTCGAGGACCTGCTGCTTGCAGATGGCAGATCATGGAACTTCTCAGCCTCCACAGTCACCTGAGCCAATCACTCATAATGAATCTCTTTCTGCATATCATTATACTTCCTACTGGTTCTATTTCTCTGGAGAACTCTGACAAATAGACCTCTACATTCATGATTTCAAGGATGATGACTCTAACTTGTTTGAAATATGTCATTATCACACATATCTTCTTAAACACAAAGCACATGCACTGAGGCTTTTTTTTATAATATAACAAAATCCAGTGCATAATTATGTTCACTTCCCTAGGTATAAACAGTCATAATATTTATCGCATAATTAAACAGGCAAGATTTACTCCTTTGGGCATCTACCAGAACATATTTAAATGTTGTCTTTGAATTGTGCTGTATACACAAATGTACTTTGTATTTAAGAAAAAAATGGCTTATCCCTAATCTTCTCAACAAAATCAAGAGAATAAAATAACGTAATTTTTCATCTTTAGCTTGCATGTGGAGAAACTGAATATAACTTTTAATTTAGTGGGTGCCCTTGGGTCACTAATGAGTCAGAAATAAAATAAAAAACTTAATTTCCATTCTGCTGATTTTTAATGCCGTTATGTCCAACTCCCAAAGACTTAATAATAAAACATCAACAAAGTCACTTGTAGGTAATAACATTCTTCAATGCTTCTGTGTATCTTCCTCTAGGGATAAACAGGCATATCTACATGTATTTAGTAATAATTCTAAATTGCACAAAAGAAATAGCCCTGATATCACTATTTTCAAGCTCAAAAAAATATGCTGACATTAATTTCACATTTAACAGTTCTGTGCAAGTCGATCCTATCAATACAAGTGCTAGTCTCAAATCAGAATTTAAATTAATAACCCATCTCATATTAATAGCTAAACAACCATGAGGCTTCAGTGACCTCATTAGAGGCATATAGCTACATTTTTATTATAAATTTAAGCAGTTTGACAAGAAATAACCCCACAAAACACATAAACTGTAAATTCTTTCAATTGCCATACTGTATTAGCGTACAAAGGCTGCTGTAACAAAGTACCACAAACTGAGTGGCTTAAATAGCAGAAATTATTTTTCGCAGTTCTGGAGGCCAAGAGTCCAAGATCAAGGCACTGGCGAGATCAGTTTCTTCTGGGGTCTATGAGGAATAATCTGTTCCACGCCTCTTCCCTAGTTTTCTGATGGTTTACTGGCAATCTTTGGCATTCCTTAGCTTGTAGCAGTATTGCCCCATCCCTACCTTTAACCCTACCTTAAACTTCTTATGGCATTCTCCCTGTGTGCGTATCTGCCCCAGATTTCCCCTTTGTAGAACACCAGTAGAACACCAGTCATATTGGATTAGGAGCCACCCTGTTCCCATATCACGCCATATTAAATCATTGTATCTGCAATGATCCTAATTTCTAAATAAGGTCTCATTCTGAGGTATTGGAGGTCAAGACTTCATATAAATTTCGGAGAGGAGACACAATTCAACCCAAAGCTTCAAGTTATCTTTCTGGCTTCCCCTTAGTACCTCCTCATATGCAAATCTCAGGCATCTTTCCAGGTGCTCATTTGTAAAATTTAAAAAGGTGAGGTCTCGTAAGGTACGGCTCATTCACTTGTCCTCTTCCTGAGACCCAGGTATGGTCCTAACTTTGGGTAGAACTGAGCTAGAGAGCTCCACCCCAGGAGCTGCAAGCCTGAAAGACACAGTTCAAGGATACAGAGAACACACCCATTCCTGGATTCTATCCCTTCCACCTTCCTGTGTTAACAGCTGCTCATCCTCACCCCAAACCCCTCAAGGGTGGGAAGGTGTCCCCTTTCCTAGTAGGAGGGGACAGGGATGAGGCTAGAGAGGTATAGAGTGCCTGACGAGCCAAGAGCAAGAAGCAGACATAGAGCTGAGTTCCCTGACCCACACACCTGCCCCTGCCTAGCCCCATCCACCTGCTGAGAGGCAGACAAACACCCAGGTTTTAGGCAGTCTGCTGGGTTTACTTTTCTTCTCTCATCTCTCACTGTACCCCTCCCAACTGAGCTGAAGGTCTTTGTGTCCCTGGACCTCATCGTGGTGTCTTCCCTTCGCACAGCCATTCCCTTTGCCTACACCCCAGCCATCATCACCACTGCCACCCCACTGAGTAACACTTCCTCTTTTTCTTAAATTTAACTTTTATTTTAAATTCAGCAGTACATGTGCAGGTTTGTTATATTGGTAAACTTCTGTCATGAAGGGTTGATGTACAGATTATCTCATCACCCAGGTAAGCCTAGTAACGATTATTTATTTTTCTTGATCCTCTCCCTCCTCCCAGCCTCCGCCCCCAGATAGGTCCCAGTGTCTGTTTTTCCCCTTTACGTGTCCATGTGTTGTCATCATTTAGTTCCAACTTATAAGTGAGGTATTTGGTTTTCTATTCCTGTGTTAGCGTGCTAAAGATAATGGCCTCCAGCTCCATGCATGTTCCTGCAAAGAACACAATCTCGTTCTTATAACACCTCCTTTTACTCTCAGTTTAGATGCCCCTGCCTAACACTGACAGCACCTTAAGCTTTTTCGCAACAAGCCTTTACCGTAATAACTGCTCACCTATGCATAAGCTCTGTAAGGGCAGACAGATAGATACTCCCTTCACTCCACTAGCCCCAGCACCCAACATAGGCTTGGGCCATGCTCATTGCCCAATAAATATCTGTTGGTGAATAAATGAATGCACAGTGTTTGCAGATGACCTTGAGGACATGATTTAAGAGCACTTAATGATTTTTGTTTTTTACTTCATGTCCTGTCCTCTCATGATTTTGTTTAAACACTTTGACGAATCCTTTCCTCACAGCAACACGTCAGCCTACAACTAGTCTCAGGGTGTTAGAATTGGAGGTTCCTTGGAGAACATGTGGACAATCACCCCTGAGGGAAATAAAGTCCAGAGAGGTGAAGTGATGGGCCCAAGTCCAGCCAGCTCTTTGACAAGACTGAAGCTAGAATCTGTCTCTTGAGTCAGGCCTGTGCTCTTCCTAATCAATAATGTCTAACTCTGTTTCTGGAAAACCCAGGAATGCATGCACGCTTCTCAAGTCCACGTTGTGGTCTAAGTGGAAGTCCAAGGTTATACCACTGGCTTCTGCTGATTTTATCTTGCATTTTACAGGCCACCTTGCCTTAAGATAAACTACTAAAACTGCATCACAGACACATACACTTCTAATAACATTCAAATAATGCAATTCAAGCTGTTTTCCCAGCCCTCAATTCTCTTGCTTCCACTGCCTTAGGCTCCCTTTAAATGCATCTCTTTTTCTGTGATTCCAACAGGAATATTTCCATCTCTGGACTGAAGAACTAGCCCCATGTGCATGTTTATATCAATGCGCAATCAATCATAGTTTGTTCTTTTTAAAATGGTTTTCTTTTTAAAGACCCAAGTTTTGAATGGCTGGTTCAAATCAATTGGTCACTTAGGAAGGAAATTAACAATCTTTCTGATTGCAGATCAAGATTTTTTTTCTCCTCTTAATTCCTATTATTTTGTCCTGAACGCAAAAGTATTCCAGGACTAGAGAATTATGCAACAACAGTTTGGTAATGATTTTTATATGACTTGCTGACATATAACATAAAGAAGGAACATCTGAGAAAATGGCTCTTCTAAAAAAGCAAAAGTTGAATAGGACTTTACAATAAAATACAGTCGTGACTAGAAATACATTATGCTTTTGCAACATTGTGATCAAAATTTTCTGCATCTTCATGCAAGATAAATAAGGTTTAAAATTTAACAGCAATATAAATCAATAAAAATAGTACCCCTTAAATACACTGACTTGATCATCACATGTTCCATACATGTAATGAAATATATGTAGCCCAGAAATATGTACAATTACGCATCAATAAAGTAAAAGGAAGATCTAAGCATAATTCGTGTGTGTGTATGTGTGTGTGTGTGTGTGTGTGTGTGTGTGTGTGTGTATAGCCAATGTTTGTGGCAGAGAAACCGGTGAAATCGTACTTTCTAAACCCTTTACATTTTTGAAAGTTTTGGTGTTTACAGTTGTACTTCTATGACTTATCATCTTCATTTCAACTTTTTAAAAGGTATATCAATATTTATCTAAACCGGCTGGGCGTGGTGGCTCACGCCTGTAATCCCAGCACTTCTGGAGGCCGAGGCGGGCGGATCACTAGGTCAGGAGATCGAGACCATCCTGGCTAACATGGTGAAACCCCGTCTCTACCAAAAATACAAAAAATTATCCGGGTGTGGTGGCGGGCGCCTGTAGTCCCAGCTACTCGGGAGGCTGAGGCAGGAGAATGGCGTGAACCCAGGAGGTGGAGCTTGCAGTAAGCCGAGATCGCGCCATTGCACTCCAGCCTAGGCGACAGAGCGAGACTCCCTCTCAAAATATATATATATATATATGTATATATGTATATATATATTTGTTTATTTTAAACCATAAGAGCAAAAAAATGACTTGTTACATAATAACCCAGAGCAGAGAATCAACCAGAATAAAGGATTCATAAGTACAAGCAAGATTAGCAAAAAAAAAAAAAAAAAAAAGCCCACTAGCATTGTTCCCCACCTAAACTATTAACAGAAACTCAATTTGTGATGAATGTGTTGTAATCACTGAATTACTGTTAAATACAAATGCTTGGGCTTGCATTGAGAAACTCCACATACATTGGCTTCTTCTCTGAGTTTACAAATTCTAATTTCAATTTTTACCTTTACTACTAATACTTTTAAAATATCCTTAAAATATACTCAACACCCTAAGGCATCATATAGTGCCCCCTTTCCTGTACAATGAAAAGAACATACATGTAATCTATCTTTTCAATTCTCCCATAATCTTGATCATTAGAAGATAATAATTTTAACTAAAAAAGTATATATTAAAAAGTCCAGTTGTTTCATTCTGTTTAATGAATCTATCAATACAGCAAATTATTGGC